>NC_000007.14:134381779-135006779 GCF_000001405.40 Homo sapiens
CTGTCTAGCCAATACCATCACTGTGAACCTTAGCAGTGTCAAGCTGCTCTCCCCAAATAAACGGGATATGTCTTGATAGTAGAGAGTATGAATTATGCTTCATTTCCATCCCATACCAGTCTTTTTCTCCATACCATTCTTACACAATATTTGGCACACGCTAATGATCGACTAGTCAATCAGCAAACAATGACTGAGTCCCATGCCTCCTGTTCTTACTGTGACTTCAGCACACATGAAGTCAAACAGATGGAATCAAATGCTGACCCTATTGAAAAAATTTTGTATTAGTTGTGCACATTTTGATACTCATAAGAAACAGAAAAGTCCCCTATGAGTAAGTTCAGCTCAGAAACGGGACTCAGAGTTGAATTTGGTATCTGAATGTTCCTATTCCACTTCTAATAACTCAAATCTGTACACTTGTTTAGAAGGCTATGCTTTGGGGATTGCACTCTAAAATAAATGCAGATGGTTGATAAGCATTTGGTTTAGCCTCTTAAACAAGAGTTCCAGTCATGCATATGTTCTCATGAAGGTACCATCCTTTGTGTAGAAAAAAGACTTGGCCTTCAATTATTTTTGTTTATTAAATGGGCAAATGTCTGTGGAGACATTCATGTCCACATGTCTGTTTCCCTTTTGTTCAGTAATATGCATTTGCTGGCTAGCCAGGCTGAACTAGAAGCACCATTGCCCAGAGAGAAGGAAGGTAGCCCCTAGAGGAATCAGATTGCTATCCTGTGCTTTGTGCATGAACCCCTATAGGACCCTTGGATATTGGACTGCTTCTTTTGTGTGTGACCATGTGATGAGAATTAACACATAATTCTGTGTCCCAGCTTTATTGCTGAGGTCCATAATGAGCCAGTATAATTAAGCACCATTTGCCTGGTTAGTTAGTTCAGGTGTCTAAATCTGTCACAATAAAGTATGTGACGTTAAACATGTTTGGATTAGAACCTTCTGGAGCCAATGCCAATGCAGACAGCTATATTAATCACATGGGAGGTTATCTTATTTGAGATTTTCTTTGCACCTCTGAGTTACAGTGTTTCATCCATCAAGGGCTTGCTGAAGACATCTGTAAACTTTGATTTATTGCACTGTTTCTGGTACAGAATTAAATAGCATTATACTCAAATATATTGGCTTAATTGACAGGTAGAGATTTAATCCTGTTAATTACGTAGCCTGCTTGAAAGCTTCTATTAACCCCTTGCTGAATTGGCAGGATTCAGAAGAGGTATCTCAGCACCTATTTTGAGCTCAGGTAAAGCCATCATTGTCCTTCTTCAAAAAGTTTATTCTCACTAGCACCAAATCATGAGTGAACATGAATACCCATGAGACAAGTGTGTCATCTAGAACTGTCTCCTGTCTGACTCCATACAGCCTACCTCTTGGGTAAATGGTGTCAGAAGGTTTACAGTCAGCGTCTCTCCTGGTTTGGGGCTTTTTATGTTAGTATTTAATGTGCTAACAGGTGTGAAAGTTGTTCATTTACTTATTCAACACACTTTTATTGAGCACTTACTATGTTCAGGAACTTTGCTGGGCTAGAAAAAACTAAAATATATGTACGGTTGAGACCTTCAAGGAACTTACACCATATAGGATACTCATGAATGACAATAATCTATGCCGTTATAGTAATGCATGTTAATAGGTTTCTCATACCAGAAAACACAGGTGCAGTTAAACTTTATCTTTCTAGAAAGAGTACAAGGGATGCTGATACAGCTTCTATGTTTGTCCCTCCAAGCTACATGTTGGAATTTGATCCCCAGTGTTGGAAGTGGGACCTAATGGGAGGTATTTCGGTTGTGGGGGTGGATCCCTTGTAAATGGCTTAGCACTGTGCTGGCTCTAATGGGTGAGTTCTTGTTCTGTTAGTTCTCAGAAGATCTGCCTGCACCCCCTCCCCTCTCTCTTCGTTCCTTCCTTACCACGTGATGCCTGCTCCCCTTGTCCTCCCACCATGAATGGAAGCTTCCTGAAGCCCTTACTAGGAGCAGATGCTGGCACCTGCTTCTTATACAGCCTGCAGAATCAGGAGCCAAATAATCCTCTTTTCTTTATAAATCGCTCAGGCCTTCCTTTATAACAACACAAACAGACTAAGACAGGTGCTAATGTAGAAATTGCAAACATGGTGGCAAAAAAGTGTGGGAAACATTTGAGGGAGGCAGATTCTCTTGGGGCTTTTCAACTCGCCCCTCACAAAGCAGTCATAGTCTCCGTGAACATGGCAGGACTCACCCCTGGCCCCCCTGCCACCCACCCCACTATCTGATAGTTTTCTCTATTCCTCAGGTCAACAGATGTCCTCTCTGTTCCTGGTCACCGTGCTAGGTGTGGAGGACACAGAGAGGGAGAAGACCTCTCTGCCTTCTTGGAGCTCACAAGCCGGTAGAAAACTTCTAAGCAGGAAAGTAAAATGATCAGGGTTTTAAAACTCAATCCATCTAATGATCAATCTGGTGGCACAGTGAAGGATTTATTGGTGTGTGTCTCACTTGAATCACTTTTAAATAAATTTAAAAATCCACCTTTTCCACACTCTAAGAATACTTTGTGGGCTGAGGTCCTGAAAGTCATGTCATTAAAAAATTTTTTTATTTTGTTGTGATTTCACATTTACAAAAAAGTTACAAGATATACAAATAACATCTATGTAACCTTTTCTGAGATTTACCAATTGTTAACACAGTTGTTGATATTTTGTCTCGTTTGCTCATCTATCAATCTTCTATGTACACACACACTCATTCACTGAACCGTCTGATAGTAGTTTGCAGACATCATGCCTTTATTCCTATTCACAAATATTCCAATGTCTATTTCCTAAAAACAAGAACTTTCTCTTCTATAACAACAATAAACATCAAAATCAGGAAATGTAATAATGTATCAAATACTATAATTTAACCCAATTTTGCTAATTATGCTAATAATTAATCATGACATTTTTAAAAACTGACCTAAAAATGATATCTGATTCTATGCACAAAACTTTCAACTATAAATCATCACTGCAGCAGAAATTAATCTTTACACAGGCTCACCTCATTTCATTGTGCCTTGTTTTATTGTGTTCCACAGATACTGCATTGTTTATAAATTGAAGGTTTGTGCCTATGCTATGTTAGGCAAGTCAGTCGGCGCCAGTTTTCCAGCAGCATGTGCTCACTTTGGGTCTCCATATAATATTTTAATAATTCTCAAAATGTTTCAAACTTTTTCCATTATTATTAGATCTGTGAGGGTGATTTGTGATGAGTGATCTTTGGTGTCACTATGGTAATTGTTTTAGGTGCCATGGACTGTGCCCATGTAAGACAGCAAACTTAACTGATAAATGTGTGTGTTCTGACTGCTCCACTGACCGGCTGTTCCCTGACTCTCTCTCTCTCTCCTCAGGCCTTCCTATTCCCTGAGACACAACAATATTCAAATGAGGCCATTTAATAACTCCACAATAGTTTCTAAGTGTTCAAGTGAAAGCAAGATCGCACATCTCTTACTTTAAGTCGAAAGTGAGGAATGATTAAGCTTAGTGAGGAAGGCATGTCGAAAGCCAAGATTGGCTAAAAGCTAGGCCTCTTGGCTGGGTGTAGTGGCTCACACCTGTAATCCCAGCAGTTTGGGAGGCCGAGGCGGGTGGATCACAAGATCAAGAGATTGAGACCATCCTGGCCAACATGGTGAAACCCTGTCTGTACTAAAAATACAAAAATTAGCTGGGCATGGTGGCACATGCCAGTAATCCCAGTTATTCGGGAGGCTGAGGTAGGAGAATCGCTTGTACCAGGGAGTCAAAGGTTGCAGTGAGCCAAGATCATGCCACTGCACTCCAGCCTGGGTGACAGAGTGAGACTCTGTCTCAAAAAAGAAAGAAAAAAAAAAGAGCTAGGCCTCTTGTACCAAATAACTAGCCAAATTATGAATGCAAAGGAAAATTTTTGGAGGAATTTGTAAGTGCTACTCCAGTAAACACACAAATGGCAAGAAAGTGAAACAGCCTTATTGTTGAGAGGGAGAAAGTTTGAGTGGTTTGCATAGATGATCAAACCAGCCACAACATTTCTTTAAGCCAAAACCGAATCCAGAGCAAGGCCCTAACTCTTTTCAATTCTATGATGGCTGATAGAGGTGAGGAAGCTGCAGAAGAAAACTTTCAAGATAGCAGAGGTTGGTTCATGAGGTTTGAGAAAAGAAGCCGTCTCCATAACATAAAAGTGCAAGGTGAAACAGCAAGTGCTGACCTAGAAGCTACAGCAAGTGATCCAGGAGATCTAGCTAAGATCATTAATGGAGGTGACTACACTAAACAACAGAGTTTCAATGCAGGTGAAACAGCCTTCTATTGGAAGAAGATGTCATCTAGGACTTTCATGACTAGAGACAAGGAGTCAATCCCTACCTTCAGACTTACAAAAAAATAGGCTGACTCTTTCGTCGGGCACTAATTCAGGTGCTGACTTTAGTTGAAGTTGAAGCCAGTGCTCACTGACCATTCTGAAAATCCTAGGACCCTTAAGAATTATGCTAAATCTACTCTGCCTGTGCTCTATAGTGAAGCAACA
This sequence comes from Homo sapiens, assembly GCF_000001405.40. Taxonomy (NCBI): domain Eukaryota; kingdom Metazoa; phylum Chordata; class Mammalia; order Primates; family Hominidae; genus Homo; species Homo sapiens. The sequence continues at coordinate 134,386,369 of NC_000007.14, forward strand.
AGGTCTGGATGATATCATGTATGTTTATAGCATGGTTTACTGAATATTTTAAGCCCACTGTTGAGACCTACTGCTCAGGAAAAAAAAAAAGATTCTTTTCAATATTACTGCTCATTGACAATGCAGCTAGTCACCCGAGAGCTCTGATTAAAATGCAGAAAGGCATTAATGTTGTTTTCATGCCCGCTAACACAACAGGCATTCTGCAGCCCATGGATTGAGAAGTCATTTTCACTTTCAAATTTTATTCTTTAAGAAACACATTTCATAAGGCTGTAGTTGGCATAGATAGTATTTCTTTAATGGATCTGGGCAAAGTAAATTAAAAACCTTCTGGAAAGGATTCACCATTCTAGCTACCATTAAGAGCACTTGTAATTCACAGGAGGAGGTCAAAAAGGTCAACATAAACAAGAATTTGCAAGAATTTGATTCCAACTTCGAGAGATTCAAGACTTCAATGAAGGAAGTCACTGCAGATGTAGTGGAAATAGCAAATGAACTAGAATTAGAAGTGGAGCCTAAAAAAGTGATTGAAATGCTGCAATCTCATAATAAAATTTGAATGGATGAAGAGTTGCTTTTTATGAATGAGCAATGAAAGCAATTTCTTGAGATGGAATCTACTCCTGGTGAACTATTAGGTTGGTCCAAAAGTAATTGCGGTTTTTGCCATTACTTTTATGGCAAAAACAACAATTACTTTTGGACCAACCTAATGGAAACATTGTGAGCACTGTTGAAATGACCACAAAGGATTTAGAATATTCATAAACTTATTTGATCAAACAATGGCAGGGTTTGAGAAGACTGATTTCAATTCTGAAAGAAGTTCTACGATTGGTAAAATGCTGTCAAACAGCACAACATGCTAGAGAGCAATCTTTCATGACAGAAAGAGCAAATCAATGCAGCAAACTTCATCGTTGGCTTATTTTAAGAAATTGCCACAAACATCCCAATTTACAGCAACCACCACGCTTTTCAGTCAGCAGCCATCGACATCTAGGTAAGACCTTCCAGAGCAAAAAGATTATGACTCACAGAAGGCTCAGATGATTCTTGACATTTTTTAGCAATAAAGTATTTTAATTAACGTATGTACAGTTTTTAGATACAATGTTATTGTGCACTTAACGGACTACAGTATAGTGCAAACATAACATTTATATGCATGCACAGGGAAGCCAAACAATTTGTGTGACTTGCTTTATTGTGATATTTGCTTTCTTATCGTAGTCTGGAACAGAACCTACAAAATCTCCAAGGTATGCCTGTAGCAATAAATTTTTTTAGATTTTCCATAAAAATAAAAGAATAGAATTTAAAAATTCTTGTAGAACTCATGGACTTCTGAATTCATATTTGAGACAAATTGTTGGAAACCAAGGTCGAGACAGGAGGAGCTCTGTTCATCATGTATGTGTGGATTGTCTTTTACTGTTCACATTAGTCAGAGAATCAGAAAGTCAAGCAGTGGTGAAATCAAAGCTCCCATCTCTGTTCAGCAACATTAAATACAAAATTCCTGAAAAAACTAGGAATTAGGGTAGGAGTTATGCACATTAACTCACAAGCACAACACAGAGCTGAAAAGGGAATCTGACCAGCACCCAATTGGTTAAAAGCCTAAGGCCAAGGATACTCTCATGCCCTGTCTTTCAGCAGGCACAAATAATAAACAGAAAGAAAGAGAGAGAACAGGGGGAGTAAGAGGGACATAATGTCCACGGCTTGGTGGGAGAGCAGCTTTCTGAAATCAGAGGAAAATTTTGGAGGGTGATTTGACATTGTTGGTAGAATGAAAGAAGACAAGGCCTCTACCACGAAACAGGGTAAAATAATGAGAGAGGAAACTGAGATGTAAAGGCAACAGATGAGATGAGAATGGAGATAGTGGAAATAAGAAGGGCTTGCATGGAAACTAAAAGGCAAAGAGATTTTCTAAAGACTGTGGTGGAAGGACCTCTTAAGCCCAGGAAGTTGAGGCTGCAGTGAGCCATGATCACACAATTGCATTCCAGCTTGGCTGACAGAGTGAGATGCTGTCTTAAAAAAAAAATTAGTTTGGAGGCAGTAAAGGATAACGAAGCTGTGAAAAATAGGCTCAATGATGTGACACATCTCTACTCAATATGAAAGGCTTATTCATTTCAGACACAATCCAGAGAAACTGATAGAAACACAATCATTGAGACTCTCAGTCCGTGATGAAGTTGGCAACAGAAATAAGGGCAAATAGAATGTTAATGAATAGATCTACTTCGAAGTTGGTCACTGTAAACAGAGTTCTGAGCAAGCATCTACGGAGCATCACCAAAGCTGATCATAAATACTGGCCCAATGATAACCTCCATACATTCAAATGAGGGGAAATTATTCTGAGAACTGAAAAAAAAATGCAGAAGTTTAAAGGCACATCTGTTTACCAACTGAAACTTAGTTTCTTAATCTGTAAAAGGTGAATATTTACTAATAGCTGCTGTCTATGGGGGCTGTCAGAAGTAAATGAGCACTTACGGAGCTTATCATAGTGGTTGGCACATAGTAAGCAGTCAATACATTTTAGCTACTGGTATTATTATTGTCAGTATTATTTTTTGGTCACGTTCTCTATCCTTCAAATAATAAAAGTTCAAAAATAATAAAACTCTCTCAAGTAATAAAAATTCCAATTGATTAAGGTAAAATTTAGGCTGGGCACAGTGGCTCATGCCTGTAATCCCAGCACTTTGGGAGGCTGAGGCAGGTGGATCTCCTGAGATCAGGAGTTCGAGACCAGCTTGGCCAACATGACAAAACCCCGTCTTTACTAAAAATACAAAAATTAGCCGGGCATGGTGGTGGGTACCTGTAGTCTCAGCTTCTCGAGAGGCTGAGGCACAAGAATCACTTGAATCTGGGATGTGGAGGTTGCAGTGAGCCGACATTGTGCCACTGCACTCCAGCCTGGGCGACAGAGTGAGAGACTCTGTCTCAAAAAATAAAGAAAGAAAGAAAGAAAGAAAATAAAATAAATTTATGAAAGTTCTCAGACTGCCATTAAATCAAACAGAATATCACAACTATAATTACAAAACAAGGAGAAAGTAAAACAAATCACTATATATGAAGTCTAATGGAAGGCAGCCAAAGTTCTGCTAATAGGCAAACTCACAGACTTCAACAGCTTTCTTATTTTGGAAGAGGAAAATAGTAAGAATAAAACAAATCTAAAAAAGAAAAAAAATGGAAGAAACAAAATGGCAGGAGTAAAAGCAGAAATCACTTAAAATTAAAGCCAGCAGAAAAATAGCATAATTTGGGAGGTAAAACAGCAAAATACACTCACTACTTATAAATTTAAGTTTTAAAAATGTGGAGGCCTAGGCTGTGTATAACAAAACTGAATGCTGTAAAAATGTCAGTTCTTCTCAACTTAGTTTATTCATTTTTCAAAATGCAATCAATATTCTGATGAGACTGGGGTTTTTTTTTTTTTTTTTTTTTTTGGAACCTGGCAATATAATTATAAGGTTTTTCTGGAGAATAGGTGAGAATAGCTAAGAACATGTTGAAAACATTCTCATCATATTAAATTCATCTAAATAGTCTAGATTCAGAAGAAAATTTATTTTGAGAGCAAACTGACATCAAAATAAAAAGAACCTTAGTCGACCTGATACCTATTGAAATACTAATTGCCATCAATCTGGAATTCACACTTGCCCCTCCCCAGCTCTAAACCTTTTTGCCTCTTTGGTGCACAGACCTTTAAATCAAATAACAGAAGTACAGGTTGAGAATAAATTCCTTTTGTGGCCTCCAATATGAGCCCAGAAAACCAACGAAAATAAAAATTTATTTGAATATTATGCAAGTATTAATAACATTGTGTGTATTTATTGAGTTTTGATATTTATTTCAAAAATATCTCTTTTAATCATTAAAGTAACTTGGCATGCATTAACCATTACAAATCCTTTTTATTATTTCAATCCATAGGTTTCTCTCATTCTCAGTTTTGGAAGTTTGGGAAGGTCATGTTCAAATTTTAACTTTGTTGGTCAAGGAGAAACACTGCTACCATTTGCAAACAACTTTATAAAGTAACTGCTAGAATGATTCTAAGTATGGGTTTGTGCTATGCTTTGGGTCTAAAAACAAATCTAGTTCCTCTATCTGAATTCTGAAGAAAGGAATGGGAGTTTTGATGATGGGGAGATTGTTGGCTGGGGCTGATTAGGCCCAGGACACCCGAGAATAGCAGGATAAAGATGGAGCAGAGTGCATAAGGGCTGTCCCTCCACCAAAACAAATTATTATGTAGAAGGATAGGCAGTCTAGCATTCTAAGAGGAGTAGTACAGGAATCAAATATTGGTGTCAGGACTGATTCCAAATACTCAGTCCCATAGCCAGGTCTTGGATGAAGAGAATGAGCTGACTTCTCAAGCTGACTCTTCAACAAGATCATGAATTAAGTCTCACCCCCCACCACTTACCAGCAGGATAATGCTAGGCAAGTTTCTTACACACTCTGTTTCCCAATTTTCTCATCTCAATATTAGAGGTTACAAATACCTAAACAAATGGTGGCCAGTATTATTTGGTACAAAGAGAGTGTGGTCACTATAAATCCAAGGTTTTCATCACAGGGTAGTAGAAAATGAAATAGGAAGTGGGTAACTGTGTAGGAAAAACGGAATACTAACAATTGAAGTATTTGGGTAGTGATGTTTTTACCATGTGTGAGAAAAAGAGAAATAATATAAGAATAAAACGATTTAAAATTACAGGATGCACAGTGATTAGGCTGTTCTCTCATGATATAAAGAAATACCTGAGACTGGGTAATTTATATTCTCCTATTGCTATAAAGAAATACCTGAGACTGGGTAATTTATAAAGAAAAGAGGTTTAACTGGCTCACAGTTCTGCAGGTTGTACAGGGAGCACGATGCTGGCATCTGCTCGGCTTCTGGGGGGCTCCTCAGGAAGCTTACAATCATAGCAGAAGGTAAAAGGGGAGCGGCATGTCACGTGGTGTAAGCGGGAGCAAGGTGGGGAGGAAGTGCCACACTTTGAAACAACCAAATCTCGTGAGAAGTCCTCACTATCACGAGAAGAGCACCAAGGGGAATGGTGCTAAACCATTCATGAGAAATCAACCCCCATGATCCAATCACCTCCCAAAGGCCCCACCTCCAACATTGGGAGTTACAATTCAACATGAGATTGGGTAGGGACCACAGATCCAAACTATATCACATAGCATGAGGGAAAACTACAGATACTGGTGCTGGTTTAAAGTACTGAGGAACCCACAGAAGAGAAAATCCACAGAAGTTTGGTGTGGAGAAGAGAAGGCAGGTGGAGTGGATGGTCCAGAAAAAGGCATTCCGCTTTGGGAGAAAGAAAAGATGCTGAGGTCAAAACACACAGCCTTTGAGAAGCTGATGAGAAACTCATTTCTGTGTGCTAGGGAGGAAGCAGCAGTTATGGGGCTGAGGAGGCAGAGGGCGTGAGGTCAGAGGACCTTCTGCATCTGGCTGCCTCTGGCTGGAGGTAATGCTTACACAACCCAGAGTCCTGGGAGAGAAAAAACAACCTAGAATCCCATCATAGACAAAAGGGTCTCTATGGAAGCTGCCGGTCCCCATGAACTCAAGTATAAGTTATCACCATTAACACAAACTTCCCTTTTCCCTTTATGCTTATTCCCATGCAGATCACTAGATAAAACAAATTAGTATTGACATCAAGTAAAGCTTTCAAGAGCACTGAACTCTCAACTCTCTTTCAGTATACCTCTCAACTCCCCCAATTTGTGGCTCATCTATTTACAACTTAAGGAGATTGGAAGGATATTGATGACAATACAACGAGTGCAGAGTAGATGGGAGAATGGGCTCTAGCTCACACATCGTAAAAATGATTAAACTATGTAGCAAGCTATAAAGCCACTGGCTTGCTCTGAGATTTATAGGAACAGGCCTTTTAACTTTACAAGATTGGATTCTAGCATGAGTTATCCGAAGGCACTGAGATCTTAGCTTATGTGTATTCACTGAGTTGCCTGGGAGGCCCGGAATATCTGGGAAAGGCCTGGGGGTTAAAGAAGTTGTTATGGAAAGGTGGGAGTATCTGTACCAGAGATGGAGCAGTCTCTGCCCTTTCTTGGATCAGCAAAACACACCTGTGTAACATTGTCCATGTATCTGTGTCTCCCAGAGAGGACATGGAAAGGAAGACAGGAGAGCACTAGAGAAGAGAAGTGAGGGCCAGGTTAACCAAGCTGTCTTTCCTGCACACTTTGAGGTTATTATTAAATAATCTTGAGCAAGACAAGCCACACTGCCATGTGCTATGGAAGACAAACTGACAGAGCATCTTTCATTGTACGGAAAGATTTTCCATACAATGAAAATTTTTTTCCCAGTTGGCATAGAAATCTGATGCAGAGTCCCCTGTTAGGTCACCCAGCTATCATCTGCTCAGAATGTAGGGTAGTTAATCTCTTTCATACTCAAATTCCTTTCAGAGCATTCAAGGTGCCCCAGAGGTGAGGGTGTCTCATATGAATTCTATGCATTAGTTCTCTTGGCTATGCAGTGGCATCTGTAGTCTTCCTTTTCCTGTTCATTGGCTGATGCCAGATTGAGCCAACTCCAAAAGCATCATCTAGGCATGGACCCTTCACCTAGGTCACCAGCCTGATGTCTGATTTGAAGGCCTAGATGTCTGAGCCAGGAGTCATTATGTGCACTTCTGAAGCCTCTGGCACTATCACCCACCATTGCAAAGCTGCTGGGACCAATGTATGGGTGCCTGTGTTCTCAGAGCCCTGCGGAGATAGCAATGAAAAAGCTCTCTGAGATTTGACTTGCTCTTTTATTGCAGAACTCAGCCACAAGCACCTGGGGTCTGGACCAGGAGATGGTCTTTGTGACAGATGCCTTATTCTCAGCTGCAATTTCCAGGCACAATGAGATGAAAAAAAATTGCTATCCCCTTAGTAGCTGGTATAAAACTTTATCTTAGGAAGAGACTTGCCTTTTGGAGGAAAATGTCTTGATAAGCTCACTTGTGTAGTCAATTCCTTTGAAGCATGGCTGTTCTCTGGTGCCAAGGTTTCTAAGACATAGTCAAAACTATTCTGTATAAGAAGAAAAGAGAACGAACTTTATTTATTTGTGTTTTTATTTTATCTTAGGGAAGGAAAAGGGACAGTAAAAGGGAAGAATAAGCTAACAAGGTAGTGGGAGCTCATGTGTTGCCCAATGTGATTCATCTTCACTAATATCATTAAAAACTATTCTTGGTTTGATTTGATTTCTTATGGAAAACAATAAGTGGGTTTGAATTTGTGTAGAAGCTGACTATGGGCAAAACAGAGGCCACAGACATAGAAAAAGAAGAGGAGACAGAGACCCTAATTGCCATCAGTACATTGGGACTAAGTCTCTTGTCTTTGAATCAGACCTGTGCAGCCTACTGGGTCCTCACTTATGCAAACTGATGCCAAGGGGATGTGCTGCATCAGGACCCAGGATGAGCTCAGACAAGTCTGCAGCCCATGGTGGATGCTGCTTAGGAAATACAGAATTGTTCAGAAATTCCTAGGAATGGAAGCAAAACTAACCCCAACCACCATTTCCTCTGACATTTGAAATATCATTCCCTTCCTCTTTAAAGAGGGGCCTCTCCAGGATTGGAAGAACCTCGGCATGTGGCCAGCTGCCAGTAACCAAATCTGTGTAGTTTCCAGTGGGAACTCCACTTCTGTCCCAGTGTTCTCTTCCATTTCATTCCATTCTGTGCCATTCCATGCCACTCCCTTCCCTGCCACTGCATTCTATCACATTCCACACCACTGCAACTCATTCCACATGCAATCACTGTGCACCTACTCCGTCCCTAAAATACTTCGCCTGGCCCTGAACATGCAGAGATCAACAACACACAGTTAATGGCAAAGGAATGTTAATTTCTCTGGGCCGCTGGTAGGCTGAGTTCCAAGGGAACTGTAAATTAAAACAACAGTGAGATATCACCACACACCTATTAGAAAGGGTAAAATCCAGAACGTTGACACCACCAAATGCTGGCAAATATATGAGGCAATAGGAACTCTCATGCACTGCTGGTGGGAATGCAAAATGGTACAGCCACTTTGGAAGGCAGTTTGACAGTTTCTTACAAAACTGTCCATATTCTTACCATGTAATCTACCAAACATGCTCCTTGGTATTTAACTAAACGAGTTTAAAATTCATGTCTACACACAAACTTATAAATGAATGTTTATAACTACCAAAAATTAGAAGAAACCACAGTATCCTTCAATAAATGAATGGATAAAGAAACTGTGGTGCATCTATACAATGGAATATTATTTAGCAATGAAAGAATTGAGCTATGAAGCCACAAAAAGACACGGAGGTACCTTAAATGCCTACTGCTAAATGAAAAATGCCAATTTGAAAAGGCTACATGTATGATTCCAACTATGTGACACTCTGGAAAAGGCAAAACTATAGCATTAATAAAAAGGTCAGTGGTTGCAAAGGATTGAGGAGGAGGAAGGAAGGACGGAAGGGCAGAGAGCCCAAGGATTATTAGGGCAGTGAATAATATTGTAATGGCAGATACATGACATTATGCATTTGTCAAAACCCATAGAACTATACAACACAATGAGTGAACTGGAATGTAAACTATGATTTTAGTTAATAATAACGTATCAGGCTGGGCGTGGTGGCTCACACCTGTAATCCCAGCACTTTGGGAAGCCGAGGTGGGTGGATCACCTGAGGTCAGGAGTTTGAGACCAGACTGACCAATATGGTGAAACCCCATCTCTACTAAAAATACAAAAATTAGCTGGGCATGGTGGCGGGTGCCTGTAATCCCAGCTACTTGGGAGGCTGAGGCAGGAGAATTGCTTGAACCCAGGAGGCGGAGGTTGCAGTGAGCCGACATCATGCTACTGCACTCCAGCCTGGGCGACAGAGCCAGCCTCAGTCTAAAAAAAAATAAAAATGTATCAAATATTGGTTCATCAGTTCTAACAATGTACCACATAAATGCAAGATGTTAATAATAGGGAAACTGTACATGTGTTGGACAATGGGCTATATGGGAACTCTGTACTTTCTGCCAATTTTTCTGTAAACCTAAAGTTGTTCTAAAAAATAAAGTCTATTGCTTTAAAAAATGTGTATTATGTCAGGTAGTAATGTGTGGTATGAAGAAAAATAAAGCAGTATAACACTATGGAAAGTAATGGTGTGGTGTGTGTGTGTGTGGGCATGCACGTGCATGAACTATTTTACTCTTTAGGAGATTAGGGAGCTCTTACTGATGAGTTGATATTTGAGAAGAGTTTTAAAAGTGACAGAGCAAGTCCCATGAACATGTGGTGACAAAAACTCCCAGGCCAAGAAAGGGAAGTGCAAGGGCCCTGTGGTTGGTATGTGTTTAAAGAGACAGTGAGGGGTGGGGGAGCGGGAGGGTAAGTCATGGAACACCTTGTAGGTCACCGGAAAGACTTGAAATTTTACCCCGAGTGAGATAGGGAGCCCCTGGGAGATCATAGGAGAGGAGTTACACCATCTGATTTATTGTTTAAAAGATTCATCTCACCATTGTGAGAAGAATAGGCTGCAGTGGGATTAAGAGTGCAACTAGGAGACCTGATCCAAGTCCTCTGGACTTGGTGGGGAAAACCTTCACAGCCGAGCCCAGAATCAAGATCATGTCTCATTTAACATTCTCAACTATTTAAAAGAAGAGATTGGCTCCCCATGCAGCTGGGGGAACTGAAACTCTAGGGAGCACACTGCACTTGTGAGAGGTGCTGGGAGTCAGGGAGTATTTCAGTGAAGCCACTTTGACTACTTCTTCGTTTCCAGGCAAGGGTTTCCCACTCGCCCAGTCTTGTGACTTCTATAGTCACAATTGGCACATAACTATGAGCTTCCAAAGAAAATGTCAAATCTGTGCCCTTGTCGTGATTGAGGTTGATAACGTTGTGTTGTTGTGTTATTGAAGACCTACCTCAGAATTTTTAATTCAGGAGCTCCTGGGAATGGAAGCAAAACTGACCTCAACTCCCGCTTCCTCTGACCTGTGCAATATCATTCCTTCCCTCTTTAAAGAGGGGCCTCTCCAGGATTGGAAGAACCTCAGCACGCGGCCAGCTGCCAGTAACCAAATCTGTGTAGTTTCCAATGGGAACTCCACTTCCGTCCCAGTGTTCTCTTCCATTCCATTCCATTCTGTGCCATCCCATGCCACTCCCTTCCCTGCCACTCCAAGCTATTAGAATTGGAGACAGAGACCCCAATTACTTTTAATCCTCAGAATTATCCCATTCTTAGGACCTATTGTTGTCCCTACTTGATAAATGAGGAGCTACAGACCCAGCAAGGTTACATAATGTCTCAGGGTCGCCGGGTAATGAAGGTGTCCAGGGCTGCTTGCCCCTGAAGCCTAGGCTCTTCCCAAGGCGTGCTGAAGACAGACTAGCAAGAGAGACCTGAATCTTCCCACGGACCCCCTCACCACACAGCCATGCTGCTCAATTGCAGAGAGAAAATGTGGGAGGCAAAGAGGTCGATGGCAAACGTCTTTATTTCCTTTGGCCATGTGATACCCTCTCTCTAAGTAGGTTTGAAGGGAATGGTGGGGTAAGTGCAGAGAGGAGGATGATTAGCCGGGAGGGTTTAGGGAGCCAGACTGTGAGAGGTGCCCAGGAGAGGAGAATTTCTTTTTTTTGTTTTGTTTTGTTTTGAGATGGAGTTTCATTCTTGTTGCCCAGGCTGGAGTGTAATGGCACGATCTTGACTCACTGCAACCTGTGCCTCTTGGGTTCAAGTGATTCTCCTGCCTCAGCCTCCCAAGTGGCTGAAACTACAGGCGTGTGCCACTATGCCCAGCGAATTTTTTTGTATTTTTAGTAGAGACGGGGTTTCACCATTTTGGCCAGGATGGTCTTGAACTCCTGACCTTAAGTGATCCACCTGCCTCAGCCTCCCAAAGTGCTGGGATTACAGGCATGAGCCACTGAGCCCAGCCAAGGTGAACTTCTTTATTTTTCACCTATTCTTTCTAAGTGGTTCCCAAGTGGGGGTGCTGATGGCTAATGAGGAAAAAGAGAAGTTACGTTTCTCTTAAAAGCTTTGGGGATGGAGTGGACCTTTCTTTTAGGTGGGAGGTGAAGCCAGGGAAGGAGTGAAGCCAGGTGGGTATTAGACCAGGTAGAAGTCAGTCCAGGTGGAGGTCAGTCCAAGTGGAGGTCAGTCCAGGTGGAGGCCAGGCCTGTTGGAGGTGTCAGGCGTGCTGTGGGGCTTCAGAACTCATCGTGGGAGGAGGTCAGGCTGGCCTGGATGCCCAGGTCCCTGCTGTGGTCCCCAGCAGTTGCGGTCCCTAGCAGTCCTCGTCCCCAGCGACTCTCAGCCTTGTCCCAGGCTGCTTCTCACCATGACTGAGTAGAAAATCCTTTGGTCACATAAGGTGAATGGATTTACTCAGGGAGGGGCCCCTATTTTAAGGTGCCATGGCCTCAGGGAGATGGGGGAAGATGTCAAAGGGGCTCCAGCTGGCTGATGACTCTGGGGCTGGTAGTATTCATGTCCACAGACCAGATCATTAACCAGCTGAGTTATAAACTCCAAAAGCAGCAATAGGTTGACTCCAAACCGCATGCCCGTGGCAGGGAGAGGGTGGCCAGCTGGGAGATGGTGTTTACTCTCTTGCTGTCCCCAAATCCTGAAGGTCATTTTAATTAACTTTCAAACAGCTTTTCTACTTTTTGGTCTTTGAGTTTGTACTTATGGCTACACACGCCCACCCACACATAATCCCATTTTAATGAAATCAGGGGAACATCAAAATCACTATACTGTATCACTGTCTCGTTAAAATGAACATATCTCGCCATAGCAGAGTAGAAGGGCTGCTTTGTGGCTTATTAGTATTTTTAATTATTTAAAGCAAACTTTCCACACACTGTTGTGTTAGTAAATCAAGGTCAAGTTTTTTTTTTTTTATTTTAACTTTTTATAAACAAGAAGGGATTTTTTTTTGCAGCTTCCAAAGTAAGCTGCCGAAGAAGGAAAGGCTGGGACTAGCTTTGAATATGATATCAGATTCCTGGTAAAATTTGATGTGTTTTTCAAAACACACTGCTAATATCTGGAGTGGAGTTATACACATTTATGGGAGCAAGTGTTGGTGGGAACCACCGTGGGGAAGTAGTGGGGAAAATGAAAGGATATACAATTAGCTCTGGGTGGAAATTAACTGCGTAGTGCTGCAGAAAGGGCCATAACTGTGAATCACTACATTTAAAATAAAAGTGATCATAGCAACCTAAATAACCAAAGTATTTTTCCATGTGTATGTGAGGGTGTACGGGCAGGGGAGGCGCGATCTGGGAACTGAAGACTGGGTCTGAGCTGGCTTCCAAGGTGGTGGGCTGGCCAGTCCCCAGAAACAACGAGGCTCTGTGGACTGGGAAGGGCTGCTGGGGGTTGGCACAGAAAGAAGGAAATCAGTGATGCTATGGGCAAGGGGAAGGGGTCCCCCCACCCCCCAGCCACCAAGACGGTTATAAACTCAGGGTCATGGTCAAGGGTAAACTTGAGGGCTCTGAGTGATTTCAGCACCCAGCTGGGGATGCCTTGGAAGGGGAGGTGGAGGGCTTTGGGGAGGCATTAGCTGTTTCCCAGAGAGCTGGAGAACTGGGAACATGACAGTTTGGGGACTCAGGAAAACTGATACTGATGAGCACCTAAAGTATTCCAAATGGAATTCTTAGTGACTCTGTTTCATCCACCTAGTAGGGATTCTCTGTTAAATTGTTTTATCTAGCATCTGTATCACTTGGGGTCCCAATAGGAAACAGATGGCACTCTCGAGCTGGGTAATTGAGAAGCGTTCAATAAAGAGACTATTTGCAAAGGTGTAGGCACCGTGTGATGTAAGGAAAACACAAGGGATGTGCAGAGGGCTGGCAAATAACATAGGGAGAGCATCATGACCCCATCACCTGGAGGGGAGGGGAGGAAGCACTACGAGTCCTGGGGAGTGAGAGGACCACCTTGGTAGATGGGCCAAGAAGCCTGAGCCAACCTACCAGGAAAAAGCCATGGGAAGAAATACCCCAACCTCTCTCTCCCTCCACCCTGCAATCACCTGCTGACTCCTGCTGACCTATCTCAACCTGAAGCCAAACAATAGTGGGGGCTAGTAAGTCCAAAATCTGTAGGGCAAATGGCAGGTATGAAAGATGCGGGGAAGAGTAGATGTTGCAGCCTTGAGTCCTCAGGCTGGAAACCCAGGCAGAATTTCTATGTTACAGCCTGGAGGCAGAATTCTTTCTTCTTTGGGAAATCTGTATTCATTCTGAAGACCTTCAACTGATTGGATGAAGCCCACTTATATTATGGAGGGCAATCTGCTTTACTTAAACTAATTGTAAATAATAATATAATCTAGAAAATAACTTTACAGGAACATCTAGACTGGTCTTTGACCAAACAAGTGGTCACCATAGTCTAGCCAAGCTGGCACATAAAATGAACCATGACAGTCCTTGTGGTCGGGCAAAATAGAAGTAGGGTTGTGCTGAGGTTCAATGAGGACCTTAAAGTTTAAATGTCACTCTCACTCATGTTGACTTATCTAATCCTCAAAACCATATGGTGAAACAAGTATTACCATCCATAATTTATAGATGTTGCAACTAAGGCTCAGAGAAATACTTGCTTAAGGACAGAAAGCTGGAAAATTGTAGAGGCAAGACTCAAATTCAAGTCTTCTGACGTCAAGCCTAGATAGTTTCTAAGTGGGTAATACAATATTTTTAAGTCCCATTAGGAAATCATGTGGGATCAGGAGGTTACTTAAAAATAACAATGGGGCTGGGCACGGTGGCTCATGCCTGTAATCCGAGCACTTTGGGAGGCCGAGGTGGGAGGATCACTTGAGGTCAGGAGTTTGAGACCAGCCTGGCCAATGTGGTGAAACCCCCATCTCTATTAAAAATACAAAAATTAGCCCAGCATGGTGGTGCGTGCCTGTAATCCTAGCTACTTGGGAGGCTGAAGCATAAGAATCACTTGAACCTGAGAGGCAGAGGTTGCAGTGAGCTGAGACTGTGCCACTGCACTCTGGCCTCGGTGACAGAGTGAGACTCTGTCTCAAAGGAGCCAAAACAAAACAACAACAAAAAACAAAGACAAAATGGAGGAGTAAGCTTGTGGATGAAAATGATGTGCCATGTGTTAATAATTGTTGGAGGTTCATTATATTTTCTCTACACTCTGGAATGTGATAATTTCCATAATAAAATATTAAATATAGTGTCATGGCTCTGTGAGCAGTTTGCTATTTTGTCAAGTTGAGCTCTTCACTTGAGCCCTATCGTTTGTAGCCATGTGAAGCCAAGGCCTTTGAATCTCAGTTGGCTTTTCCCTATTTGCTTTTGAAGGGTAGTCTTTGCTGAGGGGTAAGGAAGGTTATGGCGGGCATTTTGCTGTCGGGTTACACTGAGCACCTTCTGATGACACCAACCCTGTAACTGTGTGAGCTGACATGCAGGTCTTGCCATGATGTGCTGGTTACAAGCACACTCTGCAGCTAGGCTGCCTGCATTTGACTCTTGCCTTGGCCACTTACAGCTATATGGCCTCATCAAGCCACACCTCAGCTTTGCCATCTGGAAATAGGACAATGATAGTGCCTACTCCTAGGTTTTTTATGAGGACAGGATGACTAGTGTCTGGGATATAGAAGGTACTATGTGAGTGTACATTAAATGAAGCCCATGAAACTCTTATTACAAAAAAGAGAAATCAACTTTTGGCTGTATGTGAGTTTTTGAGGTTCTTTTGTCTTCCAATGCCCAAAAGAGAAAGCAATAGATAAATCATTCATTCATTAATTCATTCAATAATTCATACCTATTTCACACTTTGTATGATGATAATCATAAAAATTAGATTCTTTGACAGCAAGGAATGCAGCATAGTTGGGAGAGCCAGACCACTAATTAGATTAATAATGTTTACTAAGACATAGAACTTTAGAGAATTGTACGAAGGTTATTAATTATCTCCACAAAATATTCAGATATGTAAATTATTGGGTATAAGTCAACCCTAGATATCAAGTAAGAACTTTTAAAATGAATAATGATAAGTAGTCTGATAAATACTATAATAGAGATATGCACCCTGCTTCTCTCTCCAGTCCAATTTCTCAACATTGCCTTCTCCCACTCTCCAGTTCTGCCATGTTGATCTCCTTTCAGTTCCTGATACAATGGTTTCCATAGTTTGACTGCACACCTCAATGAGAAAACAACAGCAAATAAACAAGCTGAAAACATGTAGGCTCCCATGTATGTATGCTAACATACAAACTCCAAGGTGTATATATTTACTTAAAAGCTGTCTGCCAGGTGCAGTTGCTCACGCCTATAATCCCAACACTTTGGGAAGCCCAGGCAGGAGGACTGCTTGACCCCAGGAGTTCAAGACCAGCCCTGGCAACATGGTGAGACCCAGTTTCTACAAAAAATATTGTTTAAAATTAGTCAGGTGTAGCGGCATGCACCTGTAAGTCCCAGTTACTCAGGAGGATGGCTTGAGTAAGATGGAGGATGGATGACTTGAGGATGGCTTGAACCTGGGAGGTTGAGGCTACAGTGAGCTATGATGGTGCCACCAGACTCCAGCCTGGGTGACAGAGCAAGACCCTATCTCAAAATAAATACGTAAATAATAAAAAAGCTGTCTACATGTATTATCACCATTAACTAATATATTCAGATGAGGAAAGCTAGGTTAAGACAAGGTTCAACATTAACAACAGAGGATACAAAGCCGTACTTCAAAAGAATTGGTGATAATTTTGTATTCTTTTGGCAAACTTCTTGTCAGTTCTGATTAAATCATTTTTAATCTCATCATGGGCTGACAAAGAGCTTGTCTAAGGCAGGAACAGTGTGAGTTCAGAAAAAAATGTGTGTTCACTTATACTTCCATTAGTAGTATTACCACCAATCTGTGAATTCTTTGCAGGAGACTCTTTAAGCTGTGTGGCATTTAGTGAGGGCTGGTTCAGAGTAGGTAATATCATCCGTGAGTTCCGGTGACAGACACACCCTGGCTGCACACTGGGGCATGGCCACTTTTCTTTCAGGAGACATCATGTACCTTGCATGGCACATGGTTCTGGGACACCTGCACTAAGGAAGCCTCTGGTTTTAGCCTGTTTCTTATATAGTAGCAGAGCTTACTTGCTTTCTTATTCAGTTAAGCTGAACATTTAGCATAAACATATCTATTTTTTTCTTCCTGCTTCCTAATGGACCATCTTGTATACACACTGGGAAACATGTGTCCTATTTTCGAGACCTCTGCTTGAAAACTCTGGGCCTTCTAGCTCCAGAGTCTTCCCAACACTGTACCTGCTGCCTGGAACACTTTTGCTCCCCACTTTTGTTTCAGGGTCCCTGATTTACCACTTCCTCTGGGCAGCTCTCTCTAACCCCCCTAGACCAGGTTGGGGACTTGCTGCTGTTCACTTCTCTATACTGTTTCATATAGAAAATACCTGTGGAGTTTCTATTACGCCAGCCCTATTCAGATGAGCCAAACTGGACATGGCCAATCTAGAGGAGTTAGAAGTCATTAACCAAATAATGATACAAATAAATATAAAATTATAACTGTGTTAAATGCTTTGATGGAGAAGTACAAATTGTGACAAAAGTATAAAGGAGGGGGATTTGATCTAGCCTGGGGAACTAACTGAGTTTAAATATGAAGGAGTACCAGGAAAAAGAGAGAAAGAGTTTCAGAAGGAAGGATGCAGCAGATGCAAAGGCCCTGTGGCGGAAGGGGGCATTTATTTTAACAAGTAGGATTTCACTACAGGATGAAGCTGGAAGAAGGGAGAGAAAGAAGGTGTGGAAGGCAATAGGAGTGATAACAACAGCTATCCAGATGCCAGGGTGTGGCTAGGTGTGGTGGCTCATGCATGTAATTTCAGTACTTGGGGAGGCAGAGGCAGGAAGACCACTTGAGCTCAGGAGTTAGAGACCAGCCTGGGCAACAGAGTGAGACCTCATCTCTACTAAACAAAATAAAAAATAAAAAATAAAATTAGCTGGGCATGGTGGTGTGCACCTGTAGTTCCAGCTACTGGGGGGTGGGGAGGGGTAGGGAGGTTAAGGTGAGAGGGTCACTTGAGCCCAGAGGCTGAGGCTGCAGTGAGCCGTGATTGCACCACTGCCCTCCAGCCTGGGCAACAGAACAAGACCCTGCCTCAAAAAAATATTTTTTAGAAAGATGCAGGGACATGGGAAACCCTACACACACTGGCCATGATCTTTGAAGAATTTGATCAGGATCTGAAGATGTCATACAGGTGCAGCAGTGAGGCTCAGGGTAAGGCAGCTGCTGTGGGGATGAAGAAATGTGGGAACATCTGGGGTGAGGAATGCACAGAACTTGACCAACTGGATTGACCATGAGCAATGAGCCAGCAGGAGGCAGCCAAGCCCACTGCCAGGCGAGTGCATGGTGGGACCGCTCAGCAAGAGGGGGTCGGAGAAAGGGCAGCTGTGTGTGACAAGGGTGGGGACAATGGCCTCAGCGCAGGTAGATCACCTGAGGTCAGGAGTTCAAGAACAGCCTGGCCAACATGGTGAGATCCTGTCTCTACTAAAAGTACAGAAATTAGCTGGGCATGGTGGTGTGTGCCTGTAGTCCCAGCAACTTAGGAGGCTGAAGCAGAAGAATCACTTTAACTCAGGAAGCAGAGACTGCAGTGAGCCAAGATCATGCCACTGCACTCCAGCCTAGGTGACAGAGTGAGATTCTGTCTCAAAAAAAAAAAAAAAAAGATAAAAGAATTCTCCCCATCTCTACAAGTAATAAATTATCCAGGCATGGTGACACATACCTGTAGTGCCAGCTACTCATGAGGCTGAGGAGGGAGGATTGCTTGTGCCCAGGAGGTCGAGGCTGCAGTGGGCTATGATTGTGCCACTGCGTTCCAGCCTGTGTGAAAGAATGAGACCTTGTCTCAAAAAAAAAAAAAAAATCACTGAGTCTTCTCCAATTTAGAGTCATAGAATCCTAGTCATAGGTATTGTGTAGGGTACAAAAGTGGATATGACATTGCCCTTGTCCTGAGGTAGGTTCCAGGCTACTCCAGAGATAAGACACGCATAGACAATTACATATTGCATAGAAAGTGGAACAAGTTGGAAGTTAAGAAGGAAGAGAGAGGTCACTTCTTGAGGGGCAGGAGGAGGTGAGAATCTGCTTAGAAAGGGCCATGCAGGGCACAAGTCAACAGTCCTCCACAGCATGTGGCTCTGGCACCAAGAAAATGTAGGTGTCTTCATAGGCATTAACCTCAAAAACTAGTCCTTTAAAACCCAGATGCCACGGTGACTTTTAAAAATAGCCTTTGGTATGGAGCCTTTTTGAAAGTCTAAATAAATTACACTCATTGGTTCCTCCCTGTCCATGCATTAATCTTCTCAAAGGCTGCAGTGCGTTAATCAGGGCTGCTTTCTCCCTCTGAAATTGCCTTTTCACTGGTAAGTTCTGTGAGTCTGAATGTCTCCTATGGATTTCATGTGCCTGCCTGCACCAGTGTGGGAAGGGATGTGCTTCACTTGTGGTTCCCAGGACTTCCTTCAGAGCCTTCCCTGTACTTGGGGTCCCACTGGTATTTTCTGGTCCCCAGATATTGGGGCTCTTTGTGTTGACAGTTGATGCATTAGCTGAGAGTGGTACAATTTCACCCTCCTCCTCTGCAAGCCCTCCGAGAAGTCTTGGGTGAGCCTTATCCCTTCCCAGGGATTTAGTTACATTTAGCTTAACGGCTAGGTAGAGCACATGAAGTTTGATGCTATTTGGCTAGCTATCTTCAAACTACCTGCTTCGATAAATATTCCACAAGTGGCTCAACCACATTCTGCTTCCTTTCTTCCTCTGCCTGGGCATGGCTGTCACTGTTACTGTGTATGCCATGAACTTGCAGGTGTTTTGGTGCAAAGAACATCCCATCGAGGCTTTGGAACCCCTAGCAGGGCACCTCTTGAATTAGTTGTGTCCCTGCTGAATCCATTTTGCCCCAAATCTGCCACACTTCATGGGCCTCCCAGAATTTCTTGGTCAGGCCTTCTCTACATCTACAAAAAGCAGTAAGTTCATGTCCTCAGCTTTCCCTAATGTGTTTGGGCACCCAGCCTGGCAGGGTGTCCTATGGGCTAGCTTATATGAAAGGGTGCACTTTCAGAAAAATACCGACCAGGCTGGTGCAAGGACCCACGGTCAGCAGTGTAACTGGCTAGGGTGGACCCACAA
This sequence comes from Homo sapiens, assembly GCF_000001405.40. Lineage (NCBI taxonomy): Eukaryota > Metazoa > Chordata > Mammalia > Primates > Hominidae > Homo > Homo sapiens. The sequence goes on from NC_000007.14 coordinate 134,405,747, forward strand.
GAAGTGCTCTAGGAGAGGGGATGCTTTGCAAAGAAAATCCACAGCTTTGGTTGAAGGTGGGAGGCTGTTTCTATGGCTTGTCCAGAGCTCCTTAGGTGACAATGTGATATGGTTTTGCTGTGTCCCCACCCAAATCTCATCTTCAGTTGTAGCTCCCATAATTCCCATGTGTTGTGGGAGGGACCCAGAGGGAGATAATTGAATCATGGGGGCAGTTTCCCCCATACTGTTCTCATGGTAGTGAATAAGTCTCATGAGATCTGATGGTTTTATAAGGGGTTTCCCCTTTTGCTTGGCTGTCAATTCTCTCTTGCCAGCCACCATGTAAGACGTGCCTTTAGCCTTCTGCCATGATTGTGAGGCCTCCCCAGCCATGGGGCACTATGAGTCCATTAAACCTCTTTTTTTTATATAAATTACCCAGACTCAGGTATGTCTTTATCAGCAGCATGAGAATGGACTAATACACCATGAGTCCAGGAAGGACATACTTTGTCTTAAAGGTTTAGCTAGAATGGTTCAAATCCACAGACTATCAGATCACTCCAGAATTTGAAAAACTGAAACCCATAAAGGTAGTCCTCTTTGCTTAACCACGAGCCTTATGTATAGTATCTGAGGGATGGCCTCACCAAAGGACTGAATCAGGAGGCAGGAGGCAGCTGGACTCCATGCCCAGCCTCAGGGAGGCCATTGCTGTGAAGATCAGAGGTATGTGAGGTCCCCCCTCATCCTCTGCCACCTCTTTGCTGTCTGAAACGGGGCTCTGTGTGTCTGACAATAATAGTCAGGCTTCAGACTTATTAAAACCACTTCAAAAATAGCATTCCTGAGACCTGTAATGCAGCCCTGGCCCTTAGAATTAGGAAGAATTCTTTTAAATGTTTAACTTTAAGCTGTTCTTATTTAACATGAGAAAAGGAGGGCTCTGAATCGGAGGTGTTGTTTGATTGATTTGCATTTATTGTCAGGCAAGGCATGCTTGAATGGTTGGACTAGAGAGTGTTTGAAGTCCCTTCCAGCCATGAATCCCATGTTTCTCATAGGTGGTCTGACAAGTGAGGAATGTGGCCAAAAGCCCACCTATCTTGACCTGGGAGCAGTTGGGATTCCAGAAGATCCGTGGCAAGGAGAAGGGCCAAGTCAGAAACAAGTAGGCATCAGGGGAATATCTCACCAGGTGGAGCCACCATCTATCTTCAGAAATTTGAGTTAAAAAAATGTGACATCCATCCTCGGAGCAGGCAGGATAGAATGTTCTCCAGTTCTTGGATGTGCTGAAGTCCTTGGAACCAAGGCTAGGATCTAGCTGGACTGGGGCTCATGGCAAGGACTTGGCCAAATGGAATAAGGGAGGGCAAAATGATTGGAACCAAGGAGCCAAGATCAGACAGTGTCTCTTAGCCAAGGGGAATTGATATTAGCTATTGACTATAGGCTCTTAAATTTCTCCTGTCTGCTGAGTACAGGATGGAAAGGGTTGGATTTAAAATTCTGGTCGAGTGCCTTCAGCAGGGAAAAAAAAACATGAAGGTTTCTATTGGTTATTAAGGTTAATTTTGTAGAATGAACTTCAAAAAATAGGGAAAGAATGATAGAATCTCTGAGAGCATCTGCACGACAGCAAAGCCAGCAGAGTGGCATTCAGGGATAGCTTTTATATCTGTATCTGAAATCATCCTCTGAGAACCCTTAAATGTGACTTTTCACACAGATAGCACAATGAAGAAAGTGCTTAGCTGGCCATTCCTGAGAGAGTTATCAGAAATTAATGAAAATGCCAAAGACGTGCCATCAACTAAATAGGAATGGAGGGCCTCAGATCACACTTGGGCAATTCAGCAGCTGAAGACATGCTCACTGAGGAGTGTTTCTATACCCCTCGTTTTGCAGAACATAGAGAGTGTTTCAAACAGTATTGCAAGAAATCAGAGAGATGCCTGCTTAGAATGTTAAAGCAAGACAGGCACACTGCTGCCCTGTAGGACTCTCCACGGTTCCTTTCCTGGTTCCAGCCCTTGCTGTCCCAGTCCCTAATTGGCCAACCTTCCCCCTCCCCACCCCACTCTGCTCCTTTGCTGCTTCTTTTGGGGTCTTAAGGGAGAATTAAAGAAGAGTTCGTATCTCCACGGGGCATCTGCTGGGTCAGCCACTCGTGAGCTCTGTTTCTCATTGCATTGTTGTTCTCATTAGGAAAACATCAGTTTTGGCATTCCTGCTTGGTTGTCATCCTCTTTGTCTTGCTTATTTGGCAAGAGTGCCACTTCACACAATGTGTGAATGTGTGTGTGCGTGTGTGTGTGTTTGCACAGCCTCATACAGGCACTCTCTAGTTTTAGGGCCAAGTGGATAAGGAGGTAGGTAGGGAGATAATTGAAATAGCAGATGGTCAAATTGTTCTTTTCCCTTCCTTTTGATACATCCATGGGTAAGTCATGAAACAAAATATAGGGCTTTGGAGAAGCATGGTTTGCCAGAGAACTGTACCTGAGGGCTGTGCTTCAGGAGCCATGCCTGAGATGCCTTCCCCACACTCGGACCTGCCTTAGATGATTAGGTTCTTAATTGCGCATTCATGCTGTAATGGGATGAGACCTTTGGAGACCTTGGGAGAGAATGACGATATTTTGTATGTGGGATGGATGTGACTCCTCGGGGTCAGAGGCTGGGCTGGGGGAGGCAGCCTCTGAGAAGGCCTCGAAAGAGCCTCGCCTCCTGGGATGTATACCCTGGTGTAGTTTCCTCTCATGTTGTAACAGTTATGTGCTGTATAACCAAGGGACCGCACAGAATCCCCATGATTATTCCTGACCCACGAAACTGAGATAACAAGTGTTTGTTTAAAGCCTCCAAAGTTTGGCGTATTTTTAAATGCTGCAATAGAAGATGCATCCACTCAGCACGTGGATATCTTCTTGGTCATTAGCCTCCCATCCCTGTTCCAGGCAGGAAGATACAGAAGGGAACAACATGAAAACATGGAGATGCCTTTCTTAGAAGAGCAGCACATTTCTGCTTCTGTCCACTGAGCAAGAACTATATACATGGCTCTCCCTGGCTGCAGAGAAGGCTGCGAAATGGTTTTGTTTGTTTGTTTGTTTTGCTGGGAAAATTACTGCCTGGAAGCAAAAAAAAATCAGGGATCCATTAGTAAGAAAGAAGAGGGATGGATATTGGAAAGATGACTATACTGTGTTAAAACGGATTTATTTCTGAGTGTGCCACACATTACTGACATTACACAGGTCCCTGTTCTCATCATGGCACATCGAAAATAATGCTTGTGTAGCATGCTGGGGTAGAGGGCGAATGACGCTTACAACTCAGGTAACTGGTTTGGGGACATGGATTGATGCAGGATCCACCTAGTTTCTCCAAAGGCTTAGCGGATCAATATCCCTACAGACCAGTAACCCATCCACAGATGCACTGTTTGGGAAGTGTCATAGGTGAAGTTCCTCAGAGATCAGTATTCAGTTTTATTAAACAGTGTTTGCAGGGACAATGTTTGTGAAGGGCAAGGGACGTGGGACTGGGCAAATGGAGAAGTTGAGCAGCAATAAAATGGCATCAGATAACTCAGCTGACCCTATGGGAAATCAGCCCTGCAGACTTGTCCCACCCTAGACAAGGGAGCCAGGTCTTGTTGCCTCCTTTCCCACCACTGACACACCATAGTCATTGGATATGGGACGGGGTGTGGCTTTGAGTAAGGGACTCTGAGGCTGAGGTTAGTGCCCTGATTAGGAGAACCACCAGCTGCCATCATTCCCAGGAGCAGGAGCAATGAGTCCCTCAGTCCCAAAGGGGCTACTCTAGGCTTTGTGTTCCACCATCACGGGGAACAGCCACATCCTCCTACAGAATGGCCCTTGGTGGAACAGTAAGAGCAGAAAACTTGGATCCATGAAAGAAAGGTCTGACCCAGAGTGGCATTTACCGTGTTTTTATACCGTTCATCCACTGCATCTCAGCCAGTGGATGAATCCTGGGGCCTGGAGGAGAATTCCACCTGTCTTTAGCAGGGCCAGAGCACTGACAAATGTATTTCATGCTACTGTTTATTTGGATTCAGCCACACTCTTCTGCAGCATGTAATTGTCATGGACATCATGTAGCAAGAGGCTGCTGAGAGACTGAAATGAGCTCCCAATTTGTCTTTAGAAAATTTTCTCCATTATGAGACGAGAAAGATTAAAGGGCTAATAATACTTTACACCCATATCATCTTTCCTACCAGCAAAGAGTTTCTGTCCACACATTATCTTATTTGAGCCTCAGGAGAGTCCTGTGAGGTAGTTAGAATAGGAATTAGTATTCATCTTAGGTATGAACAAATTATAACTTTGGAAACTGATGCCTCCACCTTTTTTCATTTCTTGATTCTTTAAAATTGGTGAAGATTCTTTCCATTGTCTTGGAATTCAAGAAAACTAAAGCATGAAGGCAGGTGAGGAAAAGAATCCCCCTTCCCTGATGCCTGTCTGGTTTATGACATTCTTCTCCCCTCTCTGAAATTACAGTATAAGAGTTAGGACACAGGAATGAAATCACCTGATATGGTTTGGCTCTATGTCCCCATCCAAATCTCATGTGAAGTTGTAATCTCCTTGGGAGGCCAAGTCGGGTAGATCACCTAAGGTCAGGAGTTTGAGACCAGCCTGATCAACATTGTGAAAACCCGTCTCTACCAAAAAATACAAAAATTAGCCTGGCATGGTGGCAGGCACCTGTAATCCCAGCTACTTGGGAGGCTGAGACAGGAGAATCGCTTGAACCCAGGAGGCAGAGGTTGCAGTGAGCGGAGATCACACCACTGCACTCCAGCCTGGAAGACAGAGCGAGACTCCATATATATATATATAGTAATCTGCACATGTTGAAGGTGGGGCCTGGTGGGAGGTGATTGGATCATGGGGGTGGATCTCCCCCATGGTGTTCTTGTGATAGTGAGTGAGTTCTTATGAGATCTGATGGTTTAAAAGTGTGTGGCATGCCCCGCCTCCCCCCGCCTGCCCCCATGCCGCCGCCCCGCCACTTCTCCTGCTCCACCATGGTAAAGACATGCCTGCTTCCCCTTATGCTATGATCGTAACTTTTCTGAGTGCCCCCCAGCCATGAGGAACTGTGAGTCAATTAAACCTCTTTTCTTTTAAAATTACCCAGTCTCAGATAGTTCTTTATAGCAGTGTGAAAATGGACTAATACACCACCCAAACCAAAAACATATGGAAACTGTCAACTTCTGGGATTGTATCACTTACTTATAGTAACCCTTACTAGATGCAGGTCACTGCAGGGGCCGTGCTGTGGGGGTAGAACCAAAGGTAAATAGAAATTATAGTTTTTATGGAGCTAACAATCCAGTGAGGGACATCAGATTGGCAAAGGACTAAAAAACATGGAGGAAAAAAAGTAAGGTCGATTTTGCAGGAGTTTAGAGAAGGCACCAATGCAAGGACGCGTTAACAGAAGAGGCAGCATGACAGCTGGTCCCTGAAGGATGAGGAGCATTTCCTCTAGCAGATGGTGAAACAGCAATGACGACCTCATGGCCTAGCATTAATCCCAAACTTTGTACGTGCCAGGCATTGGGCTGAAATGAAGGCGATTGCATTCACCATGTTGCCAATGCATCCAGGTCAATGTTTAGCCCGTTGTACACTCATTACCACCAGTCAGCCAACCAAACAGCCCATGCCTGCTGGCTCTTCCATTGGTCTATTTTCTAACCATGTTTTGTGCTCTCGACAGTTTTTGTTGAATTTGATATTACTGGATTAAAAATTATATACTTGGCTACAGCTTTCCTTGCAGCAAGAGACTCCTCTGGCTGGTATCTCATGGGGTCTCTGGGAATACTCAAAAGACATTTGAGCAGCAGATGTTCTCCTATCTGCACCAAGTCAGATGTCCTATTTGCACACAGGTGATATATAAGCTGTGCCCAGGGGAAACAGCAGGCCTTTGAATAAGGTGGGTTTTTTTCACAGTTGCCTATTTGTCTTGCTTTTTTGTTCCACCTTTATTTGTGTCCTGGAGGGAATATTCCTAATAGGATTAATAAATGAAAAATGTAAATAATGTGACTACTGAAATATAGATTTTCCAGGAATGCAATATATTACTGGCCATCTGTTAAATGGCCACTTCACATGCTGCCAGGAGGAGAGGATTTCACAAATTACGAGCCAGAGCTTTCAGCTGCAGGCCTGGTTAGCCATTCATTGGGTCCCAGGGGTTGCCGACCTAGGGGGCACAGATGAGGGAGGAGGTGCTGACCTGGGAGTGGAAATAAGCTCCCACCATAGCACTGATGGCACGTGGCACAGGACCCTCTGGCTGGCCTGGCCCATGCTATTTTCTCTGCAGTTTATTTTATTTTTTATTTTTTTGGAGACAGAATCTCCCTCTGTTGCCCAGGCTGGAGTGCAGTGGTGTGATCTCGGCTCACTGCTACCTCTGCCTCTCGGGTTCAAGTGATTCTCATGCCTCAGTCTCCTGAGTAGCTGGAATTACAGGTGTTTGCCACCACGCCTGGCTAATTTTTGTATTTTTAGTAGAGACAGGGTTTTGCCATGTTGTCCAGGCTGGTCTCGAACTCCTGACCTCAAGTGGTCCACCCACCTCAGCCTCCCAAAATGCTGTGATCTGCCTGCCTCAGCCTCCCAAAGTGCTGGATTATAGGCATGAGCTACTGTGCCTGGCCTTCTCTGCAGTTTAGAGCTGAGTTTTGAAGCAATGTTTGCTCCCCTATTGAAGAACTCACTGCTGATTTTTTTCATGAAATATCTTCCAATGAAGATAGAAAAAGGAAAGGAGATCTTTCCCCAGCCTTGGATTGGTACAGCTGAGGACCTGGATGCCTAAACTCTCAATAGTTATTGGATAGCTTGAGGGATTTGAGATTGGAAGAGTAGGGCAGAGGCAGGAAGGAGAGAGGAAGAGGATGATAATTTGGGGTAAATGAGGTGGACCTTAAGCAAATATTTTAGGCCAATGGGGTATGTTTGCAGGTTCCACCATTTGGGGGAATTATTGGCAAGGTTGGAGCAGCCCATGCGTGTTTTGGGAACTGGACTTCCTGCTGGAAAGAACTGGTCTCTGCAGCATCTTGGCGGTCCAGCAGAGCAGCTCAGGAGGCTTCAAGTCCTAGTTTAGTGCCTTACCAGTTCTGTGACCCTGGGCAAGTTACTTAGCATCTCTCTGTTTCCTCATGGATTAAATGAGAAGATAGGTGATCTGGTATCTAGAGTTACTTCATATTTTATGAATGATTCTATTTCAGAATCAAAAGCTTCATAAAGAACCTCTTTGCTACATTTATTTAATGTCACGTTTGAGATCACTAGAAGGAGGGAATAGAATCTGTGATGACCTTGCCTGCATCATAGACCTCCATCCTTTTCTAAAGAGGAGAACTTGGGGAAGCAGGGGATGGTGTCAGGAACCACCCACCTCCCCCCAGGGAGTAAGACACGACTCTACCATCACTGCTGCAGAGGTGAGAAGTCCTAAGAGGCTGACAGGGACTGCCAACCTAGAGATGACTTCTCCCTGTTCCTTCCTTCCCTCCTCCACCTTTCCGTTCAAGCCTCTTCCTCCATGTTATCATCAGTTTCTGTTTAGAACAAGGCTGTCTAGGACAGAGGTATATTTGGGGGAGCTGGTCTTGACCTGACCAAATCCAGAAGTGCAAACTCGTAGAGCTGTTGAGCAGGGGAAGCCAGCTCACCTGGTCAGGATGGTGGATGGGGAGGAAGAGGAGGACGAGAGCTGGGTGGAGGTGGGAAGATCAGCTGCAGGGACCAGGATTCTCGGGTAGCTCTGAAAGGTCTACTTTTAAGGTGGTTCTGAGGAGAGAAATGAGGTCATGAGCATGGATCTGCCACTGCAGCTGTATGGGTGAAGTATGGCTAGGCCTTTCAAAAAGGCTTCGATTTCTTTGGAACCCGTTGTATTTCATGGAGAGAAACGAGCTTCTGCTGATCATTCATCCATCGATTCATTCAACAAGCAGTTATGGACAGCCTGCAGCCTACCAGGCTCTGTGCATCCTTATGAATCTAGTGGTGGCCAAAAGATTATAAAAATCCCTGCTTTCAGGGGTTCTAGTGGAAGAGACAGCACTCAATAAATAAGTGAAAAATTATAAAAGAATGTCAAGTTGTGAACGTGTTAGGAAGAAAAATAGAGCCGAGTGAAGTGATAGAGCGTGCAGGGACGGCTGCTTCCATCGGGTGGTGAGAGAAGGCTGCTCAGAAGAGGGGACATTTCAGCTGAGAACTAAATAAAGGGAGGAATCAAGCCCTGGGAACTTCTGGGATAAAATCTGTCCCCAGGCTGTGGGAACAAATCTGCACGAGACCTGAAGCAGGAGGGAGCCTCCTGTGTTCAGGAATAGTAACCATGTGGCTCCAGCAGAGTGAGAGAGAGGAAGAGTGGCAGGAAATGGAGCCCTGGGGGCAACCTGACCATCCCTCGGGCCACACTTGGGACCTCAGGTTTCATTCTAAATGACATGATGCCATCTGGACTTCAAAGCATCCCTCTGGTGGTGTCTGGGGAATAGACCATGGGCGGGAAGAACAGCTGGAGACAGTGAGGAGGTTATTTCAGTCCTCCAGGCTGGAGCTGACAGTAGCAAGGGGCAGGCTAGCAGTAACAGAGATGACAAAAAGTGGTGGCATCCCAGGAACATTCCGAATGTGGAGCCACCAGGACTTACTGATGAATTAGATTTGGGTTGTGAGAGAAAGAGAGGAGTTGGCTGTAACTCAAGTGTTGGGTCCAAGCAACTTGGGAAAATGGTGGAACCACTCAACCAAGAGAGAGAAGTCTGGAGAAGGAGCAAATTGGAGGGATGAGAAGAGACTATGGGACATGTGAGGCCCAAGATGCCACAAGACCACCTCGAGGTGGACAGGACAGGCAGGCAGGTGGAAAAGTTATCTATCCCTTCTCTCCAGGAGCAGGAGTGTCCAGGATTGTCCAGAATGGATCACTGTTGATCCAGGTCAGGATGTAGAGATGATCGTCTTGGGGAAAAAAGGAGCGTTTCTATTTCTAGGCTTTCCAGGCACACACAGCTATGTTCAGACATCCAGTGAAGTGTCTGTAATCAGGGATGGCTGTGGATTGGGAGGCCTCACTTTGTGCCATGATGTGGTTGTGAATAGCTGCCTACATCACTGGGCTGGAGGCTCCTGTGGAACAGACAGCCTGAGACTAGACCGATTCTGTGGTGCAGGGCTCCTCCTGTATCCCGAACCACTTTTCCCTGGACAGAAGATGGCTCCCTCACTTAAAAGAACTTTCAGTCTAGTGTCTAGTTGCTCCTGGTGTGGGAGAGCCCACCACACAGTCATGGCCCCTCATCACAGGCCACCTGCCCTCCTGCCTGGGCACACCTGCAGCTTGCAGTGCCCCTGACCTGGCCTGCAGTTTCCCTCGAGGGTGATCTTGTAGCTTATCCTGCTGACAGGCTGACTCCAAGTAGAGGCCTGTGGGTTCTCCCTGCCACTGCTCTCCTCTGCCCATCGTCATTCTCAAGCCATCTGCCCATCTCGCTCATGGTTTCAGCCTGTCGCTCCTATGTTATCTCTGAGTTCTCCCAGATACCTGATTTCTTGCCTCCAAAGAGCTTAAATGATTGTCAGTGGACATACCTTTCACAGAATGATTTTCAGCTTCTCCCTGAGAAGGCAACACTCCCAAAGATACCCAGTGATGATCAATTAATCGATAATCAGCCACAAAATCCAGTCTCCTCTAGAGGTCTCTTCTGACTTACTAATGGCCAAAAGACAAAGACAGTGACTCTTTGGGGTGACTTTTAGTCTTTTTTTGAATTCCTTTTACAAGAAGAGACCATTTTTTTTATACGGGCCCATAACCCAAGCTACCCAACCACATCTGGAACTCAGCTGGTCTTCTGTGAGCTCACGCCAATTTCATATTGAGTCCAGTTGTTCACAGAGGCTTTTCAGTCCTAGATGTCCTGTTCAGTTTGCCTATTCACTTTCTTCTTTTTTTAAAGACCTGATTGTGTGTTCCCTCATGCCATCTTCAGTTATTTAGACCCTGTGTTCACTTTGGATGCTGATGGCTCACAAAAATGCAGCAATGTTCTGGGCTGAGAGTGAGAGATTGTGCAAGACTGAGTAGAAAAAACCAAAGCCTGGGTAGTAGAACAGTCTGTTTCCTCATCTGCAAAATGATCTCTGTGGCACCATAGTAAAGTGTCTTTGGTACTCAACTATGGAAGCCATTGTAATAGCAGAAGCAAAAATTCTGCAAATCAGTTAAACAGAAGAGCCTCACCTCCTGGGACTCTGAAGAAGGAGTTAAAAAGTGGGGCATCCATGGCAAAGTGGATCAACATTTCATTAAGTCAGTGGTTTGAAACTGCATAGCAGGGTAGTGTGATTTATGGGTTTCCATTTTATTCCATTTCTATCCTTTTCCTGTATACTCAGTTTCAGGCATGCAACATGTCCTTGAGTGGACAAGGCCTTGGAAGACACCTTCATTGAGGTCGGCCTTCTTTAAAGACCATTTACCCTTCTCCATACCTGAAATGAACTGAAGATCCAGCTCAGTGTTCTGATCCTTTTATTCCCATCTTTCGCCATCGTTAGGAGCCTGGATTTCCTCTGTACAAAACCTGTGGGCCCAAATCTTTCTTTGGCCAATTTTTCATGGTCAAGTCTGATTGACAGTTGATAACTTTTAGGGCCACATCCCCTCCTTTTTTTTTAAAGTTGTTTCTTATTACACCAGGCACCCCTGAGGTGCTGTATTTCCATACGGTCTATATCCCTTTGCTTGACCTACAGATAAAAGTCATCCTTCAGTTCACTATTTTATGTTGTCTATTAAAGTCACTATAATTCATGAATTCAGAGTTGCCACAAGCCTTAATATGAGCAACACAATAATGCCAGTACTTTCTACATTGTATCATAGCCCTCCTGGCGAAAGCAAGTTGGCAATTTAGTCTCTGCTCTTCATGAGGGATGGGGATGGATTGTGGTTATCAATAAATATTTGATTAATTAATTGACTGACTACCTCTTAAGCCTTTTAAGACAAGATGGGTCCTGGTTCTGCTACTAACTTGCTAGTATTCTTGGGCAAGTCATTTAATTTTGCTGGCTCTCAGTTCCACAACTGTAAAATGATTCATGATCCCAAAGTCCCTTGCAACTTTAAATTACTAAGAAATATATGCATATATATACACACATGTGTGTATATATATACATATACTATATATATAAGATATATACATATACTATATATAAGATATATACATATACTATATATAATATATATACATATACTATATATATAATATATATACATATACTATATATATAATATATACATATACTATATATATAATATATACATATACTATATATATAATGTATATACATATACTATATATATAAAATATATATACGTATACTATATATATATGATATATATATTTATTCCACCATGTTTATTGAAACCAGCCATAGAAGAAGACTCCTTCAACTTGGCCAATACTCTAATATTTAATATATAAAGGGTACAAATAAAACCAATTTGGGGAAAGAAAAATATTGGTAGCTTCTCAGCATAGGGTCAAGTAAAGGCAAATGCCCTGGAACATCTTCCGGAGCCCAGGGTGGAGTGGATCATCTAAGTAGGCCGACCGTGGCCTTTTAGTGCCTGCATGAACATCAACAGACTATAAAGAGACTTTTACAAGTTGATTCAAGCATAGCCACATGTGGGGAAACTAGGAATCTACAAAGTCAATAGAAGTTATTGGTAATTTTTCCAATTTCTTCCTCCCTTTTTCAAAATCCAAGAGGGCCCAGAAGGGGACTAGAAAACAGATATTTGATGGCTTACTGTGTCTTTAGGGCAATATCTATCTCGTCTTTCCACTCGTCTTTCCCATTCTCATACCTCCTTTTCAGTCTCTTTTCTTTCCTTCATTTAATCATTGACTCCTCATTCATCAAGTATTCACAAGGATGGATAAGAAGTGGCTTCTGATGACACAGTGAATACATTAAGACAAATGTCTGTTACCTGACACAGGATGGGGGACACAGGGAGGAATTACTGACAGTCTACCAAAGCTTCCCCCAACTAGAAACAAAGACACCCCCTCTGATGGGGGTGGTGGTGAGCAAGAATACAGTCACTCAGCTATCCACCACTTACCTGGGTGACCATATTCTTATGTCTTCCCTCTGTTGGACTCACAGGATATTGACACCCCATGTACAAAGCCAAGATCATCCTCTGGGAGGGCTTAGCTGGGGCCCCTGGTCGGGGAGCTGCTGGTGCTGGTATCCACATGCAGGAGCTGCAAAAGGCTGGAACAATGTGGCCTCAGAGCTTCAGTTTCTTGAGCAAGGATTACAGGTAAATTTCTTATTCTCATTTTTTCTAGAACTCTCTTTGGTGTGCTATAGTAGAAAAAAAAAGACAAAGCTTTGGAGGAAAGATCTACGTCCAGATCTCAGCCCTCCTACCTACAGGGTGAGTTACTTCATCTCCCTGAACCTCAGTTGCCTCATGAGTGAACTCCCAACTCAAGGGGTGCTTGTGAAAAATGTGACATAATTCATGCACATTTGTTCTTTGTCACATGGTGGGTGTTCAGTAAGTGGTGGCTATTGTGACTATAATGGTTGCTAGATCTCCCACCACACAGAGTTGGTCCTGCTGCCTTTTATTGTCTCTATCAAAATTAATAGAATCTAGAGAGACTTTAGAAACCCTCTCTCCAAAATTGATTCAAGCACAGCCTCATATGGAGGAACCAGACATCTACAAAGTTAACAGAAGTTATTGTCCATTTTTTTTCACACACTTTCTCCCTTTTCCAGAAAATCAGGGGGGGCAGGAGGGAAATGTGAAGCACATGATGACCGTCAGGGCGATGCCAGAGAGCTTGAGTAGCTTTGTTTATTTCATCTGTAATAGGAGGAGTTGGTTCTTCTTAGCTGGGGCAGTCTAAGAGTCAGTGGGACAACAGGCTACTCCAAATCTCCAGCTTTGTCTGCACACCAGCCATGGCCAGAGGGGTGATGCCTTCAGGAACCTCTTATCCTCTGCCCCATGGGTGTGTAGCATCCCTGAGAAGGAATGGTATCGGTCATTTTCCCTGGTCTCTGTCTCTGTCTCTTGGTCTTCTCCTGTAGGACCCCATGCAGTTGATCTGGAAAAGGATGCAATTAGGGAAGACTTGCATGGTTCTTGAAGATCCCTCCCACTCTAAACTAAGCCCCCAGATACACTGGGTCACTTTGCATTTCTTTACTTCCACCCCAACTTTCATCGCCATCTGATTTATTTGTTTATTTGTTTATCACTTGTCTCTCTTCACTAGAACATCAACTCCATGAGAGCAAAGACCTCCTTGTCACACCCACAACTGTGACCTCCAGTGCCTAGAGGGTGGCTGAGCACAGAGCAGGCATAGAGTAAATATTTGCTAAGTGGGTGTGTAAATGAAGGGATGTGAACCTCATGCCCACACACAGGGGCTGGGGCCACAGGAAGCCAGCACATCTAGACTGGGGCAACAGCTAACAGTGGAGGCAAACACCTGGCTCATGAGTGGCCATGGAGAGGCCACACAGCACAACCCCTTTCGAACTGCAGTTAAATGACTTTGACATCCACAGTTGAGCATCAAGCAAATCAGATAAACTAGTCGCTTAGCTACACGTCACCCCTATGGGTTGTTGGTTAGTTGGATTTTTCCCCTTTTGTCTTGTTTAGGCAGATCTGGTGTCCTGAGAGTAGGGTTATCATAAAGCAGAGGAAAGAGATGCAAATAAAGTGGGTGGATCTCAGGAAAGGAAGTGATCTCAGTGGTCTCAGATGCTGCCCATAGCAGGGTCCAGTGGCCGGTTGAGTTGAGTGTATGGGAGGCTTGTGGAAGAACAGTAAGGCAAAAGACCCCTATGGGCACTGAAATAAGAAAATAGATGCCCACCCAAATAGATGACCAGTATCAGGGCTTTCTCCACCCCTGCCAGAGTCGGCCTCTCATTCAACAATTTTCCATCTCACTTCCCATTGTTTTACTGAGACATGGCTTCTTCCTGCCTTGCCATGTCCTACCTGCTTTTAATTGTTCCCAAATGACTTGATGTAATTCCAAAATTTAGCCCTTTAAGTTCTATTTTCACCTTAACCAACCTGGAACCCCATCCTGCCCGCACCCTCATTAAACACAGAGAGGATGAAGACAGGGAGGGCATCATCTACATTGTACATCCCACGTGGCTTCAGCCACACCCTCCAGTGGCTTCTGGAACAACCGCAGAGATCTGCAGCTGTGAGGGGGTGGGAGGTGTCCTCAGGAAACTGAAGGAGATGAGGGCTTCTGGGACCTTCAATCTGGCTTGCTCAAATGTCATCTAGTTTTGCCCCATTGATTTCAACTGTGAATGGGACTATGTTTGTCCATTCATTAGAAAGTACTTCATTTTCCTTCTTCTCATTTATTTTTTAATCTGCCCTGCCCTTGGCTGTAGAAGTGAACCACTCTGTCCACGGCTTAGCAGTCAGGGCTCAGTATTTTCCTTCCTGACTGTAGGAAGAGGCCTAAGTGCCCTTGAGTTGTCCAAGATAGAATCGCTCACAAATCTGCTTTGTTATTGGTGTTTGATCAGTGAATGTACAGAGATGCAATTGTAGCCAAAAGAATGTGGGATATGGAGAGATCGCGCTGGGTCTCACGTTCCTCAGGCCTGTGGTGAGGGTGAAAGAAACCCACCCCCTTTCCCAGGCTACCCGCTGCCCATTGTGTCACTGTCTATCTGAACTGAAGATTCTAACAGAGGATGAAAAGCAGATCAAAACAAAATTCCCCCGAAACCATCAACACAAAAGTAGGAGCTACAGAACTCCAGTCAACTGGACCAGAGAAGAAAAGTGGAGCAATGACTCCCCCAAGTGGTGTGTCTGTGAGTGAGAGCTTGGCTGCTGGTTTTTCATTAACATTATTATCCTTAGAGTTATGGAGCCTCAACCTGATGTAGGATCATTAGAGCGTAGGGTTAATGGGGCCGGCTAAACCAGAAGGAAACATCAAACAGCTGTGCTAGGAAGGGTGGCAAGCCAGAGAATGAGGATGGAGCAGCAGCTATGAATCCTCTCTAGAGGGAAAACAATAAATATGGAATTATTTAGTCGGTGACACAAGGAAATGTTTTGAAAATGCCATTCTTATACTGCCTGCATCAGAACCAGCTGGAGAACTTGTCAAAGGTGCAGATTCCTGGGCCAACCTCAGCCCTAATCAGAATCTCTGGGGCTGGTGACTGGGAGTTTGTACTTTTAACAGGTGCCTTAGGTGAGTTCTAAGTGAGAAGCCAGTAAGTGAGGTGCAAGAAGTCTCATTTACCCACTCTGTAAAAAAGAGAGCGGAGGCAATGGACAGGAGGAAGAAAAGTCGTGTTTAAAAGAGATAGAAATGTTGGGCCGGGCGTGGTGGCTCACACCTGTAATTCCAGCACTTTGAGAGGTCGAGGCGGGTGGATCACCTGAGGTCAGGAGTTTAAGACCAGCCTGGCCAACATAGTGAAACCCTGTCTCTACAAAAAAATACGAAAAATAGTCGGGCATGGTGGCTTGCACCTGTAATCCCAGCTACACAGGAGGGTGAGGGAGCAGAATCGCTTGAACCCGGGAGGCAGAGGTTGCAGTGAGCCTAGATTGTGCCACTGCACTCCAGCCTGGGTGACAGAGTAAGACTTCATCTCAAAAATAAATAAGTAAATAAAAAGATAGAAATGTGAAGGGAAAGAGAATCCTTCATATGAGACTGGGATACACACAGGACTATCTGGGCAGCTGCCAGCCAGGCAGCCAGCCTCACTGAGGGGTTTCTCTCTGGAGCTCTCTTCCTTCTCCCGGTTATGTTAGGCTCCACTGGGCAGGGCTGCCTCAATACACCCTCTCGGCTGTGTGTCCATGTCCAGGTGCCCCCCATCTGGCCCAATGAAGGGTAGAGGGTGTCTAATCACTGGTTGCTGTTGACTGAGTCACCTGGTAGAGAATGCATGGCCCAGGATTTGAAGGGCAGGGTGCTGGTCTTGGTTCTGCCGTCACTGGAGTGGGCATCTTTGGAGTCTCTGGGTCTCTATTCCCTCATCTTCAGGAGGAGGGAATTGAGCTAAAGGATGTGATGGCTCTAGCAGCATCCCAGGACTCTTCTCTCTCCTCTGGGGCCCTGACCTGGAGCTCACCTGGTTTGATCACCCTGAGGGTTTGGCTTCAGTGTGGGGTCAGGGATCTCTAACCCCCCACAGGCCTATGAGGGAAACTTTGAGCCTAGTGCCGCTGATGAGAGAGGCTCTGTCACATGGAAAACTTTACTTAAGAACCCAGCTGCCCCATGAATGGTTGGTTTCCAGTTTCATGGACAGGATTTTCCCAGAAATTCCAGAGAGGGGTGTGGTGGTGCCAATGAGCTGGAATAGACCTTTAGGACCGAAGCCTTGGCATACCCGGGGAACATGTCAGGGAAACTTCCAGCCCCAGCCCCCTTTCTCTCTGTCTCATGGGAAATGCCACCAGGACAGGAAGTCACAGGAAATAGTGACTACACTAAATATCACTGAATTGTGCACTTTAAAATGATGAATTTCATATTTAGTGAATTGGGCGAATTATATTTTAATTTTTAAAAACATTTAAATACTTATCAAAAGGGAAAAAAAGAAGTCACCAGAGGCTTAGGGATAGAAAGAGGTGGAAAAATGTTTATCTTATCACTTGATTTAATATATTGGATAATTAGGATTCAGATGAAACCAAAGTGTTGAGTTCTAGAAGAGCAAGTCAGAGAGTGAAAACTCCACCCGTATCCATGCCAAGGAGGGGCAGTGGGGTCCAAGGGGAAGCACCACCCGGCTGACCTCAGCTCCTGCCCTCCTGGGTGACCTCAGCTCCTGCCCTCCCGGGTGACCTCAGCTCCAGCCTGCCTGGGACTCCCTTTCTGTCTAGCCCAGCTCCTTGTTCCTTCAGACAAGTGGCTGCCGGGGGCTCTAAATCCCACACCAACCCAGAGCACCCTGTGGAAAAATCCTTCCTCCCTTTTAGTCAGCTGGGGCTGGGTGGGAATTTTCCAAAAGGAACTTTTCCTCAGAAACCCTGGGGCAGGGTTGGAATCTAAGTACAAAGGTCTTAGGAAAAAAAAAATCTATTCCACCAGAGTGTACATTTCCATGGTGATGACAGCAGAGACCGAGGTTGGGGGGAAGAGTTGGTGGGACCCTTTCTCTTATCTCAGATCTGAGTAGCGTCCCCACCCCCAGAGACCCTTCCTCCGTGGTCCTCTTGCCCCTCCTGGGATGCAGATGAAATCCAGCCCCAGACCTTCCATGAGATCAAGTCTAAGGGTGGGGCATTGGAGATGGAGGTCTGAATGGCCACCTCCCTGAGGGCTTAAACACAGCCTTTTTTGGTGCTGCTATCCAAATTACTCCGAGAAGGCTGGGTGCAGTGGCTCTTGCCTGTAATCCCAGCACTTTGGGAGGCTGAGGCAGGCAGATCACGAGGTCAGGAGTTCAAGACCAGCCTGGCCAACATGGTGAAACCGTGTCTCTACTAAAAATACAAAAATTAGCTGGGTGTGGTGGTGGGCGCCTGTAATTCCAGCTACTCAGGAGACTGAGGAAGGAGAATCACTTGAACCCGGGAGGTGGAGATTGCAGCGAGCCGAGATTGTACCACTGCACTCCAGCTGGGTGACAGAGTGAGACTCCATCTCACAAAAAACAACAACAACAACAATAGCAAATTACTCTGAGAATTACAGGGGAATGGAGCTGGTGGAAATCATATGCATTGCCTGTTCCAACTCATCCCTCCATCCACATTCCATTCTCAGATGAAGGCACTGAGGCCCACGAGGTGAAGTATCTTTGCTCAAGATCACCCAGGGTGTCAGGGCTGGAAGGACACAGAGCTGGCCACCTGGCATAGGGCACCTTGGAGGCCAGTCTAGGCTCTTCTGTGGCTTCTAGGGACCCGGCCCCGCTGAGCAGGTGAACCTCAGAGTGTGGCATGGGGCTGGTGGGAGGAGAGGAAAGTAGTGCCATCGTGTATGTCCCCCAAACTCTACTCACCAGAGCCCCATTGAGGAAGTACTTGTGGAGTGCCAGGCTTGGGTTGCCCAAGTGGGGGACACAGCCTGAGCCAAGGCACAGGGGATGTAGAGGCCCTGGCATGGTGGAGGAATGGCAAGTCCACAGTTTGACTCTGTGAGGGAAGAGGGCAGGTGGTGAGGCTCAGCTGGAGGCTTGGCCTCAGCTGTGAAGGATTTGGGCTGAAGAACATGGCAGCCACTGTGAGCCTTGAAGTGGAAGTGATTAAAGGAGCTGGTGCAGTGGGCAGATTAGATCAGGGCTGCCCTGGCTGGGACAGCCATCAATAGGACAGCGTAGCCTTCCAGTGAAAACTGACACAGGTCTGGATCAGGTGATGGGAGGCAGAATCCAGGGGAGGACAGATGCAAGAGCACTTGGAAGACAGGTCAGTCGATGGTCAAGGGCAGGGCAGTGAGAGAGAAGGACTCCCAGGCTTCTCAACTAGGCAAATGGGCAAATGGTGACATCATGAAGCAAGATGATGGGAGGGACAGGGGACTTCACAGGTGGGGTTCGCTCTCTCCTCCAGATCTGGTTCCTGCCTTGCAGGGCTTGGAGTGCATTTTCCAAATGTGGTTCCCATGCCACTTCCGTCAGACTCAGAACAACCTGGCCTACTTGTTAAAGACGCAGATTCCTAAGCCCCATTCAGAATCTCTGTGAATAGCCCTGGGATTTGAAAAACACCTGGTCTTAAACTTGGATGTTGGGGACATTGGAAGAAAAGCAGGTTTTAGACTGGAAGAAGAGCAGGAAGACAGTGAGTTTGGCTTTAGAGTTGCAGATATCTCATGGGCAGTTAGCTATTAAACGCTAGAGCTTGGAAAAACCACTGGGTTAGGGTGGATAGAGATTCAAGATTGTAACTGGAGAAATAATTTGAAATTGCATGCGATTTGTCACTTTTGTCTTTGTGAGTCTGTGACCTTTACACAAAGTCTGCCCTAGGCAGCCATGTGTCTGGGAAGAGATTAGAACCTGTTAGAGAAGGATTGCCTAGAAAAAGGCCAGGTTGATATTCAACTTTTGACATTCAAAATATGATCATGTGGCAGGACAATGGTCTTCAAGCCAGGATATTATCCTGAGAGAGGAGTCACTGAATTCCTTCAGTTCCCTCTTCCTCAGTTAGCTCATCAACAGGAAGGCTCCCCACCCTGTCTTAAGGCTCTGGTGGTGAAAATGTAAACGAAGGTAGCTATGGCGTTAGAAGAAACACTGCTCCCTCCGAGGGAAAAAGAAGGTGAAGTTAGGGGGTATGGGGTGGGGTCTGGGGGTAAGAATTGTGCTGCCAGGGACAGTTAAGATGTGGCTCCATCATCCAAGGACCTCCCCAGGACCAAGCTAGACAGCTGGGGGTTCAAGATCAGAGGCCATAAAGCGCACAGGGAAGGAGTCAGCCAAGAATATCACCCTGGAGAGCAAGGGGCCCTCCCAGAAGACTAGACCAGTACCCGCAAGGCCAGGGGCCTCTTCTTGCAGAGCTAGGCCATGCCAGCTGCAAGCCAGTGTGCTGTAATTCAAGAGAGACTGAGGCACCTTCCAGGGCTTTTATAGTTATCCAGCCTGATTAACTTTACTAGCGATAGGCCTTATTTAACAGTTGCACTTATAATCTTGCACATACAAGATGTAGTATGCGTTACATTTCCAGTTTCATGAAGGAGTCATTCAGTGGTAATAGAAGCATGAGAGTCATTGAACTTAGCTAAAGAATGTGAGTATTATGAGAACACTGGGCTGCAGGAGCCAGTGATGGGAAGAGCGAAATGCAGAAAGGGGGCTCGGGGGTGAGGGGAGAGCTGGGGAGATGGTCCTGGGAAGCTTGGAAAGAGAAGTTTAGGAAGACGATGGTGAACAACACAATCTAAAGTTGCAAGAGGAAGGGAGGATGAAGATGAAAAAAGAGCCATTCAATTTGACAAGTAGGATATCAAAATGACATTTAAGAAAGCCAGATGACCATAGTGGTTGGAAGGAAATCTGTCAGGTAAACCACTGGTGTTGAGGCGTGAGTGGGAGATGAAATGGAAACAGCTAGAATGAGTGTTTCCTTTGATGAGTTTGTTACTGGAGTAGGTGAAGAATAATAAATCAGATGACACTTTGAGTGGGTTGCATGATCAGGATTATGGAGGACCTGGATATGTCTGTAGGTAGAGAGAAAAGATCCAGCCAATGAGCAAAGATGAAAGATGCTAGGAAAAAGAGGAGGCTTTTGAGTGTGATGGTTGAGTGGGACAGCTTGGGAAGAAGTTGAAGAGGGATGATTAAGAGGACAGGTGGTAGGACTGGCCTTGTGCAGAAAAGGACCTCTCTCTCCAAGAAGGAAATTATATTTGTCAATATAATTTTATTAATAATTATGTACTTACTAGCCAAAGAACATAATCAAAATAACAGAAAAATTTAAAAAATCAGTCATTTATTTTTCCATGTTTCTTCCCAGTTCTAATACTGATACCTTTATTATTTTTATGTGGTTGTAACCCAACCGCAAGTGAGAACTCAGGAATTCTCAGGTGGAGATGAGGGTTTATTAATAGGTGAGACCAGAGATGTGCCCTTTCCCCTTTATTCTTCAGTAACTGAAAGATGAGGTTGTCTGCAAATGAGGCTGCCCCTGTGGAGGGGAGGCTGTGCTATGAAGGCCTGGGGAGGGTGGTGTATATGGATGAGGCTCATGCCCACAGTGCGCTGGGGCCTTGGCTGCAGGCCCATCTCACGATAATGGGAGGGATGTTGCTGATGCAGTGAATTAAGGGTTAGAACAGGCCAAGTGTGATGGCTCACGCCTGTAATCCCAACACTTTGGGATGTCGAAGCAGGAGGATTGCTTGAGCCCAGGAGTTCGAGACCAGCTTGGGCAACATAGTGAGACCCTGTCTCTACAAAAAATAAGCAAAAATAGCCAGGTGTGGTGGCACACACCTGTAGTCCCAGCCACTTGGGAGGCTGAGGTGGGAAGATCACTGCTTGAGCCTGGGAGGTTGAGACCGAAGTGACCCAAGATCACACGACTGCACTCCAGCCTGAGTGATGGAATGAGATCCTGTCTCAAAAAAAAACAAAAACAAAAACAAAAACACCCAAAAAACAAAAAAAAACAAAACAGTGAGAACAGCAGGATTCTATCAATAAAGGAGTAAAAGCAAAAAGCTGGGGTTACCCCCAGGGATAATTCCTGAAGTACTGTCAGCTTAATTTTTTGTCAATATAATTGTATTAATAATTATGTACTTATTGGCCAAAGAACATAATCAAAATAACGGAAAATTTTTTAAAATCAATCATTTATTTTTCCATGTTTCTTCCCAGTTCTAATCCTAATACTTTCATTATTTTTATGTGGTTGTAACCCAATCAAAAATTGTGGCAGATTATGTTTTCTAAAACTGGCCATAGCAGTATTTCCAGTCCTGTATGCTTTTCCAGAAACTTGTTGCTCTCCCATCATAAGGTGGCATCTCTTTTCTTTCCCTTTGAAACTGACAAGATTTTGTGACTCAATGAATGGAAATGGAAATGACACTGCAAAATTTCTAAGACTAGGTCATATATGATTAACTGACTTCTACCTGGCTTTCTCGCCGGGGTCTTTTGTCCTTGGAACCCAGCCACCATGTTCTGAGGAAGCCCAAGCCAAACAGAGGTGTCCTGGCCAACAGAGCCAGCTAAGGCCTCACCAGATGACCAACATCAACTGATGTTGAATGACCCTCATGTGAATCCAGCCCCTGACATTGTGGGCCCAGATAAGCCATACTGCTGTAAGCCGTCTGAATTTCTGATCTGTAAAAAATGGTTGTTTCATCCCACTAAGTTTTTGGGTAATCTTTATGCAGCTATAGTCACTGAAATACATGGAGAGTTTTGTTTTATAACTTTTGCATTTGTTAGCATGAGGATTTTCTCATGTTGCTTTATAGTCATCATAATTATTTTACTGGCTACAAAATATTTTGAGTTGATGTAGTATAGCTTATTTAAATATTGTGCTATTCTTGGCTATTTAGACTGTTTCTCGTTTTTCACTATTTAAGTAATGATATAAAAAGTTATGCATAGAGATTTTTCTCTTTCTTTGAATTGCTTCAGTGGGACAAATTCCCAGAAGTAGAATTACTTTTGGGTATGAACATTTTTGTGGCTTCCCAAACGTACCACCAAATTACTTCTCAAACAAAATTGCATTGATTCTGCCATTAGTTGTTTGGCTATGTTGGTACATAAAACCACCTCAAATGTGTTTTGAATTAAAGAGGGCATAAGTAAAAAACTGTAGTAAAGAAAACCCTTTACTGTCTTTGCATCAGCATCAGATATCACCATCACTTTTAATTTTTTGCTAGTTTAGTCAATGGAAATTGTATTTTTATCATTGTTATTCATTTGTGTATCTTGAGTGAGTACTGAAGTAGAGATTTTTTCATATTTCAGAAATTGTTTTTACTCCTATCTGAAGCATCTATATATATTCTTTATCCAATAATGTATTTATAAGAGCTCTTGACATCACTGTTTATTTAAAGTATGTCATAATTTCATTAGTGGACTATAAAATATATTGTGGCTCATGACTGGTATTAAAGAAAAAAACAGAGTAGAATAAAATGGAAATATCAGAGCATTCTGCATATAGTAAGATTTTTTGTGTTTTTTAAAAAAATTTGTATATATTTCAGGGGTAAAAGTTCATCTTTTTAAAATGGATATATGGTATAGTGGTGAAGTCTAGGCTTTTCATGTAGCTATCACCTGAGTAGTGTATATTGTACCCATTAAGTAACTTATCATCCCTTACCCCCTCCCATCCTCCCACCCTGCCATCCTTCCCAGTTTCCAATGTCTATCACTCCATTCTGTGTCCACGTGTATACATTACTTAGCTTGCACTTGTAAGTGAGGGCATGTGGTATTTGACTGTTTCTGAGTTATTTTACTTAAGATAATGACCTCTAGTTCCATCTATGTTACTGCAAAGACATTATTTCATTCTTTTTTTATGTCTAAATAGTATTCCCTTGTCTATACGTGCCACATTTTCTTTATCCAATCATCCATCGATAGGCACTTAGGTTGATTTCATATCGTTGCTATTGTGAATAGTGCTGCAACAAACATATGGTGTAGGTATTTTTTTGATATAATGATTTCTTTTCCTTATACCCAGTCGTGGGATTGCTAGATTGAATGTTACTCTATTTTTAGTTGCGAAATCTCTGTACTGTTTTCCATAGGGGTTGTACTAATTTACATTCCCAACGACAGAGTATAGTACGTTTTTTTGTATGAAACTTTTATTTCAATGTAAGTTTGTATTGGGTTGTGATACCCTCCTTCTTAGCGGAGATGCAACAAAGATGTTCTTAAAAGATGTGTCTTATAAAGCATATTTATTAACCCCTTTTTATATCGATGTAAACATCTCCCAGCCTGTAGCTTCCCTTTTTGTATTGAATTATTTTTCTTTTGCACTATTTTAATTTTTCATGTGGTCAGGCCCAACAATCTTTTGTAATTTCTTATTTCAGTTGTAAACAGAAATTCATCTTGTTTCTACAGAGGTGATAAATGATCTATCCTATTTTTTGTCAACTCAATTCTAACTGAAGCATTCTCTGGACACTCGGAACTTCTAAAAATTCACGTTGGCTCAGCAAAATGCAAATGAAGAGCTCTGGTGCAAATGCTATTATGGAGTGGGTAAATTGAGAATGTGTGATAATCACGAGATCACATGTCCCCATTCTCACTTCCAGTTGTCAGTTTATGCTGCCTCAGCAAAACGAGTTCTGGGGCAAATGCTGTATAAGCAAATGTTATAATTATTACCCAAAGATAGCTACCAAATGATGAAAAATATTGAAGAAGAAGTCAAGTTGAAAACGCCAGAACGCATGGAAGAACTCAGAATAAGACAAGAGAGATGGGTTTGGAGACAAAACTGTCAGAATAGAGATGAGTAAAAGGATAGTAATAATCGTTCCTGATTATTGTGTATTTGCCCAGCTCATTTACTCCTCACCACCGTTATTTCCATTTTGCATTTTGCATTCCATTAGCATTATCTCCATTTTACAGATGTGAAAACTGCAGTGCAAAAAGCTATGCGACTTAGTCAAGGTCATCCAGCTTAAATAGGTGCCTGGAATTGGAACTGCAAACCCGATTCTTAATCACTGGCCCATGCTGCCTCTGACGTGGGAGCTAGAGGTTGTAGCTAAAAGAAAAAGGCTAATATCTGGAGACAGCATCACTTACAACTCAAGAGTTATAAAGGGATATTGCAACTGTTCTATGGAAACTTTCCAGATTTCTCCCCCCCTTCTGGAGAATTTATTTCAAATACCTGGATCTAGACATCTAGAATAAAAGCAGTTTCTGCCATGTACAGTGCTGGAGATAAGGGCTGATGTTTTGTATTTCAGCTGTGATTTTCCTGGATTCCAGTCGGATCATGAAATTTCCTAACAAAGACACACGAGAGACAGTGGGTCAGAGCACACAGTTAGCAGCCAGTGTGCTTGGATTTGCTACCAGCTCAGCCTCTTTCTAGCTGTGTGATTGGGGCACGTTTTCCTCATTTTTAAAGTGAGGACAATAATAGAACCAACCTCAGAGGGCTGTTGTAAGACAATGTCTGTCCATAGCAAGTGATACACTAGTATTCGTTATTTTATTATATGCTATAATTATTTCATTTGAAGCTGATATATTTCATATTAGTTATTTTTTTCTGGTTGGATTTTAGGAGACAATCTAGTTTTATCAGTAGCATATTTACAGATAGGGTGTTTCTATGTTGATTCTTGTAAATTACATTGGCATTTTCTTATCTAATTCTTCAGTTTCCAGAATACCTGATATTTGAGAGGGGTGGCCATATGTTCCAGTTTACTCTTGTTATGCTAGTATCACTCTATCTATACTCAAATGTCCCTGTTTGGAAGAGAAATCCTGTGGTCCTCCTATTTGGAGAAGTGCAACCCTCTTACAGGGGGTCACTGTTACATTATATGGGCTGGGTCAGGAGGTGCAAAGCTGGCATAAAATCAAGGATAGTGTGTTTTCTTTTCATCATTTTTCATGCCAGGATCCCCTTGGCAAGCTGCGGAAGCTTTTGGAGCCCTTCTAAGAAAAATGTTTTTAAGTACATAAAATTAAACACACAAGATTACCAAGGAATTCTTTAGTTTTGAAAGACTGCTATCACAATATTTTTAAAAACCAAATTTGTAATATGATAATATATAGGCTTTTTATTAACGACTAAATAACAGGTCTAGTGACAGGTTTAATAACTCTGGTAATTTCAAAGTAGTGATGCACATAGATGACATCGTGAGATATTCCTAGTAACAGTAATGGGATATAGCAAGAGCTGTGACTTTCTATTTGTGACAAAGTTACAGGCCCCACTTCTGTTCTCTATATTCACGATAGAATGTAATATTTTCCATGTCCATGTTCACAGACCTCTCGGATTCAATCCAGACCTCTTGTGGGTGCCAGTTTAAGAACTGCTGCATGGGCCATGCACGGTGGCTCACACCTGTAATCCCAGCACTTTGGGAGGCCAAGGCGGGCAGATGGCTTGAGGTCAGGAGTTCAAGACCAGCCTGGCCAACATGGCGAAACCCCATCTCTACTAAAAATACAAAAATTAGCCGGGTGTGGTGGCAGGTGCCTATAATCCCAGCTACTCAGAAGGCTGAGGCAAGAGAATCGCTTGAACCTGGGAAGCGGAGGTGGCAGTGAGCCGATATAGCGCCACTGCACTCCAGGCTGGGCGACAGAGTGAGACTCTATCTCAAAAAATAAATAAATAAGAAAAGAACTGCTGCACAAGAGTGAATGTTTGAAGCAAGCAGGAGGGAGGCGAATTGCCCAAAGATCAGGAAGAAAAGAAAGAGGCTGGGATGGTCATAGATCTGCCGAGGAGCACAAGAAGTGAAGAGGAAAAATGACACGGAAGATGCCAGAATGTGGACTGATGGAAGTAAAAGGGCAGGAATGGTCTGACAGATGTCTCTGTTGACAGAGGATACCCCACCCAGAATACAGCCCGTCAGAAACGGGAATGTTCACAGTGGCCCAGAGCGCGGACTTTGAAGCCTGACACACCTAGGCGTGAACCCCCGCCCTGCTGCGTTTATCAGCACGTATTTTGCACAAGTCATTTAACTGCTGTGTCTTAGTTTGTCTTCTGTTTAGTGGGGATAATAATACATCCCTTACAAAATTGCTTTGAGCAGCAGTCTCCAACATTTTTGGCACCGGGAACTGGTTTTGTGGAAAACAATTTTTCCACAGACCTGGCGGTGGGGAGGTGGTTTCGGGATATTATTATTACATTTTAATACATAATGAGATAATTATACAACTCACCATAATGTAGAATCAGTGGGAGCCCTGAGCTTGTTTTCCTGCAACTAGACGGTCCCATCTGGGAGTGATGGGAGACAGTGATAGGTCATCAGGCGTTAGATTCTCATAAGGAGCGCGCAGCCTAGATCCCTCGCATGCGCAGTTCACAGTAGGG
Organism: Homo sapiens; assembly: GCF_000001405.40. Lineage (NCBI taxonomy): Eukaryota > Metazoa > Chordata > Mammalia > Primates > Hominidae > Homo > Homo sapiens. Next base: position 134,432,468 of record NC_000007.14, read on the forward strand.
TTCATGCTCCTATGAGACGCTAATGCCGCTGCTGACCCGACAGGAAGCGGAGCTCAGGCGGTAATGCGAGAGGGGAGTGGCTGTAAAAACAGATGAAGCTCTGCTCGCTCGCCCATCGCACGCCTCCTGCTGTGCGGCCCCGTTCCTAACAGGCCATGGACTGGTACCGGTCTGTGGCCCCGGGAGTTGGGGACCCCTGGCTTTGAGGATTAAATGAGACAGTGTATGTAAAGGGCTTTTTACTGCACCTATTGGATTGTACCACTTCCATCAATAGCTCTGGCAACAGTATCATTGTCGTCGCTGTTACTAGGAAGGTCCACTTCCCAGCAGTAAGCAGGGCCTCCCACCAGGGATTACCAAAAATCATTGTTGACCATTTGTGGCCAGAAGGGGGAAGCATACACCACACTATAAGCTCAGGAGGCTAAGGACGGGGAGTGGCGAGTGTGGATGGGGACTTCCTTTTGCTCACACAGGCTGAACTCGATGACCGAGGCTTCCTTCGCCCCCTTTGCTTGGCCATGGTGCTCGGAAGCCTACCGGTCCTTGCTGTAGGACCAAGCGCACCCAGACTGCCTAGGCACTGTCAGGGATGTTCTGGTGAGGAAGGCAGGCCAGGGACCCGGCAGAGACCAGCTGGTGTATATCCCATTCTAGCCAAGCAGCATTTGAATCACATACATCGAGAGGGCAGGTGCTGGGGTCAGGGAAGAATTCTACCACACAGTAGTTGGAGCTACGTACTTCCTTCAACTCTTCATGTTATCTAACTTTTCACCTGCTTTCTTTTTGGTAGGAATATCATCTGCCCTCCACACAGTCCCAGGAACGAACAGGCTTTACACATGCTGTGCCCAACTTAGAAACATCTAACCTAGAATGGCCTGTTCTGTCCTCCCTCACCCCACCATGAAGAAATTATTGCCCAGCCTGGGCCACATTGTGAGACTCTACATTAAGAAAAAAAAAAGCCAGGTATGGTTGTGCACACTTGTAGTCCCAGCTACTTGGGAAGCTTACTGGGAGGATTGCTTGAGCTGGGGAAGTTGAGGCTGCAGTGAGCCATGATCGCATCACTGCACTCAAGTCTGGGTGACAGAGCAAGACCCTGTCTCAAAAAAAAAAAAAAAAAAAAAAGAGGAAGAAGAAGAAGAAATTATTGCCGTATTTCTCCCTGTACAGAAAATTATGCAAAGTTTTTCACCTAGAGCTACCCATACACACATAGAAAGAAATCTCCTCTACTTTCGTGGCAGAAAAATAACAAGTTGTAAGGACCAAGATCTTATCGTACTATCCTTTTGCAACCCTTCTGCAGGGACATCCAAGAAATAAGATGCAACTAAATAGGATGGTAGGAACATCGTACATGAAACATCATATATAAAGCTGTTTCTAAGGGAAAATGCTACCCTCTTCCAAGAAGCTACCCCATGACTAATTTGCAAATCTGCACCTTGGGGAATAGAACAACTTCATTGATTTATTTATTTTTGAGACAAAGTCTTGTCTCCCAGGCTGGAGTGCAATGGTGCAATCTTGGCTCACGGCAATCTCCGCCTTCCGAGTTCAAGCAATTCTCCTGCCTCAGCCTCCCGAGTGGCTGGGATTACAAGTGCCCACCACCACTCCTGGCTAATTTTGTGTTTTTAATAGAGACTAGGCTTCACCATGTTGGCCAGGCTGGTTTCAAACTCCTGACCTCAGGTGATCTGCCCTCCTTGTCCTCCCAAAATGCTGAGATTACAGGCATGAGCCACCGCGCCCAGCCAAATAATCTCTTTTTATATGTCCCTTAGCATGTGCCACAACACTAGGCATTTAACTAGGACTCCAAGAATACTTATTGAATGGTACTAAAATCTGGGAAATGGACAGAGAGAGTTCAAGAGATCCCACTTGGTTTTCCATGGAATGGATTTTAAGTTTTCTTAAAGTTTTTTAAAGAATCAGAACCCTTTTCACAAATGAAATCGTACATACAATTTCAACAAAGAAGATAAAAGGGAATTTGCTCTGGTTGAGGCAGTGAGGACAGGGAGAGAGGACACCTACACCACCCCTTCCTTGCCTCCTCAGCCCAGGGAGGAAATCCAGGCCTTTTCAGAAACACGGTTTGAACCATACAGCCTCCCACTGGATAACAAAACAATCTGGTCTCTAGTCCAGATTAGGCCACGAGTGGATGGCCTGGGGTTTTCAAAATCATGTGTTCAGACTAAGAGGTAGGTGACCTACAGAAAAAGAATATTGGATAAAGATCTGCAGAGTTCTAGTCCTGGCTGATCTTGACAAAATCACCTGATCCCTCCTGTACAACGAAGGCTGGGACCATATGGCCTCTGAGAGCCCTGGCAAAGTCACAACCTGCTGATTTGCGGTAACTGGGAGAGAAGGCCACGCAATTCTTAATGCCCAGGTTTAGGCCTGGAAGCATCTGCTGCAGGCCTGAGTGGATCTGTGTAGCGGGAGTATATTAATGGCCTCCCGCTGCTTTCCTCCCACTGCCTGTTCCTGTCCTTTCTCCATGCTGTACTGTGCCCTGTGGTCAGTACCCCATTCTCTGGTCTCCTTTGACTCTGTGCTGTATTTCCACCAAAACTTACCTGACTTTTGCCATGGGCCCTAAGCCTGGCTCTCCTTTTCCCTGGGTCCCAGCTCTCTAACAGTTTGGGATACTCATAATTCTCATCCAAAACCTGTTGTTTTATCTCTGACTCTCTAATACCACTGAAATTACTCCTGGCTTGCAACTCTGGCAAACACCGTTTATCACTCGAAGCCAAGAATTGGAGACAAGATGAAAAGATAACTCTGTTGAAAGGACTTCACTTCTTTTGCTCAATGACAGGCAGTTGGGCAATCAAATTTTTCTGTATCTAGAGTTAAGATAGCAGCAGAGGTAGTCATAAAAAATAGCTTCAATGTGATTCAGTAGAAAGGTCACAGAGTTTGGAGGCGAAACCGTTGACTAGCTGTGAGACATTTGGCATACCAAATGAGTTTTCTTGATTTAGTTTATCATCTATAAATGAAGAGTCATGACACACGAGTCTCACAGGACTGTTGTAAGGATCAGATGAGATAGTTTATTCAGCAAACATTTATTTTTTATTAGGAAATAGATCACATGTAGGCCAGGTGTGGTGGCTCACGCCTGTAATTCCAGCACTTTGGGAGGCCAAGGCAGGCAGATCGCTTGAGCTCAGGAGTTTGAGACCAGCCTGGGGAACAGGGGGAGACCCTATCGCTACGAAAAATTAAAAAATTAGCTGGGCATGGTGGCACGTGCCTATAGTGCCAGCTACTTGGGAGGCTGAGATGGGAGGATCGCTTGAGCACCCAGAGGCGGAGGTTGCAGTGAGCTGAGATCATGCCACTGTACTCCAACCTGGGTGACAGTGAGACTTTGTCTTAATTTAAAAAAAAAGTAGAAATAAATCATATATGCAGAAGAGTGTACAACATCTCTGTGTATCATTTAAAGAATTAAAATAAACATACATGTTCTCATAACCCAGGTTAAGAAATAAATAGTACTTTAGGACTCCTTGTATATCCCTCTTCAATATCAAGATTCACTCCAACTCCCACCCATGAATTTGGAATAAATCCTTCTCTTTATCTTCTTAGTAGTTGTATGACCTGTGATTGTATCCTTAAAAAAATGTTGTTTAGTTTTACCTGCTTGTAAATTTCATATAAATGGATTCTTACTATATGCCTTTTTTCTGTGACTAGCTTTTTCTTCTGCCTTAGTATTCTCCTTAGTACTTTTGAGATTCATTTATGTAGAAGCATAGAGCTGTAGCCTGTACACTGTAAGAACACACTGTGATCCACTCGTGCAGATGCCTTCTACCAGGTAAAGACGTTCTTTCCTATTCCTACTTTGCCAAGAGATTTTATCATAACACCATTTTGAATTTTACCAAATGTTGTTCTACTTGAATACATACATATACCTCTAATTCATTCATGTGATGGATTACATTCATAATTTTCTAATATTAAATCAACATTGCATTCCTGTGATAAAATCACACAAATCCCTCTTTTATACATCATTGGATGTGGCTAACTTTATTTTGTTTAGGACTTTTGCAACTATATTCTTTGATGAGATGGGTCTGTAGTTTTCTTGAACTGTCCTCGTCTAATTTTAGTGTCAGAGTTGTGTTGGCTGCATAAAATGAGTTTGACGGTATTCCCTCTTTTCCTGTTTTCTGGGAGAACTTGAATAGGATTGGTATTGTCTGTACCTAGAATGTGACATACAACACTTCTATAAAACCATCTTGGTCTGGTATTTTCTTTGAGGAAAAATTTTAACTAGTTTTTCAACTTCTTTAATGGACATAACACTGTAAGTTGCCCTCTGAGTACTGCTTTGGCTGCATCCCAAAAGTTGTTATGATTCCACATGTGTTTTCTACAGTAGGAGGCAGCCCAGCAGAACTGGTGGATGAACTCCAGAGCCAGACTGCCCAAGTGGAAATCCCAGCTCCACCATTTTCTAGTTATATGATCTTGGGAAGGTTCTTTATCCTCTGTGGGTCCCAGTTTCTTCATCTGCAAATGGGATAGCAATAGAATCAACCTCATAGAGTTGTGAGGTTGGAAAAATATGTAAAACTCTTAAAACTGTGTTTGGGTCTTTAATAGGTAATTAATACTTATTAAATTGCCGTAGGTAATTAATAAATGCCATATATAGTGTTTGCTGTTATTTTTTCTTCTTTAACCTTTGAATTGATTGTAAATCTATTTCAAAATTTCCAAATTCATGTGGAGGGCAGTTTCATTACTTTTTGTTATTTTTTTAAATAATTTTATGTAATTGTGGCCAGAGGAATAATATCTATATATGAGTTCATTGAAATTTGTTGAGGCCAGCACTTTGGCCTAGCATATCACTGATTAACATAAATGTTACATATGTGCTTAGAAACATGTGTTCTCCAAGGAAAAAATTAGTAATTCTGCCATTTAAATCGGTACCCTTGCTAATAATTTTATCTGCTTCATCTAAAAAAAGGTGCAGGCATTTTTAAAAGCAGGTAAGTAATCTAGGTAGACATATTGGCTATTGTTTAGAAAGACCACTCTTATAAAGTTTTCTTTTAAGGCATTTTATTTTAGAATAGTTTTAGATTTACAGAAAAATTGTGAAGAGAGATTGCCCATATATCCCACATCTACTTTCCAATAATTAACATCTTATATTGCTATGGTACGTTTAGTATAATGAACCAATACTGATGTTATTAATTCAAGTCCTTGCTTTATGCAGACTGCCAGAGTTTTTACCCAATGTCCTTTTTCCATCCCAAGATCCCATCCCCATTACATTGAGGCACCCTGCTTCCACTATTCTTGGATGTGACCGTTTCTGAAACTTTCCTTGTTTTTGATTACCTTGATGGTTTTGAGAAATACTGTAGAATATCCCTCAACTGCAATTTGATGTTTCTCTCATGATTGGACTAGGGTTTTGGTTTTTGGAAGGAAGATCATAGAGGTCAAGTGTCATTCTCATAACATCATATCATGACTATATACTATCAACATAACCTATCACTGTTGATGTTAACCTTGATTACTTGGCAATAAAGTGTTGTTTTTTTTTTTTTTTGAGATGGCATCTCACTCTGTCACTATGATTGGAGTACAGTGGCGTGACCTCAGCTCACTGCAACCTCCGCCTCCCGGGTTCAAGTGGTTCTCCTGCCTCAGCCTCCTGAATAGCTGGGACTACAGGTGCGCACCACCACACCCAGCTAATTTTTTTATTTTTAGTAGAGAAGGGGTTTCACCATGTTGGCCAGGCTGGTCTTGAACTCCTGACCTCAGGTGATCCACCTGCCTTGGCCTCCCGAAGTGTTGGGATTACAGGCGTGAGCCACCATGCCTGGCCTGGCAATAAAGCTTTATACATGTGTAAGCTACTATAATTTTTATTGTAATGGAATGTCATTGTAATAATATGATGCAATGCCACAGATTAGTTTCCACAGACCAAGATTCTAGCCCCTTTCAGCCACTAAATTGCAGTGCGAGCTTTGGTTGGTCACTTCATCTTTCTGATCCTCAGAGTTTTTGTTGTTGTTAATCTGAACATATATTCTTTTGAAGTACCATTTTCATGTTTACAGTTACTTCTGGAATGCCTTCTAAACAATGTGTAGTTTTCAGGTTGCAAATTTTGGTAGTCACCCTCTGAGATGTCCCCAGTGGCTAGGGCTGACCATTGTTACCAATAGGCTATTGTGGAGATGATGCTGTGTGACCTCTGAGGTTAGATAATGAAAGACATTGTGGCTTCCACTTTGTGATCTCTTCAATCACTCATTTGGAGAGTCAGTCACTATGTCATGAACACTCTGGCAGCTCTAGGAAAAGGTACACATAAGAAGGAGATGAGCGTCCCTGCCAATACCCAGTACCGACTTGCCAGTGGTTGAGTGAGCCATCTTGGAATCAGAGCCTCCGGCCCCAGTCAAGCCTTCATATTGAACCACCCAGCTAAGCTTCTCCAAAATTGCTGAACACCAGCAACTGTGTGAAATAAATCCTTGTAGGTATTAAAAACAAACAAAAAGCAAAGCATTAGATTCCAAGACTTTGAAACTGTTCCAGCATCCTCATGGGTGGAGGGGAATGTGGGAAGGGGTTCTGCTGGCTTGGCTCCCAGATTCCTCCCCCACGGAAACCACAGCAGCTCTGCCTGTATCTGTGTTACATACTGAGGACCCGTGTAGATTTTCTTTTGAAGAATGGAGCCTGCTGCCAAAAATAAATTTGAAAACTCTGGCTTAGAAAAACAATGGATTAGATGACCCCTATAGTCTTTTCTGTCTCTCGCATTCTGATTCCACCTATCAGTATGAAACAGATAACTCTTATAAGCCCATGGGCAGTATTTTCTTCTTGCCATGAAATACAATCCTAGGGGTAGGAAACAAAAACTGTGCTGCTCACTGATAAGTGTGTCAGAGAATCCCTTCCTTTGTGTGAGAATGGCGTGATGTTCCTGCAGAGAAAAAGCCCCTTTCAGGGCATAGCTCTGCCCCCCTGGGGCATCACCTGCCAGCCTTGAGGGGCTGGATAGGTTTGCTTCTGTTGTCAACATTTGATTATAATGATATTAACAATATCAACAATAATGGCTAGCATGTTTTGAGTACTGTGTGCAAGGCCTTGGGACAGGGGGTTTTTATCTCATGCAGTCTTCATCACCACAATGAGGCAGGCATTTTGTAGGTTGAGGAAATTAAGGCTGATAGATTAAATGAATTAGAACTGCAATTAAGAGTCTATAGTCCTAGAACTCTTGGCCACCATTCAGTGAATTATGGGCCAGGATCAGAACTGAACAGCTAGCATTTGGGTTTAATATATACTGATTTCAAAACTTGGGGGTTCTAATAGGCATTATAAGAAAAACTCTACGTTCACTCACTCACTCATTCATGCAACTGACATTACTGAGAGTTTACTCTGTGCCCAGGTGGAATTCTAGAAACTGGATAGAAGGGTGTGGAAAATAGAAGCTGGCACCCCAGGGTACACTGGGATTTGGGGCTGTAAGAGGACCTGAGGAGCCATCAGCTGCTTCCACTGCCTTCAAGGGACAGAAAGACTCGGTATAACCTAGGGGGCTGGATCCTAGAGAGCCATGAATTCCCAGAACGCCCCTCCAGGGAAATCTTCCTGGGTTGAATCCAATACTGACTGTGCTTATCCCGGCTGGGCACCCTCCCAGGGTCCTGCCAATGAGCCCCGTGATAAGCCGTGACAGAGAGCAGCAAGGACATTGCACTACAGCAGTTTGTGCAATTTTATCAACATAAAGGACATAGTGTTGAGAAACCTTGTTCTTTGAAATCAGATCCTGAAAAATGATGCTGTTTGAAATCGTCTCCGGAGGCATTGTTCAGAGATTTTCCAATGCAGATCTTACTTGCCCGTGTGATTTAATATTTTGTTCTGTATTTCCATTGGTCTCAATATCTTAACAATTCTGCTCCTTGGCTGGAACATTATTTTGGTAAAACCCCACTGCTTCATGAATGTATGTTGTGCCCCCAACTTCACAGGGGCAAATGTCCCGAGATGGGGCCAGCACCATTGTTCTATAACTGCCACTGACTTTGCCCTCTGAAGGGTGACTTCATTCATCGTGATGAGTCCACCAGAGTCCTGAGGCTGGGCTGGAGTCTGCCCAGGAAGGTGTAGCGGTTTTGATTCCACAAGGGGAAGGAAGAATGGAGCTCTCCATTGGTGAATGAAGCAGCACCTGTCTTGATCCACGGACCTTCTCTCATCCATCCACTCCTTGGATGAATTGTTAGTGGAATGAAGCTGGTTCCACTGAGCTCCACAGCCTCAGCTTCTGCTCCTTAAGCCACACTTTTCAGCATACAAGCAACGGGCCTTACCTGAGCCCAAGCCGCTGACTACTGAAAATACGATTGGAGCTTCAAAATGCAGAACCAGCTGTTCTCCCTGTCATTCGTGGCATGCTTTAATTCTCTTCCTCCTCTTCCACTGCCGGCAAGGCTCCTAAAGGGCAGTCCTTAGAAAAAATCTGAGGGTTCTGCTGGAAAGTAGGGAGGGGAGGTTGCACAGCTTGCCTTTTATCTTGTTTATGCTCCTGGGCTGAGTCTCAAATTGTCATGCTACAATGGTCTATACTAAGCGGAGATCTAAAAGGCAGGTAACCGATTTAAAAACTGTTACCAGTGACTACCTTAAAGTTTTTCCAAAGAGTGTTGAAGCCAACTGGAGAAACAGAGTGGGGATCAGGTCAGATGATTTGACGTAACTTTTGTAACAAAACTAAAATCTACTCTTAATCATCAGAGGGCAACATAAGGTCTGCAGTTTAACAGGTGTGACCTGCCTACTCTGGCAGGGGAAACTGGACCACTGTGATCAGCAGATGCCATGAGGGACCCAGGCCCAAGGCTGCCAGGTAGTAAGGGCAGCCTGTGCAGTGGGGCTCTGGGTTCTCCACCGGGCTCAACCCCAGCCGCAGAGGGGCTAGGTGTGCCCCTCCAGCGCTGGGTGAGGGCCAGGAACCACCACTGCCCAATTAACTATACCTTTAGAGGTGCATCTTAAACACAGATCACCTGCAAAGCAGTTAATGTGACTTGATCATGGGGGTCCTAATTATCCAATAAACAAGGGCAGCCACAAAACAACCTAACTTGATGAACTTTCAAGTCGGCACTTGTCTATTCCATTCCTTTCTTGGCCTTTGTTAACTTAACTCTGGATAAAGAAACGGTAACAAAAAGAAGCAACAGCATTCCGCCTCAAAATCTTTATTTTGTAGCCCTATTTCATCTTCATCCAATTGGAAGCCATTTATTTATGCTTTTCTTTCCTCTTGTCTAGACAACAGGCTTCAGAAAAGCAATTTCTCTCAGGTTGTGCTGCTTAGTAAACACCGACCTCGGCCTTCATACGTAGAAGGAGCAACCAAGGAATCTGTGGAATCGAACATGGGTTTACCCTAAAGCTGTGGCTCAGCCTTGGCTGCACCCTGGAATCACCTGGAGAGCCTGTACACTCCTGCTGTCCTGATCACAGCCCAATCAGATCAGCCTCCAGGGCGAGGTCCAGACATCACCAGCCTTAAAGCCCCCAAAGGTGACCTGGTGTGCAGCCAGGATGAGACCCACAACCCTAAAGCTAAATGGGTAAAGTACTGGGGTGAGGGGCCCCCAACTTGCAGTTGAGGACTTGTAGAAAAGTCAAGTCCTCACTCCTTTTGCATCACTGACTGGCCTGCCTTATGGGTATGTGGAGAGTGATGGTTGAAGTGAGATAGAAGGTTGCTATTGTTTTAAAAAACCAAAGCTCACAAAACCAAGCTCACAAAAGCACTTTTTATTTGAGGCAAAGAGAAGTCTTGCTGAAAGGATTCCAGTTCCAAGCAGTCAAAACTCAACCGTTAGTGGCACTATTTTGACCTGGTAGATTTTGCTTCTCTTTGGTCAGAAAAGGGTATTCAGGTTGTACTTTCCCCAGCAGGGTAGAAAGAAGGGCAAAGCAAACTGGAAGAGACTTCTACTCTACTGACAGGGCTCTTGAGATCCAACATCAAGCTAGACACGCCCTCGCTGGCCACTCTACAGGTTGCTGTCCCACTGCTGAGTGACACAGGCCATACTACATTTGCAAGGAAAAAAATGAGGCAAGAAACACAGGTATAGGTCACTTGGGGACGAGCAGGCAACCACAGCTTCAAAACTCTTCATGGAAGGGGTAATCCTTGTGGGAGGTACAGCTGTCAGGAGAAAGGAGAAAACAGTTGCTTTTTGAAGAGGTGATTTTGACTATACCCAACTCCCAACAGAGAAATGATGTGTCTCACTGAAGAAATAAAATAGAACCTCAGAGGCAACAAGCTAGTTCTGAGTGTGCAGATGATGGTTCTGCAGCTGGGGGAAGCAACTCACCCTCCAGACCCCTCTACCACTACTGTCATCAAGCAGCACATGTGTGAGGGACACCACCCTCCCCATGTGCCCAGCACTGTGCCTGGGCCGTGCAGGACGGCAACACGATTTCTGCCTTCCAGTAACTCAGTCTAGCTGGCAGGACCAGACAGTATTTTGTGGTCTTAAACATCTTGTGTAATAATATGAGAAGGCAGGCCAGACACAGTGGCTCACGCCTGTAATCCCAGGCTGAAGCGAGAGGATCACTTGAGGCTAGGGGTTTGCGACTAGCCTGGGCAACATAGCAAGATTTCCATCTTAATAAAAAAACTTTTTAAATTAACCAGGCATGGTGGTGCATGCCCATGGCCCCAGCTACTTGGGAGGCTGAGGTGGGAGGATCATTTGAGCCCAGGAGGTCAAGGCTGCAGTGAGCTGTGATCATGCCATTACATTCCAGCCTGGGTGACAGAGTAGGAGCCCATTTCAAAAAAAAAAAGGGATGTTAAAAGTCTGTATGTGACTGAATCTCAAAGGATAAGAGAAGCAACGGCAAGTGCTCTGAGGACAGAGGGAGCCTCCTTGTATCAGTGGGGGCTGAAGTGAGCCCAATCAACGGTCGGCGATTTTATATTGGAAACAGGGCAGGGAGCACAGGGCAGGGAGCACATGGCAGGGAGCACAGGTGCAGACGTGTTTGTCAAGGCTCACTCACTGTCCATCTAGTAGGGCCAATGGCTGTGCTAGGAACATAAAGGCAGGAACACTGGACAGATAGCTGGGCAGCTCACGCAAGGCCAGAGTTATGTAATCTGAGCTGGGTGCTTACAGTCTGTAACTCTTATTCAAAAGTTCTCCATGGTCTGCCTTTTTTGTATACCCACAGTGACACTGACATCAGCAGGTCAGGCTCAGTAAAGCATTATCTGCCAGAGGGGTGGTGTGTGTGTAGTTAGCGAAAACTCCCTAGGAGACCTGAGCATGTCAGGGCTAGCCTCTTCCTCCCACTCACCGCCACGCAACAGGATAATCGAACAGAAGTTTCTAGCACAATACTGGAGGGCAGAGGAGCCTAACTGTAAAGGGAGCAATGAGAAAACCACTGTGTTTCCTCAGCCCTGAAAGCTTCAATCCACTCTGTCTCAAGTGGGAGGGGAAAAGGAAGACGGATGAATGGGAGAGATTCTGAAAGGAGAACGAATGTAGCTTGGTGACTGATTCACTCCTCTCCTCCTTGTCCACTAGATCCAAAAATGATTTTAATGTCTAGGGCTAAGTAGCATTAACAGAGATGTCTGAAAGGGCACTGGCCTGGGGCTGCCTGTGACATGCTCTGTTTGCGGCCTATTTTGAGTGTGAGGCCACAGTGTGGCAGCAGCAGGCTTGCCAGGCACGCATATGCCTGAAGCAGGGCCAGAGTTATTGTCCAGGACGCAGACTGGGCAAACATCTGCCTGGGGCGGTGGCTGAAGCCACCAGCAGTGCAAACTCCGGGGAGGGAGATGGGACAGACGCTGGAAAGGGAAAGCTGGTAGCCCACCCCATCTTAGGGAATGTTCACATTTTGCTTAGAAGAGGAAGTACTAAAGGAGAGAGTGTGGAAACACAGAGCTCAGACAAGAATAAGGGTAGTGAGAGAGAAACAGAGTCTCAGTCTCCACTGCAAAATGAGAAGTTCCTTCTTGAAAGCAGAAAGTGAGTTACATGCGTCACCTAGTTATTGTAATGGTAGGAAAAGAGAAAACCCCACAGAAAACCTTCCTAGGCAGCTCCTTCCAAACTACCATGCAGAGGAAACAGAACCAGAGGATGTGTGGCTGGAGGAACTGAGGTGCCTGCTGCTCAGAGGGAGGGCCTGTTTTGGAGCCATGTGGCTTACCAGGTCAGAGCCGGGACTGTCTCAAACCTCAGCCCCAGGGGCTCCCGACCAAACCCCTTTCATTAGGGTCATTAAGACAAAAAGTCACAGGCAAATTCTTCCAGAGTTTGATCCAGGGTCACCTGGGATCACCTAGTTTCAGATGAACTGCTAGGATTTAAAAATTGAATGGAAAGCCAAAATATGTAGTTACTTCAGGCCAGGCCAACAATGCCCCAGGGCTGGAAGAAGATATCAAGAGCGGATCTCTTGGCATCTTGGCTCCATGCAGTTCAGCTGATGCAAGTCACGTGGCTGAGAAAGCAAGGTAATGTGCAAAGCAAGAACAGCTGTGACGAGAGCACATTGGCGCTGAGGCCTGCAGGGATCACTCTCTTGCTGTGCAGCATCTGAATATCTCCTGGGAACTGCTCCTCACACTGGGGCTCACTCACCTCAACAAGGCACAGACCCTCCAGTTCCTGTTGTAGCTGAGTAAGGTGGTCATATCCTGGCTGCTCAGTTCAAAGTCAAAGACCTAAAAAACAAACAAAAAAATCCAGTAAGCTCTGCAAATAAAAATAAAAGACAAAATACTGTGCAGGACCCAGATGTCTTCCATGGCTTTGAGCAGAGAGGAGCGATAAGATAAACTGAACTTAGGAAAAGCTGATATATTAGTATTCAGGAAATGTGCATGTTGGGCTAGATAATATATGGAACGATGGAAACAGTCCTTCCTTTCCAGAACCTCCCAGGGAAATGATACATTTTATTTCATTTCAAAAAACACTACTGAGCACTTCTATTGTGATAAGTTGCAGTGAGGAATATAATTATGGGTAAGATGTGTCTTTGCCTCTATTTTATGAAGCAAACAAAGGGCAGAGGTATTTCTACAACTGTAATACAAATAACTAATCACACACTGTATAAGACACTCAACAGCACAGGAAGGGCAGAGGTATTCCAAAGGGATTCCAGCCGGGAAACTGAACAACCACAGCCGAAGAGGAGATGGTATTTGACATGGCCTAAGAAGTATAAGATTTTGACAGAGAGGGCAAGAAAGGTATACTGGGAGAAGAGAACCACCTGCATGAAGGCAGCAGACGGTACAGAACTCAGCTGGCATGGAGGCTGGGAGGGAGGGAGGCAGGCAGGCACCACTGGGTGAGACCCACAAGAGGCTGACACACACTCCCAGAGCCGAAGGGCTCTTAGCTTCAGATGATCACAGAATGTGCAGAAAGAGAGTCTGCTACAGGCTCTGTGGTTATGATCACAGAAAAATGTGCAAAAGCTATACAGTAAGATGCAAAAATAAAATAATTAGGTTAGCATTTTGAGATTAGTCATTTATTTTTTCTTTCCTAATTCCTTAAAAAATGAAATACGAAACAAACGATGCATCTCTGGTGGGATATGCCTTTCCCTCAGTGGCCACTGTTTTGCCATTTTATCTTGTGTACTTAGAACATCTACCTGCACGTAAGAAGAAAAACGTCTCCTCTCCTAAACAATGAGCTCCACTTCCCTCTTCAGGGATCACTCTCATCCCTGTCTCATATGTGACAGGTGGCAGGCACTATGGCCACAGTCTTTGGGCAGTGGAATTGGGCAAAATCAGCTGCTCACCTAAGCTGGGGCCTGCCCAAGAGCCCCAGGCCCATGGCTGTGCTGCGCTCGGCACAGATCTTGGATAAAGACAGAGCATCCCTGGCAGAGCCACTTTGCTCAGTGAGAACAGAGGCTCTTGGGCCATCAGGACTCCCCTGAGCTGCTCTCCTTTGGGCGTGCCCCCCCCCTCCCCCACACCCCCGCCACCAATGCTGCAAGGGCAGGCAGGGAGGGAGGTGGCGCCAAGTAGCCTGAGCTGCTCCAGCTGCCACACTGAGCGCTTCGCCAGAGTCCTGACACAGGTCTAGGCTCTGCCCATCATCACACGAACTCCTTGCAGAGCTGGTGAATGGACTAAATGGCCCAGAGGGTCCTTTGCAGTCCCTGGACTTATCAGCACAGCAACATTTCTCGATCACTTACTAAGGTATTAAGCACCATGTGAAGTGCTCTGATGCATCACTTAATCTTCGTAACAACCCTCAAAATGGATATTATTTTATAGATAGGGAAGCTGAGGCATCGAGCAGTTAAGCGACTTGCCCAGGGTTATGCAGCTGGTAGCTGACAGAGCTCCAGTGCAGGGCAGGTCCAGGCAGTGAAGCTCAAGAGCGAGATTCTCCCCGGGTAACCTCTCGGTGTGGCTGAAGGGCCTGAGCAAAGGTGTAGGTGTATGCGTGCACAGCACGGGGCCCTGGAGGCCCAAGGCCTGCCCCTGCACACGGCTCCACTGGTGAGGTGTCAGTCTCAGTCTTGGCTTGCTCGCCACAGCTCCCTGGCCTCAGAAGAGAGGATGGTGGTGATCCCACAGATGACACTCCAGAGACAGGATGAGAGGCCTCCCCCATCCCCCACTCCATGGAGGAGGGCCAGGCCTGACCAGCCAAGATCTTACCTTAAAGTTCTCAGCAATGCGTTCTGGTGTCACAGACTTGGGGATCACCACCAAGTTCCTCTGCATGGGGAACCGGATCAGGACCTGTGAGCCCAAGGAGACAGTGAGTGTGTATACATGCCAGGCACTCGCACCCATCATCTCAGTCTCTCACACACACAACCTGCAGAAGGACGTGCTAGAACTCCACAGGTGATCAGAGAGGGGCTCCAAGATGTCAGGTCACAGCTAGCAACAGGTAGGCGACGCATTCAGGTCCAGATCTGACTCCAGAGTCCTGCGCTAGCCACTGTGCCACACGCTTCAGTGTCTCAGGCATATCATGAGACCACATGAGGCCCTCCACTGGCTAGAAATGCACACTACCACTCAGGAGAAAGAACATTCCCTGCACGGCTAAGAGCTCTTACATTTGTACAGATGAGGTTCCACATGAATGAACAAGCGCTGGCCCTCGTGGCAGTCACCCTTGCAGTAGTGGGGGCAGGCACTATTAATCTAAGAGCCCATGCCAGAGTCTTCTAAAACCCCGATCTGTGCCCTTTCCACTCTGTACTTGAGGACCCCTAACCATACTTCCTGTGAGGGTGTAACAGGCTCAGTCACTTCCTCCTCTTGGCTAACAGGACTGTCAGGAATGCAGGCAGTTGTGGACGGTCAGCAACACCTGAAGTGGCTGTACCTGGGCTGTAGTTTTATTGTGCTTGGCTGCGATCGCCTTGATCCTGGGATCCTCCAGGAGAGAAGGGTCCTCGGGCTTGGCCCTGAGGATAGAAAGACAGTCCAGGTCACACCATCATGGCCACCACTCACAGCAGCCAGAAACCCCAACCCTAATCCTCCCATCGACCTCAGAGGGCAGCCACCAGTCTCCTCCTCAGAGCTGGGTTAAGAACCCCCAACCCTTTGGAAAAAGAGTAGGTGTCTTGCTACTAGAAACTCCAACCCTTCCAGGAAAACCAGCAAGAGGCTCAGGGGAAGTTTTGCAGATCACCCCCAGAAACATCTTCCTTGAGGCTGAATTGTTCTTTTTAGTCTTTTCTAATCTTCACCAAGTGACACAGGAGCATGAGCCTGTGGGAAGCTCACCAGGGCCTGTCAGGAGAGCCGAGGGGGCTGTAGGCGGTCACCACGATGCCTTTGGACTGGCAGTACTGGATTAACTTCTCCTGAGTGAGATATGGGTGGCACTCAATCTGCAAATGCAAAAACAAGAGCTGATGGGAGCACTGTGGCTACACGCTGATGGGACACAGATGAAGCTTCCTATGCTAAAGTCCCTCCCTACCCCATACAGAAAACTATGTATAACAAACACCCTATTTCCCAGATAAGCTGTAACTTCCTACAGTTCCCAGGTAGTATCCTTGGTGTTATTATTATCTTATTATAGATGTTCTCATGGGCCCTAGAGGCTTTTCTTGGCTTTAGCCACTTATCAACTATCACAGTTCTGAGGATCTCATGGCTGCCTCTTTGTCAGACCCCAAATCGTCACAAGCCAGGCTCAAACTCTTTCTTTCCTGTAAGTTTCCTCTCCCAGATGTGCTGTGTCATGCTGAATCATAACTCAGGACTCTGCCAACACCCAGGAGCTGCCTCCTGGCCACTTGCTGGGTGAGGTGGACGAGAAATCCCTACCAGCATCAGACAGTAAAACAGCAACGTTGCAATGCCAGTGTCGTTGGGGGATGTTTACCTGGTTAACTGCAGGCTTATACTTCAAGCCAGGTTTGTTTAAGATCATCTCCACCTGGAGATGGTTGAAGTTGGAGATGCCAATAGCTTTCACCAGCCCTTCATCCACCAGCTCTTCCATGGCCTACAGAGAAAAGTGTCTGTGTGGTGCAGAAACGAACCCAGAAAGGACAGGATCAGAAGTGTCGTTTGCACCAGTTTAACGGGTCCTGCCCTCACTCTTCAGTGCCAGTGAATTAGACCTTTCAGAAGCTAAGAGACAGTGAGACGAAAGCCAGGCTGGCTTTAATGAGATAAGAAGAGCAAACAGGCCGGGCGCGGTGGCTCACGCCTGTAATCCCAGCACTTTGGGAGGCTGAGGCGGGCGGATCACGAGGTCAGGAGATCAAGACCATCCTGGCTAACACGGTGAAACCCCGTCTCTACTAAAAATACAAAAAAATTAGCCGGGCGTGGTGGCGGGCACCTGTAGTCCCAGCTACTCAGGAGGCTGAGGCAGGAGAATGGCGTGAACCCAGGAGGTGGAGCTTGCAGTGAGCCGAGATTGTGCCACTGCACTCCAGCCTGGGCAACAGAGGGAGACCCCAACTCAAAAAAAAAAAAAGAGAGAGCAAACAACAGGGACAGAATAACAAAATGCAATGTGAGAAATGGCAGGCAGATTGCTTCTAAGAAGAAGAGGGAACCAGTCACGAAAACAAGGTCCAACCAGGGGCTGTCTTACCGCCCACGTGTCCAGAATGTTGGTGTCACTGGGAACCACATTGCCCGACTCATCCAATGGGAAAAATTCCTTCCCAGGCTGTCATTACAATAAAAAACAAACAAACAAAACAATCAGTAATAGTCCTTCACAGACCTGCTGGGGGAAGCTGGCATCTAAAACAATTCTAAACCACCACAGCTGGCTAGGGATAATCTGTGTGCCACTATGAAAAGGAAATAGGCAGATAGCCAACACTTCTTTATCAAACGGGCTGGAGCTGAGACTGTCAGACGGAGACATGGACACTACTTGGTCACAGAGACTAGCCCCGCCACTGACTGCAATGTGTGGATACAGGAAGGACTCAAGACCAGGACTCACAGGGCCCAAGGCCTGGCGGGTCACTGGCCTATAAAACTACCACCTGGCCCAGCCTCCCCAGCTTACCCCTAAAATCAAAAGATAAAAGTCAAGTCCCTTCAGCCCTGATATGCTGTGGTGCAATAAAACAGGGCTACGGGATAAAGCTAAACCCACACTTTGAACCTGGCTCACAGCAGAAAACTGAGGCAGTGGCTAGAAAAAAGGCAAAAGACAAAGTAACTCTCAAGTTCTTCTTGTGCCAACAACTAGACTGCAAATAGTTACCGGGCCTCCACAGGACAGGGTATGCATGTAGAACGTGGGTAGGGACTCATGTGTATGGGGGTTGGTGTGTGCACGTGCCTGGAGGGGAGGGCCAGGGCTGACCGTGCCTCATGGCTGTGTGCACTACAGACAGCAGCTGTGTTTGCTGACAGTTTTAAATTGCACATCTACCAACTGGCAAAGAGCAGTGCTCCTCAAACTTTGAAGAAGTGTGCGTATGAGTCACTGCTGGTGCGGATTCAAATGGCCTGCGTGGGGCCCGAGACTGTGATTTCTAAGACGCTCCCAGGTGATGCCAGTGCTGATGGTCCACTGGCTATACCTTGAGCAGCAAGAACAGAAAGTCACCCACACGTAATCTGCTAAGGGAGCTCAAAACACACCACAGGTTGCACCTGAGCCCCAAGGGACCTGGTCTGCACCAGGCATCCCATACCTTAAAGCCAGTCGGCCAGTGAATAAGGTAGAGGTCCAGGTAGTCCAGCTTCAGGTCGCTGAGTGTCTTCTGGCAGGCTCCTTTCACCAGGCCCTTCTCATGGTACGTGCACCACAGCTAAGCCAGCGAGAGGGCACATGTCATCATTGCCAGCCACAAGGCAGCTTCCTGGCTGGAAAGACAGAGCAGTCTCCTCTCCCCAAAACCCATTTGCTTTACCATGATGCTGTGAATGGTTGTGAGGGCATTTCCACTGCGTACTGGATCCTAACTTTCCAAAGGCAGGCAGGATGACCAGGTCACAGAGACCTCTTACAAGGACCAGAGGACACAAAATGGAATGGACAGATTGGCTAGCCTGCCCTAGGCCTAAGCAAGAACTCTCGAAACTTTCCCCCCGGGCTGGTGTTTGTGGAGCCAGCCCCATCCTCCTGCCTCATGTCCTTTGTGCATCAGTATCTCAGGTCAAAGACAGTGGCTAGCACTGGAGATTCAGTTTGCAGATGGGAACCAAGTTCCATCCTTGAAAGCGACTCCCTGGAAAGGGAGGGCCAATCCACAACCTCAGCCTCATCAGCACGGGACTCTAAGCAATGGGCCCAGATGGAATGACCATTCAACAGAGAGCCAAGGATGGGCGAGCTCTGGAGCCCTGTATGGCCGTGGGTGATACGTTTCCCCGGGAAGAATCGCCCATCAGTGAAAAGTGTAGCTGTATTGAGTGTGGACTTGGCTTTGGGCTGATGCACCAACAGATGATGGGACCGAGAGCCCCTTCCAGCCCCACCGCGGAACGATACCTTGCTGACGATGAAGAGCTCCTCACGCTTCACCACCTGCTCCCTGAGCTTCTCCTGAATGGCCACCCCCACCTCATTCTCATTCTGGTACACATGGGCACAGTCGATGTGGCGGTACCCGACGTCAATGGCCACCTTCACGGCCTCAGTCACCTGCCCTGGAGGGGACTGAAAGGAGAAAGAACGTGAGCCCCGCAGAATGCAGAGTCTGCACAGCAAGGAGGAGGGGCAGTGGCAGCCACCGATACCTGCTGACCAGCCTGCCACTTTGTTCAGCAAAGACAGACCACGTGCACTTCCTCAGCAGCATTCTGGACTATCAGCCTCAGACGCGGGGGATGGAAGTGAAAGGCCACACAGCATTGCCCTGTAGGAGAATCTGACAGCCACTTAAGTGTAGGTGAGATCACTTTTAAAAGATATGCTGAAGCCATCTCATTTTCTTGCTTCTTCACATCCACTGATTTGCAAACCACTGTATTAAAAACATTTCCCCACACTCTGAATGCTGAGATAGTAAGGGAAACCATTTCCTTCAAATATCTCAAAATATTTCAAAAATAGATGTCCTATGGACCCCAATTCCCATGTGGCTCCCCAGTTCAGCCAGTGAATGCCTGCCCCTTACGCTCTCTTTTCATGCATGGCTTCTGATACCGGCAGTCGCTTGTTTTCAAGCGGTTCTGGGAGATTATCATGAAGTTAAGCACATCACTGATGTTTATTCAAAGGCCCATGTGTCAATTCTCACTGTATGAGGATCTGCTTCAAGGGGTGGAGACACGGGAGATGGCCCCTCAGAGGTATCAGCAGAGAGAAATAAGTTAAAGGGAAACGAGGGGGAATGTGGATCATGGAAGATCACCAAATGGTTAGTGGCTGACCTGGCAAAATGACTGAATGGGTGTCCATGGCCAAGCCACCTGACCATCTGAGTAACCAGAACAGCTGTGGGGAGCCTGGCTACTGAAGAGGAGGAGGAAGTGCCTACATGGCATCGCGCTTCACTGGCACCCAGGTAGGCTGCATGGACACGTATCCCCCAACTTTCACTATCCTGCTATGATCACAGAGCTGAGCAATAAACATGTGCAGCGGGCTGTTGAATGAACAGAGCACATTCCTTTGGAGAGCTGGGGTAGAAACAAATGAAAAGAAAAACCCCCCAGGGCCATAGCAGCTGCAGACATCTGTGTTTTGACATCAGCTATTTTCAACAGGCTTTGGGGAAGAAAGGGGCCCAGTTGAACAAGCCCGTTACCAGAGCCTGTTAGCATGGAGCTCACTCTCCACCTCAGAGGGAGCAGCGAGGCAGGGTGGGGATGCTCATCGAAGGTGTGGGTTAAGAGGGGACGACCCTCAGAGGACCTGGCGACCTCTTATTTGACTGGAGGACCTCAGAAGCTGCTCTTGCAGCCTTCCCCACTCTGCACGGTTGAAGGAACAGAGAATCTCAATTTCCAGAAAGAATGCCTTACCACAGGCCCTGAGTGGTGTCCGGGCACAACCACCACTGATGACAGCAGGGAGAGCAGAGGACATCCCTACCCCAGAAAGAACAACTGGGGCCCAGGCAGGAAACTGCCCAGGACACACTGAACTTTCTCCAGGCTTGATGGCGCCTTGATTGATTTTTCTCTGAGGAGCTGCTGAGGGCACACTCCGCAGGCTCAGCCTAGCCACGCACTGCCTGCCATGCAACTGGTGCGGGGACAGGAACATGACTCAATCCAGGCCATAAGACTCAATCTTTGCACTTGAATTGGAACCCCTGAGTCCAGCCCCGGTTCTGCTGGGGTCACTGAGCTGGGAGAATGTCAGCCTGGAGCTGCTGCAGGAAAGTGGAGGGAGGCCAAATCCTGGTGACAACATTTACAACCCTGAATCTCAAACACCTAATGTCAGCGGCTGTTGTTTGGGGAAGTCAATCAATCCCCACCCCAAACACACTTTTTTTTTTCCTGCTTAAGATTAAAGTGGTTTTTCAGTTCTTTGGAACCAAAAGAGCACAGACTAGGATAATCAAGCTTGCGTTGGCACGACATGAAAAAAAAGTTGTGAGAGGTTTTTCTAGAAAAGTAAAAGACAGCAATGACTGCAAGAGGTCACGAAGAAGCTGCTGATCATTCCTTGGATATGTGCCATTCGCTGGAGACATGTGTGCTGGGAGGCTGATCAAAGGTGCTGGAGGGAAAAAGTCACCTCTGCAATGAAAATGTACGAGGATCCACAACCACATTCTATGTTAATGATCTCAATGTACAGCCCTTCCCTGAGAGAAACTAATTTGCCTTATGAAAAATGAAGCAGCCAACTTAAGCTATGGTGAGAAACCATTCACTAAACTTGGGAATGCCAACACAGGATGACAACATCTCCCCATTCCATGTCAACAAAGAGAAAATGCAAACAGAAGGAGGGGTCCAGATTGACTTCTAAAAAGAAGGTAAACTATGAAAACATGCTGGGTGGCATCCAGGCACAGCCATTACTGATGAGAGCTGTAGAAATGCAGTATATGAAACACTCCAATTACAGCTCAATCATACAAATCCTACATGTTTCTAACCCGATCCTGCCACTAATCTGTGTGCCCTTGATGGGCAAAACCATGCATGCCCATTCCTCCCAGAACTTCTGGCTCTGCAAAGCTCTACGTTGGGCAGTGACTTGAAATGCTCTGGGCTGATGGCACCAAGTGATGGCAGTGAGAAGCCTCTGCCCTTGAGTCCTCCACCACCTCCTTCAAGACAGCGGTCCTAGTTCCTCCTTTGATAACACCGGCTGGCTAATACCAACTCTGAGACACTGATAACTAAAATCAGTGTCTCCCTCCTACACAGATACAACACTCCTTTTAAAACCTAGTCTTCTTCCCTTTTGCTTACAGGTCTTGCTAGTTACTTCAAGATACCCCTCCCTCTCTTCCCTCTGCAAGTCAAAAAGCAAGCCACAGTGCTAAACAGGAAGACGGTCACAGGACAGTGTTTATGGTAAAACCAAAGTATCTCAGAGATTGGATATTTTGCAATATTAACCACGGGGATCTCTGGGAACAGGGAACTCTTCATTTTTGAAATGTTCTCTAGTTAGCAGGTGTTACTACTGAAATCAAAGGATAAGGGGAGGGGGCAAAGGAAACTTCACTTTGGGTAAAGAAACGGTCCTGAGTAGGAAGCATGAGAATGCTGTGCTGATAATCCTGGAGCAAGGAACAGGAAACGATCACTCAGAATCAGGTTTGGCAGCAGAAATTAACTTCCTCCTGTTCTGTTTTAATCAATTTGTCCCAAATTCTAAGACACTGCTGTTTCCAACTAGTTGAGATGTGCATGGACCAGGACTGACCCTGTAGGGGCAGGGCTTATTTAAATGTCTTTGGTCTTGAAGAGGAAGAGATGGGGGCTTTAGAGACACCAGGGAAGTGAACAGTAAATCTGGCTCCTGTGTTACCTCCATGCCCACAGCGCCTCAACCCTCACCCCATCCAAGGATCTTGGGCCATCACAAGCTTACCCCACTTGGGGAAGGTGGAGCAAGTCTTTCCTGGCACATTTTCTTTTACCTCATGCATTCTTAAAGTGGGTGCTATTGTCCCCAAAGAGACAAAAATTAGTTCTCTGGGGCAAAAAAACCCCCCTCAGCTTATAGAACAGCTTGTGACCCTCTAGAAGGCTACTGGCCATAAGCAGAAGTACAATATTATCTCTGATATTACAATTTTATTTTGGGGCAAATTAGGGGAAAAAAAAGTCTCACAAGGCTCCTAGGTGGGAGGGAGGTAGTGATCATGGCAAAAGATGGAGAAACATAGTTGTACCTTCAGCCCTAGGAGTATTCTGTGAGCATACATAGGAGACTTACAATGACTTTTACCTCCAACAATTTTTCAACTAGATTAAAAACACTATCAGTAACAAGACACTGGTGGGCACCAGACATCATCTCTGTTTTAAAAGCTTCCTGGCTTTACAATGCTGTGATGGGTTTTTGTTGTTGTTGTTGTTTCTGAGACCGAGTTTTTTTTTGCTCTTGTCGCCTAGGCTGGAGTGCAGTGGCACAATCTCAGATCATGGCAACCTCTACCTTCTGGATTCAAGTGATTCTCCTGCCTCAGCCTCCCAAGCAGCTGGGATTACAGGCACCCACCACCATGCCGGGCTAATTTTTGTATTTTTAGTAGAGAGGGGGTTTCACCATGTTGGCCAGCTGGTCTCGAACTCCTGACCTCAGGTGATCCACCCGCCTTGGCCTTCCAAAGTGCTGGGATTACAGGTGTAATTGTTTACTATCCAATGTAGAAGGCAAGACTGCCAGAAAGAAACCCTGTCCAAGCCACATGGGTCTGGGGCAGAGATGGTCTCCCCATCTGCCTGAAACCCTCACCTGAGAAGAGAATGGAGTTTGAGGACCTTCAAGAGTAGAGACTACCAGAGCCCTGCTGAGGGTCTGAAAGGTACAACACAGCCGCTACGGCATGGGAAGACCCAGGAGAATAAGGAACTGCACCTGCCTGCAGGGCCTCCTCCAGCTGTCACAAAGACAGGCAAAGGATCACATCTTCTGTCGAGCATCTGTGAAAGAATACATACACACATACAAGGGAAAGGTTTTTTTGTTTGGTTGTTTTTTTAGATGGAGTCTTGCTCCATCGCCCAGGCTGGAGTGCAGTGGCGGGACCTCGGCTCACTGCAACCTCCACATCTGGGGTTCAAGCGATTTTCCTGCCTCAGCCTCCCAAGTAGCTGGGACTACAGGTGCGTGCCACGATGCCGGGCTAATTTTTTGTATTTTTAGTAGAGACGGGGTTTCACCATGTTAGCCAGGACGGTCTCTATCTTCTGACCTCATGATCTGCCCGCCTCTGCCTCCCAAAGTGCTGGGGTTACAGGTGTGAGCCACCGCGCCCGGCCCCAGGGAAAGGTTTTAAGTCATTAAAAAAAAAAAGGAAGTTGATTCCAAGTCCATCCTTATACCATTACTTTGACCCACCATTCCCCGCTGCCCCCACCGTACAATTCTACACCAACCTGATCTCCTCATCCACAGGAATACAAGTGGGCGTTTTCACCATACAGCTATCTCTAAAGTCGTTTTACTTCTTCATATGAATTCAACACATAACTTTTGGATACCTACTCCTATATTTGCCAGGCACTGTGAGAAGTGCTAGAAATAGTAATGAATGAAGCAGACATTATCCAATTTCTCAATGAACTCTGTCTACTGGAATGCATAACCTAAATGTACAGATGTTATGATGTGATGTTATCTTAAACAAATACATAGCTTTTTGGGGCATTGAGTGCTCAAGTGAATAATCTGAAACCCTCTTTCATAAACTTTTACTCCTCAGCCTGGACAACATAGGGAAACCTGTCTCTACAAAAAATTAAAAACAAACTACCCGAGTGTGGTGGCACACACCTGTGGTCCCAGCTACTTGGGAGGCTGAGGTATGAGGACCACTTGAGCCCAAGAGGTTAAGGCTACAGTGAATCATGATCATGCCACTGCACTCCAGCCTGGGTGACACTGAGCCCCTGTCTCAAAAAAAAAAAAATAAACTTTTACTCCTTATTTACCCTAGAGTAGTGATTTTCAAATGATGGGTCACAAAACTAGCTTCTGGAGGTATGACAATAATTTTTGGAAAAATGGAATAGAAAAAAATATTGAAATGCAGCCTACATAGGTTAAGTACTGTTAAGTAATTTTTATTCCAGTTACATGTATATATCTGTGCGTTGCATCATGCTTAGAAAGTATTTGCTATTGCCAAGAAAGCATCCTTCTGCATCCATTCCAAGAGCATAACATGCAACAGATGGAAATTAGCTTGGTGTCATGGTTGTAATTCAATTACAACCTTAGAGACACCACTGGAGTTTTTGGAGGAAACAAATCACGTACCCTGATCATTCTGGCCAAGAAACACTCTCCCTGATGCAAATGACCTTTTTCTTACCTTATATTTACTAATTTTCAACAGCAGGTTTTAGGGTACATGTAAACTCTTCTGTCCTATTTCAAACATCTCACAGTTCACTCAGTTCTTTCTGTTGTTTTCTTCCCTTGTCTGTGTGTAAATATCCAACGCCCAGGCCCATATTCAAATTTTAAGAGAAAAACCTGGGACGTGGGCCTGCCAGATGGTTCACACCTGTAGCTTTGGGAGGCGAGGTGGGAGGAGCGCTTTGAGCCCAGGAATTGGAGATCACCCTAAGCAACAAGCGGAGACTGTCTCTGCGGGGAAGAAAAAAGATTAGCCAGGTGTGGTGGTGAGCGCCTGTAGTCCCAGCTACCCGCAGTGCTGAGGCAGGAGGATCACTTGAGCCCAGGAGTTCCAGGCTGCAATGAACCATGATTGTGCCACTGCACCCCAGCTTGGGCAACGAGACCCTGTCACAAACAAACAAGCAAACAACAAAAACAGAAACTGAGAAACCCAGGTTATGGCTGTGGAATATAATATGCAATACTTAGAAGGTTAAAAATTCTAGGTTTTGCCTCAGCTCCCATACCACCACCTTTGTTGCTCAATTTTCAGATAATCAGGCTCAGGCTATTATTTTTGGTTTTTCATATCATATTATCATTTTTCATATCCTATGATGTTTCATGTCCTATTGTCATTCTCATCCGGCTAGGCACTTCTCGGGGACGCTGTGTGGTGTTGAGGTTTTACAGGGAAAATGCTAACCTTGGCGCCTCCTGAATTATCAACTAGCTACGGGGTGCCCAGATTTTTCTCCCGAGTTCCAGACCCAGGGCACCCCGAGGCGGCGCCTGGCCGAGGAGCTCCGCACTGCGCCTTGTTAACAGCTGGGTCCGGGCAAACTCGCGCCACCTAATTCTCTGCCCTCTACCGGCTTGAGATGCTTATTCCTCAGGGAGGGCAAGAATCGAAACGATTGAGACCAACTATTTACAAGTGAGGCAACCGGGCTACAGGTGCCTCGAGGGAAAGGAGGCTGGGTCTGCGCTCCCACACCTTGCCGACGGCTCCACGTCCCTGTCTGCGCCCGAGGTCCACCGGTCTGTGAAGCCCACTTTCCCCGCCTCCCTCTCGCGTTGTGCCGCTTGGGGCGCCCGCTAGGACCCAAAATGCGGACTGGTGGGCCGCCCATCAAGGGTTGCCCGCGGTAGGGCGGGGGCTCCCGTGAGCTGCTCCCAAACCCCACTCGCAGGATGCTGCCCTGACGCCCAGGGCCAACCCGGGGAGCCAAGGCCCCCGGTCTCTGCAAGGCCGACCCCAGCCCGCTGGGGACCCTGCAAGCCCGCGCGTGGCTCCCAGCACGCCGGGCGTCCGCGGGGCGAGCTGCTCAGGGTCACTCGGGGTCCCTCGCCAATACAGGCCGCGCGGAGAGTGTGAGGCGAGCCCCGGGCCCGCGCCCCCACGAGCACCTACCTTCCAGGTACCCAACCCCAGGATGGGCATCTTGGCGCCGTTGTTGAGCAGGAGACGGCTTGCCATGGCTGCTGCGCTCCCCAGACCCCCGCCCAGTACGGTGCGGCCTTGGCCGCGGCGCGTACCTTTAAATAGCCCGTGAGGTCGGCAGAAAGGGCGCCTGCGGTTGGCGCGCCGCTGCGCGAAGGAGCCTTCTGATTGGTTGCGCTGGGGGTGCCGCGGCGGCCTTCCCCAAGGGTCGGCGGGGATGCTTCTTCCGCCTGGTCCTAGTGGCAGCGGATTCTTTCCGCCCCCAACGCTCGCCCGCGCCCCGCGTGGCAGAAAGGAGTTCCTCAGCTGCTGTATCTGGTGGGAAAGCGAATGCTTTAGCGAAAATAACAGGCATCCCATAAATACATAGACTAGAAATAAGTTTTGGTTTCATTAAGAGCCCAGAAGAATGCCTTTGTTGTCCAACCCCAGTTTGATGCTCTTTGGGAATCTGACGAATACCTTGTCCTTAATCTATGTGAATCATACTGACTACACATATAGTTTACCGCACTTTGTTCTTAGACAAAGGTGCATGCCAGAAAAATGGCTTGCAATCCTTTTGCAAAGCACCTTCACAAAATATGGGTTTGCCCAGACTTTTTGTAGCCTTCTAGATCTCTCTTTGCACCCCACTCTAGGTGTTAGCTGTGTCTGTGCATACTAGGTGTGGTTCAGCAAGCCTTCCACCAAAAGCCAGCATCCTTTGATGTTCTTGAGGTTAGAAAGCCTTGATGGGCTTGATCCAGAACTCTCAGAAGAATTTGGAAAGTAAGGCTGTCCATTCAGAATCAGTAAGACAAATTTCATCAGTCTTTGGAAAGTGAGACTCTATCAAAGCAGTAAGTTCCAGTACAGTAACTTATCAAAACTCTCTAGAGGAAGAAAAGTGAACAGACAGAAAACCACAGAAGAAAAAGTTGACTCTAATATTGTAGCTTCCAGTATTTCAAATTAGAAGGTACAAAATAGTAAATTGATCACCCTAATTGGCAGGTAGAAACACACATTTTTCCAAGATAGCCTAAGAAAAGTCACTTGAAGATCCTTGAAGACAATTTTGGTTTCTTTCCAACAACCTCTCTTCATGATACTCTACCTCACCCCAACTGCTCTTTCTGCTCCATCACCCTCCGATCTTTCCCCTAATTATGCAAGATTGGGAACTCCATCTGCCTGGTAGTGACTCAAGCACCAGGTCTCTCTAAACTCCATGCCGGTGATTTTCCATTTGGTGCTTTCTTTAAAAGTGCTCCCTCCTGGAAAAATTTATACAGAACAGACTAGCCCAGATATTTTTCCATGTAACTTTTGTAAAAATTGTTGCTATTGGGCAAATTCATTTGTCCCCAAGTAATAGAATTTGAACTTGAGCCTAAAGCTGGGAACTTGCTTTGTGTAAAACAGCAAGTTCCTTCCTCCATGAGAGTCCTCTTGACTTGGAGGTTGCTCTGCCAATTGAACCTCCTGGGTCCAAATCCAAAGAGCTAATCTCTTGTGAAAATGATACACCTTGAGTGGCCAGGTTGGTACACACAGAAGGGTCGTCTGTTAGGGACATGGACTCAATATCAGAGGCTTTGTTGTTGGTTTGATAATAATTGAGTATACAGCTTGATTGCATGAAGTTATAACTGTGTCTAAAGCTGGAGTGATACCTGTAGTCTCAGCTTCTCAGGAGGCTGAGGTGGGATGACTGCTTGAGCCCAGGAGTTAGAGACCAGCCTGGACAACATAGCAAGACCCTGTCTGTAAAATAAATAAATAAACCCAGAATATTTTGGCTGGGCCATGCAGACATGAAAAGTTGTATCAGTGGAATTTCTATAGCAACAATAGCACTCTAGTTGGGACATGCTATTGTGATAGCCCCCTAACATCCCCCATTGCCTCTGTAATCTTTGTAAAATGTACACATACCAAAATTTTTGATCTCAAGATTTTTGATCTCCCATCTTTTGATAAGTATACATATCAAAATTTTGTTTGAAAAAGGGAAAAAAACCTTCAATGGAATCCTCCTGAGAAACACTCTAGTAATTGGAATCTTAACATGCTCTGAACCAGTAATCTCCCATCATGGGAATTTTTCCTAAGGAAATAATTTAAAAGGAAAACACACACACACACACACACACACACACACACACACACACACACACACACTAGGTATAGGGCTGGGCTGGGACCAAGGTAAGACAAATGAGGTACACAGGTACAAATTTTCATGCCAGAAGGTAGGAGCTTTTTTACATTTATGTCCTTGGCACTTGCCTTCCCTTAGTCCCAGGCCTGCACACAGATATACACATATGCGTATGTATTTTTAAAATGCTGTATACTTAAAGTAAAACTGTAAATATCCAACAATAGCAAGAGATAAGGTGTAGCCATCAAAAGTAAAGATGACAAAGACACAGAGAAAAATGTATATGAGGTAATGTTAAGGTGAAAGTAGAAAACAAAGTCATATAGCTATGGAATGATGCTAAGAAGGAAAATACAACCTATAACATTTAGGAAATTTAGGAAGAAGACAGAAGGAAATGGGGAATACTCTTTGTCAGATTATTTCCTTAATGAACACATTTTGAATTAAAAGACAACTTCTTATGAACTGTCCAATTCCCATAGGATAAAACCTAAACTCTTGAGCCTGGCATTCAAGGCCCTGCGAGATCTGGTACAAGTTTGAATATACAAAAAAACCACCCAATTGCATATTTAAAAAGGTAAATCATATGGTACGTAAATTATACATCAATAAAGCTTCTATAAACAAACAAAGGTTATATGCTACATGTCCAACACAAGCTGGTGGAGCTGAGGGTGACAGTAGGCTCTGTTCACATTGTCACTCAGGGACTCAAGCTATGGAGGTCCCACCACATTGTTTCCCTGCTGTCCCAACCCAAGGTTTCAGGGTTTGGCTTAGGAAGGCAAAAGAGAACCTAAGAGTCTCAAATGAGCAATCAATTGCTCAGTCCTGGAAGTGGCACACATCACTTCTACCTATAATCCTTTAACCAGATCTGGTGGTAGAGCCCAGCCAGGCCTATCTTCAATGGGATGGGGAAGTGTCATCCTCCTGTATGCCAGAAAACAGAAGTGAATGGGTATGGTGAGCAACAGAAGTCTCTTCCACAACGACAAACCACTACTGAGTCTTTATTATGGTTTGGACACTGTATTATGGTTCAGCACTTGGCATATGTTATATGAAGGTGCTGCTGCTGCTGCTTATATATCTATTGAGTTATGTACATTAAATCATTTAATCTTCATAACCACCCCTTTCATGGATACTATGATCAATCCATGTTACACGTGAAGAAACTGAGATGCAGAGAAGTGAGAAAAATTGCTAAGATCTCACATTAAGTAAATGTTAGGGTCAATATTTAAACCTAGGAATTTGACTATAGCACTCAAACTCTTAACCACTACCAGTAGCTTTCAAATTTTTAAACTGTGACTCACACTAAGAATTTTGGAATGAGTGACGTCAGGAAGAAGGCTGACTAGAAATGCCTAGTTCTTGTCCCCACCATAAGAAAGGACCAAGGGAATAAATAAACCGCTAATATTTAACTGCAATTATGAAAAAAGAGCATTAAAGTGCAATGGGGGAGTAAAGGGGTACTTGTAGTGATTGGAAGCCCAAGAGAGTACCATGGAGGCACATGGCCTCTGTAGCCCCATCTTGCCTGCCACAATTGCATCAGCCCAGAGACAGGAGGGAAGTCCCCTTTTAGGGAGAAGGTAAAAGAACCTCACCAGTCTCCATTGCCACTGTAAATGACTCCAGTCCTCATTACAAAATAATCCCACAGTCCTTGCAAGCCCCGTGCCCAGTTTGAAGAGCTTCTGGGAATCCATATAGCTGTATCACTCCGGATTAGGAGCACAGGGTGTGTACACACCCTTCCCTTAGTGAGCCAAGCTGCTGCAGCATGGCGCCATCTTGAGATTAGAGCCATTTCTGGACTGTGCCTTGCTCTGGGGGCCGTAGCCATTGCACTTCTCCAGCACTGGGGCTCCATCTTCATTCCACCAAGCCCACATGTGGGCCAACTGCACAAAGACTGGGCCCAGGATTGGCTATGACTCTGGTCCTGCACCACAGTGAAACCAACCCCTGTCATCTGCAATACAGCTGGAGGAACAGTCTGACAGTCTCACCCAGGGTGAACCTTCCTTTAAGCCAGCCAAATGGCTGTGTGTCCTCCCTCAAGCAGGAGAGGTCCCTAGCCCATCAAACAGCTGACATGCCTGCCCCCAGGCCAGCAGAGTGGCCATATGCAGATGTACAGGGCCTGAAAAACAGGCCTGTAGCACCTACTCCCTCCATGAACACACCCTTGGATTGCCTCGCATTCACAACCAGGGCTTGGAGAAACTTGAGAAGCTGACTGAGTAGCTGTGTGAAGCCCATAGGTGGCTGAATCCCACAACTCCAGCTGCATGGATTCTGGGCCCAGAATTGCCTGTGACTCTGGTCCTGCACAGCAGTGAAACCAACCTACACTGTCTGGTTTTACAGTTGGAGGAAGACTCTGGAAGTCTTGTCTGAGGAGAGCCTACCCTTAAGCCAGCTAAACTGCTGCACACCCTCTCCCAAGTGAGAGAGGTCCTTGATCCACCTAACAGCTGACATGCCACTGGGCCCACAGAGCAGCTGTGTGCCCATGCCCAGGGCCTAAGACACAGTAGCAGCATGGGACCACACCCCTACCATGGACATGCTGCTGACCTGCCCAAAGGACCTGCATGTGCAGTCAACGCTTGAGAAACAGCCCTGTTGGCCACCCCCAGCAGACATGCACCCAGGCCAGCCAAGAAGGTGTGTGGCTGCATCCCATACCTGAGAAATGGCCTTGTGGATTGCCCTGGCAAACACACTTCCAGGCAGCCAAGCAGCCATGCACTCATATCTTGGGCCTGGGAGATAGCCCCATAGGCAATCCTTAGAAGGCAAGCAGGCGGGCCATCAAAGCAGCCACACACCTGACCCCCAGGCTTGGGAAACAGCCCCATGGCACTAAATCACAGAGAGCCAGACCCAAAGTTGGCCAACCCAATGTGGCCACACATGCACTCAGACATGAGAAAGGCCTGGCAAGACCACCATGGCAAAGCTGCACTGCCACTGCCACAAAATCTCTCAGCCTAGGACACCGAGATACTCATAAACATTGCAAGGATAGATTATAGTTGAAGAAACTATGCAGATGCTACACTACTGCATGCACCTAGAAACAAAGCCAACGCACTGCCCTGAAGCTACTCCCCAAGACCGATCTATGAGAATAAGTCTTTCCATATAAAACCTACTCCATGAAATTGGAAGGAGTGACTGTTCCACCAGATGTGTAGAAATCAGTGTAGGGACACATCAAACAAGAAGAAGCAAGGAAACATAATACTTCCAAAGGAACACAGTAATTCTCCAGTAACAAATTGCAATAATAAGGAAATACTCAAAATGCCAGGAAAAGAATTCAAAATAATAATCTTAAAGAAACTCAATGAAATAAAAAAGAATAAAGATAGAAAACTCAACAAAATTAGGAAAACAATTCATGATTTGAATAAGAAATTCAACAATGATAAGAACCAAACAGAAATCCTAGAGCTAAAGAATTCAATGAATAAAATAAAAATACAACTGAGAGCTTCAATGACAGATGAGATCAAGCAGAAGAAAGAATTTCTGAACTTAAAAGATAGGTCATTTGAAATAAAACAAGCAAACCAACAAAAAAGATAAAAAGAAAAAAGGAGGCATACAGGAGTTATGAAGCACCATTAAGCAAACAAATATTTGCATTATGGTATTACAGAAGGAGAGTATAAAGGAAATGATATAGAAAACTTATTTAATGAAATAAGTCCAGGCACAGTGGCTCGTGCCTGTAATCCCAGCACTTTGGGAGGCCAAGGCAGGTAGATTTCTTGAGGTCAGGAGTTTGAGACCAGCCTGGCCAACATAGTGAAACCCTGTCTCTACTAAAAATACAAAAATTAACCGGGCATGATGGTGGGCACCCGTAATCCCAGCTACTTGGGAGGCTGAGGCAGGAGAATCACTTGAACCTGGGAAGTAGAGGTTGCAATGAGCTGAGATCATGCTACTGCACTTGCCTGGGCAACAGAGTGAAACTCCATCTCAAAAAAAAAAAGCATATTTAATAAAATAATACCTGAAAACTTCCCAAATGTTGGGAGAGAGACTGATATCCTGATTCAGAAAGCTCAAAGAATCACAAATAGAGTCAACCCAAACAGGTTGATATGCCTCTTCTGAGGCATATTATAGTCAAATTGTCAAAAGGCAAAGGCAAAGAAATAATTCTAAAAACAGCAAGAGAAAAGCATCAAATGACTTATAACACAATCCCCACTAGACTAACAGTGGATTTCTCAGCAGAAATTTACAGGCCAGGAGAAAAAGAGGTGATATATTCAAAATACTGAAAGAAAAAACGACCACTCAAAAATATTATACCCAGCAAATCCGTATTTTGGAAATGAAGAAGAAATAAAATCTTTCACAGGCAAGCAAAAATTAACGGAATTCATCACCACTAGACCAGCCTTGCAAAAATGCTCAAGGGAGTCATACATCTAGAGGTGAAAAGACCCTAATCACCATCGTGAAAACACGTAAAACTATAAAACTCATTGGTAGGGCCAATACACAAAGGAAAAAGGGAAGTCAAACCTATCTCTACATAAAACCACGCAACCACAAAAATAAATAATAAGGGAGGAAATAAAGAACAAAGGACATACAAAACAACCAGAAAATGATTAATAATGACAGGAGTAAGTCCTCAACTATCAATAATAACCTTGAATGTAAATGGATTAAATTTCTCATTTAAGAGATATAGACTAGCTGAGTTAATTAAAAGAAAGAGGACACAACTATATGCTTCCTACAAGAAACTCTTTTAACCTGCAAAGATGCACATAGAAAGTGATTGAAAAAGATACTCTACTCAAAAGGAAACAAAAAAATGAGCAGGAGTAGATATATCAGACAAAACAGAATTCAAATAAAAAGCTAAAAAGAAAAATAGATATTATGTAATAATAAAGGAATCAATTTAGCAAAAGAATATAACAATTGAAATGTATGTGCACCTAACACTGAAACACCTAGATACATAAAGCAAACATTATTAGATTGAAAGGTAGAGATATACTCCAATAGAGTGATAGCTGAGGATTTCCAAACTCCACTCTTGGTATTGGACAGATTCATCTAGACAGAAAAACAATTAAGCAACATCAAATTTAAATCGCACTATAGACTCAGTAGACCTAACAAATATTTACAGAATATTTTACCCAACAGTTGCAGAATACACATTACTTTTGTCAGGACATGGAACATTCTCCAGTATTGACCATATGTTAGGACACAAAATAAGATTCTAAAAATTTTTGAAGGCCAGGTGCAGTGCTTCAGGCCTGTCATCCCATCACTTTGGGAGGCTAAGGCAGGAGGATTGCTTGAGCCCAGGAGTTCAAGACCAGCCTAGGCAAAATAGTAAGATCCTGTCTCTACCAAAAAGAAAAAAAATTAGCTGGGGCTGATGGCACATTCTTGTGGTCCCAGCTACTCAGGAGGCTGAGGTAGGAGGATCACTTGAGCCCAGGAGTTCAAGGCTGCAGTGAACTATGATTGCATCACTGTACTCCAACCAGCCTGGGTGACAGAATGAGACCCCGTTACTATAAAACAAACAAACATATAAATAAATAAATAAAACTGAAATTATATCAACTTTCTTCTCTGACCACAATGGAATAAAACTAGAAATCAATAACAAGCCCGAGGCCAGGTACCCAGGCAAGAATGGCAAGTAGACTTCACTCACATGCTGCCCAAAAAATGGCTCTGCTATCTTCTAGTCTTTGTCTGTACTTTCTCCGGGTGGGTAGAAGCATTCCCGACAACTTCAGAAGGTGCAAATATCATCACACAAACCCTCATCATGCATATAATTCCCTGTTTCAGACTCCCAACATCCATCCAGTCCAATAACAGGCCCACCTTCATCAGTCAAATCACCCAAGGCATCTCTACATCCTTAGGTATAAAATGGGTTCTCCACACACCCTACAGGCCTCAATCTTCAGGCAAAATTGAAAAAGTTAACTCTGTCCTTAAAGCCCAACTCACCAAGCCGGCTCTAGAAACCTGCCAGTCATGTACAAAAAACCTCCTTTTCACCCTCATGAGACTCCACGCAACACAAAAGGCATCCTCTTTTTATAGTCCCTTTGAAATCGTGTGTGGCTGAACTTTTGTCTTGGAGCCTCCACCCTTTCCAGACTCTGAGCCACTCAGGAATTACCTCTTCTCCTTAATCTAGACACTGGATTTTCATTCATGAAGCAGCAAATGAGACCATGCCTCTCCCTGTCGACACCTCCTTGTCTTCTCAACATAACTGTCTTGCAGGCACAGACGTGTTTATCTGCCAACCTGACCCTCGCAAAAAGCTACAACTGAAGTGGACAGGCTCCTACACTGTGGTACTCAGCACGCCAACTGCAATGAGAGTACAAGGGCTCCCCCGCGGGATCCATCGCACCAGGTCAAGCTCACCCCCAAGGCTATTTCTTCCTCTAAAACATTAACAGCTAAGTGGTCCTCCAGGCCAATTTCTCCTACCAAGCTTAAATTAACCCAAAAATTGTTCTTAAAGCCAAAAACCCCCTAGAAAGCCTAAACGCGAGGAAGACTAATCACCTGCTTCCAGAGATGGCCTGTATCTACCCAACCGCTTGCTGTGCCTCACTTCCAACCAAAGGTCTTAATTCCTATATCCCTCACCACAATCCTAATACTGTCAGTAGCCACCCTGCTGTCCACAGCAGCCCCTCCAAGCTGCTGTGATGTGAGTGTTATCTGTCTTTCCACTACGGAGGAAAAATGCAACAATCCTTTACTTACCATAATAATATAGAAAATCCTGTTATGGAACGTTAGTCAAGGAATGTGTTGAATCAGGGAAAAGTTATTATAAAGTGAAAAATCTAGGAGTATCTGGCAGGTATAACGGGGCTATATGTGCAAAAGGTAAGCAGTGGCTTTGCTTCACCAAAATTGGACAATGGAGAGTAAACACTGAAGTGCTAGAGGACATAAAGAGAGAACAGATTGTAGCCAAAGCAAAGGCCAAAATCAACAACTCCCCCCCCAAAAAAAACACCCATGGTATTTCCACCTCTTTATACAAAACTACAAGCAGGCCTATCCCTTCCCAAGCCAGGAAAGAAACCTGCTTGTAGATCTAGGAGAACGCATCGTGCTTACCATGAATGTGTGCAATTGTTGGGTATGCGGGGGAGCTCGTGTGAGTGAACAGTGGCCGTGGTATGGGATAGACACTCTCCCTTACTTACTAGCATCCCAAAACTCCAGCCTCACTTTCACTCCTCAGGAACACCTGCAGTCCTGGACACTTACCAACCCGGTAAGAGGGACGGTGTGCATATCCCGCAAGTGGGCTAATAAAACCCATCGTGCCATAGGTAAAAGTCCCTGTCACCAAACCCTAACAGTCAACACCTCCGCAGCAGAGTGGTGGCAAAGGTTACTCCACAGAGCCTGGTCTCCTTCTAAATTAAGCTACCTCAATCATGTCTCGTCAAAAAGGGGCTGGAACTGTACAAACACCACTAACCCTTATGCCACATACCCCCACCTAAGTGCACAATGGAACAATCCTATGAACACCAGCCTACAATGGATTGCCCCTGATGGATTCCTTTGGATATGTGGAACCCAGGCTTACTTGTGGCCACCTTATCACTGGCAAGGTACTTTCTTCCTAGGAACAATTAAACCTGGATTCTTTTGACTTCCAAAGCAGGTGGGCAACACCCTCGAAGTCCCTGTGTATGATAACCTAAACAAAGAAAAACGATCCTTGAAGGTAGGATGAAGCCAAAGATGGCAAGAGGATGAGGCGCCTCCACAACGGATCATCGAATATTATGGTCCGGCCACTTGGGCTGAGAATGGTTCATCGGGTGATCGCACTCCCATATATTTGCTAAATAGAATAATTAGACTACAGGCTGTTCTAGAAATAAACACTAACCAAACCTCCTCAGCCCTGGAAATGGTCGTGCAACAACAAAATCAAATGCGCGTGGCAATTTATCAAAACAGGCTAGCACTAGACTACTTGTTAGCAGAAGAAGGTGGGGTCTGTGGTAAGTTTAGTATCTCCAATTGTTGTCTTAACATAGACAATAATAGAAAAGCATTTCTAGAAATCGCTTCAAACATAAGAAAAGTAGCCCATGTACAGTCCAAACCTGGAAGGGATGGGAACCAGCAAACCTAGGAGGGTGGTTCTCTAATTTAGGAGGATTTAAAACGCTGGTAGGGACAGTAGTCTTCACCACTGGGTTCCTTCTGTTTCTCCCCCGTATTATCCCACTGATAATAAAAGCCATTAAAAGTCTTGTTGAAACTACAGTTAACCACCAGACAATCCTGCTACGACGACACAATGGATACCAACCCGTCTCTCAGGAATACCCCCAAAATTAAGTTTTTCTTTTTTCCGAGGTGCCCACACCACCCTCTATGTCACGCCTGAAGTAGTTATTTAAAAAGTAATCCCTTTTCCCTTTTTCTATAACCAAATAGACAGGAATGAAAGACTTTCCCCCGGTCCTGAAAGCTTGGGGGAATGAATAACTCCTCCCTTTTCAGGTCCAGTGCCAAGGCACAAGGTCACCTGCACCAGCAGTGTGCGTCAGCAAGATAGCCGAAGCAGGAAGAGAGCTGGCCAGAAGACACGTACCTCTTGAAGACCAAGAAAGAGAGGCCGTGGGGGTACCACGTAGCAGTTACATCAGACTGGGACACTTCCTGTTTATAGGAGACTATAAAACCTCTGCCCCATCCTCATTTGGGGCTGACATCATTTTAGGCCTCAGCCCATCTGCACCCAGGCGCTCATTAAAACAGCGTGTTGCTCCACACTGCCTTGTGTTGTTTGTCCGCGAGCTCTCGGGGTTCCAACCAATATTAGAACCTTGCACTTTCTGGCCTCCAGCTCCTGTTTTCCTCTTTGATGGCCAGATCCATGCCTTTCATGAAGCATTCTAATATTGGGAGCAACTTTTGGAAACTACTAGGGCCATGGCTACCTTTGAGATGGCGAAAAATTACTTTGCTAAGCAAACCTCCTAGAAGAAAAGATTTCTGTGCACAGGTGAGGAGCCTGTGGTATTAGCAAGTTTGGTATCTTTACGGAAGAGGTGCATTCATTCAATTATTCAGTAACTTCATTCATTCATCCCACAAGCATTCACTATTTAATATCAACAGGAACTATTTTTGGCCCCAGGATTACAGAGATGAAGAGAATAAAAGTCTCGAGGCCGGGCACAGTGGCTCACACCTGTAATCCCAGCACTTTGGGAGGCCGAGGCAGGCAGACTGCAAGGTCAGGAGTTCAAGACCAGCTTGGCCAATATGGTGAAACCCCCATCTCTACTAAAAATATAAAAAATTACCTGGGTGTGGTGGTGGGAGCTTGTAGTCCCAGCTACTCGGGAGGCTGAGGCAGGAGAATCTCTTGAACCCGGGAGGCGGAAGTTGCAGTGAGCTGAGATCTTGCCACTGCACTCCAGCCTGGGCAACAGAGTGAGATTCCAGCTCAAAAAAAAAAATCTCCAATTATATGAAGCTTTCTTTCTAGAGACTGGCCAAGACATTGGTCACTGCCCACGAGTTGATGACCAAGTGCACCACCTGAAGCTCTGTTCATTGGGAGGACTTCAACTCGGCATTGTCTTCCAAAGTTATTCCCAAGTGAGCCATCGTGTAGCTGCCATCCATTTTTGACTTGCACCCCCATAACCAATTCACCAACTCAGAAACCAAGCTCAGGCTTTTTCCTCCTCCATTACCTACTTATAAGGGATCCCCCACACCACCGCTTGGGTGAAGCGACGGAGAGGTGCTGGTGCAACAGTGGATGACATGGCTCTGAGTCACCTGCTCACATGGCTTACTTGTGCCCTCTGGTTTTGCTCATGCTTGATCTTGGATAAACACTTCTGCTTTGGATGCATTGTTA
The DNA here is from genome assembly GCF_000001405.40 of Homo sapiens. Classification (NCBI taxonomy): domain Eukaryota; kingdom Metazoa; phylum Chordata; class Mammalia; order Primates; family Hominidae; genus Homo; species Homo sapiens. The sequence goes on from NC_000007.14 coordinate 134,471,149, forward strand.
CTGAGCCTACCCAACCTATGGACTTGGGGGTCTGATAGAACCTAGGACATGATGTGAATTGTGGCTACATTGTCACTTTTGTCCTATGATCAGGTACTCTGCCTCTGTCTGGGTCTGGTAGCACACCAAAAGTTCTTTTTCAAAAGACATTAAATTATCTGCTGCTGATGGCATGGACTTGCTCCAGAGTCCTAGGTCTTCATTGTGACTCTCCCAATTGAGGCTTTCTGTAAGTTCTACACACATCCTTTTCCCCTACTGATACTCTGATACTGATACCATAGGGTCTGCTGGGTTATACAGCCCGAGCAGGGCTGCTCACATTGCAACCTTATCTGGCTGCTGAGCTCTTTCTTCCACTGGGCCTCACCCAAAGCTGGCTGCCTTGGTGACATCTAGGATATGGGTTTGAGCAGTATTCACAAGTGTGAAATATGCTGCCACCAGGGCTTGAAGAGAACTACCAAGAGCTATACTTCCATCTTCATTTATGACAATTAGATTTAGATAGGGAGACGCAACAATTCATCCTTTCTTGTACTTGGGGGAAAATGTCCCAGAATGTCCCAACCACTGGACTCCTAAATGTTTTACTGGTGTGACATACATCCTGAGTCTTAATATGATTTATTTCATCCCTCTGGAGTACGTTTCTTACCAAAATGTCCAGTGTGCTACCCATTTCTTGCTCATATAATCCAACTAGCATGATGTTATTAACATGATAGATCAATGTGGGATGTCAGATAGTCTAGATATCTTTGAACTCTGACAATAGGTCAGAGAGCTAACCTAGCCTTGGGATGAAGCTGTAAAAGCATACTATTGCCTCTTCTATCTGAATGCAGACTGTCTCTGATCCTCTTTATTGATGGGAACAGAAAGAGATCCATTTGCCAGTTAAACATAAATGTAAGGAGTAACTACTGTGATCAATTACAGTATCTTAACTGGATAAAGAGGGACAAGAAGAAGTTGATTGTCCAGGAAGATGGTGACAGACAGTAAAATGAGATAAGGTTAGTGGATCAGAGATCTTGATGGTGTTAAAGAATTGATAAAGTATGAGTGTTACAGGGAATAAGATGGAAAGGTAAGAGGTATTGGTCAGAATAAGATGCTTAAATTTGAGACTCAATGGTAGTAGATTTGTTTGTAATGACAATAAAGAGAGGAAAAGTTCTTAACAATTGAGGGGGTAAATTAACTGAGATAACAAAGTCACCGAGAATTATATGGATATGGCAAGTCTCCAAGAATTATTACAAAAGTGGTAGCGAAAAGCAATAAAATCTCTGATGAATGAGTGTGACCTTAAGATCATTTAAAATAATAGTAGCGTGTATAGTTTTGATGCTGAGTACTTCAAAGTACCTGGGATATTGACAAAAATAGGCTAAGAGCCGCAATATCCAAAGAGAATATCCACCTTACTTTTAGGATCACTGGTATGAGGATGGACAAAGAAAAACAAGACAATTCTTAAGAGAACAGCAGGTGAAGCAATGTCCACAAGGGAATGCATGTTATCAGTTACAGCAAGAACAGGAAATGAACACTGAGAGAAGAGATAGAAGGTAAGGTATAAGGAATGTTGACAATGAGGATTGTTGGCAGTGGTCTATTGATAAATAAAGTTCAACAACCAGTTCTCTGGGAGGGGTGGAGTGGAGTCCTGATTAGCAGCCCTTGCCAGTTTCCAGGGGATTAATGCTCAGACAGTGGCCTATTTTAAGCTGTCTGACATTCAGTGCCAAGACTGGGGCTTGGACAATCTCAGTAATCATAATGACTAAGGTTTTAATGCAATATTCTAAAAAATCAAAATCAATGCAAAAAATCCATGACAAACAAAGTATAAAACATGGATTAAAGATGGGCTGCTGTTTGTGTTTTCGGACCTGCATGATTGTGCAATGGCAACAGTTGTTTCCAGTCAGCCCGGGGCTCCTCAGTCTTAGTGGCTTTTGAGTCACCCAACAGGGTGTTTTATGACAGTTGACAGTGGCATGGGAACAGATTGAATTGGGCAAATTTTTATGTCTACATATCTCTAATTTACTTATGCAGGGCTTTATACATAATCATGGTTTTCTGTTTGGTTTTTTTATTTTTTTAAGAGATGGGGTCTTGCTATGTTGCCCAGGCTGGCCTAGAACTCCTGGTCTCAAGCCATACACCTGCCTCAACGTTCCCAGTAGCCGAGACTACAGGTATGTGCCACTGTGCCTGGCTAATCATGGTTTTTTTCTTTTTTCTTTTCTTTTCTTTTTTTTTTTTGTTTTGTTTTGTTTTGAGACAGGTTCTTGCTCTGTCGCCCAGGCTGGAGTGCAGTGGCACCATCTCGGCTCACTGCAACGTCTGCCTCCCAGGTTTAAGCAATTCTCATGCCTCAGCCTCCTGAGTAGCTGGGATTACAGACGTGTGCCACCACACCCCGCTAATTTTTGTATTTTCAGTAGAGATGGGGTTTCACCATTGTTGGCCAGGCTGGTCTTGAACTCTTGACCTCAGGTGATCCACCCACCTTGGCCTCCCAAAGTGCTGGGATTACAGGCATGAGCCACCATGCCCAGCCTGTTTTTGTTCTTTATCATAGTATTTAGTTTTTTCCACTTGGTTTACCACATGAAAGGATATTTTGATAACTGTATATAGGGGTGCATGTTTTTTCCTCTTGACTCAGGTTCCGATATGATTTCATATAGCACTGCTGGCTTCTCCAAACATGGAGTCAAGGAGAGATGAGCCCAGTTGCCTCTCAGTAGCCTGTGCAATGGGCTCCAGCTGGCCGGTGAGTGATGATCCTCACGGGAATACAAATAACTCTGCACACAGCTGCAGGCATTGGGCTATGGTGTGGCCTCAGGGAAACTTCCATTCTAGTGGCAGAGACAGATAAATGCTAAGCAAAGTAATACATTTATCAACCAAACAAATACAATGATTTCATAGAGTGATTACAACATCGAAAGAGTTAAAACAGGATGATGGGGTGGAGAATGCCTGGGGACCGGGGAGGGAGTGAGGAGGCCTCGCATTTCATTAAAAAATTTCAAGTACTCTGCGGAAATCTTGAAAGAAGTCTTGTTTACTGTTGTGAGAGTCATCAGTTTCATCAGAATCAGGGCTTTGAATCACCATTTTTTGAGAGGTTTTTTGTCAAGAAATGAGAGCAGACTTTAAGAAACTCACTGACTGTGCAGAGGCCTTCTGGAGACACAAAATTGAACTTCAAGCACTTTTTTGTTGAGAGAAAAGGAAAGACCATTGTTAAAACCATTTGCCAAGCTTGAACATTTATTAGTGTCACAAATTGTTGTAAATATTTTTTTCTATAATTTTTGTGAAAGAAATACATTTCCAATGCAATAAAAATCCATTATGACTATAATTTGGAGTGTATGTTTTCATGTACATTCTCCCAGAGAAGAGTTCTAAGCTTTCTTTCAGATCCTAGAGTGGGTTTCTGACCCAAAAAGGTTAAGATTATTAGAGAGCAGCCTCTATAAAATGTACATGCTAAAAGTACACACTATAAGTCCAGAGACTGCAACATGCCTCTCTGTCTCTCCACATGCACAGACACACACAGACACACACAGACACACACACTCACTACACATACATAACTTGTCATATATACATGTGGCAAAATGCTTATGTAAGCTTCCTATTTAAAAGTTGGATTGTAAGACTGTTAGTAAATATCTGTAATACAGCTTGGGGGGAAATGTTTCATGAAACTCTATGCTTAGTTCTGATGATCAGTGCAGAAAAATTCCTAGTAAGTTTTAAAGGAAGTAAAATTATAGTTGAGAAATCTACTCTAATGCCAACCGAGCAAGGGGAACTGAGTTTTCTAAGAGAACATTTCTTGGTAAGCCAAGAAATCAGTAAAGGGTTGTTTCAGCCCTTCTCTGCTGCTTCTTCCTTTCTACTGCCTGGAATGTGGATGTAATGGCTGGAGCTCAAGCAGCCAGCTGGGATTATGAGACAGCATGGTTAAAGCAGCAGAATAGAAAGAGATATCAACCTAAAGGAAGAAACTAAGGCAAAAATTAATGTAGATAATTTATTTTGGCAAAGGTTGAGGACAACTGCCTGGGACACACTTCAAGTTGCCTTGGGGAATGTTCATTTAGCCTTCGTTACAAGCAGGGTATTAAAAGCAAAGGGGGACAAGGAGTACGCTGATAAAAATGTTGTTTGACTGGAATTCTTATTGTTTTACAGAGATAACATTGGCTGGTGATTGGCTTATGCATTGTCGAGCTATAGGGTATAAGCTTTGATGTCCAGCATATGGTAGTTTTTTTTTTTTTTTTTTTTTTTTTTGGAGACTGAGTTTTGCTCTTGTTGCCCAGGCTGGAGTGCAATGGCATGATCTCGTCTCACTACAACCTCTGCCTCCCAGGTCCAGGCAATTCTCCTGCCTCAGCCTCGTGAGTAGCTGGGCTTACAGGCATGCACCACCATGCCTGGCTAATTTTGTATTTTTGATAGAGATGGGGTTTCTCCAAGTTGGTCAGGCTGGTCTCGAACTCCCAACCTCAGGTAATCTGCCTACCTTAGCCTCCCAAAGTGCTGGGATTAGAGGCTTGAGCCACCATGCCCAGCCAGCATATGGTATTTTATGGCTATTTGGCATCAGTTAGTCCAGAGCCCACATAGTAAGTGGCTTCAAGAGGTAACTATCTAGCTCAAGGGGGAGTGAGATGTTACTGCTGTTGCATTTCAATGCTTCCCTGGGCTTGATCATTAAAGGGGGCTACCATTCCTCAGAAAGAAAATTTATTTTCTTTCATAGAGCCTAGATTCTGTTAAAGGATGCAGCTGCCATGTCAGACTTGCCTGCCTCCAATCTCCTTTTTTGAGACAGAAGAAAAAAAAAAACTCTCATTGTATTAATGTTACTCTTTTGGGGTCTGTATTACAGCTGAAACTGACCCTAACCTTTGAAGGATTACCATAAACTCTGCACACATTATCTCACTTATGTATCATCATAACCCATAGGTAAGTATTATTGCACCAGTTTTGTAGTTAAGGAAACAAGACCTACAGGGCTTGAGTAGATGACAGAGTCAGGCAGCCTGGCTTTAGAACTGGTTCTGTTAATCCATACTAGGCATTATTCCAAGCACCTAAGAAGTACAGGCATATCTCAGAGATACTGTGGGCTTGACTGCAGACCACATTAATAAAACAACTATCATGATAAATCAAGTCACATGACTTTTTTTTGGTTTCCCAGTGTAAATAAAAGTTATGTTTACATTGTATAATATAATTGTACAATAGCATTGTGTCTAAAAAACAATGTATCTACCTTAATTTAAAAATATTGCTAAAAAATGCTAAACCATCATATGAGCCTTCAGCAAGTCATAATCTTTTTGCTCTTGCCTTCATGTTGATGGCTGCTGCCTGATCAGGGTAGCGGTTGCTGAATGTCAGGGTGGCTGTGGCAATTACTTATAATAAGAGCAAAGTGAAGTTTACTGCATTGATTGACTCTTCCTATCACAAAAGACTACTCTATAGCATGCAATGCTGTTTGACAGCATTTTACCCACAGTAGAACTTTTTTCAAAATTGAAGTCAGTCCTCTCAAGCCCTGCCAGTGCTTTATCAACTAAGTTTATATAATACTCTACCTAAATCCATTGTCATTTCAACAATATTGAGGGCATCCTCACTAAGAGTAGATTACATCTCAAAAAAGCACTTTCTTTGCTCATCCACAAGAAGCAACTCTACATCCATTCAAGTTTTCTCATAAGATTGCAGCAGTTCGTTCACATCTACAGGCTTCATGTCTAATTCTAGTTCTCTTGCTGTTTCTGCCATATCTGCAGTGACTTTCGCCACTAAAGTCTTGAACCCCTCAGAGTCATCCCTGAGGGTTGGAATCATCATCTTCCAAACTCCTGCTAATGTTGATATTTTGATTTCCTCCCATGAAGCATGAATGTTCTTAATGACATCTATAATGATTCCTTTCCAGAAGGTTTTCAACTTACTTTGTTCAGACCCATCAGAAAATAGCTATCTATGGCAGCTATAGCCTTACAATATGTATTTCTTAAATAATAAGACTTGAAAGTTGATATTACTCCTTGATCCATGAGCTGCGGAATGAATGTTGTGTTAGCGGACAAGAAAAAAAATACATGAATCTCTTTGTGTATCTCCATCAGAGCTCTTGGTTGACCAGGTACATGTCAATGAGCAGTACTATTTTGAAAAGGATCCTTTTTTTTTTGTTCTGGGCAGTAGTTTTCAACAGTGGGTTTAAAATATTCATGTTGTAAACCATGCTGTAAACAGATTTGTTGTCATCCAGGCCTTGTTGTTTCATTTATTGAGCAGGCTGAGCAGATTTTGCATAATTCTTTAGGGCCCTAGGATTTTCAGAATGACCCATGAGCATAGGCTTCAACTTAAATTCGCCAGCTGCATTCACCCCTAACAAGAGAGTCAGCCTGTCCTTTGAAGTTTTGAAGCCAGGCATTGACTTGTCCTGTCTAGCTATGAAGAGTTCTAGATGGCGTCTTCTTCCTGTATAAAGTTGTTTCATCTACACTGAAAATCCATTGTTTAGTGTGGCCACCTCCATCAATAATCTTAGCTAGATTCTCTAACTTGCTGCAGCTTCTGTATCAGCACTTGCTGCTTCATCTTGTACTTTATTACAGAAATGGCTTCTTTGCTTAAACCTCATGAACCAATCTCTGTTAGCTTCAAGTTTCTCTTTTGCAAGTTTCTTACCTCTCTCAGCCTTCATAGAATTGAAGAGAGTTAGGGCCTTGTTCGGGATTAGGCTTTGGCTTAAGAGAATGTTGTGGCTCATTTGATCTTCCATCCAGACCACTGAAACTTTCTCCATATCAGCAATAAAGCTGTTTTGCTTTCTTATCATTTATGTGTTTACTGGAGCAGCAGTTTTAATTTCCTTCAAGAGCTTTTTCAAAGAACTGTGCATTCACAACTTGGCTAACTATTTGGCACAAGAGACCTTGCTTTCAGCCTGTCTCAGCTTTTGACATTCCTTCCTTGCTAGGCTTAGTCATGTCTTAATCTACTTAGCTTTTGATTTAAAGTGAGAGATGCGAGACTCTTCCTTTCATTTGAACTCTTAGAAGTCACTGTAGGATTATCAATTGGCCTAATTTTAATATTCTTATGTCTCAGGGAGTAGGGAGGCCCAAGAAGAGGAAGAGAGATGGGGGAACGGCTGGTCAGTGGAGCAGAACACACAACATTTATCGATTAAGTTTGCCCTCTTATATGGACACGGTTCATGGAATCCCAAAACAATTGTAACAATAACATAAAAGATCACTGATCAGAGATAATGATAACAGATATAATAATGATGAAAAAGTTTGAAATATTGTGAGAATCACCAAAATGTGACACAGATACTCAAGTGAGCACTTGCTGTTGGAATAATGGCACCAGTAGACTTACTTGACTCAAGGCTTCCATGAAACTTCGGTTTGTAAAAATGCAATCTGTGAACTGCAATAATAAAGTGAAGCGTCATGAAATGAGGTGTGCCTGTACAAATGGATGAAAGGTAGATACAAAACTGGTTAAATTCACGCCATTAGTATGGCTCTATTTTACAAGTACCAGAGCTTGTTTGACAAAAGAACACTCATTTCATGTTAGGCAAAATATAATGTATGTTCATATGCATGGAAATCTCTGGAAAACCAAACATAAAATTAATAGTCAATGTGTATTTATCACCCTCTACTGGAAGTTGAGTAGGACTGCTCTTCCTTTCTTGAACTGATAATAAATTGAGTAACAGACACCAGGCACATGAAGATCAAAATATCAGCTTGGTTTCTGACAAGGTTGAATTGCAGAAGGTAATTTGATCTTTGTCTATAGACTCCACCAAATGCCCCCCTGGAATGAATGTGCCCACCAGTGTCAGGCGAAACTGGACCACTGTGACTCCCTCTCAGAGGTAGATCACCTGGGTGGAAAGTATGTGCAACCTGAAGATAGCATTCTTTCTCAGAGAGAGAGAGAGAGAGCAGATCCAAAAGAGGCTGTGCCAAGTGCACACAATTCCTTTTTCTGATTTCATCAGATAAAACACTCCACCACCCTCAGAAGAGAGTAAGTGATGAGCTGGATGAAAGAGAATAGGTGTTATCTTGTAACGATTTTCCCAAGAGCAGAACCTACTTTATGGGGGTAAAGTAGAATCTGGAGAAATGTAGCAGAGAGGTCCCATGAAATGGTTTGCATGAAAGGCAATATGCTAAGTGTTTCATATGGCAAGGTGACAGGTAGTGAGGTAGTCTGAGTCTAGAGACTCCATACAAAACCTCCAGGCTGCGTGGACACTTCCAGACCCTGAGGAAGAGCAGTCACAAGGGGCCAGCTTGGATGAAGGGGCTGATCTCATCACAGGAGTGTCACATACACATCACCACTGAAGCATAAGTGATGCACCCTTCTCTCCACCTTTAGTGTCTGGACAAAGATGTTCTAAAATGGAGGAGGTGTTTTGTGAAATTGCCTCCTCCGTGCAGCCTATTTCCATCCAGGTTTCTCTAGTCCTCTTGATATCCTGAAAGGTGGGTATGGTTGCTATCTTACAGATGAGACATTTAAGGCCCAGAAGGGTTCAGTAGCTTGCCCAAGACCATACAGAACTACTCAGGGAATGGAGCCAAGATTGAATGACTTTAGAAAGCTCCTTCACTTTTCACCTTATCTAATTGCCAACTAGAGAATTATTTCCCAAGAGCTTGAAACTGGTTGGAGAGTGTGACAATACTAACTGATCTACACCTTAAGTAGGATGGGTTATACGATCTATACATAGAAAAGCCCCGTGGTGAGGGAGCTATGCATATGTGATGAATTTAGAATTTCTTTCTTTGCCTGTTTCACCTAAGTGCCTAGAACAAAAATGTGTTTCTTTTTTCATGGACTTTTCAGAAAGAGGCTTTAGCTATGTAGTAGTCTTGAGTGTCAGGTAGTCATGAGAATACAAATCTGTCAGCCATAAATATCCAGAGCTTTTTTGTGATACTAGCTTAAGGGCCTGGTGTTTCACAGTTACAGGTCCTTGATGGGCCAAGAAGGACTCAAGAAGAGAAACTGTATTGAGCTGGAAGAAATGACAGTGATGGATAACAGTGGAAGATGAATGTGGATATGATTTGATAGAACTTGGGTGTGGGCAATTCTTCCATTTCTTATTTAAAAATTCAAGTAGCTAATGGTTTAATAATTTAATAAAGAGTTGTAATTTTATAGGAAGATGGAAGGCCATTTATTGCTGGGATTTTTGCCAGACACTTCATATATTATCCTTCTTAATCCTCAAAAGAACCTACAAAAGTAGGTTGTAATAGCTCTGCCTCTGTCTCTCTTTCTTTCTCTGTCTGATTTTTAGCACATGAAAATGTTTAGGCTTAAAAAAGATTAAGTAACCTAAGTATACAGGTCAAAACCCACATTACTTTCAATATATAATACATTCCAAAAACTTAGCTTCTTAAAACACTATAGAGTTACAATGAGCAGTTCACATACATTGTCTTCTTAAGCCTTCACCTGACCCCTTGGAGTTAGTCTTTATATTGCTCACTTTGTTGATGATAAAGCTGAAGCTCAAAAAACTTATTTCTTACAGCCAGTAAAAAGCAGAGTTGGAATTCAAATGCAGGTCTTCTGACATCCAATATCAAGCTCTGTCCTCACTGTTCCACTGAAATCGGCGACACATTCCTTTTCACCCACAGGAAGCCTTTCTGTGTGAGTCATAACTTTGCATACAGAACAAAGCTGGCTGCCTAAGGACAGATGGGGGTTCATGGCCTTAGACCTTGAAAATCAAAATCTGCAAAGTGAGGCCAACATCAATATTGTAAAAAAAAAAAAAAACCCCTTTGGGACAAGTAATTGTGGATAGCAGCTCCAGAGTGCATTGTTAAAGGAAACTAGAACCTTTGGCATCATCCCAAATCAATTACATTGATATTAAGGAAGATAACCAGGATCTTTCTCCACATATACCTGGTTGCTCTTATGAGATACATAACTAGATAATCATTACATCTGTAAAGTCTAGACATTGGCACTGATTTTGTATCTTCTTTTTCTCTCCCTATTTATTTTCTTCACACATCCATCTCCTACATTAAGCTGCTTCATAATTGCACTTGGCAGCACCTGCCCAGCTAAAATTAAGTTTCAGGCCGGGCATGGTGGCTCATGCCTGTAATCCCAGCACATTTGGAGGCTGAGGAAGGAGGATCACTTGAGCATGGGAATTCAAGACCAGCCTGGGCAAGAGAGCGAGACCCCACCTCTGCAAAAAAAAAAAAAAAAAAAAGACTGAGCCTGCAGGTCGAGGCTGCAGTGAGCCATGATTGTGCCACTGCACTCCAGCCTGAGACTCTGTCTCAATAAAATAAATAAAATATAAAACAAAATAAAGTAAAATAAAATTTCACTGATAACAAAAGGCAGCATGTTATGGAAATTGACAAGGATTCTTTGCTTGGCCAAACTTCAGTCAGGCTTCTAAATCTTCTACTAGGCCCATCTGTGCACTTCTTTGTAAAATCCAGTTCTACCAAACAGCTCTACTTAGTCAGTTGTGCAAGAAACCCCCATCCTCAATATCTGATCAACTCGATATTTGATCAGTTTCCTCCACAGCTCCAGGTGATGTCTGATCACCCTGGCCAGGAAAACAGTCAAGGGTTCCTAAAAGAGGATGCGGGAATAAAAGACATGGTAAAAATCATTTTTTTCACAATAAGAAACCCCGGGCAGTTTTGGAAGGCTTCCCATTGTCTGACATGCACCCCTCAGTCCTAGCTATCTGAAAGAAAAGGAGAAAGAGCCTTCAAGGATCTCAAGGCACATAAAATGGAATCTGCTCTTCTTGTTTGGATCAATTTCTCACATCCAGGATAAATTGTCTGTAGGTACGGAGGTAGGTACACTTCATTAGGTGAAAAATGGAATATTTAAAAATACCTATTTTAAAATAAGATTCTACTTATCTCCTGTCTGGAAATCAGAAGCAAGAGGAGCATAACTTTGATACGGAGTAGTTCTCATGGAACTTAAACTTTTAAAATGTTCTTATTCTTCTTCCACTTTTTAAATACATCACTTCATCCTTGTAAATTCAATTTTAAAAAGCTGCCACAAGGGTTAAAAGTATAGCAATACCATAGGAGTGTGCAAAGTGGCAGGCTTCATAAAGCTAAATGAAACCAAACCAAGTCAAGTCAATGTAGTTCAACTAGCATGTATTGCACCATGTACCAGCCTCCTGGGCCTCAACGAACTTACACCCTGGCTTAGAGCAAACGTGCAGAGTTAGCCTCATGTATTAATCAGTTCTTGTATTTCTCACAGTGCTGAAGGCTAGAAGTTCAAGATCAACGTGTCAGCATGGTCCAGTTCCAGTGAGGGTTCTCTTCCTGCCTTGCAGATGGCCACCTTCTCACTATATCTTCCCATAACTGAGAGAAACAAAAAGAACAAGCTCTCTGGTATCTCTTCTTATAAGGCCACTAGTGCCATAATGATAGACCCACTCTCATACCTCATCTAAACATGATTACCTCCCCATTAAAATAATTACTTTGGAGGCCATTAGGCTGAGGCAGCTCTGCCACCTTGAGTTGCTACATCAGCAAACTGAAGCCTAACTTAGTGTAAATAGTAAAACAAAATTTAACTAATCAGAGATTACCAGCTAACCTCCAACTAGCAACTTTGTCAATCAGAAACTGCCAACTATCCTCTAACTAGGGATTTTCCACTTGAATCAATCAAATATTTTCTTTGTCTTGCTTCTATAAACACCTTACAAAAGTTTCCCCTTGTGATCTCTTGGTAGAGCCCTGAACTGCTTGGGGTCTGGTGCTGCCCAATTCATGAATTGCTACTTGTTCAAATAAATTTTTCAAATTTTTTATGTGTCTAAGTTTTAAACCTTTTAATACCCCCAAGGCCCTACCTCCAAATACCATCATATTGGAGATTATGGCTTCAATGGGGACACTGGGGAGTGGGGGTGGAAGGGGACAGTTTTCATAGAGGGGTCCTATTTGTCCTAGCTCTTGAGTAACACTGTGTGAAGAGTTTGGGGAGAACATCTAAGAAGGTACTGGGGAAAGGGAGAAGAAAATATGGCCAGAAAGGTAAACTGGTACAGATTGTTTAGGTTTTGAGTGCCAAGCAAAGGAACCTTAACTTCTTGTGGATGTGGAATATTCTGGGAATTACATCAGAAAATCAGAGTGTGTGCATTGCAGAGTAGTATCAGCGATGCTGCCCTGAAGAAACAGTGATGGAATTTTCACTAAGTAAATAGATGGTTCTGTTGACTCAGCACTGATTGGTGTGAGTGGACATACCATTGCTTATTGTAGGTGTCGTTCTCTTTGTTTGAATGTTGGGGCTATTTCTTTGTTCAATTCTCCCAATGTTTTCTAAGTAGCTAGCAATAATTTCTAAAATTCTTGCCTAGCTTAGCTATGCTAAGGGAATCCAAAAGAAAGGATATTTTTGTTTCAACTTGAGCTAGAATTGTAAACTGTACTCAGGGAAATCTGGGCATGGTAGTGAAGGGGACACTAAATATTAGCACTCAAAGAGGAAGGAGAAGCCTGGGGGACAGAGGTAGCTGCTTGGTCAACTTCTCCTCCCTGTCTAGAGTTTCCATGAATTAATTAATTCATTCACTCCTCAATAAATATGTGTAAATATATTTGTATTCAGTTTTATAAATAATTTATATTATTTATATATAATAAATATCAAAAATACAACTTTATGGTTTCTCTTCTCTTTCTTTCTTTTTTCTTTTTCTTTTTTTTGTTTTTGGAGACAGCATCCTGCTCTGCTGCCCAGGCTGGAGTGCAGTAGCATGATCTCAGCTCACTGCAACCTCGGCCTCATGGGGTTAAGCAATCCTCCCACCTCAGCCTCCAGGGTATCTGGAACGACATGTGTTTGCCACCATACCCAGCTACAAAATTTTTAAAAACATGTATGCATGAGGCATCTTTTTCTTTATTAAAAATTGTGTGGTTTTCTGTTATTTTTTATTTTTATTTTTATTTTTTGAGACAGAGCCTTGGTCTGTTGCCCAGGCTGGGGTGCAGTGGTGTGATCTTGGTTCACTGCAACCTCTGCCTCCCAGGTTCAAGCAATTCTCCTGCCTCAGCCTCCTGAGTAGCTGGGATTACAGGAGCACACCACCACACCCAGCTAATTTTTGTATTTTTAGTAGAGATGGGGTTCCACTATGTTGGCTAGGTTGGTCTCGAATGCCTGACCTCATGATCCACCTGCCTCAGCCTCCCAAAGTGCTGGGATTACAGCCATCGCATCCGGCCTGTTTCTTTCTTTTTCTTTTCTTTTTTTAAATGAAAACCACAGTGAGAACTGAAACTATCCACATCTCACAGCTTCTGTGAACATAAGTTTGCTTTCTTCTTTACCAAACTCCTTTAGGGAATTCTTGCCCAAGAAATTAAAAATTGCTGATAACTTTATTGTTGATCCTTGGAACTTCCTAAATGACTCATTAACTCTTCAACAGAATAATTTGGTTAGCAAAACAAATATTTAATTTAGCCCCCAAAAAGTCAATTATTACATAACCTGCACTCATATGGCTGGTTAGAGTGGGAAACTGAAATATATATTATTGAGAAACTATATAAGGCATCAAATGTTAGTTTAGTTTACACTTCAAGATTCCTTGAACCCTCTCCTCAAAATCTTTGCCTTGCTGCATCTAACAGTTCTAATCTATTCTGTCATGATGCTTATCTAATTTTAATCAAGCTCCAACCCTTCCTCCCTCTTCTACTGAGAGACCTGCTTTAAACCAGACTTCAAAAATCTCAATACATTTCTTCATGTTGACCTTTCCCTCTAAGATGCTAGTAAGACGTCACAGAGGTAGCATTGTCTTATCAGTAGGATCAATAGATTGTTTTGGTGTTATTTTGGGGGATCCAACATTCCACATATGCCCTTCTCTTAAAGTAGTAGAAATATTGTATAGAGCACCCTTGACATAACTAATTCCATTTTAGGAGAAGACTCCATTTTATATTTCATAGGGTACTTTGCCAACAAAGATAAGATATTTTGTTTAATAAACAAATAAAAAATAAAGACTGTATCCAACCAGATAAGGACACTCTTCCACTATCAGTTCTCACCAGAGGAAGCTGTGACTATCAAAGATTAGCTCTTCAGCATCTCAAAACGGCCATCTTAACTGGCACTTGCCGTTCTTGCCGTCACTCGTGATAAGAACTTGGCATCTGACGCCGAAGGCTCTGCCACCTCAAAGACTCTTCCTTGCAAGACCAACAGAACACCTGGCCCAGACCAGGACTCCTTTTGTCTTCTTAGTTTTCTGTGCACTGTCTTGTTACTCTTTCTCCTATCTCTTTTTCCTCTTAATGTTAAATGTTACTTTGTCTGTTGTGGGATGTTTAACCTATAACATTTATATATTAAGTATACAATTATATATGATGTGTAATGTTGACTGACTGTGAAGTGGCTTGAGTCTGTGTGCCCACAGCTCTGACTACAAGTCAATGGGAAGTACTAAGGAGAATTGCCTCCTTGGGAACTCCGTGTAGCTTGTGGATTTTGTGATTGAAATAGCATCAATAAAAGCCTGACACTGTGGAAAGACACAAACATGTGTGGATCTGGTTATTTCTAACCTTGCACAGCTCAGGACAAAATTGACACAGTTGGCTTACTGGGTACAATGAGCACAGTTGTCTTACTTGGCATAATTGGCATAGTTAGTTGATTTTTAAGGCTGAAGTCCCCACTTAAACTGAAATTGGAAGTCATGCCATTTGGCAAAACAAACTGCCACCATCTCTAAGAAGAGATAATCTCTCTTCACCTTGAAAGTCTGTCTCCCTGAGGAAAACCTTGGGTGACAGGGGACCTTACCTAGGTCATGAAGATAATGACGGCTGACAAGGTCTTGACTGATGCCAAGCTAGGAAGTTGGTGGAGCCAGAAAGGCTCATACCAAGCAGGGTCTCAATTTATGAGATGATGGTTAGCAAAACAAATATTTAATTTGGCCCAAAGAAAGTCAATTATTACATAACCTGCACTCTTATGTCTGGTTAAAGTGGGAAATTGAAATATATATCATTGAGAAACTATATAAAATAGCTACCAATATTGCATAATGTGGGTCCTAGGAAAGAAACTTAAGCAAGCATGCTGGAGGGCTTGTCACCCAAATGCAGTACCCAGTGTTGAGGATCCTTGGTACCCAACAGAGTTGGAAGCCAGGAAAAGACTCTCTGTATGATCCTCTGAGGACATACAGTCAGACTTGAGGGACCCAAAAATTATTCAGCTTTTAATTACCAGAGCCCCCAAAGAAGAAATCCCTGCACTTTTAATGCAAAGTATCTTACAGATAGACAGGGGTCACCACAAAGGCAAAGAGCTAGCTCACAGAATTCTAAGGAAAAGTCAATCCCTTTCCAATGAAACTTTTAAGGAGGAAACCCTGTGTCTTAAGGACCTCCATCCAGAGGACCTAGGAGAATCAATGATCCCTGTTGGAGGTGGGATCTATAAGTCAAGACCTATGATAACTAGAAAAAGAGTTATAGATTGTAATGATGGAAATGGCAGACCTCAGGACGAGAATACACCAGAGCAGAATTACAAATACTAAGAATAGATTTTTGCTAAAGACAGACCACAGATGCAGACTGACTCCGCCATTTATGGGATAATGGAACACCATAACACTATCAGGTGCAGAAATGCATCCTTCTGAGGAGGGATCCAAAAATCCCAGATAGTCTCGCCCATGACAGGGCTTTGGGCAAAAATTATGTTTGTCTGATTGGTGAGCCTGGGTGCCTAAAGAAAGGAACAGTCTTGCAATTTATACTAGAAATCATTCTTATAGGAGAAACTAGAAAAGCACCAGAGACAGGGAATGGTTTTTGGAAGCAGGACTAGTCTTGGAGAAGAGAGGTGGGAGAAAGTTTGTCTGACAGGCATTAGGACCCAGGATGCAAGTGTCAGGATAGATGGGATAGATGGGTGAGTATAGCTTGGGCGACGTATCTTTGAGAGTTCCGCTCATGGCTGCAGGATCAACCAACTTTTTGTTGGGACCCTGAAGCTGAATGGCTTTCCTCTCTGTTGACCCTCAGCTCTGCCTGGAAGTACAGGAAAAGTGGAAGCTGGTTCCAGGCAAACCAACACTCCCAACTCCGAAGAATCGGGGTTTGTTAGAGAGCCCTTTCCCAGAAAGCCTGACACCCGTGTCTTTAGTCTGGCGGCTGTGCTAGTCACTTTTAACTGGCTGACAGGTGCCCGGTGTTTAGCCCCCGAATTCTAAGGAAAAATAGGACAGAATAGCAAGCAAAAGGGGTCTGATGGTACTCACCACATGGCAATATCTCAGACGAGCCCCCAAGATGTGTCTGGGTTCGTGGTCTTGCTGACTTCAAGAATGAAGCTGCAGACCTTCACAGTGAGTGTTACAGCTCTTAAAGGTGGCACGGACCCAAAGAGTGAGCAGCAGCAAGATTTATTGTGAAGAGTGAAAGAACAAATCTTCCACAGTGTGGAAGGGGACCCGAGTGGGTTGCTGCTGCCGGCTGGGGTGGCCAGCTTTTATTCCCTTATTTGTCCCCACCCATGTCCTGCTGATTGGTCCATTTTACAAACTGCTGATTGGTCCATTTTACAGGGTGCTGATTGGTCCATTTTACAGAGTGCTGATTGGTCCATTTTACAAACCTCTAGCTAGCTACAGAGTGCTGATTAGTGTGTTTCTACAGAGCACTGATTGGTGCATTTTACAAATCTCTTGTAGGACAGAAAAGTTCTGCAAGTCCCCACTCGACCCAGGAAGTCCAGCTGGCTTCACCTCTCAGTGGCACATGCCTGTAATCCCAGTTATTGAGGAGGCTGAGGCAAAAGAATCACTTGAACTTGGGAGGTGGAGGTTGCAGTGAGCCAAGATGATGCCATTGCACTCCAGCCTAGGCAACAGAGTGAGACTTCAGTGACAGAGCAAGACTTCATCTCAAAAATAAATAAATAAGATCACTAACTATAATGACAAATACTCTGTAACCATAGACATGTCAGATATGTTCTTTGCCACACCAATAGTCCAAGAAGACCAGGAATATATTACCTTTACCTGGGAAGGCAAATAATACCAATTTAAAAGATTACCACAGGGATATTTAAATAGTCCAATAACAGCTCACTCCATTTTATTATCACACATAGATCAATCAAAATACACATCACTAATAATATTGTACATAGATGACATTACAATGGTAAACAATACCAAGAAAAACTTACCCAAAAGAAATCTCAACACACTTGAGATCACTGAGATGGATGATTATTATAGATACAACTATAAATCAAGACACCAACTGCGAAGTTTTAGGAGTACAGTGGTTATCAGAAGGGATAAAAATTCTGACCACAGTGATAGATGGATCAAAAGCCCATAGGGCACCAAAAAATAAACAGGAAGCAAAGACTAGTAAGTTTCCTTGGATACTAGAGACAGCCTATACCTTACCTAAGCATCATCCTAAAACCAAAAAGATAACCAGGAAATCCCAAGACTTCATATGGGGACAAGAACAAACACAAGCATTTGAAACACTCAAAGACTACATCACCACATTCCAAACATGACATTACCCATCTCCAGATTTGGAACTTAGGTTGGAAATTTTAATGAGCAATGAACATGGAACATGGTCATTATAGACAAAGAAATCAGATTCTAAATCCTACTGGTCAGATTTTGGACAACAAAGTTTCCATATTCTAACAACAAATACAGCCCATTTGAAAAATATATATGGGGCCGGGCACAGTGGCTCACACCTGTAATCCCAGCACTTTGGGACACCAAGGTGGGCAGATCACAAGGCCAAGAGATCGAGACCATCCTGGCCAACATGGTGAAACACCATCTCTACTAAAAATACAAAAATTAGTTGGGCACAGTGGCGGTGCACACCTGTAGTCCTAGCTACTCAGGAGGCTGAGGGAGGAGAATTGCTTGAACCTGGGAGGTGGAGGTTGCAGTGAGCTGAGATGACGCCACTGCACTCCAGCCTGGTGACAGAGCAAGACTCTGTCTCTAAAAAAAAAAAATGTATATATATGTGTGTGTGTGTGTGTGTGTGTGTGTGTGTGTGTGTTTGTGTGTGTGTGTATCTTAAATATGAAGCCTTCAAAAACACTGAGCCTCTGACTGGCAACAGCAATATTACCATTAGATACCATATGCCTCTCCTTCATGGGATAAAATTGAGTCCTGAAAAATAAAAAAATTGACAGGTATCCAAATTGATCCAAAGCTGTTCACATGGAAATGGTATATCCAGGATGGAGACACAGGCTTTAGGGGTCAACCAGGTCTCCTTACTGAGGAAACTCACAACACTGAAATAGATGTGCCAAAATTTATTCTGAGAGTAGGTACAGTTTATGCTAATATAGGAAAATGGGGCCCAGGCTAGTCAAACGTCTTACCCAACACCTGGTTTATAGACAAAAAGGCCTCTGTGACCCAAGGCCAGGCTCAATGGACAGCAGCAGCACTCAGACCTCAGGACCAACCGATCCTGAAGGAGGCAGGTCAATCACTCTTGGCAGAACTAATTGCAGCTGTTCTAGCAGTCAGGCACTCAGAAAATCAAAATAAAATTTACGTTTTTACAGACTTGCAGGCATAGCCCCGCAGCCACATAAATGAAGACAAAACAATTTCAAAATTAATGGTAAAGGTATATGGTCCAAATCTTACTGGGAGCAACTACATGAATTATCAAACTGAATTAAGATATTTGTGGCACATGTCTCAGCACACCAAAAAGTTAATTCAGAGCCCACAAAATTTAATAAACACGTAGATACATTAACAAGAAACATAACCATTGACATTCAAAACATACCCAAATTAAAACTACACAGAAATCCAGACAACTCAGGGAGACATTCATTACACCTCCACAACTCAGGACAAAAATCAGATAGTGAATGGGAGATACCTTAAGTACCCCTGATAACTATAATGAAACAAGGTGTGACTAAAATTAAACAGACACCAGACACCATTCCACAAACACTCCTACAATTACATAAGCAAAAAGGACATTTAAAGGGAACACACAGTCAATGTATAGGTGGCTATCAGACAGAAATCAAAAAGTGACATGGCACCAAATTAAAAAGGCAAAAGCTAATTGTGAGCAATGTAAAACTAACCTAGACAAATATAGATATGCTAAATTCATAGATATATAGTAATATAAACCTGATGCCTTTAATTTCTGCTTACAGATAGATTTTATAGCACCATTAAATCACTCCTATCCACAAAAATATGCAGTAACAATGATGGATACATATACAGGAAATGGTGCAGCAATAGCAGCTAGCCACCCACCTGCTAAATAAACCATCTCATCTTTAGAAAATTGGGCAGCTACAATAGAACCCCTAAAACAACTGAACTTGATCAGGGAACTCATCTTACATTAAGGACAACAAAAGCATTGGCAGATCAATGAGATATACAATGGAATACTACCTACCCTATAATCTGACAGCAGTGGGATGTACAGAAAGATTGAGTGGACTACTAAAGAGAATTAAGAACCTTAGACAAAATGAGTACATTCCAATAAGCTTTTAACCTGGCATGTTTCCATTTAAATCAAAGAGAAAGACTTAACAAAAGCAGCCCCCACTTATATCTTAATCAACTGACCTTAATGGTCACAAAAGATAAGGAAGGACGTAATGCAAATATTAAACCTTACAAGGCAAGCACTAAACTAAATAACAACACTATCTCCCAACAGGACATTATGGCCAATGGACACAGAAACACTTATAGGATTACAGGAAACAGAGGAGAATCACAATTACACAAAATCTTCAACCTCTCTCCAAATTCTCACTAAACTTAGACATGCTATCCCACTTTCTGCAGTATTGTTACACTGTTTTCTTCTAGTCATGCACTAATATTTTCCATAAGAATAAGTGAAGGCATGCTTCAATTCAATCCAATTTTACTTGCCACTAACTTAATATTTTTAACTTCAACATCACTTCAGCCAGGTGCAGTGGCTCACACCTGTAATCCCAGCACTTCGGGAGGCTGAGGCAGGCGGATCACTTGAGGTCCAGAGTTTGAGACCAGCCTGACCTATATGGTGAAACCCCGTCTCTACTAAAAATACAAAAATTAGCCGGCTATGGTGGCGGACACCTGTAATCCCAGCTACTCGGGAGGCTGAGGCAGGAGAATCACTGGAATCCAGGAGGCAGACATTGCAGTGAGCCAAGATCATGCCACTGGACTCCAGCCTGGGCGACACAGTGAGACTCTGTCTCAAAAAAACCCCAAAAACCCAAAACATCACTTCTAGTCATCACCGAAATAATTAAATACCATACCCACTTAAGACATCAAAATGGCTACAAATTTGTGTCACTTCTCAACTGGTCTTATCACCTTTCTCATTCACCTCATACTAGCCATCATAGTGACTTTGCTATCCTGTTACTTACATTGCCGCCGGAGAGACTGTAAACAGACAAATGAGACTAACACAAGTAAACACACCCCTTGCAGGCAAATTACAAATTACACTGTCTGCTTATTAAGAGCGTTATTTGATTAAGCATTTGCAGACTGAGAGCTGTAGTGCACTCCCAGCATATGGATTTAACCTCTCCAGGATCTCCATCACCCTCATGTATCCCGTCTTGCCCTCTTTCCTCTTCAGTTTCAGCCTCATCTTCACCACCTACAGCTCTCAGAACCACTTCACCGATTTCTTTCAGGAATTAGCTAAAGCAGACTGGCCCATGCAGGCCGGTGGAGGCTGGAATTTCATACCAGACTTTGTAGAACCTAAGTGCCACTGCCACCTTCCGACTCCTTACATTTATGAATTAAATGCGGCATCAGCAGCCATTCAAGGTTTAGCTGAAAGTGTACACCCCAATGATTGCATTGGTCTTGCTTGGATGCTAACCTATTATATAAGTTGTATTGTTAAACCGCTTAATAGGAGAGAACAAACACCACATAACTACCTTATTTTGTTGGAGCTACGCCAATTTAACCCAGCAGCCATACCACTGCTGGAAGCAACCCTTGACTATACTATTAAAGAAGTAAATAATTACAATGAGATTTATACATAGATTATTATATCTTTGTTTGCAGTTAACACTACTCTGTTTGCAGTTTAATGCCTATGTATCTGATCATTAATCCCAAACATAGGATTGATACAAATAGCTTAAAATATGTTAGGAGGTATAGAAGGGAAATAACAGATACTATTACTACTACTACTATTAATTCTACTTCTGAAGCAACCATTAAAATCCCTAAGCCTCAAACACACACATATCCAACAATGCCAACTCATACAGCATCTAAAATTATAGTATTAACAGAACACATTTCATAACATATACTTTATGAAAATATACCATTTTTGAACAATTGTTGGAAAATCAAGGGACTGATAAAGGAATACTTAGAGCTTCAATTAGACCATTTTGTTCGTATTTGTTTGACCGAAGCGATGCCTGCAGAGTTTCTACACGAGCATTGAATCAATGCATCTTTTTTTTTTTTTTTTTGAGACAGAGTCTCACTCTATCACCCAGTGGGGAGTGCAGTGGCACAATCACTGGTCTCAAGTGATCCTCCCACCTCAGCCTCCCAGGTAACTGGGACTATAGGCACATGCCCCCACGACCAACTAATTTTTTGCAGAGATGAGGTTTCACCATATTGTCCAGGCTGGTCTCTAACTCCTGGGCTCAAGCGATCTGCCTGCCTTGCCCTCCCAAAGTATTGGGATTAAAGGCATGAGACACAACCCAGCCAATGCGTCTTTATAGAAGCTTTGCACACATTTTTAAGCACCCCTCAGAAGAATGCATAAATGACATGACTAAATGTGACACAGCCAATTTATGCAGCTACAACCAAGCATTCAATAACACTTCAAACCAATAGACAGCACACATAATGGATAGCGAAATGCTAACAGAAACAGACATATCAATCAAAATAGATCATTGCATAAGAAGCAATAAATCAGACCAAAGAGCAATCATAATACCACAGATAGAACCATATATTGCAGGATCTAACATGACATGCTTGAATATAATACACTTCTACAAGTAAGTCATTTGTTAATACTTGATATGAATTCTGAAGGAAATGAAGAAACCCAGGCTTGAAGGAAATGAAGATTATGATTATGAAGTAGGTTCAAAGGATGATACTACACCAAATATTGCTACCACATGAACCACTCCATATTACATATACCCACATTTCAAACCTCCACAGGAAAAAGTATGTTACTGGGATACACATGAGACTATGACAGAATAACAAGGATATGATAAACAGCTAATTTTACCAAATTTATCTCCACTAGATAAATATCATCTAAGAAAACCGCTACAGATATTTGCAGCAATTGGAATTATTTCAATTATTACTTCAATTATGTCCACAGAGATAAAAGACATAATAAGAGGATAAGACATATTGTAACTATTATCTAAGGAACTTTTGTTCACTTTCCATTTTTAGAAAGTTTTCTTTCATCCACCCTGTTCATCTTATGATTACTATGCCAAAAGGCAAGATTATTTGACAGGACCACAATTCTTTAATAAGGCAAAAAAATTATTACCAGCAGAATTAGATTGTAAACAAAGATTATACCCAATAATCTTAACAGATCCTATCACTTTACACACACTACCTGTGAAACACACACTAAAACAACACAAGATTATGTAGATAAAGCTTGTCCTGAATACCAGTATATTGCTTTCAAGGGTACCAGTTAAACATCACAACTGATGAACTTAAAATGTATAGAATCAACGCTACCCAACAAGATATATATTTTGAGGCACAACCAGCATTAATATACTTTAAACTTAACTTGACATACACTAAAGCTACATTCCATTATCCCACAGGTGAAAAATCTTAGCCTCATCCATCCTTCAATATAAATTACTAATCAACATGGCTACAGATGCCAAGACAAACATGCTTTACAAATCAAACTGAACCAACAGACACAGCCCAATTCAGGCAGCTTTGGCATAACACAACACATACTAAATTTACACTAGATAGAAAACTTCTCTATGATTATCAAAAGTACCTTTAGCCAAAGAGCTTATAGAAAATGCAGACAGATATGTTATCATAACTGGAAAGTCTGCTGTATCATGGGATGCAACAGAAGCCAAAACAGGCTCATTTTGGACACAATTGTGAAAAGTACACTAGTTCCCAGTCATCACTGTAGATATAGCAACATACAAAATACCTGCTAAATTTACTGACTTTTGGAAGTCAACATCTTCTAGAAATCCTGGATGGTCCTGGACATCATTGGAAATGAGTATTTTTGATAAATTATGACAAATAAAATGGGAACAATTAATATTCACATGTACTCACAGACCAGATAACTACAATTTGCTATTATCTAAGTCACCTTTAGTACTTGGACCATTTATATCCACATACGAAACAACAGAGATTATTAGCACATTCTCTACAGGAAATGAACCAAGAAATATGATTATATTAAACAAATTTACCAGCAAAACCAAATATGTACAAAATCAAGTTATTTTTCCAATGTGTCCATTGGAAATTCAGGATGATATAAACAACAATACATAATTTAAATCAATTGGTGGGAAACACTAGGAACCAAAATAAATATGAAGAAAGTCATAAAAATAAACCCAGGTATGTCAAATTACTTTTTCTCCACGATCTAGCCATCTAATGGATCATGGAATAAAGTTACATGGTCAGTCCAACATCCTATTTACCAAACCATAACAAGACTAGACTCCCACTTACCTATATTTGTAGCTAAAGACACTTCTTTTGCAAAATGCTCTGTTAAACTCTGTAACTCTGGACTATGCATAATTGACAGAGGATCCTGGAGTGACACACATTGCTTATGAACACACCATTGGAAACCACAGTGGACCAAAGGCATAACAAACTCTCCACCTAAATTATTAAAATCAAATTTATTGAAACACATTCTCATTAACTTATTAAAATTAATTTACAAACCAACACCTAGGAGAGTAAAATATTTTTCAAAATAGAACAATTTAAAGTCACATATGTCCAACCACAATGCATACAATTTGAGGGACAAGGATATGACAAAAAGGGACAAGGATATGACAAAAAGCTCATTTTACCAAATTTATCTCCACTAGATAAATATCACCTAAGAAAAGCGCTATGAATATTTGTAGCAATTGGAATTATTTCAATTATTGATTGAAATTATTATGTCTATTATTTCCACAGAGATAAAAGACATAATCTGCAAGTAACTGCCTTAGAAAATCTACAAATAACTGCCCTAGTCATTTCAGGAATACAAGAAGCAGAAATTCAGGAAGTTAAAACAGACCTATCTGATCTTTAACATAAACTTAACTTCTACATAGAAGGGCAATACCAAGCACTAGGTATGAAAAGAACATGAGAGATATATAGAAACTGACAAAGTAGGAAATTGTTGGCAACAAATGATGAAAAGCAAAATGAGTTTAGGAATTAAATTGTTTTGGAAAATGATTAGATGGCTTCCACTTTTGCTAAACCAATATTGTAATTGTTATCTAATTACAGGCTGTGGACTATGCTATAAACTGGGTTTGTTTTGAGGTTAATCTAAGTAATCTAAAAATAACAGTACTAAAAAGTAGAGAAAAGGATTTGTTTAGTTATCTGGCCTTTGTAAAGGTCTAAACACTAAACAACTAGACAGATCTAAACTAAATTTGAACTTACACAATTGTGAAACAATGTCAACCACGTAAGTTCAAATTTAGTTAAAATAATTTAGTTTATGTTGCAGTGTTCTTCTTTTTCAATTGTAATTAACTTTGTATTTATTCCAACATGTCAGTGACATAATTATGATAAAGCTTATGTAGAACCAAGAAAAAAGTAAAAATTACTTGGAGGTTGAAAATCTCCCCTTTGCTTCTAGATTTATGAATCAAGAAATTATTTTTGGGCAACCTCAAATGTAAACTTCCTCATAGATATATCAACTTTGACATGACCCATTATAATCTTTTCAAGATAGTTTATTTGCAGATAAATAATATGATGCTGTGAAGAGTATCAGACTTTTAGCTGGGTGTGGTGGCTCACACCTGTAATCCCAGCACTCTGAGAGTGTTGGAAGCCAGGAGTTTGAGACCAGCCTACCAATAGAGCAAGACTCTATCTCTATTGAAAAAACAAACAAAAAAGAGTACTGAACTTCTAGTTGAAGATTAATGAATCTTGACTATGGCAAAAAAAAAAAAGAGAAAGTAGAATGATACTTTTAGATTCTGATGAATTCACATGTCTATGCTTTGTACCCAAGTAGAGTCCTCTTAACCATGTCCTGAAAGGGGAGAGTGTGGCTTATTAATGCAGTATTATTAGGTTGATAAATTGGGTTGATGCTATCAGACTACAAAGGGTTGAAGTGTATCTGGGATCTAGAGATGCTCTCAGAGGGATTCAGGAGACTAAAACCATTTTTGTAATGATACTAAAAGCGTTTTTTTTTTATTCTCATTCTCTCACAAGTGTATAGTGGAGTTTCCAGAGGCCACATGGTGTGTGATATTCCAATAGAGTGAATAAAGAAGGTATGAAAATCAGCTGTCTTCTATTAAGTCATACATTAATGAGTTTTATAAAAACGCAAAGTAGTGCCATTCTTCTCACTAAATTTTTGTTTTAGAAAATATAGTTGTATTTTCATAAAATGTTATTTGTATAACATATAATGTTTATTATTTTAAAAAATTATTAATACATAAATATTTTTTAAATTTCTGAGTTTTAGTTTTCAGTATGGTAAATATTGATATATAACCCATATTAAACAAAAGTTCCTTGGGGTCTTCAGTAATTTTTTTTTTGAGGTGGAGTCTCGCTCTGTCTCCCAGGCTGGAGTGAAGTGGTGCAATCTTGGCTCACTGCAACCTCTGCCTCCCAGGTTCAAGCGATTCTCCTGCCTCAGCCTCCCCCGTAGCTGGGACTACAGGCATGTGCCACCAAGCCCAAGTAATTTTTGTATTTTTAGTAGAGACGTGTTTCACCATGTTAGCCAGGATGGTCTTGATCTCTTAACCTTGTGATCCACCCGCCTTGGCCTCCCAAAGTGCTGAGATTACAGGCATGAGCCACCGCACCTGGCCTCAATAATTTTTAAGAGTATAAAGCAGTCATGAGACCCAGAAGTCTGACCACTGCCGTAAAGTTCCACTGATATTCCTCATTCAATGAGGAATCATCCACAGCATCTCTAATAGTTGGTCACTCAACCTAGGAACAAATAATTCCATTCTGTTTTTTTCTACTTTCAGATCTACAGTAATAATTAACCTTGTATTGTTTGATGCCAACTTTTGTGTTTTTACATGTAAATAGATGAATATGATCATTTATATACAATACGTGAATATAATAGGACTCTTCAGGTAGTAGTTAATCTCAATATTCTTGAACCAATATTATTAGTACTACTTTAAACGTTTTTTTAAAACTTTTATTTTAGCTTTGGGGGTACATGTAAAGGTTTGTTACATAGGTAAACACATGCCATGGGGGTTTGTTGTACATATTATTTCATCACCCAGGTTTAAGCTCAGTACCCAATAGTTATCTTTTCTGCTCCTCTCCCTCCTCCTACCCTCCCTGCTCAAGTAGATCCCATTGTCTGTTGTTTCCTTCTTTGTGTTCATAAGTTCTTATCACTTAGCTCTTGATATGGTTTGGCTGTGTCCCCACCCAAATCTCACGTTGAATTCCCATGTGCTGTGGGAGGGGCCCAGTGGGAGGTAATTGAATCCTGGAGTCAGGTCTTTCCTGTGCTATTTTCATGATAGTAAATAAGTCTCATGAAAGCTGATGGTTTTAAAAAGGGGAGTCCCTACACAAGCTCTTTTCTCATCTGCTGCCATGTAAGACGTGCCTTTCACCTTCTGCCATGATTGTGAAGCCTCCCCAGCCATATGGAACTGTAAGTCCATTAAAACTCTTTCTTTTGTAAATTGAGCAGTCTTGGATATGTCTTCATCAGCAGTGTGAAAATTGACTAATACAGCTCCCAGATACTTTCATTCTAAGTGAGTGCATGGATTTGGGAGGCAGCTTGTCAATTTGTCAGGCAATCTTAATCATCATGTCTTTATTCCATGCCACATAGAACTCTTGGAACCATCCTCTTTCTGGTCTTAGTGCTGTCATAAAAGTTTCATGACAGTCCTTCAAATTCTGAAGACAATATCATATCTCACCCAGTTGTTTATTCTGCAAACAAATCATTTCCTGTTGTTTTCACTGTTCTCCATCTGATATGATTTTTAATCTTCTCATTTGTCTGGATTTTCATGGTCCTGGCACACATAGCAAGAAGATAATTTCTTTGGGAAGGATCTTACTGGAGCCAAGGGCAGTGAGAATATCAGCTTTCTCAGTTTGTCATTCTATTTTTCATGCTATTGTTTCTTACTTAATTACTTGTCCCAAAAACCTTATTTCTTTTTATAGAGTTTCTCCAAGGATTAAGTCTCTGCCATTCTGTTTGTACAGTATTCGTCAAACCCCAACTGTCATTCAGACCTTGGGTTTATCCCCAAATTTCAGCCTATCACATTTTAAGTCTTCCCTCAAATCAAAGGTGGTAAAACTTTCTTCTATCTTCTCCCGTTCTTGGAATAAAGAATGTGAATATGACATTTTAAAGCAAGTAAGCCAGTAAAAATTTAATGTTATATTAAAAAAAGAAAGATGAAATAGTAATAATAATAATGGCCTACTTACTCAGTGCTTATAGAAAGGACAAAAGATAGAGTGAAGAGCAATCTCACTTCTTTTAAGGAAAAACCAAAACAATTTTTATTGCTTTTTAGGTGAACTGCCTGAAATGATTGCATGTGAAAAAAAATCTCTGACTGGATTTTATCTCCAAAGAAAATGTTATGCAAATCACTGTCCTCAATTCGCCCATTCCTATCTAATTTTAAGCACTGAGTATACCAAGTATTTACAGTTACTTTGGCCCCCAGATTAATTTATCTCATAGAAATTGTTAAATTAACCTTTGAGTCTCCTCAACTTTGTTGTGGGTCAAGTGGAAGTTATTTATTGCGCTCACTCACCAAAGGCAAACGGCAAACTCTTCAAAGTGTCTCAAAGTGAAGACAGGAGGATACAGCCATGCCCGTTCCATTCAGGTGATTTAACAACTTCATTTTTGAAAGTGAAAATCCAAAACCTATGTACACACACACACACACACACACACACAGGTTCCTATATATAGGTTAACAAATATAGGTGACTATATATATGTGTGTGTGTGTATATATATATATAGAGAGAGAAACATTTAATACAACTATGTTTAAAACATAGCTAGTGTTCTATACTATTCACTTTTGAGTGAATTACTCTGAAGAATAGTCACTTAAAGATTTAAAGAGCCGGGCGCGGTGGCTGGCTTTCACCTACAATCCCAGCACTTTGGAAGGCCGAGGCGGGTGGATCACCTGAAGTCAGGAGTTTAAGACCAGCCTGGCCAACATAGTGAAACCCCGTCTCTACTAAAAATATAAAAATTAGCCAGGCATAGTGGCACACGCCTGTAATCCTAGCTACTCGGGAGACTGAGGCAGGAGAATCACTTGAATCAAGGAGGCGGAGGCTACAGTGAGCCGAGATGGCGCCATTGCACTCCACCCTGGGTAAGAAGAGACAAACTCCTTCTCAAAAAAAAAAAAAAAAAAAAAAAGATTTAAAGATGTTGTCAAATTTGAGTAAGCTAAAACCACATTAAAGTCCATAATGTTATTAATTGTTATTAATAACATGTTATAAAATGTTATCAATGAAAGTATTGAGAATTGCTGTCCTTAATTTCGGTGGGGTCCTTTTTTTGAGATTGATACTGTCCCTGTATTCCCTGAACGTCCTAACACATGTGTATGTGTGTTATATACATATACATATATATGCATTATAGATGCATACATATACATCTATAGGAGCATGTGTCTTAGTCAATTTCCTTTGCTATAAAGGAATACCTGAGGCTGGATAATTTTTTTAAAAAGAGGTTTATTTGGTTCGTGGTCTGCAGGCTGTACCAGAAACATGGTGTCAGCATCTGCTTTGAGGATTTCTACTCATGGTGGAAGCGGAGAGGGAGCAGGCATCACATGGCAAGAAAGGAGGGAAAAGAGAGGGGAGGGAGGTGCCAGACCCTTCTTAGGGATCAGACCTCAAGGGAACTAATAGAGTGAGATTTCACTGACCACCACAAGGATCCACCCCCATGACACAAACACCTTCCATCAGGTCCCACCTCCAACATTAGGGATCAAATTTCAACATGAGATTTGGAGGGGAAAATGTCCAAACTATATTAGGATTTTTTAAAACTTTTATTTTAGGTTCAGGGGTACCTGTGCAGGTTTGTTAAGTAAATAAACTTGTGTCGTATGGGTTTGTTGTAAAGATTATTTCATCACCCATGTATTACCTGGGGAGAAGATGAGAGCTTTTGTCATATTTTCTGAGAGGTGATGGCAAGGGAAGGATATATGAAAGGCTGAAAGCTTGATAAGGGAAGCAGTAGACTGAGAAAAACGGCAAGTGATACTGCTTCAAAATTGAGACTTTGCCCTTAGCGCACTTTTCAAATCTATTTTGCAGCATCTAAAGATCTTTCGTTTTAGAATTGGGAAATGTTAAGTCATTCAGCTCAACCTTTCACAAGAAACCATGATGGTCTCAGTCATTCAGCCTCTGAATATCTCTGGTGATAAGGATGTTACTACTTCCTGTAGCTAGAACATTCTTTATTACATGAAACCCAAATCTACCTTAACTAACGACCTTAACTAAGACTCATTGTCTTAAAGGGAGAGCATCAGGTTAAATAGGGGCTTAATACCTAGGTGATGGGTTGAGAGGTGTAGCAAACAACCATGGCACACGTTTACCTGTGTAACAAACCTGCACATATTGCACATGTATCCCAGAACTTAAAAGAAAATAAAATTAAATATAGAAAGAAGAAAAAAAAAGAAAAAACCTATCATTTTTTTTTGTTGGGGGTAGAAATTAACAAACTGATTCTAATATTTATATGGAAGGACCTAGAATGGCCAAAAAACTTTGAGAAAGAACATTATTGGAGGACTAACACTAACAATTTTAAGACTTATTATAAAGCTACAGTAGTTAAGGCAGTGTTGTATAGTTTTTAGAAGATAAAAAAAATGTCTTCCCGATCTCATGTTAAAGAAAGCATCTTAGAGAGGATATAAAGAGCACTAAAGGAAAAGATTGATAAATCTGATCCCATCAAAATCCAGCATATTTTTCATATGAACATACTATAAAGAGCATACAAATTTGAGCCCCAGAATGTTTTAGGATATTTGCAATACATATATAATTAACAAAGACTGTTACCAGAATATATAAAAGACTCCTACAATCATTAAGGAAACAATAACCAAATAGAAAAATTGAGAAACACTTGAGCAGATATTTAATAAAACTGGAGATCCCAATGGCCAATAAACATATGAAAAAGTATTAAACTTTATTAGTCATCAGTGAAAGGCAAATTAAAATCACAACCAGATACCATTACAAACTGTCTAGATTGGGAAGTGTTACAGATGGTATTTATTGTTTGTGAGCAACATAATTTTTCATATGTACCTGGGGAAAGCACATTGGTAATCATTTTGAAAAATAATTTGTTATCTAGAAAAGTTGAAGATATGAATGTTTGTACTTCAGCAATTTCTGTCCTAGGGAAACTTACACATGTGTATCCTAGTGCCTATGTGTACATAGATGTTCACAGTACCATGGCTAGTAACAGCGAAAGCCTAGAAACCACTCAGATGCCTCTCAGCAAGAGATTGGATAAGTACATTGCAGTACATATACACAACGGACTATCAAGATGAAAATAAAATTACAATTAAAAGAATGAATGAAATTACAATTAAATGAATGAAAGAAACCTCATCTTTCATGATGAAATGAGGCAAATTATTTATGCTATAAATAATATAATGTAAATGTTAATATAATATATAAATAATACAGAAGTAAATAATATATTTATATCTATCCTTTATATATTGTATTAGGGTTCTCTAGAGGGACAGGATTAATAGGATAGATGCAGATATGAAAGGAAGTTTATTAAGGAGTATTGACTCAACATGATCACATGATGAAGTTTCACAATAGGCCGCCTGCAAGCTGAGGAGCAAGGAAGCCAGTCCAAGTCCCAAAACCTCTGAAGTAGAGAAGCTGACAGTGCAGCCTCCAGTCTGTGGTGAAATGTCTGAGTCCAAAAGCTGAAGAGCTTGGAGTCTGATGTTTGAGGGCAGGAAGCATCCAGCACAGGAGAAAGATGTAGGACAGAAGACTAAGCCAGTCTAGTCTTCCCACGTTCTTCTGTCTGCTTTATATTCTGGCTGTGCTGGAAGCTGATTAGATGGTGCCCACCCAGATGGAGGGTGGGTTGTGCCTCTCCTAGTCCAGCTGACTCAAATGTTAATCTGCTTTGGCAACACCCTCACAGACACACCCAGGAACAATATTTCGCATCCTTCAATCCAATCAAGTTGACACTCAATAGTAACCATCACATATATTTATATCTTTTATATATCTTCTTTTTTATATATATTTATATTTTCTATATATATCTTTTTATATATATATTTTCTATATATATTCTCTATATATTTCTCTCTATATATTTTCTATATATATTTCTATATATATTTTTCTCTATATACCTTCTATATATATATATATAGAAGATATAAATATATATTTAATTTTACTTTTTGTAGAACCTCCTGAGGGTACCTCACAGCCCTTGCTGACTGTGTCAGTGTCCATGGGCAACTTATTCCCAAAGCCATTAGTCCTCAAGGAGCAGAGTGAAGCTGGGTTCCATACCAAAGTGGAGAGAAAGTTCTCTACCCACTTTATTTTGTACTTTGTTACATAGATACCAAAGCACCACTATTTGAGCCCCAAATCTTACAAAATCTCTCACCAAAACAACTCCAATTTTTACTTCTAACCTCTTCCTCCAAAAGGGCTCAAAACAGTCCAACATGACTGAGGGTGAAGAGGGAGGCAGGTGGTGTGGTGAGGACAAGAGACAATGCCATCTTCTATGAACCTCATCTCCAACTGCCAATGAAAAACAACTGTCCTGACCCCAAACAAAATCAGCAAACCTCGCTCTCCTCTTTCTTTGTTCAACAACAACAACAACAACAACAGCGATGAAAAATACTCGTTCTTAGGACACTTAGAATTTGCTTAATAATTTTAGAATTTGAGCTCCATATTTGCGTTGGTAAATTATCATACACATTTTCTCCCTGGCTGGACTTCCAGATGCAGGCTGCCTGAACAAAATATATCTTTCTTGCTTCCTTTATTTTTATCCAAATATTCTCTGAGACTTATAGATTTCTTGTCCAAGTGTACTTTTTTCTTTCTTTAGCATCTAGTGTTTCCATGAAATATGTTTCTTTATAAGAACTCACGCCCTTAGTTAATCAAATTCCAATTGATTTGTATGAAACTGTCCTCATTTTCTCCATGCAATACTATTTGGGTACCTGAGGTCCATAAGTAGGGTGACCAACTCATCCTGGTTTGTCTGGGACTTTCCTGATTTTAAAAGCAAAAATCCTGTGATTTGGGAACCCCTCAGGCTCAGGCTAGCAGGGATGGTTGGTCACCCTAGTCAGGGTTTTTCCTAATAGGTAATCCTATCCTGTTAACCCAAGAATTTTAAGTTCACCCCTTCTATGCTGCTTTCTGTCATTTTTGTTTTATTCATTGTATCGAATTTTTACGGTTTCTCCATAAAGTTCCCTGTTTTTTTTTTAATTATAAGGTTCACAATCCATTATATTTGGAGGAAACTTACATAATATCTGGTCAAACTCATTGATCTACAGATGATCAAAATGAGGCTCAGAGAGAAATAGTCTGCTAAATTCACACATCTTAAATCCAGAAGTGGTTATACATCACAATAATAGTATCTATAATAGTAATTGTGACTAGGCCGGGCACGGTGGCTCATGCCTGTAATCCCAGCACTTTGGGAGGCCAAGGTGGCTGGATCACGAGGTCAGGAGTTCAAGACAAGCCTGGCCAACATGGTAAAACCCTGTCTCTACTAAAAATACAAAAATTAGCTAGGCGTGGTGGTGCATGCCTGTAATCCCAGCTGCTCGGGAGGCTGAGGCAGGAGAATTGCTTGAACTTGGGGGGCAGAGATTGCAGTGAGCTGAGATCGTGCCATTGCACTCCAGCCTGGGCAATAGAGTGAGACTCCATCTTAAATAAATAAATAAAATAATAGTGACTAATACTTCTGTGTCCCGAAGTCTTCCTGTTTCCTGGGTACAACTTGGTCTTTAAGGCCAAGTAAAAATTTCCTCAAACTCAGATCTCATCTATGCCAAGTAACTTGGCTTCTTTCCCATCTTTAGAATCCTTGGGGTTCTCACAGTTCTGCTGGGTCCCTCTGGCACTGGGCCCCAGGCTCTGCTGATTTGGGATGCCTGACCTGCTTTAACCTTCTGCATGTGCTCTTTTCTATACAATGTTGCTGGAGCCCCACTGCATGGGACCTTGGCAGCTGAGGCCCTAATTTCGCTTCCAGCATCCCTCCTTCCAAAGTTGTCATCACCATGGTGATGGTAACTGGACTAAGGTCCTCTTCCTACCATTGTTAACATTAAAAAATAATGGATCATATGCTATCTGGACTTGCACTCTTAGTTTCTTAAAACTATTTTTCTGGCCGGGCGCAGTGGCTCGCACCTGTAATCCCAGCACTTTTGGAGGCCGAGGTGGGCGGATCACTTGAGGTCAGGAGTTCGAGAGCAGCCTGGCTAACATGGTGAAACCTCGTCTCTACTAAAAATACAAAAATTAGCTGGGTGGGGTGGCACATGTCTGTAATCCCAGCTACTAGGGAGTCTGAGGCAGGAGAATCACTTGAAACCAGGAGGCAGAGATTGCAGTGAGCCGAGATCGTGCCACCACACTACAGCCTGGGCGACAGAGCCAGACTCTGTCTCAAAAAAAAAAAAAAAAAGCCCAACAAACAAACAAACAAACAAAACCACTATTTTTCTTTAACTCATCCTTCAGTGACATGCAGGCACAAATCTTCCATACCTTGGAACTAGTTTCACTAGTCTAGGGTGGAGAACCCTGTGAGAGGCCCCACAGAGCACCTTCCCTGGCAAGGCTCTGTGGCTCACACTTGCAATCCCAGCACTTTGGGAGGCTGAGGGGGGCGGATCACCTGAGGTCAGGATTTTGAGATCAGCCTGGCCAGCATGGCAAGACCCTGTCCCTACTAAAAATACAAAAATTAGCCAGGCATGGCGGCACACACCTGTAATTCCAGCTACTCTGGAGGCTGAGGCAGGAGAATCACTTGAACCTGGGAGGCCGAGGTTGCAGTGAGCCCAGATCGCACCGTTGCACTCCAGCCTGGGCAACAGAGCAAGACTGTCTAAAAAACAAAAAAACAAAAACAAAAACAAAAGCACCTTCCCTGAATCATACTTTAGGTACATATGCAAGCACATGACTCATTGCTACCTTTAAGAGAATTCTCTGCCCATCCCACATACTGCACAAGAAATGAGCAGTCATCTTTCCTTCTCTTTTTATACCTGGGTCAGAAGTCTTTGTTACAGGACTATTGTTTCCAAAACGTCCCATCATGGCTTTGTCCAGGAAATGGATCAAATCCATGCAAAGAGGTTCCCAAGGCCCCAAAATTTACCTGGGTCTCCAGATGTGCACATCACACCTCAGGATCCTCACTATGTTTAATTATCTATAATAATAATATCTAAAAATATCAATAATAATTCTTAAGACCCTACCTTAGTTGCACTGATACAATTTTCATGATATTGGTATGAAGACAGAGCAAATTCTACCCCAAGCTGTGCTCATATGATTTATGTGGTATTAACATAAAGATGGGGGCTAGGCGCAGTAGCTCATGCCTGTAATCCCAGAACCTTGGGAGGTTGAGGTGGGTGGATCACTTGGGGTCAGGAGTTTGAGACCAGCCTGGCCAACATGGGGAAGCCCCGTCTCTACTAAAAACAAAAAAACTAGCCAGACATGGTGGTGCACATCTGTAGTCCCAGCTACTTGGGAGGCTGAGGCACGAGAATAGCTTGAATACAGGAGATGGAGGTTACCGTGAGCTGAGACTGTGCCATTGCACTCCAGCCTGGGCAACATAGCGAGCCTCTGTTTCAAGGAAAAAAAAAGAAAAAAGATGGTTGCTATAATTATGGAAATATGCTACAGTGATGATTTTCTTACTCCCCTGAGAGAGAGAGAATGAGCTTCTTCTTTATTCTGCAATAAACACATGATTGTTTTGATCTCTGTACTGTTGCTTTTCTGTTAATTTTTAGATAATAAGAAAGTCTATGTTCAGCTTTCTCAAAGTGGGCCTAACCTGACTGCACAGCAGCCTCCTGGGGAGCTGCAAAGACCACCCTGGTGGACTGCAGAGGGAAGCTGGAGAGGATGGAGGGATAATGCTATGGTCTGACTGTTGGTGACCCCAAAAATTTATATGTTAGAAACTAATCCCCAACGTGATAGTATTAAGAGGTGGAGCCTTTTGAGAAGTGATTAAGTTATGAGGACTCCACCTTCATGAATGGGATTAGTGCCCTTTTAAAAGAGGTTCAAGCAAGCTCCCTTGCCCCTTTCTGCCATCTGAAGACACAGCAAGAAGGCACCATCTTTGAAATGGAAAGCAAGCCCTCACTAGATGCTGAATCTGCAGGGGTCTTGATCTTGGACTTTCCAGCCTCCAGAATTGTAAGAATACATTTCTGTTCCTTATAAATTATCTAGTCTGAAGTATTTTATTATAGCAGCCCTCACAGACGAAAACAGATTCATGTTCCTTATCACCCCTGGCTTGTCCCAAGCTTTTAACCTTTATTCTATACCTAAACAATTGTCAGTGAATAAATCACAGCAATTTTTGGAACAGTGTTTCCCTGGGCCATCCTGAGCCTGGCCAATCCATCTTCCCTCTGGAAGTTGCAGCCGAGCATTTCTAGGGGCATCCTGAGACTTCTGTCATAGTCCTGCTCAGCATCTGGTGTTCCAGCAATGGGAAGAATTGGGCCTGGCTGCGTGTAAATGTTCCTCCTAGGAGGGCATTTATTTTCAGTAACAAAGACATCCCCAGTGACAAGGTTCTACTTCAATAAGTCTTGGGGCCATCCAAGGAGGTTTGGCTCCAAGTCAGCTCCTGCCCAAAGGATCACACTGTCTTCATTTTGAAGAACTGATGAACCACTCTGGTGCATCACTTGGAGACAGGCACTGGCAGAGGAAGAGGAAGATGTTCTTAAATATCATGTGCTATGCTCACCTGTGAACAAGTCTTTGAACATGCTGTGCTAGGTCTGACCCATAAGATGAATGCTATACAAGTCAGAAGTGATTAGGAGAGCCATCAAGATGCCATACTGAAATTTAGACACAGGCTGTGTCCATCAAGAAGCACAGGTTTTATTAAAAAGGACAAGGTGTATCTACCTCAAGTATTTTTGCTTTTGAAGAATGACCACTTATATGGCTTGCCAACATCTTCCTGGTTTCCTTCTGTAAGGCCTTTAAAGGTCATCTGGAAAAGTACCTGTGGTCTCTCTCATTTTCACCCATTCTTGCCGCAGGAACTGTATCTGTTCATTTACTAATTAATTCTTTACTCATCAAATAATACTATCTTCACAAAAACTGGTGAGAGAATGTAACTGTGCCTGGTTCCTGCTCTTAGGAAGCTTCCAGACTCAAGGAAGAGGATAAACACTTATATAATGTATAATGGTACAGGTGGTCTGAGTAAAATGCCAAGAAAGCACAAA
The DNA here is from genome assembly GCF_000001405.40 of Homo sapiens. Classification (NCBI taxonomy): domain Eukaryota; kingdom Metazoa; phylum Chordata; class Mammalia; order Primates; family Hominidae; genus Homo; species Homo sapiens. The sequence continues at coordinate 134,508,358 of NC_000007.14, forward strand.
GGATTTAGTGATTAACTCCCGGATTCTACCTGCAGGGGTTGAGAAGGACTGTATTAGTCTGTTCTCACACTGCTATGAAGAAATACTTGAGACTGGGTAATTTATAAAGGAAAGAGGTTTAATTGACTCACAGTTCTGCATTGCTGGGGAGGCCTCAGGAAACTTACAATCATGATGGAAGATTGAAAGCAAAGGAGAAGCAAGCACCTTCTTCACAGGGCAGCAGGAAGGAGTGAGTGCAAGCAGGGAAAGTGCCAGATGCTTATAAAACCATTAGTTCTCCTGAGAACTCACTCATGATCAAGAGAGCAGCATGGGGGAACCACCCCCCATGATCCTATTACCTCCACTTGGTCCTGCCCTTGACATGTGGGGATTATGGGGATTACAATTCAAGATGAGATTTTGGGTGGGGATACAGCCCAACCACATCAAGGACTTCACAGGGGAAGGTAGACCTGGATAGATGAGAGGACCTTGTCAGGCAGAGAAGGCAAAAACAGTTACAGAGACCTCACCAATGGTAGGACTGACCCTGTTCATGGCCCAGGCAGTCTCTAACCTCAAACCAACAGCAATGGTGTGAGCACACATGTGACGTGTGGTGGACAATAACAATGGCTGCCTCCTCTTCCTCACACCTCTTGCTTTTAGGCATTTTCTATCCTTAGCAGGCCAAAGTGACCCTTCCTGGAGAACATAGGAAGCAGACAATTTTGGGTTCATTCATTCCACCGGGAACTGCACTTATTATATAATTACATGTCCCTGGCCCTCTGGGGGAAACAAGGAAGCATTAGGGACTGTCCTTGTGCAAGAAGAACTTATAGTCTTAGTAGGAACAGCACAATACCAAGGCAAAGTTGAAAGTGTGAGTCACAGAAACAAAGGCCACAGCTTCTGTTCACTATGGGTATGTGAGGCCTTCCATATTTTATGAGATACAATACTGAACCTCATAAGCCCAAAAAATAGCTCTCTAAACTTTTCTCTAATTTTCTCTAGGAAATTAAGCTCAACTTATTTATAAAAATGTGCTCACACTGACTAAAGATTGTTAGACTCTGAAATTCAATGATCATAGTTATGATGCTGATGGCAATGTGTACTAGTGATGAGTAACCAACCATCCCTAATGCCCTATCAATAATTCAATGTCAATAGCATCAGTTGTTTTCTATTTCTATATATACCCAAGAACGTACCATCACCATCACAGCTATAGTTTTATGACACTATACATTTCAACTTATTTTTTATTTGAAATATTGATTGTCTATCCTAGGTCCAGCACTTTTTCAGGTGGGAAAATTCAAAAGAAAATGACAGGAAGAGGAAAATACCCTTGGGATGGGACATACTTAGTATCATCTCCCCATATACTCTACCTCAGAATGCAGACGTCTCTGTAATTGGAATAACAGAACCTCTTCCCCCTCTCTACCAATTAATTCACCTTCTCTACCAATTCGCTCTCAAGATTTCAGTTCAAGTTCCAAGCTTTGAAATGCAAATGTCCTAGGGAGGTAGCTGTTGGGTCTGGCTCATCAGGGACTCATGGATCATTTAGCTCCAAATGAATAAGTTTTCAATGGGCTTAATTAAAGAAGGGAGCAGAGAACCCCCCTCATGGGGACTGGGTCTGGGCTTGGGAGACCTGAAACAGCAAGTTGGGTACTGGAGCGAGGAAGGACTGGGGGAAGCTGTAGGTTGAGGCAGGCCCTGTGAATATAATGAGCGTATATATATATATTGGAGATGGAGCCTCGCTCTGTCACCCAGGTTGGAGTGCAGTGGTGCAATCTCGGCTCCCTGCAACCTCCGCCTCCGGGGTTCAAGTGATTCTCCTGCCACAGCCTCCTGAGTAGCTGGGATTACAGGCATGTGCTACCATGCCCAGCTAATTTTTTAGTAGAGACGGCATTTCCCCATGTTGGCCAGGCTGGTCTCTACCTCCTGACCCGAGGTGATCCACCTGCCTCGGCCTCCCAAAGTGCTGGGATTATAGGCGTGAGCCACCGCACCTGGCCATGAGTTTATATTATAATTGCTTCTTAGCACAGAGGAAACAAGAGAGTGCCTAGTATGCGTGAACAAGGATGCAGAGAAAAAGGGAGAGGGCTAGAGTGAGAGCAACAGAGAGACAGAGGAGCTGGAGAATGTACTTATTTTAGAGATACCTCCAGGGCTAGATCTAGGGCAGGCCCTGGTATCAGTTCCTCCCCTTCTCCTCCTGCTTGTGTGTCCCTAAGGAAATTCACGAGAAATTCACACAGTGAATTTCTTCCTGTCCTATGCTCTGTTTTCTTTCACCTGTAAAAAAGGGAGTGGGAAAGTAAGGTAGAGAATAAAGGCAGGGCCAGAGGGAATGAGGGAAAAAAAGCCTAGGGAGGCGTCAGCAGGCCTTGGCCTCTGTTATCTGTTTCCTGAGAGCACAGAATGTCTCATTCCTATGGGTGCTCATTCCGTTCTCTGTGGCCTTTATAAAGGCTGTGCAGTTTTTCAGGTCAGTGCCGTAGATTCCTACATCATTATCACAAGCTCCCACAGTGATGGCTGTTCTTCCCCAAGGGCGTCTCATGTGGCCCTGGGCCCAGAGCTACCTTCAAAAACCCATCTGCGGGGCCTGGGAAGCCTTCTCTTCTCTTACCAAAGCAACTCTGAGACTACTACTCAAAATGTCTTATTCTGCAGAAAGACAAATATCCTTCAAATATTTGTCCCTCAAATATCCCTCAAATATTCTGCAGAAAGACAACTATCCCTCAGGGGCTTTGAGCACCAAGGAAGAGCCTGGCTTCTCAGCCTTGGAACATGAGAGCACAGCTTCTTTGCTGACCTTGGTGTGTGTTTATCACAGGTGACACATAAAGCTTTCTTTCAGACCCAGGACATAGGCACACAGCTTCTCGGTTAGCCTCCCAAGTTTCTGAAGCCCTGATTGTGGGTGTGGGGACTTTGTGCAAGCCAGGGTTATGTTCTTGGAGGGGGTAGTGTTGAAGCCCTGTTTTTCAGACCCTGGACATCTGCACGTAACTGCTCCACTGGCCTAGGGGCATGTCAGGTGCTTGGTGGGTTGAGGACCTGTTCTCCTTGGGGGAGAACACATAGTTATTTGGCTGGCACAAGAGCAGGTTCATCCTGGGTGAGACTGCTAGGTTATTCTTCCAGCTGTATTGGAGATAGCATGGGTTTGTTTCACTGTTGTGCAGGACAAGAGTCATAGCCAATCCTGGGACCAGCCTCTGTACAGTTGGGTACCATGTGGGTTTGGTGGAATGAAGATAGAGCCCCAGTGCTAGAGAGGCACAATGACTATGGCCCCAGAGCAGGGCACACTCCGGCAGTAGGTCTGTTCTCAGGATGGCTCCATGGCTCAGTGGCGTAAGGCGGAGTGCACACCTTATGCACCTCACCTGGAGTGACACAGCTGAGTGAATTCTCAGCAGCTTTCCAAACTGGACTCAGCGCTTACCAGGATGTGGGATTCTCCCATAGTAAGGACTGGAGGTGTTTGCAGTGGCAAGGGGTGACAGGGGGTTCTTCTGTTTACCTTTTTCCCCTAAGAAGTAGTCCTCTTATCTCTGGGCCAGTCCGATCCAGGTGGGTGAGATGGGGCTGCGGAGGCCATGTGCCTCCATCCTGTCCTCCTGAGCCTCCAACCACCTCAGAAGCATCTCCACTCCCCTGCTTCACTCCATCGCTCTCCTTTTGGCACTCCAGTCAAATTTCAGCTGTATATTTATTGCCTTGGTCCTTTCTTGTAGGGAAGATAAGGGTCAGGCATCTCTAGTCAGCCATCTTGCTAATGTCACTCTTCTATTTAATCAAAGTTGTATGTGAAACAGGAGCCTTCAGAAATAAAACCTCCAAAACCTAGGGAAAACTGTTTTTATGCTTAGGTTTGATGAAGAATGAACAGCTGTGTAGAAATGTGATTGCACAAAAGGATGGGCTCTAATGGCAATATACTAAGAGCGGGTGGGAAGCCCAGCAAAGCCAGTCTGTTCAGATTCTTCTTGGCCACTCTGTTGAGCATTCCTTCCTCCTGGCCATATGGCAGGACCCCTATGGATTGAGAGTCTTATGGCCTACTATCAGATAAGGCAGGTAAGCTCCTACACAGAAAGGTGGGAGAAAGGTTAGAGTAATATTTTTAGGTTTTATGACTCACCTTGGGGAGAGGAAATTCTGGTTTCTATGATTCACTTCAGGGGAGAATGAGGGGCAAGAGACAGGAGGGTAGGAGAAGATCTTGCTTCTGAGCCTGCTTTCAGGGCCTTCCAATTTCCTTTTTTTCAAAGTGCTAAACTTGAGATACAGTTTTCTGAGCCCCAACAATCTTTTTTCGGTGTATCACCCCAATGTTCCCTTGCTCAGCTGTCATGTGAAGACAAATATAGCCAGGTGGTTAAAAAAAAAAACACACTATGAGGTCCCTAATCACCTGAAGAAGAAATCTCAGGTCTGCCCACCTAAGGCCACACGAAGTGCTTCCCTCTTGTGAAGGCTGAAATCAGCAGGAATCTTCCCCTGTGGGGAGTGAGGTTGGCACAGGGAACAGGGTAAGTTTCTAGGCAGCATGTGTAGGTAGGGAAGGGGTGCTGACATCGCGGCCTCTCAAACATCAACATGAACAGGTATCACATGGGAATCTTGTGAAAATGTAGAGTCTGACTCAGAGGGTCTGGGGTGGGATCCGAAATTCTGCTTTTCTGTCAAGCTCCTAGGTGATGCCAATGCTGCCAGTCCTCTAAACATACTTTGAGAAGCCAAAGAGGGACATGGAATGGGAAATGATGAGGATTCAAAGACAAAGTTTTCCTTCATTGGGAAATTGCCTTGGTCCACCTCTGGACCTGGGCTTGAGTTCCAGATTGTGTTCTAAATGGACTTTAATTTTTTATGCCTATGTAGACTTGGTTAAACCTTGTTGCCTTTCTCTAGAAAGCATTTTCTCAGGGCAAGTTTTGTGACTTTCCTGGAAAGCCCAGGACATAGGTATGTGCTACCCTCTGCTGGTTAAAGTCTGACATGTACACAATCTGCCGCGGCCCCAGGCTTGATTTTGGATGGGGTTTCCCGATCACACCTGAAATTGTCAAGGCAGTTCCAGGCCAGGAAAGGGATTAGATTGACTCCTTCAATCTTCTAGGTTTGCTCTGTAACAAACCTTTATTTTGGTTTTTGTAGTTGTTGTTTTGTTTTTTTGTTTTGACATGGAGTATCGCTCTGTTGCCCAGGCTGGAGGGCAGTGGCGAGATCTTCGCTCACTGCAACCTCTGCCTCCCCAGTTCAAGCAATTTTCCCTGCCTCAGCTTCCTGAGTAGCTGGGATTACAGGCACCCGCCACGACACCCAGCTAATTTTTGTATTTTTAGTAGAGACGGGGTTTCACCATGTTGGCCAGGCTGGTCTCGAACTCCTGACCTCAAGTGATCCGCCTGCCTCGGCCTCCCAGAAGTGCTGGCGTTACAGGAGTGAGCCACCATACCCAGCCTTGTAACAAACCTTTAGATACACACATTTTCTGAGCTTCACCACAGTGGCGAGAACTTGCTTCTATTGCAAGTAATGGGTCTAGGGTGGATGGATCTAACGCAAATATCTAACACATCTTCAAACGATGTGTTAGAACTGTTAGGGCACTTGCAATCATCTAGTATTGGGTGTTTCAGAAATACTTCGAAGGTTTTTTTTGCCAAAGAGAAAATAAATAATATGTAGGCGGAAAAAGCATTTCACATTATTCTAGTATGCCACCCCTTTTCTCTACTGAGAACCACCACAGTATCATTTTTACACATGAAGAAACTGAGGCTCAAAGTGGCTAATGAATAGGTCACATTGATAGCAGAAAAGCTGGCACTAGGACCTAAGTCCTGGCACATGCTGCCTCCCTGGGATTCCCAGGTCATGTCCAATGCTGCCTCACTCTGTGTGAGATGGTGATGACACTCCTTCAAGACCAGGATGGGTGACTCTCCAGAGCTTTACCACCCTCTCCTGCCCAGTAAGTCAGCTTGGCAAAAGTAGCTTCTTTGGTCAGAAGGAGAAGAAAGAGGTGACAGCAGGGAAGACTACACCAATTATTTTTAATAGAAGTTCTGTAGGAGTAGACCCAACCGTGGTTCTTTCCAGCCCTAGTTTGACAAGGATGATGTTGGTAGTGACCCCCAAGAGACCCTAGAACTGGGAATTTAAGCCCCAGGAGTCTTCTTTTAGAGATCACTATGGAAGATAGGGATAAATGAGATGGTGGGTAGTGCCACCCCCATCCCCTTTGTAAATAATAAAACAATATCCTTCCAGTTTCCGTCTTAAAACAGAGAGGGACTCCAGCTGTGATCTGAATACAGCAGGTTTCTTTACGTAACCCAGTTAGTAGAAATTCATCATCAGACCACTAGGGGGAGTGTGGACTGATTATGGGGAAAAGCGCCAAGAAGAAAGCAAAAAACAACGTGGCTACAAGTAGCCACCAGGAAAAGAGGGTGGAGAGTGATAGATAGATAGATAGACAGATAGATGATAGATAGGTAGGTAGATAGATAGATAGATAGATAGATAGATAGATAGATAGATAGATAGATTTGTGGGGAAAAATCTAAGTGGACAATTCTGCTGTCTGTTCTTTACTGCCTGCTGTCCTCTGAAACAATTTTAAATCTTCAACACCTTCCCTTCAAGTTCAGCTGAGGATCACTTTGCATATTTCAAGACGTCAGACGCATCGTGAAAATAGACAAGTGCCACCTAGTTGTCCTACTGTCAATTCCACCACCTCCCTCCATCCTCTGCTGTTGTATACTCAAATGAAGGTTTCTTCCTGTTACAGAAGGAGGCATGACTGTGGTCCTACCCAGGACTTTCTAAGGGATGGGAGAGCAAGAAGAGTTTCGGTGCATCTATTCTCAGATGCTCACGGAGTCTGAGCTGGTGCCTTTTATACCCTGCTGGTCATACAGACATATTCTTGCCATACAATCAGCCCCAGTGCCAGACTTCTCTGTGTGTGTCGGGGCGGGGGGTGGGGGGATGTGTCGTGTCCATGCCAGGTGCAAGTCATGCATCTCATCTGGGAGTTACATTTCTGATTTCAGTTAGACAGTTCAGGTGATTTCAAGGCCTGCCAGAATGAACCCTAACAGCACAATCCACCCTAGACCCATGGTCAGCCTTTTTACGACAAAACAATTACTCTTAGTTTGACAGCAATGTCAAACTCTGCCTCTCTCCTCCACTTTATAAGGACCCATGTGATTACATCGGGCCCACCAGAATAATCCAGGATAATCCCCTCGTCTCAAAGTCAGCAGATTGGCAGGCTTAATTCCATCTGCAACCTTAATTCTCCTTTGCCATGTAACCTAATATATTCACAGGTGCCAGGGATTAGGGCATGAACATCTTTGTGGGGGGCATTATTTTGCCTACCACACCCTGTGTTATTTCTCATAAGAGTATAAACTTGAGGCTATATCTCTGTTATGTCTGGAGTGCACAGGATTCAAAATGTTTGGAGTACACAGTCAAACTCCTTTCCTCTGGGTATATGGCTTTAACAAATATTGCTTCCCAAGGAAAGAGGCTCTACAACAGGGCCCATCTATTCCCCATGGGAAACGCTCTAATGCTTTTCCAAATTTGTCCAATCACCATGAGTCACACTATAAAAAGAATGGTCAGCACTGAGTCATGGTGCTTAAGCCGTGGAAGAACATGTCGGTAGGTTGCTTTCTCTAATTAAACATTTTCATTGACTGGGTGGCTTATAAGTCTTCTGTGAGTATGTAACTTGAAATTCTGCTGTGAGATGCCCTGGTCATTGTGTTGGGGATATCTCAGACTCCATTTGAATTAAGACATCTAATAACCCAGCTGTGCTGGCATGCAGGCTCATTCCCATTTCCAGGTTTGGGCATGTCATCTTAGTAGCTGCTATAATTGTCAGTCCTGTACTGTCATGCCAGGTAACTTGTCATCTTTGTCCCTCATCCTGAAATAGGATGCTTCTAGTTTTTCTATTTATGTTAGGTCTTTTTCTTCAACATGTCTTTCCTTATTAAAAATGAATTCTGCCTGGTCAACGATTTCTAGCCCAGTTTCCAATCTTCCTAAAGCTCTCTTACTTTGGGTGGGCTGATGCTGTTTGAGCCACCAGACACATTGTTGCCATTGAGTACTCATTGCTTTAGTGTAATTTGGAAATAAAGTGGAGATCCAAAAATGTTGAATTCTTCAGGGTAAGGACGTATAAGTAGTAGTGATCCCTAGGTAAATTTTGGTTTGTGTATATTGTAATGCTTCTCAGCAGACAGACTTAAAATGGAGCTTCTTTGAGCCTTGCACTCCTATTGGAGTGTTTTTCTTTTCTTTTCTTTTCTTTTCTTTTCTTTTCTTTTCTTTTCTTTTCTTTTCTTTTCTTTTCTTTTCTTTTCTTCCCCCAAGTTGGAGTCTCGCACTGTTGCCTCGGCTGGAGTGCAATGGCGTGATCTCGGCTCACTGCAACTTTCCGTCTCCCAGCTTCAAGCGATTCTCCCGCCTCAGCCTCCCGTGTAGCTGGGATTACAGGCACCCACCACCAGGCTTGGCTAACTTTGTATTTTTAGTAGAGACGGGGTTTCACTATGTTGGTCAGGCTGGTCTCAGAACCATACATGTCTAATTGCTGGCTTTTCATTCTCAGGAATGCAGGATCACCAAGTTGTATATCATTACTTTCTCTATCAGTGATCCAAGTATTTTAATTGTGCCTTCACCTCTTCATGGATTTTCTTTTTCTACTCACAACGGCTTTTTTAAAGACATAATTTTATAACAGATGGAGCATTCAATGGATAATTTATATCCCAATACCTTTCTTAAACCTTCACTAATCACAATTAATGGTCATGCAGTGTTCATTCAAAAGATTATTGATCAGTGTTCTCTGGATTTGACAGGGGAAATATTCTGCTGCTTTCTAACTTAAGTCCTAAGGCTCATAAGTTTGACCTTGATGCAGCTCACGTCTTGGTTTTTTAAAAGAGGAGGAGTTCTCAGCAGACAGAGTTCTCCCTCCCAAGGGGAATCTGGATCAAAACTTATGAGATAATATTATTCTCTTGCTCCAGCCTCTGCAAGGCACCGAATTGCAGGTAGATATCACAATCATTTGTTGACTTTTTTCTCCCAATGACAATCTTACCTTTCTTTCATTCATCATTAATTTTCATCAAACATTTTCCTACAAATGAGGTCCCTCTTTTCAGCCATTGGACAATTCCTATTGTTGGTAGCAGTATGGGACATGCCAGGGCTTCCCTTTACAGTCATTTGCAATCATTGAGGGTCAGACTAAATAAGTACAGAAACAGAGGACCATCTTGTCCATTAGGCAACAAAATAATTGCAATAGCCCCACTTTAGTGAGGTGTAGAAAAAGAATAATCCTTTTTGGTAATTGACCCAAGAATAATTGTATCAATCCCTAGGGAATTCTTGCAATTAGGTTCTATTTTATAGGTATAGTATCTTGTTTTGGAATATTACCAGCCTATGGGACCCTTTGTTGTATGAATAGCTCTGGTTCAGGGACTAGCAGGTTTGCCATTCAACAAGGAAATTGTGGTGAAGAAAGGAAGAGTTGGCTTCAAGTTTCTGTATTGTCTCCTATTTCCTAATCCGCTACAAAAGTGTAGCAATTTATCTAATGGAAACTCACCTTTAAATATTCTCATGTCAACTTGCAAAACATATCTCTGAAGATAGTAGACCAGCTTTTCAATCCTTTTGAAAGCAGATGCTTTAGTTGTTCATTCGAACTTTCTATAAACCTATTAACTTGATAGTGATAAGAAATATAATAAATTCATTGAATGTGATGCTTCTTGGGCCCTTGTTGTGCTGTGTGGGTAGTGAAATGTTTGCTTTAATTTGATGAAATATAACTAGGTGGGAAACACTGATGTAGAATGCTTTTTTGTTGTTGTTAGTGTTCTTTTTTTAAATTGTAGGTCCTAAGGGAAAAGAGGCTACTTGCTGGTGAATAAAATGTACCCCTCCTGTGGTTTGCCTGATAGCATGTTCCTGTATGCATCATTTCCATTCTATGATGGAACTTCTTTGAGCCTTGTACTCCTGTTGGAGTGCTTTTCTTTTCTTTTCTTCTTTTTTTCCCCCAAGTTGGAGTCTCACACTGTTGCCTCGGCTGGAGTGCAATGGCGTGATCCCGGCTCACTGCAACCTTTCCGCCTCCCAGCTTCAAGCGATTCTCCTGCCTCAGCCTCCCATGTAGCTGGGATTACAGGCGTCCACCACCACGCCTGGCTAATTTCTTGTATTTTTAGTAGAGACGAGGTTTCACTATGTTGGTCAGGCTGGTCTCAAACTCCTGATCTTGTGATCCGCCTGCCTCAGCCTCCCAAAGTGCTGGGATTACAGGCGTGAGCCACCTCACCTGGCTGGCCAAAGTGCTTTTCTGACATCACCCATGGAATGATGGGTATTTCCAGTCTTTATGTTCTTCAGTTATTTGGGTTATCTCAATACCCAGTAACAAACAAGTAACTGTTTTCCAGAAGGAGTACAGCAGAGAGCAGCATTTGGTAATGCTCTAGTCCCCCAATCCAAAGTTGGTGAGCAGCAGTCATGGACTTCTGCTGGAGAGTTCACACAGCTTGAATATGGGGAGCCAATACTCATATCATTTTAGCATGATGATTGTGTGTTCCCAGTGGAACCACTGCCTCCTGCAGTCATAAGAAGGCTGTTGTTTGGGTTCCCAATCAAATGCATCCTTTTCCGCAGTGATTTTATGTATTGGGACCAGCAGTATTCATAACTCAGGGATATGATTTCTCCAAAAGCCAAATAGACCCACTGGGCATTGAGCCTCTTAGTTAGTCTGAGGGTTAGGAGTAATTTGTTTTTGGTGGTCTGTGGTATGTTATGGGTCATTCCAGCACATATTACCTCACCAAAACTTTCACAGTGTGTGTGGCCCCTCAATTTTAGCAATCATCTCCAATTAGAGATATGCTTTATAAGCTTAATTACTTTATTCTTAGCTTGATCTTCAGTTTCAGAAATAATCATATCATCAATATAATCTATTATTAGTACATCATCCAGTTGTATTAGATGTGGAGCCCACCTTAACAGTTAGTGAAAATACATGGGAGAGGCTGGGCATGGTGGCTCACACCTGTAATCTCAGCACTTTGGGAGGCTGATGTGGGTTGATCACCTGAGGTCAGGAGTTTGAGACCAGCATGACCAATATAGTGAAACCCCATCTCTACTAAAAATACAAAAACTTAGCCAGGCGTGGTGGTGTGTGCCTGTAGTCCCAGCCACTAGGGAGGCTGAGATAGGAGAATTGCTTGAACCCAGGAGGCAGGGGTTGCAGTGAGTCAAGATCGTGCCACTGCACTCCAGCTTGGGCAACAGAGCGAGACTCTGTCTCAAAAAAAAAAAAGAAAGAAAGAAAGAAAGAAAGAAAATACATGGGAGAGTTGAAATATTTTTGAAGTAGTACAGTAAACGCATGAGGGCGATCATTCTACATCAGAGAAAATTGTTGGCTCACCTTCGTGACTGATATGGAGAGAGGTGAATTAGCCATATTAATTACAGATCAATTGCCAGTTGTTTTTACTTTGTTGTATCAGTAGAAGAGTCTGGACCTGTTGGGGACACAGTTTTGCTTTTCCTCTATTCTATTGTGAAGTGAACTGCCATGCCATGAACTGTCAGCCTTCCTTACTGACCATGCCAGGCTATTGTACATGGTGTTTGTGTACGCTAACACATGTGCGTCTAATATTTCCCTAGTTAGGGCTGTCATTTCTTGTTGATTGTTGATATTGTTTCAAATTTACTATTTGAGTTGGCTTAGGCAACTCTCAAGGCTCCCAGTTTCCATGTCCAATTAATACCGAACAAAAACAAATCTACAAGTTATTTTTTAAATCTTACCCAGTAGGGGGAGGAATTTCCTTTCAGAGATTATATCCATACCAGTTACATTTTCAGATAACAGAAATACCACTGTTCCATGGATTTTATCATATATTCTGATATTAATCAGAGTTTAATTTGCATTCTCTCCACAGTCACATCCCCAGGTCTCCCTAAATGAATTCTATCACCCCAAACAGCTCGTTACCAGAGTTAGAAAGTAATATACAGTGTGCTCTTGCATCCAATAGAAGTAAAAGAAGTTGAACAATGAGAACACATGGACACAGGGAGGGGAATATCACACACCGGGGCCTGCTGGGGGCTGGGGAGCTAGGGGAGGGATAGCATTGGGAGAAATACCTAATGTAGATGACGGGTTGATGGGTGCAGCAAACCACCATGGCATGTGTATACCTATGTAACAAACCTGCACGTTCTGCACATGTATCCCAGAACTTAAAGTATATATATATATATTTAAAGAAGTAAAAGAAGCGTTTCCTTTCCATCCCAGGCCGCCTTTACGTTTGTAAAAGGCTTTGGGTTCCACAGCTAGATGGGATTCAAACACTAAGCAAGGCTCACAGGATCCAAAATGGCAAGGCTTAGAAATCTACAGGTGACTACAGGAAAAGAAAACAATAGAGAAACAGCCTAGAAGTGAGACTATTCATACTAGTCAAAGGCTGTCTCCAGCAAAGGGTCTGGAGGAGCTGGTCTGGGCTCCAAGTTTTCTTCCTTTCTTTAAGGGTTGTACCAGGACATTCTTGAATCAGAACCACTAATATATGTACAGAATCCATTGGAACTAAAGGGTCAAAAGTGGAATCTAATCTTTCTGGCTACATCAGAGTTTTCTTGCTACACAAGCAGAAAGAAGGACAGAGCCCTGTAAGAGTTTATACTGAGGTGCACATCACCAATTTCAATGTTATCAACAACAAAACTGATATAAACTGCCACGCAACTCCCCAGACCCAAAGTCGTAAAGAAACACTGTTAATCATTATGGTTCATATCTCATGCCAGGGAGGTGCCTTTATTTATTTTAATAAAATGTATCAGGCTAATCCAGGCCTGCTGAAATTAACTCTTACAGCACAGGTGGATATAAATTAATTTTTTAAAAAATCTCCATTTATGTTACATAGAGATACAGTTCCAGTGGAATTTTATAATAGATGTTTAATGGTTTATCAAAAATTTAAGAATTTATGCTTAAAAATTATTGTTGCATAAATACTAATTTTAATGATAACTTGATTCAGAAGAAAATTTTTCTAACCCCCAGAAACTTATGATCACAGGATATAAAGCATAAACATTTTAATGACCGTGAGTCATTGTAAGATACATTTTCTGAGGATTTCATGTGTATGAATATTATTATATTCTCCCATTTAAATGGCAGTTTGGCTGGATAGAAAATTCTGAGTTTAAAGTTATTTTTCTTCAATACTTAAGAAAAAATTTCTCCATTGCCTTTTTGTATTCAGTATTCTGACAGGGGTAAAAAGCAGACTGCTCTGAAAATAACCTGATTTGTATATTTGAATTTGAAACTATGCATATTTGGCTTTGGAACATAATTCTAAAACAAAACACTTGAAAAAGAACCCCTGGAATTTAAAACCAAAATAGAATTGTAAAAAAATACATACCTTAGGCCCCTGAAATCACTAAACTAAAGGGAAATGTCAAGCTGGGAACTGCTAAGACAAACCTGCCTCCCATTCTATTCAAAGTCACCCCTCTGGGCCCGGTGCGGTGGCTCACATCTGTAATCCCAGCACTTTGGGAGGCCAAGGCGGATGGATTACCTGAGGTCAGGAGTTCGAGACCAGCCTGACCAACAGGGTGAAACCCCGTCTCTACTAAATACAAAAAATTAGCCAGGCTTGGTGGCACATGCCTGTAATCCCAGCTACTTGGGATGCTGAGGCAGGAGAATTGCTTGAACCCAGGAGGCGGAGGTTGCAGGAAGCTGAGATTGCACCATTGCACTCCAGCTTGAGCAACAAGAGCGAAACTTCATCTCAAACAAACAAACAAAGTCACCCCTCTGCTCACTGAGATAAATGCATATGTGATTGCCTCTTTTGGAGAGGCTAATCAGAAACTCAAAAGAATGCAGCCATTTGTCTCTTTATCTATGATCTGGAAGCCCCCTCCCTGCTTCGAGTTGTCCAGCTTTTCTGGATGGAACCAATGTTCATCTTACATATGTTAATTGATGTCTCATGACTCCCTAAAATGTATAAAACCAGGCTGTGCTCTGACTATCTTGGGCACACGTCATCATGACCTCCTAAGGCTGTGTCGCAGGCGTGTGTCCTCAACCTTGGCAAAATAAACTTTCTAAATTAACTGAGACCTGTCTCAAATTTTCGGGGTTCACAGAATAAATAAGCCTAATGGCTCTTAAACTGTTTTCAATACTTTAAAATTGTTTTTAGTAATTACAGTGTGTAGGCTGTGTTGTATTTTTAGTACTATTGCATGTACATTGTGAAATCAAGCAAATTAGCAATTACGTTTGTATCTTTGGGAAGTGAGATATTCAGTGTGAGAGAATGAAGAAACATAAGACAGGTGAGATTAAGCCTTGAAGTTCTTAACTTGAATCAGAAATGTCCATTTGAAGTCGTGTTTTTTTTTGTTTTGTTTTGGTTTTTGTTTTTTTTTTGAGATGGAGTTTCACTCTTATTGCCCAGGCACGAGTGCAATGGTGCAATCTCCGCTCACTGCAACCTCCGCCTCCCAGGTTCAAGTGATTCTCCTGCCTCAGCCTCCTGAGTAGCTGGGATTACAGGCATGCACCACCTTGCCCAGCTAATTGTTTCTTGTATTACTAAAAATACATGGTAGGTTTTTTAAAAGGTATTTCCTACCTCTTTCTACTGAAAAGGCCTGGAAGCAAGATTCAATTCAATTGCAAAGAATGATTCTAGTTCCCTAATTGTGGTTTCTAAATATCAATTTCCACTAAAAGGAAATCTCCTTGGATAAATGTAGGTCTGGAACAGGAAAGCAATGAAGTTACCAAAGGCTATAAAGATTACATGAAAAGAATGCAAAAGCCAATTTGAAGTGCTCTCAGTGGCAAAGAGGATAATTTGGGCATCAATAAGAATAGCAATAGATTATAACATTGAATATATTTAAATTCATGAATTCAAAGAACACTAAATGACAACTAATCTGTCACCTTGGAGGGTGCTTGGAAACCTCCTTTTAAAAACTAAAATAAAAGAATGAATCAATCATTATTCAGTGTTCCTATTCAAACTATACCTCAGGGTAGCCAAATAATTGATTAGGAGAAATTTCTCCTTAAAGAAGTATGCCAGCTAATACATGAAGAAAGAATGGTATAATTAGTATTTCACTGTTTTGTAATGTTATGAAATAATGGATTTAAGTAATGATCATCAATGACTACTGTAAATAATACAAATAAATAAATACAAATAAAGAGGCAGCCAGTCATTCCACCGGAATAGAAGAATACAATGTATAGGAAGTAGCCAAAAAACAAAACAAAACAAGAATTGGATCTGGATTTTATCAAGCCTCTAGGTCTTATTAGTGTTGCCAAGATATTTGGGGGATAGAGTGACATGATAAATACATTTCTGGGAATGCAATAATCAGCAGAATCCAGAGGGCGGGAAACTATAGAGAGAAAGTGATTTTTTGTTTGTTTGTTTTGTTTTGTTTTTTGGCTTTTTTTTTCCTTTCTTTTCTTTTTTTTTTTTTTTTGAGACAGTGTCTTACTATGTCATCCAGACTCCCGGGCTCAAGCAACCATCTGGCCTCAGCCTCCTGAGTGGCTGAGACTACGGGCATGTGTCACCATGCCCAGCTAATTGTTTCTTGTATTTTTCATAGAGACAGGGTCTCGCTATGTTGCTTCTGGCCTCAAGTAGTCCTCCTGCCTCAGCCTCCCAAAGAGCTGGGATTACAGGTGGTGTGAGCCACCACACCCAGCTAACAAATACAGCACAAGGAGAGAAGGTGGGGACGTGTAGTTTTGCATATTTTCAAAATATTTCATAATAAAAAGATTTTTGAAAAATTAAAAAACAAAACTTTGGTGCTCTCAAATAAAATAAAAAATGTTAACATGCACAGGGGATTCAGATTTTGTGATCCTGAAGTTGTACGATCGGGGTTTTCTTTTAAAGAATACAAAATTAAGAATTCAATGTTAGGTACAAAGCCTAAGATGGTGCTCATGCAAGTGAAGGCAACTGAAGGTCAAGTTTTGTTACCTTCATGGTAAATCCAACTCCATGATCACAGCTTTGCAGCTCCTGACCCTCTGGTACCTGCATATCAGTCTAGCTTTAACTCTGCTGGGCACCCTGTAAGTCTACTCTCTGAGCGTCCCCACACTGGCTTCCTCCCGTTCTTCCAATGTATCTTAGTCGCTTCCACCCCTTGGCTCACACTGTTCTGCCCAGAAACTTCTCTGCACTCCCACAATTCTTGGAATTGTTCTTTTTCCTCCCTGTTTCAGATATATTAGTTGCTGCTTCCTCTGTTTCTTAGAGAAATGGATGAGAATGAAAAGCGGCACTACTCGTTCATTTTCCTTCTAAAAATAATTTTGTCTCAATTTTGTATGTACTTAATTTTAACAAAGTAAAACTTCTTATGCACATATATTCATCAGATTTAAAAAATGAGAGTTTCTTAAGGGTACAAAACCAGGAATAGATTGGTAAATTCATGAAGCTAGAAAGTAGCTAATCAAAACTCTTATGAAAACTTCTGGGGTTGATTAAGAATAGCCATAATTCTGTGTAACAAATCCCCTCAAGAGGTGAAATCTATTTCCCTACTCCTTGGCCCCGTCCTGGCCTTGAGACTTGCTTTGATCAATAGAAGGTGACAGAAGTGACACTGCACACATTCCAAGGGTAGGCCTCCTACAATGCTGCTACCTATGAACAAGCCCAAGTTAGCCTCATGGAAAATGAAAAACACATAAAAAGGGTCCCTGCCTTCCCTGACATCCCAGTCCACCCCAGTGAAGCCCACAGAGGTGAGAAAACCCAGCTGACAGACACCACGTGGTTCTGAGACCGGCTTATCAGCTGATTCCTGCCCAAATTGCCAACCCACAAAATCACAAGCAAATAAATGGTTGCTGTAATAACCAGTTTGTTTGTTACACGAAAACAGCTAATCAATATACCTTCTTAATCTCAATTATCTAAAAAAGATATCCCTTCTCACTGATTCATAGCTAAGTGGTTCTGGAAGGAATGTTATTATGAACAATACACATTTCTTTATTCTGTGCATCACATGAAAATGGTCAGAATCAAAATGGAGTCACTAATGTTAAAAAACAAACAGAAGACTCTGACAAATACAGCTGGGAAGACCATGAAAAGAGGGTTCTAATGGTTGTACACCTGAAAACCAAAAGTACCATGAAAGACGGTGAAAACCACAACCTTGAGCAAAGGCCATTGCAACTGAACACAAAACATACTCTGCAAGGACCTCTGAACAACTGCGTGTCCAACCTCAGACTAACACCACTTTCATGATTGATCTTTGGAGCCAAGGCTAATTATTTCAAAGCAATTAGATAATCCTCATTTTTTCCTTGAAAAGTTTTGTCTTCCTTTATTTCCCCAAATATACACATAGTTTACTGTGGCATGCATATTCCCATTGCAGTGCTCTATTCCCAGAGAAATATTTTTCTTGTAGGGACCCTCTCTCTGTTATTTAGGTTGACAGTCACTAAGGATTTACTATTTCAACAATACTAGCACTGCATGTCATCCAGTATACACTGGGAAAATAAAGTGCCGCAAGTGCATATCCAGGAGACTTTGTGGCCACCAGATTATGAGGAATGCATGTATTTAATTATTTATTTTTGGGACAGAGTCTGTCTCTGTCGCCCAGGCTATAGTGCAGTGGCACCATCTTGGCTCACTGCATTCTCCACCTCCCAGGTTCAAGGGATTCTCAGGCCTCCCAAGCAGCGGGGACTATAGGTACGTGCCATCATGCCTCGCTAATTTTTGGATTTTTAGCAGAGACAGGGTTTCACCATGTTGGCCAGGCTGGTCTCAAACCCCTAAGCTCAAGTGATCTACCTGCCTCGGCCTCCCAAAGTGCTGGGATTACAGGTGTGAGACACCATGCCCGGCCCATGCATTATTATTAATGTTGAAGTAGATAATTTAACAAACATCAATGAAGTATAAGATTTTTCACTCATAGTTGCAAAATATCATGCCAATTGCCTTCTATGAGCTGTCATAAGCCACAGCCTAGAGATTCAATTCCATTTCAAGATTCAACCAAAGCCAACTCATCAACAAGAACATGTAAAAGACAGAAAAACCCACTACCGGCAGGCTGAAACAGATGCTGTGACGTGGCCCTGGCCTGTCATGGCGTGTCACAGCATGGCACAGGCCTATATCATGTTCCCTAGATTGCTGACTACCAACTAGTTACAGCTGACTCCAATCAGGTCGGGATTTGACCATCTCTGCACTGAACCTGCAATTGCAACTTTTAAAATTGAAACGCTGCTTCTCACCTCTCCTCCCTAGACTCTATTTCACAGAGGAAACCATCACAGGGAAAGCAAGCCCTTGTTTTTTCTTCCTTCTTTGCTTTGCTTTCTTTCTCTCCTTCCTTCTTTCTTTCCTTCCTCCCTCCCTCCCTCCCTCCCTCCTTCCTTCCTTCCTTCCTTCCTTCCTTCTTTCCTTTCTTCCTTCCTGCCTTCCCTTCTTTCTTTCTTTTTTTTGAGACAGGGTCTCACTGTCTGTCGCCCAGGCTGGAGTGCAGTGGCATGATCTAGGCTCATTGCAACCTCCGCCTCCCAGGTTCAAGTGATTCTCCTTTCTCAGCCTCCCAAGTAGCTGGGATTGCAGATACGTGCCCCCACGCCCGGCTAATTTTTGTATTTTTAGTAGAGGCAGGGTTTCACTATGTTGGCCAGACTTCTTTCCCTCCCTCCTCCAACTCTTCTTTTCTTCCTTGCTGTCTCCCTCCCTACCTTCCAACTTTTGGCTGTGTTGAATTTGTTGACTCATCCTGAACAAGCAGAAACTCCAATGATACTGTCACCTAAGAGAGAACTTTGCACAAGGTTGCCATGTTTAATAATTCATTCACAGAATCCTCAATCTCACAAAAGCCTGGAATGGATTTCCTGTTTGGTTATGGCAGGGAAGCTACTGTGGCCAGGCTCCAACTCCTCCCACTGTAGATAGCAGCAGCCTTCTTAAGCAGCCTGTGGCCGGGCACAGTAGCTCACACCTGTAATCCCAGCACTTTGGAAGGCCGAGGTGGGCGGATCACCTGAGCTCAGGAGTTTGAGACCAGCCTGTCTCTACTAACAATATAAAAATTAGCTGGGAGTCACGGTGGGCGCCTGTAATCCCAGCTACTCGGGAGGCTGAGGCAGGAGAATTGCTTGAACCCAGGAGACAGAGGTTGTAGTGAGCTGAGATCGCACCACTGCACTCTAGCCTTGGCAACAGTGCAAGACTGTCTCAAAAACAGCAACAGAGAGCAGGACGTGAGACTTCTACCTGCTCACTCAGAATCATTTCTGCACCAACCATGGCCACGTTTGTGGAGCTCAGTACCAAAGCCAAGATGCCCATTGTGGGCCTGGGCACTTGGAAGGTAAATATGCAAATCTTTGCACACCCTTCTTCTCTGGAGGGGCGTTTGGGTGTTTTCTCTTTCTGCATTCAGCCAGGAAAGCCTGGAGGTCGGGCAGGGGTTGGAGAGGTAAGATTCAGCCCTGGAGCCAGGACTTAGGTTGCTTTCTTTTCTCAGAGCTGATTCAGGCTGCAAAGCTCCAAGGCTGGCTTTCCCAGCAGTGATGAGAGCTTCTCTAGCAAGTATCAAATTTCAAGCAGCTGTTGGACTTAAAACTGTTTTCCAGGGCAGTTTCTCTCTCTGGTTCTAGGACACTTAATTGGGCTCAACGTTTCCCCCAAGTCTTGGCTGTGGGTTTGTTGTGGGCTGGGTGGTTGAGGAGAGGATGCAGAGCCCGAAGTCCTTGGCACCCCTTTGCAGATCACGGTGTGAGACTTGGGCTAGCAGCATCCCTATGACCTGGAAACTTGCTAGAAATGCAAACTGGCCAGGTGTGGTGGCTTATCCCTGTAATCCCAGCACTTTGGGAAATCCAGACGGGAGGGTTGCTTGAGCCCAGGAGTTGGAGACCAGCCTGGGCAACATGGCAAGAATCCATTTCTACAAAAAATAAATAAATTTTCTGGGCATGGTGGCACGCACCTGTAGTCCCAGCCACTTGGGAGGCTGAGGTGGAGATTGAGTGTTGAGCCTGAGGGGTCAAGGCTGCAATGAGCAGTGATTGTGCCACTGCACTCCAGTCTGGGCAACAGAGTGAGATCCAAGAAAGCAAGAAAGAGAGAAAGAGAGAGAGAGAAAGAAAGAGAGACAGAGAGAAACAAAATGCAGAGTCTCAGGCTCCAACCCAGGCTACCTAATGGGCATCTGCACTTTAACAAGATCCCTACGTGGTTCCTGTACACATTGAAATCTGCAACATGCTGGGGCTGCAGAGAGCCTGGGCTGGGAGTCGTGAGCACCACCCGGCTGTGTTAACGACAGCTGGCAAAATGTGGTAAGGCACATCCAGGACTCAGTGAGGCAGGTTCCCGAGCCTCTGTTAGGCTAAGTTTCAAGTTGTTCCATCACCACCTCCCTCTGCCTTCTTTGCCATTTCCATCCATGATAGCACTACCCTAACTAGTGATGAGAAGCAGTCTTTGGAGTTCCTCTTCTCTCCTGTCCCTCATGGCTAATGTCCCTGCTGAGACTTCTGCCTCTGGCTCTCTTTCCTTCTGTGCACCCTGATTTTTCTTCTCTTCTGTCCCAAGCTAGAGGTTAGGACCCTCTGCTGCAGCACTGGGTCATCCTCAGGATACATTCTTGGTGTATCTGGAGGAACAGATCACTTCCAGCTTGATTCATGCAGAGCGTCTCTTGCTTGAATAGCAAGATTTGCCCAAAATCAGACCTTCAATCCTGTATAAACAGAATAAATAATCACTTCCAGATCTCCAGGGAATCTACTCACCCTGGGTGAGTTTACCAGACAGTTTCATAATTTTGGAATTGAATGAAAGAATTATGAAGGGAGCTGTCTTCAACACGTGGGGATGATAGACTAAAGGATTATGAACTTAGCAGTGGAGGTGAAGAAGGGTGTAGCGTAGCGGTTGGGGGCACAGGGCTGCTTCTGGGTGCCTGGCAGCAGCTCGTTTCTTGTCCAGGTGGTAGGGTAGCTGTGCATCTCTGTTTTGTGTACTGTTCAATGTTTGTTATCTCACAATTGAAGAGGTTTAAAAGACCATTTTGTGAGAGATCAAGTTTTAAGTGCTTTTTTGCCCCCATCATTGGCTTGGCTAGGTTAGAACAAAATGTGATAATTCTATTTCCCTTCTTTTCTTTTTTTCTTTCTTTTCTTTTCTTTCCTTCCCTTCTTTCTCTCCCTCTCTGTCATTCCCCTCCCTCTCTCTTTCTTTTTACAGGAGTGGAAAACAAACTCTATTCCTATAAGGTTTTCTATTTCTCTTTTTTTTCTGAAACGATCATTGTATAATGATGGCCTCTACTGAACCTTACTGTGTGTCAGGTAATGTGCAAAAAGCTTAATATTCATTGCAGCATCTCATCACCACAAAGGCCTCATGAGGCTGGTGCTATTTTTTTTTCCATTTTGCATACAAGGTTTACAGAGATTGAATCACCTGCTTAGACCCACACACCCAGTAAGTGATCGAATCCAGATTGATGGTGTAATGACCATTATCCAGATCCTTATCACCATTTGGGGAAATTGTCTGAAAATCCCTTGGGGTTATTTAGAGTCAAGCTTTCATCTGGGTCTTCAGAAAGTTGTAGTGGAGCGGTCTGCACCCCCACACACCTGAAGACATTTCAGGACTAACCTGGATGAAAAGGGAACTGACTTTTAGCTAGGATAGGACATAAGGACATAATCATAAAATAATTCACTTTCCTTCTTTTCTTTTGAAAAGTTTTGTAAAGTGTGTATCCTCCCAGAGATCCCCTGGCAAAGGAGACCCCAGTGAGGCCTTGGTTTGGAGAAACTGGGCCTTGTGGGGCAGCCTGTTGAAGGTGGCCTGGGGATAAGAGAATATGATGGTTGCTGAGAGTGGTGTAATTCCAGCTACTCGGGAGGTGGGAGGGTTGCTTGAACCTGGGAGTGTGAGGCCAGCCTGGGCAACACGGCAGGGCCCCATCTCTTAAAAAAAACACATATGTGATGAGCTTTTCTTTTGCCTTTCAGTCTCCTCTTGGCAAAGTGAAAGAAGCAGTGAAGGTGGCCATTGATGCAGGATATCGGCACATTGACTGTGCCTATGTCTATCAGAATGAACATGAAGTGGGGGAAGCCATCCAAGAGAAGATCCAAGAGAAGGCTGTGAAGCGGGAGGACCTGTTCATCGTCAGCAAGGTGCAATGGTGCATTTGGTGGGAGGCCTTCACTTCAAGGCAGGCAGAAGTATCTGGGTCGGGTTGGCAGCAAGAACTCTGTCAGCCTTTTCTACATGTACCCCTTTTCATCTCTGCCTTGATAACATCCGTGAATACAACACTATCCATACTCCAAGCCATTATTGATATTTGAACATGTCGTGGCTGCCCCACCTGCCTGTAGGTTGGTTTTCCCATAGTGGGCTTGGTTCCATGGAACCCTGCACTGCCCTGGGCCTCCCTGTTCCCCATCAGAGGGATCTACCATCTGCCCAGAGGCAATCAGAGGCCAAGGGTGCAGGCGGGTCTTGATCTGAAGCCTCCCTTTCAGCACTGTGATCTCAGTGACTGTGCCCCTGAGACTCTCAGCCAGGGGGAATTTTAGAAAATGGTAGGGGCATTTTTCTATTGTCACATATGAATTTCTTTATTCATTCTAGTAAAAGGTGAGGGATACAATGTTATAAAAAAGAAGAAGATGTTGGGTGTGAGAGGGCTGAGAATCACTGGATCTATATTATACATAACTTGCTGAAAAAAAATAACACTAGTTCTAGGTACTTGGAAAATGCATACATCTGGTAGGACAAATAGACCTCACTGTGTAGCAGCCAAGTCTGGATAAAGCCTTTGTAAAATTATCACTTGGGGCCTTATAGGCTTGATAAGGGACCTATCAGATAGGTCAGATAAAGGACCATCTGCTCCCAAAGGCCTAAGAATGCTTGACATTTAAAAGCTACACACAATTCCTGCTCTCAGAGAGCCTACAGCTGAGGAAGAGACTGAGACAGGTAAACAAATTTCAAATCTGTGGCCACATTTACTTCAATGATCTGAGACACGTATAGAGTACTAGGACAGTTGAAAAAGTCAATTGCTTTTAACACTTAAGACATGTCATTGAGGTGCTGAGCCCTGGTGATGTTCCACACTGTGTCGTGGATCTTAATCAGCTTTGTTACAAATGGCTTGTGGTGGGTTAGATGAGGATGCAAATCAAAAAGCAGGGACAATGAGTACAATGTGGCCCTTCCTTTTCCCAGTATTAATAGCTCATTGCTACACTCTTTGCAGTTGTGGCCCACTTTCTTTGAGAGACCCCTTGTGAGGAAAGCCTTTGAGAAGACCCTCAAGGACCTGAAGCTGAGCTATCTGGACGTCTATCTTATTCACTGGCCACAGGGATTCAAGGTTTAAGACACTCTCTTTCTCAGCCTCTAGTTTCTGAGCAGGTGCCAGAAAATAGTAGCTGCACCAGGGCTGTGGGGTGGTGTGGACTGGGGCAGGAGGCCTTGCATTTCATAATTGGGAATGGCAGGTGGTCAGGAAGAGACCTTGGAGAAGAAACACACTGGCCTGGAAGGGAGGTTGAGGCCATGTGTGCTGCTGAGGTGGCCACATGCCTGGGTTTTCTTGCAGTTATGTCTGAGAGAAGACATGATTTCTGGCAGCCCAGACAAGTTGCAACTGCCATATCACCTTTGTCTTGATTCCACGCCCCAGGGTTGCCCTCCCAGGAAATCTCTTGGGTTACTCTTGCATAACTATATTCCAGGGCATAATTATCTTATTAAGCAAAGTACACCTGGGAGTGGCATCTTGGAGAAAAGCCCAAGTATGGTGATGCTGGAAGGAAGCCAGTAGTGATCCAGGCACCCATTGCCTGGGGCTCTGCTCTTACCTGCTCCTGAGGGGTGGGAGAGACAAATTTCCAGCTCTCTCCCCTCCTGACCAACTGGAGTGATGATGGCCTGCCACCCCTAATTCCACGCCTCTTCTAGAGGCTGCAAGGATAGAAGTTGGCCAATATCTTCTCCAGAAAACCACAGCTTGGATATCTAATCCTTATCCAGTAATATTGAAATGAAAGTTTGCCCTTGGTTGTATATGGGATCTAGGTGTATGAGGTTAATGTCCATGGTGATAATGAACTTCTGGAATGTACTAGCAGCAAATCTTAAAGTCAAGCCAGTCGTTTCTAAAATATTAGTATGCTACAGTAGATACAGAGATTTTAATTAAACTCACATTCCTAAAGTATGTACTCCAGAACTTGAAAAAGTGGTATGCAGATGTGGTATTTAGCAAGAGTCAGGATCCTGAAACCTTGTTGAACAGAACCAAGTGTCCTGATGCAGATTCCAGTAAACTTTTCATTCTGTGTTCACAGTCTGGGGATGACCTTTTCCCCAAAGATGATAAAGGTAATGCCATCGGTGGAAAAGCAACGTTCTTGGATGCCTGGGAGGTAGGTTCCCAGCTTCCTCTAAGTGTGCTGGGAGAGAAATCTTCAGTTATCCATGAGATTCGCATGGATATGAATGAGGCCATGTGCCTGATGCTTTCTAATTTCATCATTGTGATTTTCTAGCTCTTCTAATATCTTCCTCATCACCTTTGGCTTTTGGGTACATCTGATACTATTTATATTTCAAGGCTAATAGTCTTCAAATAAGACTGGAAATACAATGTACCCCACTTTGGGGAATACACATGCTGTTCTCAAACCAGGGCGAGGCATTTGGAACAGGAGGTTTGGGCCTGGGTGTGCTCATAGCAGCTGAGTAACCTAGGGTCAGTTTTGTAACTCATGTAGGGCTCAGTTTTCTCTTCTTAAAAAGAAGTTGTATAATACATACTACCAATATATATCTTCCAGTGTGTGATAAAGATTAAGATGGTTTACATGCCAGGAACATTAGTCATAAAGCCCATTTAACCCTAGGAGACAGGGTTAACATCCCCATTTATAAATAATGACATTTGAAACCTAGATTGTTTGATGACTTGCCCAGGTCTTGTCACAATGTGTGTGGCAGAGCTGGGATTAGACCCAGACTCATCTGAATCACAAGTCCAACCACCAAAGCCATCAGCATGGTGCTTGGCAGGCAGTGAAGACACATCCAGAAATCAGGGAGCCTGAGTGCTCTGCTTCTCAGATCTAACCATGACCTGTTTCACGTCATTCACATTCAAAATGAATGAAGGGATGAACATTTTCTCTGGTCATTTTTTATTATTTATACCCTTTTGCAAATGCTAGTAGAGAATGAAGTGGAGGAATAAGTTATAAATGAACAGTGGCTTATGACTCCAAGAGTTAATCGTGTTATTTTGGTAGCTGTCTGTGTAGGTGTGCATGTAGTTGCGAGTTTGTATTGTGTTTTACAAGCAAAAATATATTATGTTTCAACTTTCTGAAATGCTTATAATTGACATGATTCAATGAAATGTAGCTTTTTCTGTGTATTGTTTGTTCAAAAGCATTAATCCACAAGCACAGCTTTTTGTTGTTTTTATTGTCTTAGACACTCTCACTCTGTCACCCAGGCTGGAGTGCAGTGGCACAATCTTGGCTCACTGCAACGTCCCTCTACCAAGTAAAAGCCATTCTCCTGCCTCAGCCTCCTGAGTCGCTGGGACTAGAGGTGCATGCCACCACGCCTGGCTAATTTTTGTATTTTTAGTAGAGATGGGGTTTCACCATGTTGGCCAGTCTGGTCTCGAAGTCCTGACCTCAAGGGATCCACCTGTCTTGGCCTCCCAAAGTGCTCAGATTACAGGTGTGAGCCACCACACCTGGCTATTTGCATTACATATGATAAGATTTTTTTATCTTAACTCTTATGATGCCATGAAGTATGGCAAGTATGTCAATGTAGCCTGCTTCTCGCAGTGCTGTTTTTTGAATGAATACAAGAACGACTGCTAAATAAAACATTTGAAAGGCATGAAAAGATAGCAGTGATCAAGATCAGAGGCTCTGATTTGAAATGAGCAGGCTTGAATATGTAAGCGTTGGATGTTTATGTAGACCCACAACCAGTTCAGTAGAAACCTCACTGACCACATTGAAGCAGAGAGGAGGAAAAATGTATAAAGAAGTCAAGTTCTAATACAGGAAAACTAACCTGACCTATGTGCACAAAAACTTTTAAATTATCTAATTGCCCCATCTGAAATTTTGGGAAACCTAATGATTTCACAGCTTCTAAATTCTACTGCCCAATTTGGATAACATCATATATCCTAGTGGTTCTCAACGTGGCTATGCATTAGAATCACCTGAGGAGTTTAAAAATCCCAACGTCTAGGCTACAACTCAGAGAAAATCTGTAAGAAACTCTGGGGGGTGAAATCCAGGCACTGGTAATTTTTTTTTTTAATTTAGAGAGAGTCTCTCTCTGTTGCCCAGGCTGGAGTACAATGGCATCATCATAGTTTAGTGCAGCCTCGGACTCCTGGGCTGAAGCAATCCTCCCAAGTAGCTGGAATCAAAGGCACATGCCGCCACATCCAGCTAATTAAAAAAATTTCTTTTTGTAGAGACAGGGTCTTGCTATGTTGCCCAGGATGGTCTCCAACACCTGGCCTCAAGCAATCCTCCTGTCTCAGCCTCTGGTAATATATATCAGAAACATATATATTATTAGTAGGTATTATAAGACTTTTTTTAAGAAGAGAAAGCTAAGGCCTACAAGAGTTAAAAAACTTACCCTAGGTTACTCAAACCTAGGCCCAAAACCCCTGTTCCAATCCTCCTGTCACCTCCCAAAGTGCTGAGATTACAGTCATGAGCCACTGCATCCAGCCAGTATTTTTTAAAGCTCCCTGGTGATTCCAAATTGCAGCCAAAGTTGAGAAGGGCTGGATAAAGTGTTCCCTGAACATGTCGTGCTTATCCCTGCCTCTGAGCTTTGCTCCTGCCTTCCTGTGTCATATGCTCATGTTTTTTCCCTCTTTTCTGTCTTTTTTTTTTTTTTTTTTTTTTTCTTTTGAGGCCCAGCTTATACTCTACCTGAAGGACTCCCCTGACAACTGCGGGCTGTATGTATCTCTTCTTTCTCTGCCCTTTCTGACTCTGTCTATGCCGCTGTGATGTTATCTGAGGCAGCCTCAGTGTCATGATTGATGGCTCCATAGAAGGGAACTCTAGCACTTTAATTGGACTATAAGAATCCCAGAAAAAGGGAGCACATTGTATACATTTACATCCTGACAACTTCTGGGCAGGATCTGGAACATGTAATAGATGGCTACTAAATACATATTGCACTGGAGGCTGCTGCTAACATGTATGGTATCTTTGGGCAAGTTTGGAAAATGCCCAATATAGGCTAAAAATTATACAAAGATTCCCTTCCTTGCGTGTCCATGCAGTTTCTGTACCAGGAAGCATGGCTGGATATGCAAACAGTGGGTCAGGCTTCAGTCCCACACAACTCCATGGCCGGGTGCCCCTATCAGGGTGTAATCTGAATGCATGACCTTCCTGCAAACCAAAGCATGCTTAGTGTGGGAGAGAGGGACTCAGGACCCACAAGTGAGGCTTCTCCGTATGCTGCAGCCTCTTCCTGACTAACACAGCTTGCCCAGGTTTGGGTGTGCAATGCACACACACAACAGCAGCTCCCTGCTATCATTTGGATTCATTAAAAATTAAATCATCTCATAAGCTTACAAATGTTGATTTTTATTTACTTTTTATTTTTTTGCATTACAAAACTTTCATATTTCCCCTGTGTACAGGAAGTTTAATTTTTTATGTGTTTCTTCACGTGTAAGGTGAGAGTGGCAAGAACATAAAATCTTTACCTGTTACTCCTAGTTTTTCTTGCGCTGGGGAGGGGCAGTAGGGCTGGAACCAGTCACTGATGGGCACCCAGGCCCTGGACTAAAATTTCCTGTGAATGCTTCGGCTAACCCTGTTACGGTGGATCCTTTAGCAATTTCTGCCCCAGGGAGGACTAAGGCAAGCCAGGGTCCCTGTAGTCCCTCTAGAGCTGCCCATAAGGTATTCCTTTCTATGATAGGCCATGGAGGAGCTGGTGGATGAGGGGCTGGTGAAAGCCCTTGGGGTCTCCAATTTCAGCCACTTCCAGATCGAGAAGCTCTTGAACAAACCTGGACTGAAATATAAACCAGTGACTAACCAGGTAAATTCTATTCAGTTTAAGGGTAAGGGTCCTGCCCTATTACTTCTTAAACATTGCGGGAGGAATGTTCAATGCTATGCCCTGAGTCTCATCTCAGGGGTCAGTGATCAGGACACTTTGGGGAGGTGTGAGGCTGATCTCACGGGTGATTTAGCAAGTATCTCAGTGGGCAGGTGTTTGGCCTTTGCTTGGTGGACTTTTTTTGTGTGTAGAACTCCCTAGGAACAATGCAAAACAGAGCCGGCTTTCCCCGTGATGAGGATTGTTTGCTGTTGCAGGTTGAGTGTCACCCATACCTCACACAGGAGAAACTGATCCAGTACTGCCACTCCAAGGGCATCACCGTTACGGCCTACAGCCCCCTGGGCTCTCCGGATAGACCTTGGTGAGGCTTCCAAGTGGTGGGTCTTTCTCTTGATAATCTTAAAAACATTATTTTATAATTGGTAAATGTTGGTATGGGTCCATAAGTTACTGGAAAGAAAAATGTGTGTAAGGTAACACGTTTGGTACACACAAATGGGATGGCAGTGGGAAAAAATGGGAATTAAACAACAACAACAACACCAAGGGCGACATGCTTGACCCTCTGGGAATATTTCCAGTTCAGCCACCCAAGGGTGAACCAGGCTTTGCAAAATGCTGAGGCTTCAGAGCCCGGGGAAAGGACCCAAGCTTCCAGGTCCTCCTGCCTGTCTCCCAGATGGAGAGGCTCTGATGATCAGTCTTGAGACCCTCATTGGAGTGGTGTCCTTCTGTACATGGTAGCCATGGTGATTATTCACATCAGCATCTTTCTGCCCCTAGGGCCAAGCCAGAAGACCCTTCCCTGCTGGAGGATCCCAAGATTAAGGAGATTGCTGCAAAGCACAAAAAAACCGCAGCCCAGGTGCCATATTTTTATTTTTCTTGTTATCCAACAACTCATTCTTCCAGTCTCGTGTTTCATATCCTGTGTTGTCCTCAACAAACTCCTTAAAGGGGAAGAATATAGGAGCTGAAGCCCTCTAAAGTGTTTCCTTTGAAGTCTGTTGGAACCTCTAGGAAACACAAGAGCTGTCACTGAAGCAAAGATAGCTTCTGTCTCACAGCTTCCTGTCAAGCCCTACAGCCCAGTGGCAAAGCATGGCTTTGGAGTCTAGGGATATGGGTGCAGATGCCAACTCTACCTCTGATCAGCCTTATGACCCCCAAGCTACTTTCTTCATTCCTAAAAAAGGAAGATCACAGGGTTGTCTCTAAGGTGAAGGGAGAGAAAGAGGTGGGGGTCTGGCACAAGTCTAATAGCTGTGAAGGGCTCAGTAATTATTAGCGATTGTACCTGAAGCCACAGTGAGCTGCAGAGATGTTTTATTCTTCCTTTCCATAAAAGGAGGGGTCTTTGGAGCTGAGTGGAAGCCTGATGTCCCCTTTCCGCATAGGTTCTGATCCGTTTCCATATCCAGAGGAATGTGATTGTCATCCCCAAGTCTGTGACACCAGCACGCATTGTTGAGAACATTCAGGTAAGTTTCCGGCTGGTCGGCCCTGGTATTCCTCAGTGGAGTGGGGGACAGGCAGACCTTCTCACTAGGCTTCTCACCTCATCGCTGCATTGTCTTTTGCCCCCTCCCTTCCCACCACCCTATCATTTTCCAGCCCAGGGAGCTAGGGTCAGTAGAGCTGAGATGAATGACCCATGGGCTAAGGACATCCTGGGGGCAGTGCCTGGTAAAGCCCTATCAGGTCTGAGCACAGTTGTGCCTCACACCACTGAGAAGACCCTCAGTTGCCCCTGAGCAGCTAGGCCCTGGGCCACACACAAGAACAGACTGTCCTGGCCTCCCTGCTCACTTCCCGGCAGCAGAGGAGGTGTGAACTGTCCTTGGAGAAGTGTCCTCTAGAAGCACCTGTCATGGAGCACAGGGCCTGTGCACGCCTGGGGTTTAGTGCCTGTGAGCCTGGTCTCCCTCCCCCCAGAACACTGAGCACTACAAATACTGT
This sequence comes from Homo sapiens, assembly GCF_000001405.40. NCBI lineage: Eukaryota > Metazoa > Chordata > Mammalia > Primates > Hominidae > Homo > Homo sapiens. The sequence continues at coordinate 134,538,756 of NC_000007.14, forward strand.
GGTCTTTGTGTAGGACCTAATTTAGAGAAAAATTTGTATCCCGTGGACAGAATGGGAAAAACTCCTGTGGCCAGTTTGTGCTGTGAATGTGAGCTCCCTCCCTGCTAGAATGGCCGGCAGTCTCCAGCCACAGCTAGAATGGCCTTACTGATGATGTATTGGAACTCCTACCTTTCCAGGTCTTTGACTTTAAATTGAGTGATGAGGAGATGGCAACCATACTCAGCTTCAACAGAAACTGGAGGGCCTGTAACGTGTTGCAGTAAGTGGCATGGAGTTAACTAGAAGCATTGCCAGGAGTTTTTCTAAACTAATAGAGGGTTAGTTGGAAGGATTGGAAGGCTGCTGGGACTACTTGTGTCTTCAAATACTATTTTGGGGCAATTTTGAAAGTTAAAATTGGGGTACCTGGGAATCACTGTGAGGGACACATCTCTAATTGCTGCTCATTGTCTGAACTTCTGGATGTAGAGCTAGAATCATAACAGAAGGTGGGTTGTCAATAGGCGGGAGGCAGAACATTCATTTATTCATTCATTCAATCAATATCTCACGGTCATCTATGTGCCAGGCATTTTCTAGGTGCTTAGGTTATCATACTGTACAAAGTTGCTGCCTCCATAGGCTTAGGGAGGGAGGGAAGAAGAGACAACAGAAATAAATCAACTCAAAATATAGATGTCAGACAGCAACAAATGCTAGACAGAAAAATAAAGTAGGGCAAAGTGGATAGGAAGCGGTGGGTGGTAGTGGGACTGATCCTTTATACAGGGTGTGTAAAGGGAGGCTTTGCTGTGAGGGATATACCATATGCATATTTGGGGGAAGAGCATTCTTGGCGGTGATAACAGCAGGTGCAAAGTCCCTGAGGTGGGATTGTGTTTAGAACATTCAAGCAAGAAGGCCAGGGAGGCTGGATTAAATCATCTCCAAATGCCTCTTAAAGGAGGTGGTGCTAACTTTACTTAAAATCTTAGATAAGTGGTGAAAAAAAGCTTTCACTCTGGCTGGGCAGGCATTCTAAATCATCTCTTTACAAGCAATACTTTCTGAATAATGTATCTAATTAAATGTATCAAAAAGAGTTGTCTGGCATTTATTACTGCCAGATCTGTAATTCAATGAGGATTTGAATCTCTTTCAATGTTTCTATAGCCAAAAACGATTTTTCACCTTTTAAAAATGATTTCGGCTGGGCGTGGTGGCCCACGGCTGTGATCCCAGCACTTTGGGAGGCCAAGGTGGGCTGATCAAGAGGTCAGGAGATCAAGACCATCCTGGCTAACATGGTGAAACCCCGTCTCTACCAAAAATTAGCTGGGCGTGGTGGTGGGCACCTGTAGTCCCAGCTAATTAGGAGGCTGAGGCAGGAGAATGGTGTGAACCCGGGAGGTAGAGCTTGCAGTGAGCTGAGATTGCGCCACTGCACTCCATCCTGGGTGACAGCGCGAGACTCTGTCTCAGAAAAAAAAAAAAGGTTTCAGTATCTCAAGCGCTGCTTGCATGTCATGATATTCCATATCTATCCTGCCCACCCTAAGTATCATAGGAGCCTTTCCTCATCTTACAATGGCTTACTTTTATTGGAGCTTAACAAAGTAGTAGCTACTTAGAGCAAAAAGGAAGGGTGAACGTAAAGTGGGACTCACCCCCCAAACTAAACTGCTTACCTTCCTATGAGCATCATTTCTGGCAATGGGTAGCAATGGAGGCAATGGGTTGGTGGGCTCTGCAGTAAATCCACCTGGCCTCAAATCCAACTTTAACACTGGTTTATTAGCTGTGTGACATTGGGCAAATTTCCTAGTTTTTCCAAGTTGGTTTCTTCACTTATAAAGTAGGATGATAATACTAATCGCAGCTAACATCCATTGAACCTTAGCTTAGAATGTGCCAGGGTCCTGCGCCCTTTTCCGGTGGTATTATCTCATTTAATACTCAGAACAATCCCCAAGCTGTCAATTCTGCTGTTGTTTCCTACTTCATGATGTTGTGAGAGTGGATTGGGACAAGACTTGTCTGTCACCTCGCCTGACACCAGGCTTACTATGGGTTGTCATTACGAGTTTATTCTGCTGCCCTGCTCACTGTCTGCCCTCCTTCCGAGCAAAGCCCTCATATCGATTTGAGGGAAGGTCAAAGTGTGGGCACCCTCCTTATGTTCTTGCAGGGAGGAGGCTAAGAGAGCACAAATATGATAGAGTCCACCAGGGAAGAATACCTTCTCAACCAGAGTTGTTGTTTTGATGGAACTCAGTTTCTCTGTTTTTGTTTTTTGTTCTTTCCTGCAGATCCTCTCATTTGGAAGACTATCCCTTCAATGCAGAATATTGAGGTTGAATCTCCTGGTGAGATTATACAGGAGATTCTCTTTCTTCGCTGAAGTGTGACTACCTCCACTCATGTCCCATTTTAGCCAAGCTTATTTAAGATCACAGTGAACTTAGTCCTGTTATAGACGAGAATCGAGGTGCTGTTTTAGACATTTATTTCTGTATGTTCAACTAGGATCAGAATATCACAGAAAAGCATGGCTTGAATAAGGAAATGACAATTTTTTCCACTTATCTGATCAGAACAAATGTTTATTAAGCATCAGAAACTCTGCCAACACTGAGGATGTAAAGATCAATAAAAAAAATAATAATCATAACCAACATGTATTGAGACTGTACTATGTGCCAACACAATTTGAAGTGTTTTCCTGTGGGTGAAGTCATTGAATCCTCAGAATAATCCCTTTGGGGTAGGTATTCTTAACATCTTATTATTCACATTTGCTGGAAGAGGAAATGGAGGTAGAGGGGAGGGAGGAGGAACTTGCTCAAGGCCACCCAGGTAGTAAGTGACTGAACCAAGTTTCAAAGGGAGGCAGGCTCTGGGGTAGCTCACAGCGATCGATGGTCATCCTCTTTCTCCTGAGCCTTTTCCTGCCACCTTTCCTTCTTGCCTGTCTCCACTCATTCCCTGTCTTGCTCTCACAGCTTGCCTTCAACACCATTGTGCCAAAGAGTCAATGGCAGAGCCTGCAAACTCCACAAAGATGCTAGTGTTCATTGAGAGAGGTGCGGCATTTTCTTGGGAAGTAGAGGTGTGGCATTTCCTTGGGAAGTAGGGTGGAAAAACAATAAAGATACTTACTATTGCCATTAATCTGGAACATTTCTGTTTGTCCTATAATAATTGCTTCTTATGAAATATTCCAACTATATAGAAATGTACAGAAAATAAACTAATGAGCATCTGGCCGCCCACCTTATAATGTTAACAAGTGCTGGCCGAGTGTAGTGGTGCGCACCTGTAGTCCCAGCTACTCCGAAGGCTGAGGTGGGAGGGTCGCTTGAACCTGGGAGGTGGAGGTTGCAGTGAGCCAAGATTGCACCACTGCACACCAGCCTGGGTGAGAGAGAGAGACTCTGTCTCAAAACAAAAAACAAAGAGCGAATGCTAACATTTTGCCATATTGGCTCCAAACCTTTAAAAAAAAATTAAAGAAATTAGGGGTTACCAATATAGTCGAGGACCACTTTGTGCCTCTCCCCATCCCCATTCCACTGACCCCCCTCTCCAGAGGCAAATGCTTATCCTAAATTGGTGAGTCCCCTCATCCTCTGTTTGGGGTTGGGGGGTACACCTACATTCCCAAGCTTCCTTGCTATGTTAGGAATTCCTCTGGGTTTGCTCAGTGAGAGGTACAGTTAGGAGCTTGACGGGCTGGAGAAGGGAAGACCAGGCGTTTCTCTCTCCCTCTCTCCCTGTCTATTGACCTTGAGCGGCATCTCCAGTAGAAGACACGTTTCTCTGTGGGCTCAACTTTTTCCAGGCAGCCTCCACCTTGATTCTATCTCCTACCAGACAAAGCTTCTGGGATGAGGAAGCAGCACTCTTTCTTTGTCCTTCTTCCTTAGGAGAAGGGATCTCTTCCTGCTGCTGCTAAACTAGTTGCCTCATCTCCTTTCAATAGCCCAGCTCTTCCATCACGTGTATCTGATCACCTATCATAACCACGTATTTGAATAAAACATGCAATTTTCAAAAATCTTAGCATAGTTTCTTTTCTTCTGGCTGGCCCTTTGACTGGTATACTTCCCATCCACATTTTTATTATATATGTATTTTTATTATATATGTACACATCCATACACAATCTCACAGACTGGGTGCTTTTAAAATGTATATAAAATGTATACAACTGATGCACAGGAAGCAATTTCAACCCAGAGCCCAGTGATATCTCCTTAGTGAGCATTTTGTGAACATTTTCTTCTTTGTGTCACTGTGATTATGACTTGCTTGATAAAAAGCTTTGGTTATAGGATAAAATGATTCGGTTTCTATTATGTGGTTTTTTGTTTGTTTGTTTCACTTGAACTTAACCAAACAGAGGTAAATTTAAAAAGCTAATGTGGAGAAATGCTGTGTTTTAAAAAGCAACTTCTTACTTATTCTGTTTTCTGTCTTTGTGGAGAAGGAGTCTTGCTCTGTTGCCCAGGCTGGAGTGGAGTGCAGTGGCATGATCATAGCTCACTGCAACCTTGAATTCCTGGGCTCAAGTGATTCTCCTGCCTCAGCCTCCTGAGTAGCTGGGACTACAGGCACAGGCATGATGTCCTGCTAATTATTTTTTGTAGAGACAGGATCTTGCGATGTTGCTATGTTTCCCAGGCTGGTTGGAAACTCCTGGCCTCAAGTGATCCTCCCGCCTCTGCCTTCCAAAATGATGGGATCACAGGCATGCGCCACCTCACCAGCCAGTTATCTGATTATATTTTCAGCATTTATATCTCGAGTAATGAGAACCTTACACGTCTCAGGGTCCTCAATGTCACAACTGTAACAAATACAATGCATCCATCCTAACATTTGTTCACTATTTTGTCCCAATTGGTTGGAAATAAAGCCACCATCATCATCACCTAAACCAAAGCTGCCTTTATGGGGAGACAATCTAAGGTATACACTACAGGTGTGTGTTAAAAAACTCTTATGATAATGTAGGGAACTTGCATTATGAAGAGAAAGGAAGGGGAGTAACCACAGAGAGGAAGATGGTAAGTAAAGTCAGTGTGGAAAAGGAAGGGAGCTTGTCGTGGGAAGTAGGGAGGCAAGGAGTGAGGCTCTTATGTTTCAAGTATTCTCTCCATTCATTGTCTAAGAGAGGGCTGGAAAGATGGGTAGCAGCTACCATGGAGATTCTGGAATCACTGTGACTGTCCTGCCTGGCCCAGGTAATCCAGAGGGCTAGACTTACCCTGTTGTATTTAAGTGAGATCTGGCAAATGCTGGGCAGATGATGCCAAACTATAACTGGGACCTAAAGGGATTTGGATGTCCCAGGCAAACCCCCTAATGCCTGACTGTCCAGGGCTGCTCCAGTCATTTCAACAACCTTGCAACAGCTCTGCATTTTACATGATTAAAAATTTGGACCCAGCGGGGCCTGGTGGTTCACACCTTTAATGCCAGGACTTTGGGAGGTCAAGGTAGGAGGATCGCTTGAGGCCAGGAATTTGAGACCAGCCTGGGCAACATAGTGAGACTGTTGCTATATGAACTATTAAATATAAAAAAATTTGGACCCTACTTATTGCATTATTGTGAGATTTAACTGTACATTATATTTAACAATGTACAGATGAGAGAGGCTTCTGTAGAAAATAGTTTTCAGTAAAATTTGAAAGAACCCTGAAGAGTGAAGATTGTTGGAAATAAGTTTTTTTTTTTTGCTTTAATGACCGTGCATGACTATAGAAATGTAAACTCCGAACATATAATTATGCAAAAATAGGCCAGTGGCAGTGGCTTACGCCTGTAATGCCAGCACTTTGGGAGGCTGAGGAGGATGGATCACTTGAGGTCAGGAGTTTGAGACCATCCCGGCCAATATGGTGAAACCTGGTCTCTAATAAAACTATAAAACTTATCTAGGCATGGTGGCACACGCCTCTAATCCCACTCAGGAGGCTGAGGCACGAGAATTGCTTGAACCTGGGAGGCAGAGGTTGCAGCGAGCTGAGATTGCGCCACTGCACTCCTGCCTGGGTGACAGAGTGAGACTCCATCTCAAAACAAAAACAAGCAAAGAAACACACAAAAATAAGAGATAAACAAACTTGGACAAAACCATTTGGCAATTTTCTTATAATCAAAAGAGTTTATTCATATAAATAAGAAAAATCTCAGATGCCACAAAGAAAGTTTTTACATAAAATTGACCATTAAATGACATGAAAAATTGTACAGACTAGTAATAAAAATGCAAATTAAAATAAGCTTTATACACTATCAAACCAGCAAAACTTAGAAATAAAAGAAAATCTATCTAGAAAGATTTGAATATTAAGAGGGTTTTTTTCTATGTTGTTTGGCAACAAGTTTATTTTTGTTATTCTTTTACATAATTTTCAAAATTTCCACAATAGGAAATGAACTTTTACATTCTAGAGAGGCATTAAGGATTTAAAAAATAACAGATTTAGCTCAATTAGTTATTTTATACATCCACTGGGAAAACCAAATGAAAGAGACACTTTTACTTGAAATTATTCTCATTTAACAAGCCTTTCGATTTTAGAAAATACGTATTCTGAATGTACAATGCAGTGGAATTTGATTACATTTAATTTTAAATTCTACCTAATTCATTTGTTTTTCCTCATTTGTTGTCAGCATTTTCCCAGACATTTCATGAAAGTTTTGCACCCTTAAAATCTTACAGTGTTGCCTTCCAGCACTTTTGTTGGTTCAAAAATATCAGCCCCCAGATAAGTTAGGGAGAGTTGGTGAGGACCAAGAGGACCTTGACCGTTACTAAAAAATTACGCAAGAGAGGTACTTGTGCCTCAGGGCTCTTGCCCTTGGTATTCTCACTGCCTGGGATGCTCTGCCCTCAGATATTAGAATAATTCTCTGACTTGTATTTTTAATTTCCTTGCCGATTTATCGTCTTTTCAGAGAGGACTTTCTTCATCACCCTATTTAAAATTAACCTACCTCCTCTGATATTTCTTCTTGCCCTTCTAAGTGTTTTCTTCTTCTCCATAGCATTTGTTTATCAATATGTCATGTATTTTATATATTTGCTGTTTGCTTGCTTACCCTGTTTCTACCCACTAGCATGTAAGCTCTATGAGAGAAGGGATTTTTGAGTTCTGTTAATTATTGTATTCCCCGCCTCAATAATATCTGGTGAATAAATAGATAGATGGAATGGATGGAACAATGGATGGACGAATGGATGGGTGGAGGGACGGAGGCATGGATGGATGGTTGGAAACATGGAAAGAAGGAAGGATGGATAGAAAGACAAATGGAAGGAGGGATGGGTGGAAGGATACATGGATTGGGGATGGATGAATGATGGATGGATGGATGGATGGATGGATGGATGAATGATGGATGGATGGATGGATGGATGGATGTGTGGGATATGATGAGGTTTCTCTTCAGATAACCTGATCAATCTTTTATTCTTTAATTCATAGTAATCCCTCCACCTTTTTTCCTTTTTCTCCTTTTTTCTCTTTTTTCCTTTGTTACATGCCCAGGCATGCCACAGTACCAGGTGGTATCTGTACCTGCTCACATTCCTTTCCTTATTTGGAAAGAGGACTAACTTTTTAGCTCATTACAGACACCCCTTCCCCTTTATTCTCTGCCTTTTTTACGTGCCCACCTTATCTAAAAAAAATCCAATGTTTAGCCAACCAGGATTAGTTTAGATTGTACGACCTGACCCTGGCCAATGGAGAAAGGGTACAGGGGCAGTACTTGTGTCAGGAGTAAAGGCTCTCGTGCCCCTTTTTCAGGTGTGCTCTCATGGCGACTGGACAAGGAGGCACCTCTCTGCGCAGAAGTAAAATTGCTTTGCTAAGAATCCTTTGTTCAAGTGTTCAATTTCCTTAAGATTTTGAGCGTTATTCCTAACAGTTCTGGAGCCCAACTTTGGGGCTCGAATCTTCTCCTTTGGGAAGGGGGCCTTCGGTCACCCCACCCGGAGGGGACGCATCCTACTGTCTAGTTACCGTGCCCCTAGGTTGAGGGAGATCAGGGCCCCCCCCCCGCTTTGTGACAAATAAGTCTGGATCTCAGCAAAGCGGGGAGGAGAAGCTTGCAAGACCGCAACAATAAGAGGACCAGGAAATTCTTGTGCATGGAATAAGGTAGGAGACTTGGCGAAGGTGACAAAGTATTTCCCAGGTGGTTGGGATAAGCTGGAGGCTGACAGTGTATGAATGGGACTTAGTATGGTGGTTATGTGGAGTGAGTGAGTCTTCTCTATGGCCTCATGCTGCCATCTGTCAACTAGAGTCAGGAACAGACAGAGTAGACAAAGAGGAAGGGGGAGGGTAGAAATCCAAACAGGTTGGGTTGGAGCCTTTCCCCAAAGCCTCAGTAAGCCTCCAGGAAGGGGGAGGGTAGAAATCTCACAGGAGGGGTTGGGCCTCCTCCCCATAATCCCTAAGATGGGGAACGTTTCAAGTAAGACAGGAAAACTAAAGAGTCTAGAGAGTGATGAATTTCCTTCTGATAGCCCCTTGGGGCTTATGCTAAAGTATTGAAAAAATAATAAGAGAACCAAGTATAAACAAAAACAGCAGATGATAGAATATTGTTGTTTTATTTAAGTTCGAGAACCCATCCTTAAGCCCTCACTTTTCTGGCCAAAATTTAAGTCTAATGAAGAGCGAATTTGTCAGCTGTTAATCAAATATGTTAACAGTAAGAGCCCTGTGTCCCAGGAAAAATCGATTACGCCCTCTGCTGGCGGCAGGGACCAGTTCTCCTTTACCCTTTAGACTCTGGAGGGAGAAAATCAGAAACCAACCTTTCTAAAAAGGAAAGAGTTCCCATGCCTAGACAACCCATACCTACCAAGACATGGGATCCTCTAAATCACCTTCCTTCCTTCAGCGCCCCCAATCCTGCCCCTTTGGTTCCCCTCTCAGGTCCCTCCGGCTGTGGTTTCAGGTTACTCCCCAGCTGTTTCAGGCCACGCCCCAGCCTGTGCTGTCCCTTCAGCTGAGGTTTCAAGTTACTCCCCAGCCGCTTCAGGCCACAACCCACCAAGTTAAAACTATATTAAATCAAAACGCAAGGAGGGAGATTACCAACTCAAAAATTTTAAAATATGAGGCTATCTTTCTGGGAAAAAGGTGATTTAATATTAAGTACTAATAATTCACTTTATTCAGCAGGCTCTTTAACGGGGGATCCAAACGTAAAACGAGAGAGCACGCGTGTTTAAATCGAATTAATTACCATACGAAAGTTCAACCAGACTTAGGAAAAACTCCCTTCAAGACAGGGTGGCACTTATTCATAGATGGAACCTCCCAGGTGATTAAAAGAAAGAGACATAATAGGTATTCAGTGATTAATGGAAAGACTGTTAAAAAAGTAAAATCAGGAAGGGGGTCTAATAATTGGTCTGTCCAAGGGTGTGAACTGTTTGCACTCAGCCAAGCTTTAGGACATTTACAAAACCAAGAAAATCTATCTATACTGACTCTAAGTATCCCTCTGGGGAGGCACACACATTTGGGAAAATTTGGATGGAGAGGGCTCTTATCAATAGTAGAGGCCAAGATTTAGTTCATAGAGAACTGATGCTCGTGTCCTCAACAATCTCCAATTGCCAGAAGAGATAGCTATTGTACATGTCCCAGGGCACCAAAACGACTCGCCTTTCACAAGTCCAGGAAATAATCTTGCAGATCAAATTGTGATACCCTATCTTGTTTTATCCTGATTGACTCTTTCTTAGCTGAGAGAGTCAATAGCTTGGGAGACTCAATTGAGAGTCAATATCGAGAGAGTCAATAGCTGAGAGAGTCTTAGCTTGGTTTCTTCGCTTGCAGCCCCTTGTCCCCCTCCTTAAGGACATAACTGGTGCAAGCTGACTCCAAGCACATCCAAGAATGCGCTTATTGATAAGATACTGAGGCAAGCTGTACCAGCAGCTCCTGGGAGCACACTTGGTTGGTGGTATCCAAAGCCCCTGCTTTTATCACTTTGGGATACTTTAAGCCCCTGCACCTGGAACTGTTTATTTTCCTGTAACTGTTTCTGTAACCATTTATCTTTTAATTTTTTCCTGTTCTGCTTCTGTAAAAAATTGCTTCAGCTAGACTCCCCCTCCCCTCTTTAGGCCAAGGTATAAAAAGAACTCTAGCCTCTTCTTCCGGACCGAGAGAATTTCAAGCTCTAGCTCTTTCTCAGTCGCCAGCAATAAAGGACTCCTGAATTAGTCTCAGAGTGTGGCATTCTCTCTATGACTTGCTCGGTTACGACATTTGGAAGCCCCAGAGAGATTCGCCACCGGGTGAAGACCTGACTCATTCCGGGCTTCCCCAGACAGACAGCTGGCTTACAGGGCCACCTGAAGACGTTCCAGGGCTCCACAGGCCACTGTCTTCTGGAGGGGAACGGATCGACTGCCGGTGCGCCCAGCCAAATTCAACTCCTGAGTCCTCAGTCTCTAGTCCCGGGAAGGTAAGTCAGATCTGACTCTGTCTCTCTGGGAGGGAAACGGCCCTGACGAAGGTCCTCCCTCAGACTCTGTCCATGCTCCAGGACACTGGAGGACAGAGTCCTGGTTTCTGTCAGGATTCTCTGTTAAGTCTAGTCTCTCTCTCTCTCTATCTCTTCTCCCTCTCTCATTCAGGTCTCCGGGAGATCTCTGTTTTAGAATGGGTATAAAAATTGTAATAAACTCTGAGTGAGTGAGTGAGTGAGTGAATGTGGAGTTCAAGGGCTTGCGCTTGAATTTCCAGTTTGTAGCTCCAGGGTGAAAGCTAGGGAATTCGAGAAGGCCCTCACCTGTGGTTCCGTGGTGACCTCATAAGGCTTAGGGCGGCATCAGGCATAGCTCGATCCAAGCCAGGGGTTTATACCAGCCTGCCAATGCCAAGAGGAGCCTAAGTCCCCGAAAGGGGAGCAGCCAGGAGGGCATCTGACTGATCCCATCACGGGACCCCCTCCCCTTGTCTGTCTATAAAAATTGCCATGCTTGTTTATATACCCCAGTGCCTATTGTCCTGTTTAGTGTCTGTCTAAATTTCATATGTCGGATCGTCGATACTGCCCAAAATGACTGGGCAAGGACTTCTTCAAGGTCCTTAGTACAGATTTTCTATCCCAGGAGGTCAAATTCCTCATTAGTCGGTTGGGCTGGCCATCCCAGTCCTGCCTTTCCTGTCAGAAACAAATTAGGTGTTGTTATGGGGAAGGGTGTGGAAGACATTCACCCGTTTAGGATTTCTGGCACCATAAAGATTGCTGGCGTTTGGATTGCCATACCCCACGCCCCAACGACTGGTCCACCTTCTCCTTAGACCAGTGGTGGATCCAAAATAGCCACCCTGCTGACCTCCTTACTCACCTTTTCTGTCATCCCATAACTTTTCCCATGCCCTTAAATAAGGCACTGTGCAGAGAAACCTACACCCATACTGCTCTACTCTGTCTGGACTCTTATTTTACCTCTTTTGGCTACTCTCCAACCTTTAGGGAAATCCAAGTGGCCCCTTTCCTCCTCATCCCCATCCCTTACCCTGCACATCTCATTTTCCTGTGTTGCAGCAAGTCCAGCGTCTCTAAGACTTGGCTGTGTTCTCCCTCCTTAAACCCGTGAAGGAAAGGACCGAGTTTGAACATTTTGCTTTCGAGTCGTGGAGACACCAAAGTTATTTGGGATATAAGTCAAGAAGGGGGGGTCACCTAAGTCCCACTGGCTGAGGATCCCTTGGACCCACCTCTTATCCTCTCCATAGATCTCGAAGCTTGAGGAGACAGACCTTATGTGGCAAGAAATATTGGCTATAGTTGTTTTCCTACTTCTTCTAGCTATAATACTTCTGTTCTTCTGATACCATAGCCTCCCAGGCCGTGAATATCTTTGTCCATGCTGGGTTTAATATTTTTGTTCAAACCTTGTTAATTGCCTCCAGAATAGTAAACTCTTCTTCCCGGCCCCATAAAGATTGGAGTCCTCTCCAGTGTATGTTGCAGAATTTCTCTCTAGGCTTCTCAGATGATTACGGGGTCCGCCTTAAAAAAGGCAAACTCTGGACACTCTGCGAAGTAGAATGGCCAAAGTTTGGAACTGGGTGGCCCCCAGACGGGTCACTACACTTCACAGCTGTTCAGGCTGTGTGGTGGGTCGTTGTTGGAACTCCCGGTCACCCCGATCAGTTTCCCTACATTGATCAATGGCTAGATTTAGTCCAGAGCTCTCCTTCATGGCTCCACTCGTGATAAAACTCTGTAGCCATTCGTGATCCTACCTCCAAGGTCCTTTTTAGCCAGACCTCACTTTTGCCTCCACCCTCAGCTCCCTCGATTCCTCCTGTACTGCCTCCTTCTGAAGAAGAGGAAAGTTTTCTTCACCCATTTCCACCACCCTATAACCCTCCTCCTCCCCCAGAATCTTCCCTTGTCTCCTCAACTACATCCTCTGTGGCCTCTCTGCCTATATCCTCCCAATTATGGCCTCAGCCGGAGGAGGTGGCCCCGCTCCTCCCACTGACAGAGGCCCAAATCCCTTTGGGCAGTGGGCGTTGTGCTCCATTTTTAGTTTATGTCCCCTTCTCTACTTCTGACCTGTACAACTGGAAGGCTCATAATCCCCCCTTTTCTGAAAAGCCCCAGGTCTTAACCTCACTGATGGAGTCTGTGCTCCAGACTCACCGGCCCACCTGGGATGAGTGTCAGCAACTCCTTTCATCCCTTTTCACCTCTGAAGAGAGGGACCATATCTGAAGAGAAGCCAGAAAGTATTTCCTTACATCAGCCAGCTTTTAGAGATAGCCCAGAGAGTTTTCGACAATCGAGAATTTGAAAAGCAAAAACAGGTAGCTCAGGCAGCTGAAAGGGCTGCAGACAAAGCATCAAAAAGACAGGCAAAAAGCTTAGTGGCTGCCATCCAAGAAGCCAAAAAGGAAGGGCCCCCATCACAGAGCACTGACCAGGGGACCCCGAGTCCCCACCAGGAAGGCCAGAAACGTGAGAGGACTCCCCTATAAAGAAACCAATGTGCTTCTTGCAAGCAGATTGGACACTGGAGAAAGGAATGCCCATTAAAGCCAGAGGAGAAACCAGAAAAGAAAAAGGTCCTCACCCTGCCCCGCAGCAGAGGAATCTGATGATTGACGGGGCCAGGGCTCTTTGTCACTTGGCCCCGGGAACCCATGGTGACCACCACAGTGGGGGGCCAGCCTGTACGCTTCCTAATTGACACCGGGGTGGAACACTCAGTACTCCAGACACCCTTAGGCAGTGTCTAATAAAAAGGTTGCTGAGTAAAGGGCTACTGGAGCTATTCAGGAATATCCTGTCACCCACTCACGAGAGGTGAGTTTAGGACAGAAAAGAGTAACCCACTTGTTCCTCGTGGTCCCAGAGTGCCCCTTCTCCCTCCTCGGATGAGACCTGCTTCATAAGCTACAGGCGTCCATCTCCTTCTCGGCCCAACAAACTCACCTCATGTTAGGGGACACAATGCCCCCTACTGCTCAGCTCCTGCTAACCACCCTTCGGTCAGAGGAATATCTCTTAGTTTCACCCTCACAACTGCCGGAGAATAAAAGTAATCCTCTCCTACTGGCTTTACAGACTCTGTTTCCTCATACCTCCCAGGACTGGCAAACCACCATCTGCCAGCTGTTGTAGAACTCCTGGCCACCACCCTGCCGGTCCAGGTCAAACAATATCCTATGATTCTGTGGGCTATAGAGGGAATTAATCCTCATATTCAGCAACTATTACAAGCTGGTATACTCACACCATGTGAGATCGCCTGGAATATTCCATTTTTGCCGGTCCAGAAACCCGGAACAAATGATTACCAGCCTGTACAGGACTTGCAGGAAGGTAACAAGCAGACAGTCACTGTCCATCCAACTGTCTCTAACCCTTATACTTTACTCAGCCTGCTCCCACCAGAACATATGGTGTACACTGTCCTTGACTTCAAGGATGCTTTTTTTTGCTATTCCTCTGGCCCCAAAAGTCAACCTATCTTTGCTTTTGAACAGACATATCCTGGCTCGGTAGACACCACCCAATTAACCTGGACTTGGTTACCCCGAAGTTTTAAAAATTCCCCCACCCTTTTTAGGGAAGCCCTCCAACAGGATCTTTTACCATTCTGAGCCAGTCACCCTAACTGCACTCTTCTCCAGTATGTAGACGACCTGTTATTGGCTACTGAAACTACTGACAGCTGCCTGCAACATACTACGGACCTACTTTACCTCCTTCAGGAATTCGGGTATCAGGTCCCAGCCAAGAAGGCCCAGCTTTTTCTTCCCAGCATTTCCTACCTAGGGTATGAGACAAATGAAGGAAAAAGGGCACTCACCAGTGCTCGAAAGGCAGCCATCCTTCAAATCCCCACTCCCACCACTAAGAGACAGGTACATGAATTCCTGGGCACCGTGGGATATGGTCGCCTATAGATATTGGGGTTCATGGAAATTGCCAAACCCCTGTACACCACTACTGGAGGGAATACCCCGCTGGTTTGGACTGACAAAGAAGAACAGGCTTTTCAAAATCTGAAGAAGGCACTAACTGAGGCCCCTGCTCTTGCCCTCCCAAATATCTCAAAACCATTTCACCTTTTTGTTCATGAAAACCAAGGAGTCGCTAAAGGGGTACTTACTCAGACTTTAGGGCCATGGCAACACCCAGTGGCCTATTTGTCTAAGAGACTGGACCCTGTGGCCTCTGGGTGGCCAAGTTGTCTGTGAGCCATAGTGGCAACAGCAAGCCAGGTCCAGGAGGCTGATAAACTGACTCTGGGCCAGAATTTAACCCTTACGGCTCCTCATGCTGTAGAGACCTTGCTACAAAGTGCTTCTGGCAAATGGATGTCGAATGCTCGCATCTTGCGGTATCAGAGTTTACTGTTAGATCAGCCGCGTTTAACTTTCTCTCCCACAAGGTGTTTAAATCCAGCTACCTTGTTCCCTGATCCAGACCTTACCACACCTGTCCATGACTGCCAAGAACTGTTAGAAACTATGGAAACTGGCTGACCTCATCTCCAAGATGTGCCTCTAAAGGAGGTGGATGCCACCGTGTTTACAGATGGTAGCAGCTTCCTTGAACAGGGAGTACAGAAGGCTGGTGTGGCCATTACTATGGAGACAGATGTACTGTAGGCCCAGGCACTGCCGGCAGGTACCTTGGCACAGAGGACTGAGTTGGTAACCCTGACTCAGGCCCTCCAATAGGGTAAAGACAAATGTATTAACATCTACACTGACAGCAGGTATGCTTTTGCTACTGTACATGTACACAGAGCCATCTATCAAGAGCGAGGGCTACTCACCTCAGCAGGAAAGAGTGTCAACAACAAAGAAGAAATTTTAGCCCTGCTTGAAGCTGTTTGGCTCCCTCAACAGGTGGCTGCAATTCACTGCAAAGGACATCAAAGAGAAGACATGGCCATTGCTCGTGGTAACCAAAGAGCAGACTCTGCAGCTTGAGAGGCAGCTCAGCTCCTGGTCGTGCCTTTAACCCTGCTGCCCTCTGTGTCCTTTCCACAACTGACTGGGCAGACTACCCAGAATACTCCCCAGAGGAAGAAAAACAAGCTTCGGATCTTCAAGCCAGTAAAAATCAGGAAGGTTGGTGAATTCTTCCTGATTCCAGAATCTTCATGCCCCAAGCCCTTGGGGAAACTTTTATCAATCATCTACATTCTACCACCCATTTAGGAGGAGTAAAACTGGCCCAGCTTCTAAGGAGCCATTTCAAGATCCCCCACCTTCAGGACTTAACTAACCAAGCAGCTCTCCAGTAAACGGCTTGTGCCCAAGTAAACACCAAGCAAGGTCCTAAGCCCAGCCCAGGCCACCGCCTCCAGGGAGGCTTGCCAGGAGGAAGGTGGGAAATTGACTTTACAGAGGTAAAACCACACTTGGCAGGGTATAAATACCTCCTGGTGCTAGTAGACACCTTTTCTGGATGGACTGAGGCATTTGCCACCAAAAACGAAACTGCTACCACGGTAGTTAAGCTTTTACTCAATGAAATCATCCCTCAACATGGACTGCCTGTTGTAATAAGGTCTGATAATGGACCAGCCTTCACCTCGTCCATAGCTCAGTCGGTCAGCAAGGCATTAAACATTCAATGGAAACTCCATTGTGCCTATCGACCCCAGAGCTCTGGACAAGTAGAATGCATGAACCCCATCCTAAAAAGTACTCTTGCAAAATTAATCCTAGAAACCAGTGAAAACTAGGTAAAGCTCCTTCCTTTAGCCCTTCTTAGAGTAAGATGCACCCCTTACCAGGCTGGGTTTTCACCTTTTGAAATCATGTATGGAAGGGCTCCGCCTATCTTGCCTAAGCTAAAGGATACCCATTTAGCAGAAATCTCACAAGCTAACTTGTTACAGTACCTGCAGTCTCTCCAACGGGTACAAGACATCATCCAGCTGCTTGTCAGGGGAGCACACCCCAGCCCAGTTCCTGACCAGACTGGGCCCTGCCACTCTTTCCAGCTGGGTGACCTAGTGTATGTTAAAAAGTTCCAGAAAAAAGGACTGACTCCTGCCTGGAAAGGACCTCATACTGTCATCCTCACCACACCAACAGCTCTGAAGGTGGACGGCACTCCTGCTTGGATTCATCATTCTCGCATCAAAAAGGCCAACAAAGCCCAGCAAAAAAAATGGGTCCCCAAGCCTAGGCCAGGCCCCTTAAAACTGCGCCTAAGTTGAGTAAAGCTATCGAATTAATTCTTTTTATTTACCTCTTCTGTCTGTTTCCACCTGTTATGTCCTCTGCCCCTTCCTACTCTTTTCTCCTCACTTCCTTCATGACAGGATGTGTGTTTGCAAACACCACTTGGAAGGTGGGACCCTCCAAGGAAGTCTCTTTTGTAGTCGGTTTATGTGCTTTGTTCCCCGACCCTGCCCATACCCTTGAAGAGCAATGCAATCTGCCGATCATGAGAGCAGGGAACGCTGACCTTGCTGCAGGGTTCGGACACACCAGAAGCCAAACTGGATGTGGAAGTTCTAAGGGTGCAGAAAAAAGGCTCCAGAGCGTTGACTTTTACCTTTGTCCTGGAAATCGCCCTGACTCTAGTTGTCGAGATTCTTACCAGTTTTTCTGCCCTTACTGCATGTGTGTAACCTTGGCCACTTACTCTGGAGGATGAACCTGATCCTCAACCCTTTCCATAGCTTGTGCTTCCCATCCTAAGCCGTGTACTATAGGAAATTGTAATCCTCTTACTATAACTCTCCGTAACCCTAGTTTAACTCAATGGTATTACAGCATGTCATAGGGATTAAGGCTTTATATTTCAGGATTTGATGTTGGAACTATGTTCACCATCCAGAAAAAATTCCTGGTCCCATGAAGCCAATCAGAACTTTAACTGATTTAGGTGACCCTATGTTCCAAAAACACCCAGAGAGAGTCGATTTAACTGTCCCACTGCCATTCCTGGTTCTGAGACCCCAGCTGCAATGACAATACCTCCAACCCAGCCCGATGTCCATTTTGGACGGGATACATCACCTCCTTAATCTCACCAAGCCTAAACTAGCCTGAGATTGCTGGTTGTGCCGAAAGGCCAAACCCCCATATTATGTTGGATTAGGAGTAGAAGCCATGCTCAAAATGGACTCTCTTTCTTGTCATACGTGCCCCCATGCCCTTACACTAGGAGATGTGTCAGGGAATGCCTTCTGTCTAATTAGCGCAAGGTATAACTTACCTGCTTCTCCCTTTCAGGCTACTTGTAGTGAGTCTCTCCTTACTTCCTTAAACCCCTCAGTCTCCTACCAGGCACCCAAAAATACCTGGTTGGCCTGCATTTCAGGCCTCACTCGCTGCATCAATGGGACTGAACCTGGACCTCTCCTATGCATGTTGATTCATGTACTCCCCCAGATCTACATGTACAGTGGGCCAGAAGGACAACTTCTCATTGCTCCCCCTGAATTGCATTTCAGGTTTCACCGAGCTGCCCTACTCCTTGTACCCCTTCTAGCTGGCCTTAGCATAGCTACGTCAGCAGCTATTGGCACGACTGCCCTGATTCAAGGAGAAACTGGACTAATATCACTATCTCAACAGGTAGATGCTGATTTAAGCAATCTCCAATCAGCCATAAATATACTACATGCCCAGGTAGAGTCTCTAGCTGAAGTAGTTCTTCAAAACCGCCGAGGCTTAGATCTGCTATTTATCTCCCAAGGAGGTTTATGCACAGCTCTAGAAGAAAGTTGTTGTTTCTATGCCAATCAGTCTGGAGTCATAAAAAATACTCTTCAAAGAGTTCGAGAAAATCTAGATAGATGCCAGAAGGAACAAGAAAGTAACACCACCTTTCTCATTCCTGGAGTACCAAAGTACCAAAGCATGTTTAACTGGAATCCCTGGCTAACTACTCTAATTACTGGGTTGGCGGGACCCCCTTCTCCTCCTCTTGTTAGGGTTAGTCTTCAGGCCTTGTATATTAAATTGGTTTCTTAATTTTGTAAAGCAACGCATAGCTTCTGTCAATCTTATGTATCTTAGAACCCAATATAACACCCTTGTTATAACCGAGGAATCAATGATCTGATTCCCCCAAACACGAGTGGGAAATGTGATACCCTAACTTCTTTTAACCTGATTGACTCTCTCTTAGCTGAGAGAGCTGGACAGACTCCATTTTGGTTTCTTCACTTGCAGCCCCTTGTCCCCCTCCCTTAAGGACATAACTGGTGCAAGCTGACTCCAAGCACATCCAAGAATGCGCTTACTGATAAGATACTGAGGCAAGCTGTACCAGCAGCTCCTGGGAACGCACTCGGTTGACGGTGCCCAAAGCCTTTGCGTTTATCACTTTGTGATAATTTAAGCCCCTGCACCTGGAACTGTTTATTTTCTTATTACTGTTTCTGTAACCATTTATCTTTCAACTTTTTTGCCTGTTCTGCTTCTGTAAAAAATTGCTTCAGCTACACTCCTCCTCCCCTCTTTAGACCAAGGTGTAAAAAGATGTGTAGCCCCTTCTTCGGGGCTGAGAGAATTTTGAGCTCTAGCCGTCTCTCGGTTGCTGGCAATAAAGGATCACTGAATTAGTCTCAGACTGTGGCATTCTCTCTATAACTCAGTCGGTTACAATAAAATAGCAAAACAAGTTGCCATTTCTTCCATTTAACTCCATGCCCTCCTCCTACTGTAACCCGTTTTCTCTTCCATTGAACAAAAGACGTTGATAAAAATAGGAGCTAAAGAAAATGCGGATAGGAAATGGATATTATCAGATCAAAGGGAAATGTTGTCAAAACCTCTCATGAGGGAAGTCTTGTCTCAATTACATCAAGGGACCCATTGGGGACCCCAAGCAATGTGCAATGCAGTTCTCCGGGTTTATGGGTGTATAAGAATTTACACCCTGGCCAAACAAGTTATAGATAGTTGCTTAACATGTAAAAAAAGCTAATAAGCAGGATCTAAGGAAATTGCGCCTTGGTGGAAGAAATCCAGCACTGAGACCATTTCAAAGTGTTCAGATCAATTACACTGAAATGCCTCCAATTGGTAGTTATACTTATTAGTAATAATAGACCATTTTACCCACTGGGTAGAGGCAATCCCATTCTCACGTGCAACCTCCAGTAATGTAGTTAAAGCGCTAATTGAAAACATCATACCCAGATTTGAACTAATAGAAAATACTGATTCAGATACTGCAACCCATTTCACTGTGCATGTCATTAAGAAGTTAGCACAGGTACTAGATATACATTGGGAATACCATACTCCTTGGCATCCATCCTCCACAGGAAGAGTAGAGTGGATGAATCAGACTCTAATAAACCACTTAACTTAGTTTTAGAAACTCGATTGCCATGGACTAAATATACTCCTATTGCTTGGTTAAGAATCCGGACTGCCCCTTGGAAAGATATTGGCCTGTCACCTGAGGAAACGCTCTATGGAATGCCCTACTTACACTCCATTGCTGACATCCCTATGTTTGAAACAAAGGATCATTTCCTCAAAAATTATATACTTGGTCTAGGCTCTACCTTCTTTTCCCTTGGGACTAAAGGTCTCCTAGCACAGGCATCACCCCTGGAGTTTCCAGAACATCAGCATTGGCCTTGAGACCATGTTCTCATCCAAGGGTAGAAGAAAAGGAAGCTCGAACCAGCCTGGGAAGGACCCTACCTAGTGCTCCTATGTACTGAGACTGCAGTCTGGACAACAGAAAGAGGATGGACTCATCACACCCGAGTCAAGAAGGTGCCGCCACCTCCAGAATCATGAACTGTCACTCCACAGCCCACCCCCACCAAATTAACTCTAAAAAGAGCTTAATAATCACTTATTTATTCTCTTTTTTCTTTTCAACAGAAGGTCATCTTGTCATCAGTGTAACTCAGGCTAGTCATTTTTTAACCCTTCAGTTTGATGCCTGTTCAGTCATCCCGTATGGAGATGAGCAAGGTCAAAAGAAGCTAGCCCATGTTGATAAGTGTCTATGTCTATACCACAAAAAATCAAGCATGTATAAGTATGGAGTGTTAAAAGTCCCAGTGGTGACTGGGCAGATGTTTGGTGGACTAATAAGTACAAAGGGTGGAGAGCCAAGCTCCCTGCTTCAAATAAATTATGACGACCAAAACAAAAAACTCCAACTAGTCCCTGGTCCCACCCCACCAAATTGTAAGCCATGACACTGTAACCCCTTGTTGCTGATTATAAATAATCCCCGGACCATGGCCCAAGAGCCCTCTATATTCAAACAGTATGGGCTAGGAGGAGATGTTGAAGGACAGATCCATTTCTTAGAGAAATGAATGTGACAATGAAAAATGACACTACTCTTCGTTCATTTTTCTTTGACAAAATAATTTTTCTGTCAATTTTGTATGTATTTAATTTTAACCAAGTAAAGCTTCTTATGG
The DNA here is from genome assembly GCF_000001405.40 of Homo sapiens. Taxonomy (NCBI): domain Eukaryota; kingdom Metazoa; phylum Chordata; class Mammalia; order Primates; family Hominidae; genus Homo; species Homo sapiens. The sequence continues at coordinate 134,559,688 of NC_000007.14, forward strand.
ACATATATTCATCAGATTTAAAAAATGAGTTTCTTAAAGGTGCAAAACCAGGAATAGCTTGGTAAATTCATGAAGCTAGAAAGTAGCTAATCAAAGTTCTTATTAAACCTTCTGGGGTTGATTAAGAGTAGCCAAAATTATGCCAGGTGCAGTGGCTCACGCCTGTAATCCCAGCACTTTGGGAGGCCAAGGCAGGCAGATCCCAAGGTCAGGAGATTGAGACCATCCTGGCCACCATGGTGTAACCTCGTCTCTAACAAAAACACAATAATTAGCTGGGTGTGGTGGTGTGCACCTGTAGTCCTAGCTACTTGGGAGGCTGAGGCAGGAGAATTGCTTGAACCCGGGAGGCAGAGGTTGTAGTGAGCTGAGATTGGGCAACTGCACTCCAGCCTGGGTGACAGAGCGAGACTCCACCTAAGAAAAAAAAAAAACTATTAGCGAAAATTCCTTGTAACAAATCCCCTCAAGAGGTGAAATCTATTTCCCTACTCCTTGGCCCCGTCCTGGCCTTGAGACTTGCTTTGATCAATAGAAGGTGACAGAAGTGACACTGCACACATTCCAAGGGTAGGCCTCCTACAATGCTGCTACCTATGAACAAGCCCAAGTTAGCCTCATGGAAAACGGAAAACACATAAAGAGGGTCCCTGTCTTCCCTGACAACCCAGTCCACCCAGTGAGGCCCACAGAGGTGAGGAAACCCAGCTGATACCACGTGGTTCTGAGATCGGCTTATCAGCTGATTCCTGCCCAAATTGCCAACCCACAAAATCACGAGCAAATAAATGGTTGCTGTAATAACCAGTTGGGTTGTTACACGAAAACAGCTAATAGATATACCTTCTTAATCTCAATTATCTAAAAAAGATATCCCTCCTCACTGATTCATAGCTAAGTGGTTCTAGAAGGAATATTTTTATGAATAATACACATTTCTTTATTCTGTGCATCACATGAAAATGGTCAGAATCAAAATGGAGTCACTAATGTTAAAAAACAAACAAAAGACTCTGACAAATACAGCTGGGAAGACCATGAAAAGAGGGTTCTAATGGTTGTACACCTGAAAACCAAAAGTACCACGAAAGACGGCGAACACCACAACCTTGAGCAAAGGCCATTCCAACTGAACAGAAAACATACTCTGCAAGGACCTCTGAACAACTGCCTGTCCAACCTCAGACTAACACCACTTTCGTGATTGATCTTTGGAGCCAAGGCTAATTAATTCAAAGAAATTAGATAATCCTCATTTTTTCCTTAAAAAATTTTTGTTTTCCTTTATTTTCCCAAATATACACATAGTTTACTGTGGCATGCATACTCCCATTGCAGTGGTCTATTCCCAGAGAAATATTTTTCTTTTAGGGACCTCTCTCTGTTATTTAGGTTTATAGTCACAAAGGATTTACTATTTCAACAATACTAGCACTGCATATCATCCAGTATACACTGGGAAAATAAGGTGCCCCATGTGCAGATCCAGGAGACTTTGTGACCACCAGATTATGAGGCATGCATGTATTTATTTATTTATTTTTGAGATGGAGTCTCTATCTGTCACCCAGGCTGGATTCCAGTGGCATAATCTTGGCTCACTGCAATCTCCACCTCCTAGGTTCAAGTGATTCTCAGGCCTCCCAAGCAGCTGGGACTACAGATACGAGCCACCTATGTGGCTAATTTTAGGATTTTTAGCAGACACAGGGTTTCACCATGTTGGCCAGGCTAGTTTCAAACACTTGAGCTCAAGTGATCCACCTGCCTTGGCCTCCCAAAATGCTGGGATTACAGGTGTGAGACACCATGCCCGGACCATGCATGTATTATTAATGTTGAAGTAGATAATTTAACAAACATCAATGAAGTGTTAACATTTTTCACTCATAGGTGCAAAATATCATGCCAATTGCCTTCTATGAGCTGTCGTAAGCCACAGCCTAGAGATTCAATTCCATTTCAAGATTCAACCAAAGCCAACTCATCAACAAGAACATGTAAAAGACAGAAAAACCCACTACCGGCAGGCTGAAACAGATGCTGTGACGTGGCCCTGGCCTGTCATGGCATGTCACAGCATGGCACAGGCCTATATCATGTTCCCTAGACTGCTGACTACCAACTAGTTACAGCTGACTCCAATCAGGTCGGGATTTGACCATCTCTGCACTGAACCTGCAATTGTAACTTTTAAAATTGAAACGCTGCTTCTCACCTCTCCTCCCTAGACTCCATTTCACAGGGAAACCATCACAGGGAAAGAAAGCCTTTGTTTTTTCTTCCTTCTTTGCTTTGCTTTCTCTCTTTCTTTTACACAGGGTCTCACTGTGTCGCCCAGGCTGGAGTGCAGTGGCACAATCTCGGCTCACTGCAACTTCCACCTCCTAGGTTCAAGCAATTCTCCTGTCTCAGCCTCCCAAGTAGCTGGGATTACAGACATGTGCCACTGTGTCTGGAGTTGATTCCTTCCAGTGGTTTTGTGGTCTGGCTGACTTCAAGACTGGAGCAGCGGACCTTCACAGTGAGTGTTACAGTTCTTAAAGATGGCACAGACCCAAAGAGTGAGCAGCAGGAAGATTTATTTTGAACAGCGGAAGAACAATGCTTCCACATCCTGTAAGGGTACCTAAGCGGGTTGCCTAAGCGTTGCTGCTGGGGGCTGGGGTGACCAGCTTTAATTCCCTTATTTGTCCCTACCCACTTCCTGTTGATTGGTCCATTTTACAGAGTGCTGATTGGTCCATTTTACAGAGTGCTGATTGGTCTATTTTACAGAGTGCTGATTGGTCCATTTTACAGAGCGCTGATTGGTCCATTATACGGAGCACTGATTGGTCCATTTTACAGAGTGCTGATTAGTCCATTTTACAAACCTCTAGCTAGCCACAGAGCACTGATTGGTGCATTTTACAATCCTAGCTACAGAGTGCTGATTGGTGCATCTTACAATCCTCTTGTAAGATAGAAAATTTCTCCGAGTCCCCACCCAACCCAGAAGTCCAGCTGGCTACACCTCTCACCACCACACCTACCTAATTTCTGTATTTTTAGTAGAGAGGGAGTATCACCATGTTGGCCAGGCTTCTTTCTTAATCTTTTCTTTTCTTTCTTTCCTTCCTTCCTTTCTTCCTTCCTTCCTTTCTCTTTCTTTCTTTCTTTCTTTCTTTCTTTCTTTCTTTCTTTCTTTCTTTCTTTCTTTCCTTCTTTCTTCCTTCCTTCTTTCCTTCCTTCCTTGCTCCCTTCCTTCCTTTACTCTCTTTCTGTCTTTTTCTGTCTGTTTTCTCTATTCCTTACTCTTCCCTCATTCCTTCCCTCCCTCCCCCAACTCTTCTTTCCTTCCTTTCTCTCTCCCTCCCTACTTTCCAACTTTGGGCTGTGTTGAATTTGTTGACTCATCGTGAACAAACAGAAACTCCAATGATACTGTTACCCAAGAGAACTTTGCAAAAGGTTGTCATGTTTAATAATTCATTCACAGAATCCTCAATCTCACAAAAGCCTGGAATGGATTTTCTGTTTGGACAGGGCAGGGAAGCTACTGTGGCCAGGCTCCAGCTCTTCCCACTGCAGCTAGCACAAGCCTTCTAAAGCAGGATGTGGCCAGGCACAGCTCATGCCTGTAATCCCAGCACTTTGGCAGGCCGAGGTGGGTGGATCACCTGAGGTCAGGAGTTTGAAACCAGTCTGTCTCTACTAAAAATACAAAAGTTAGATGGGAGTGATGGTGGGTGCCTGTAATCGCAGCTATTCAGGATGCTGAGGCAGGAGAATTGCTTGAACCTGGGAGACAGAGGTTGCAGTGAGCCAAGATCACACCACTGCACTCCAGCCTGGGCATCAGAGCAAGACTCCGTCTCAAAAACAAACAAACAAAAAGCAGTGAGAGGTGAAGCCACCTGGACTTCCTGGGTTGAGTGGAGACTTGGAGAACTTTTCTCTTTAGCTAGCAGATTGTAAAGTCACCAATCAGTGCTCTGTGTCTGGCTAAAGGATTGTTAATGCACCAATCAGCACTCTGTAAAAATGTACCAATCTTTCATCCCATCTCATCCCATCTTTCAGTCACTTCACAAATGGTTCCTAGTAGATACAAAACAGTTTTTTCTCCAATGGGAAAACAGAAAACAGCCACTCAGTTTGCTCCCAACACCCGTTTCTAGCCGCTTACCACAGCTACCTTGGCAAGTACTCTAGGAGTATGGGAAAATGAAAACGACAAACTCACACACCTTTTTAACATACACAACCAGTTCTGACTACCTAGCCAAGGCAGATTCTTCTTCTGTGGAATGTCAACCTATATCTGCCTCCCGACCAACTGGACAGGCACCTGCAACCTTAGTCTTCCTATGTCCCAACATTAACATTGCCCCAGGAAATCAGACCCTATCAGTGCCCCTCAAAACTCAAGTCCGTCAGCACAGAGCCATACAGCTAATACCCCTGCTTATAGGGTTAGGAATGGCTACTGCTATGGGAACCGGAATAGCCAGTTTATCTACTTCATTATCCTACTATCACACACTCTCAAAGGATTTCTCAGACAGTTTGCAAGAAATAACAAAATCTATCCTTACTCTACAGTTCTAAATAGACTCTTTGACAGCAGTGACTCTCCAAAACCACTGAGGCCTAGGCCTCCTCACTGCTGAGAAAGGAGGGCTCTGCATCTTTTTAGGGGAAGAGTATTGTTTTTACACTAACCAGTCAGGGATAATACGAGATGCTGCCCGGCGTTTACAGGAAAAGGCTTCTGAAATCAGGCAATGCCTTTCTAATTCTTACACCAACCTCTGGAGTTGGGCGACATGGCTTCTCCCCTTTCTAGGTCCCATGAAAGCCATCTTGCTATTACTCACCTTTGGGCCCTGTATTTTTAACCTCCTTGTCAAATTTGTTTCCTCTAGGATCGAGGCCATCAAGCTACAGATGGTCTTACAAATGGAACCCCAAGTGAACTCAACTAACAACTTCCACCAAGGACCCCTGGACCAACCCGTTGGCCCTTTGACTGGCCTAAAGAGTTCCCTTCTGAAGGACACTACAAGTGCAGGGCCCCTTCTTCGCCCCTATCCAGCAGTAAGTGGCTAGAGAGGTCATCACCCAATTCCCAACAGCAGTTGTGGTGTCCTGTTTAGATGGGGGATTGAGAGGTGAAGCCAGCTGGACTTCCTGGGTCAAGTGGGGACTTGGAGAACTTTTCTGTCTAGCTAGAGGATTGTAAATGCACCAATCAGTGCTCTGTGTCTAGCTAAAGGATTGTAAATGCACCAATCAGCACTCTGTAAAAACGCAGCAATCAGCACTCTGTAACTAGCTAAAGGGTTGTAAATGCACCAATCAGCACTCTGTAAAATGGAACAATCTGCAGGATGTGGGCAAATAATGGAATAAAAGCTGGCCACCCCAGTCAGCAGCAGCAGGGAACCGCTCAGATACCCTTCCACACCGTGGAAACTTTGTTCTTACCCTCTTGACGAAAAATCTTGCTGCTGCTCACTCTTTGGGTCCACACCACCTTTAAGAGCTACAACGATCACCACGACAGTCTGCGGCTTCATTCTTGAAGTCAGCGACACCACAAACCCACCAGAAGGGAGAAACTCCAGACACATCTGAAGGAACAAACTCCAGACACAACATCTTTAACAGCTGTAACACACACTGTGAAGGTCCACGGCTTCATTCTTGAAGCCAGCGAGACCACGAACCCTCTGGAAGGAACCAACTCTGGACACAGCAGGACGTGAGACTTCTACCTGCTCACTCAGAATCATTTCCGCACCAACCATGGCCACGTTTGTGGAGCTCAGTACAAAAGCCAAGATGCCCATTGTGGGCCTGGGCACTTGGAGGGTAAATATGCAAATCTTTGCACAACTTTCTTCTCTGGAGGGCTGTTTGGGTGTTTTCTCTTTCTACATTCAGCCAGAAAAGCCTGGAGGTCGGGTAGGGGTTTGGAGAGGTGAATTTCAGTCCTGGAGCTGGGACTCGGGTTGCTTTCTTTTCTCAAAGCTGATTCAAGCTGCAATGCTGCAAGACTGGCTTTCCCAGCAGTGATGAGAACTCCTCTAGCAAGTATCAAATTTCAAGCAGAGTTGGACTTAAAATTGTTTTCCAGGGCAGTTTCTCTCTCTGGCTCTAGGACACTTAATTGGGCACAAGGTTTCCCCAGAGTCTTGGCTGTGGGTTTGTTGTGGGCTGGGTGGTTGTGGAGAGGATGCAGAGCCAGAAGTCCCTGGCACCACTTTGCAGATCACCATGTGGGACTTGGGCTAGCAGCATCCCTATGACCTGGGAGCTTGTTAGACATGCAGAACTGGCTGGGTGTGGTGGCTCATGCCTGTAATCCCAGCACTTTGGGAGATCCAGACGAGAGGACTGCTTAAGCCCAGGAGTTGGAGACCAGACTGGGCAACATAGCAAGACCCAATTTCTACAAATAATCAATAAATTAGCTGTGCATGGTGGCATGCAGCTGTAGTCCCAGCCACTTGGGAGGCTGAGGTGGAGATTGAGTGTTGAGCCTGAGAGGTCAAGGCTGCAGTGAGCAGTGATTGTGCCACTGCACTCCAGTCTGGGCAACAGAGTGAGATCCCGTGTAAGAGAAAGAAAGAAAGAGAAAAAATGCAGAGTCTCAGGCTTCACCCAGGCTACCTAACGGGCATCTGCACTTTAACAAGTTCCCTAGGTGGTTCCTGTACACATTGAAATCTGCAACATGCTGGGACTGCAGAGAGCCTGGGCTGGGAGTCGTGAGCTCCACCCGGCTGTTTTTATGACAGCTGGCAAAACACGCTAAGGCACATTGAGGACTCAGTGAGGCAGGTTCCTGGGCCTCTGTTAGGCTAAGTTTGAAGTTGTTCCATCACTGCCTCCCTCTGCCTTCTTTGCCATTTCCATCCATGATAGCACTACCCTAACTAGTGATGAGAAGCAGTCTTTGGAGTTCCTCTTCTCTCCTGTCCCTCATGGCTAATTTCCCTGCTCAGACTTCTGCCTCTGGCTCTCTTTCCTTCTGTGCACACTGACTTTTTTCCCTCTCCTGTGCCGAGCTGGAGGGTAGGACCCTCTGCTGCAGCACTGGGTCATTCTCAGGATAAAGTCTTGGTCTATCTGGGCGAACAGATCACTTCCAGCTCGATTCATACATACTGACTCTTGCTTGAATAGCAAGATTTGCCCCAAATCAGAGCTTTAATCCTATATAAATGGAACAAATAATCACTTCCAGATCTCCAGGGAATCTGCTCACCCTTCATAAGTTTACTAGACAGTTTCAGAATTTTGGAATTGAATGTAAGAATTATGAAGGGAGCTGCCTTCAACACGTGGGGATGATAGATTAAAGGATTATGAACTTAGCAGTGGAGGTGAAGAAGGGTGTAGTATAGCGGTTGGGGTCACAGGGCTGCTTCTAGATGCCAGGTGGCAGCCCGTTTCTTGCCCAGGTGGTAGGGTAGTTGTGCATCTCTGTTTTGTGTACTTTTCAATGTTTGTTACCTCACAATAGAAGAGGTTTAAAAGACTATTTTGTGAGAGATCAAGTTTTAAGTGCTTTTTGCCCCCATCATTGGCTTGGCTAGGTTAGAACAAAGTGTGATAATTGTATTTCCTTTTTTTCTTTTCTTTCCTTCCCTTCTTTCTCTCCCTCTCTCTCGTTCTCCCTACCTCGCTCTTTCTTTTTATAGGAATGGAAAACAAACTCTATTCCTATAAGCTTCTCTATTTCTCCTTTTTTTCCAAAATGATCATTGTATAATGGACGGCCTGTACTGAGCCTGTGTGTCAGGTAATGTGGTTAACTTAACATTCATTACAGCATGTCATCACCACAAAGGCCTCTTGTGGCTGGTGCTATTTTTTTTTCCATTTTGCCGACAAGGTTTAGAGAGATTGAATCACCTGCTTAGACCCACACACCCAGTAAGTGTTGGAATCTGGATTGATGCTGTAATGACCATTATCCAGATCCTTATCACCGTTTGGGGAAATTGTCTGAAAATCCCTCTGGGTTATTTAGAGTCAAGCTTTCATCTGGGTCTTCAGAAAGTTGTAGTGGAGCCATCTGCACCACCACACACCTGAAGACATTTCAGGACTAACCTGGATGAAAAGGGAACTGACTTTTAGCTAGGATAGGACAAAAGGGCATAATCATAAAATTAATTCACTTTCCTTCCTTTCTTTTGAAAACTTTTCTAAACTGTGTATCCTCCCAGATATTCCCTGGCAAAGAAGACCCCAGCGAAGCCTTGGTTTGGAGAAACTGGACCGTGTGGGGCAGGTGAAGGTGGTCTGGGGATAAGAGAATATGGTGGTTGCTGAGTGTGGTGTAATTCCAGCTACTCAGGAGTTGGGAGGATTGTTTGAACCTGGGAGTGTGAGGCCAGCCTGGGCAACATGGCAAGGTCTCATCTCTTAAAAAAAAAATACATGTGTGATGGGCTTTTCTTTTGCTTTTCAGTCTCTTCTCGGCAAAGTGAAAGAAGCGGTGAAGGTGGCCATTGATGCAGAATATCGCCACATTGACTGTGCCTATTTCTATGAGAATCAACATGAGGTGGGAGAAGCCATCCAAGAGAAGATCCAAGAGAAGGCTGTGATGCGGGAGGACCTGTTCATCGTCAGCAAGGTGCACATGGCGCATTTGGTGGGAGGCCTTCACTTCAAGGCAGGCAGAAGTATCTGGATCGGGTGGGCAGCAAGAACTCTGTCGGCCTTTTCTACGTGTACCCGTTTTCATCTCTGCCTTGATAACATCCGTGGATACAATACTATCCATACTCCAAGCCGTTATTGATATTTGAACATGTCGTGGCTGCCCCACCTGCCTGCGGGTTGGATTTCCCATAGTGGGCTTGGCTCCCTCTGGGCCTCCCTGTTCCCCATCAGAGGGATCTACCATCTGCCCAGAGGCAGTCACAGGCCAAGGGTGCAGGCAGGGCTTGATATGAAGCCTCCCTCTCAGCACTGTGGTCTCAGCGACTGTGCCCCTGAGGTTCTCAGCCAGGGGGTATTTTGGAAAACAGTAGGAGCACTTTTCTATTATCACATGTGATTTTCTTTATTCAGTCTAGTAAAAGTTGAGGTATACAATGTTATAAAAAAAGAAAAGGATGTTGGGTGTGAGGGTGTTGAGAATCACTGGATCTATATTATATGCAAGTTGCTGAAAAAAAAAACAAAACACTAGTTCTGTGTACTTGGAAAATGCTTACATCTGGTGGGACAAATAGACCCCACTGTGTAGCAGCCAAGTCTGGATAAAGCCCTTTTAAAGTTATCACTTGGGTCCTGATAGGCTTGATAAGGGACCTATCAGATGGGTCAGATAAAGGGCCATCTATTCCCAAAGGCCTAAGAATGCTTGACATTTAAAAGCTACACGCAATTCCTGCTCTCAGAGAGCCCACAGCTGAGGAAGAGACTGAGACAGGTAAACAAATTTCAAATCTGTGGCCACATTTACTTAAATGATCTGAGACACTTATAGAGTACTAGGAGAGTTGAAAAAGTCAACTGCTTTTAAAACTTAAGACATGTCATTGAGGTGCTGAGCCCTGGCGATCTTCCACACTGCATCGTGGATCTTAATCAGCTTTGTTATAGATGGCCTGAGCCAGGTTAGATGAGGATGCAAATCAAAAAGCAGGGACAATGAGTATAATGTGGCCCTTCCTTTTCCCAGTATTACTAGCTCATTGCTACACTCTTTGCAGGTGTGGCCCACTTTCTTTGAGAGACCCCTTGTGAGGAAAGCCTTTGAGAAGACCCTCAAGGACCTGAAGCTGAGCTATCTGGACGTCTATCTTATTCACTGGCCACAGGGATTCAAGGTTTGAGTGACTCCCTTTCTCAGCCTCTAGTTTCTGAGCTGTTGCAGGAATTCAGGGACCCCCAACAGAGAGACTGGCTGAAGCCATGGCAGAAGAACATAAATTGTGAAGATTTCATGGACATTTCTTAATTCCCCACATTAATGTTTTTATAATTTCTTACGCCTGTCTTTACTGCAATCTCTGAACATAAATTGTGAAGATTTCATGAACATTTATCACTTCCCCAATCAGTACTTTTGTGATTTCCTATGCCTGTCTTTACTTAAATCTCTTAATCCCATCATCTTCGTAAGCTGAGGATGAATGTCGCCTCAGGACCCTGTGATGATTGCATTAACTGCACAAATTGTTTGTAGAGCATGTGTGTTTGAACAATATCAAATATGGGCACCTTAAGAACAGGATAACAGCGATGTTCAGGGAACAAGGGAGATAACCTTAAAGTCTGGCTGCCTGTGGGCCGGGCAGCACAGAGCCATATTTCTCTTCTTTCAAAAGAAAATAGGAGAAATATTGCTGAATTCTTTTTCTCAGCAAGGAACAACCCTGAGAAAGAGAATGCGCTCCTAGGGGTAGGCCTCTAAAATGGCTGCTCTGGGGACGGCTGTCTTTTACAGTTGTAGATAAGGGATGAAATAAGCCCCGGACTCCTGTTGTGCTCCCAGGCTTATTAGGACGAGGAAATTCCCACCTAATAAATTTTGGTCAGACCGATTGTGTGCTCTCAAACCCTGTCTCCTGATAAGACGTTATCAATGACAATGCATGCCCGAAACTTCATTAGCAATTTTAATTTTGCCCCGGTCCTGTGATCTTGCCCTGCCTCCATTTGCCTTGTGATATTTTATTACCTTGTGAAGTAGGTCATCTCTGTGATCCACACCCTATTTGTATACTCCCTCCCCTTTTGAAAATCACTAATAAAAACTTGCTGGTTTTGTAGCTTGAGGGCATCATGGAACCTGCCGAAACGTGATGTCTCCCCCGGACACCCAGCTTTAAAAATTTCTCTCTTTGTAATCTTTCCCTTTATTTCTCAGACCAGCCAACACTTAGGGAAATAGAAAAGAACCTACATGAAATAACGATGAATTATCAGGGGCGGATTCACCCAATACTGAGCAGGTGCCAGAAAGTAGTAGCTGCACCAGGGCTGCAGAGTGGTGTGGACTGGAGCAGGAGAGCTTGCACTTCATAATTGGGAATGGCAGGTGGTCAGGAAGAGACCTTGGAGCAGAAAGATGCTGGCTGGAAGGGAGGCTAAGGCCATGTGCGCTGCTGAGGTGCTCACATGCCTGGGTTATCTTGCAGTTATGTCTGAGAGAAGACATGATTTCTGGCAGCCCAGACAAGTTGTAACTGCCATATCACCTTTGTCTAGATTCCATGCCCTGGGGTTGCCCTCCCAGGAAACCTCTTGGGTTATTCTTCCATAACTGTATTCCAGGGCTTAATTATTTTATTAAGCAAAGCACACCTGGCAGTGGCATCTTGGAGAAAAGTCCAAGTATGGTGATGCTGGAAGGAAGCCAGTAGTGATCCCAGCACCCATTGCCTGGGGCTCTGCTCTTACCTGCTCCTGAGGGGTGGGGGAGACAAATTTCCAGCTCTCTCCCCTCCTGACCAGCTGGAGTGATGATGGCCTGCCATCCCGAATTCCACGCCTCTTCTAGAGGCTGCAAGGATAGAAGTTGGCCAATATCTTCTCCAGAAAACCACACCCTGGAGATCTAATCTTTATCCAGTGATACTGAAATGAAAGTTTGCCCTTGGGTGTGTATAGGATGTAGGTGTGTGAGGTTAATGTCCATGGTGATAATGGTGGCTTCTGGAATGTACTAACAGAGGATCTTAAAGTCAATCCAGTAGTTTCTAAAAATATAGGGATTAATATGCTACAGTAGATATAGAGATTTTATTTAAACTCACATTCTTGTAGTATGTACTCCAGAGCTTGAAAAAGTGGTATGCAGATGTGGTATTTAGCAAGCATCAGGATCCTGAAACCTTGTTGAACAGAACCAAGTGTCCTGATGCAGATTCCAGTAAACTTTTCATTCTGTATTTACAGACTGGGGATGACTTTTTCCCCAAAGATGATAAAGGTAATATGATCAGTGGAAAAGGAACGTTCTTGGATGCCTGGGAGGTAGGTTCCAGCTTTGTCTAAGTGTGCTGGGAGAGAAATCCTCAGTTATCCATGAGATTCCCATTGATATGAAAGAGGCCATGTGCCTGATGCTTTCTAATTTCATCATTGTGATTCTCTAGCTCTTCTAATATCCTCCTCATCACCTTTGGCTTTTGGGTGCATCTGATACTATTTATATTTCAAGCCTACTACTGAGTCTTCAAATAAGACTGGAAATACAATGTACCCCACTTTGGGGAATACACATGCTGTTCTCAAACCAGGGTGAGGCATTTGGAACAGAGGGTTTGGGCCTGGGTTTGCTCATAGCAGCTGAGTAACCTAGGGTCAGTTTTGTAACTCTTGTAGGGCTCAGTTTTCTCTTTAAAGAAAAAAGGTCTTATAATACATACTACTAATATATATCTTTCGGGGTGTGATAAAACTTAAGATGGTTTACGTGCCGGGAACATCAGTCATAAAGCCCATGTAATCATCTAACCCTAGGAGACAGGGTTAACATCCCCATTTATAAATAATGACATTTGAAACCTAGATTGGTTGGTGACTTGCCCAGGTCATGTCACAATGTGTGTGGCAGAGCTGGGATTAGACCCAGACTCATCTGAATTGCAAGTCCAACCACCAAAACCATCAGCATGGTGCTTGGTAAGCAGTGAACACACATCCGGAAATCAGGGAACTTTGTAATCCCAGCACTTTGGGAAGCCGAGGTGGAAGGATCATGAGGTCAGAAGTTTGAGACCAGTCTGGCTAGCAGAGTAAAACGCTGTCTCTACTAAAAATACAAAAAATTAGCCAGGTGTGGTGGTGTGTGCCTGGAATGTGAGCTACTTGGAAGGCTGAGGCAGGAGAATTGTGTGAACTTGGGAGGTGGAGGTTGCATTGAGCCAAGATTGCACCATTGCACTCCAGCCCAGGCGTCAGTGCAAGACACCATCTTGAAGAAAAAAAAAAAAAAGAAAAAAGAAAATCAGGGAGCCTGAGTGCCCTGCTTCTCAGATCAAACCCATGACCTGTTTCACATCATTTCATATTGAAAATGAATTAAGGGATGAATGTTTTCTCTGGCCATTTTTTATTATACCATTATGTCCTTTTGCAAATGCTAATAGAGAACGAATTGGAGAAATAAGATATAAATGAACAGTGGCATATAACTCCAAGAGTTAATCATGTTATCTTGGCAGCTGTCTGTGTAGGGGTGCATGTAGTTGCGAGTTTGTATTGTGTTTTACACGGGAAAATATATTAAGCCTCACCTTTCTGAAATGCTTAGAATTGACATGATTCAATTAAATGTAGTTTTTTCTGTGTATTGTTTGTTCAAAAGCATTAATCCACAAGCACAGCATTCTTTTTTTGATACAGATTCTCACTCTGTCACACAAGCTAGGGTGCAGTGACACCATCTTGGCTCACTACAACCTCCCTCTACCAAGTAAAAACCATTCTCCTGCCTTGGCCTTCCAAGTAGCTGGGACTACATGTGCATGCCACCACACATGGATAATTTTTATATTTTTAGTAGAGATGAGGTTTCACCATGTTGGCCAGGCTGGTCTCAAACTCCTGACCTCAAGGGATCCACCCGTCTCAGCCTCCCAAAGTGTTCAGATTACAGGCGTGAGCTATAGCACCAGGCTGTTTGCATTACATTTGATCTGTGTTTTTGCCTTAGCTCCTATGATGATATGAAGTATGGCAAGTATGTCAATGTACCCTGCTTCTCACAGTGCTATGTTTTCTTAATGAACATGAGGATGACTGCTAAAGAAAACATTTGAAAGGCATGAAAAGATATCATTGATCAAGTTCAGAGGCTCTGATTTGAAACGAGCATGCTTGAATACGTAAGCATTGGATGTTTATGTAGACCCACAACCAGTTCAGTAGAAACCTCATTGACTACCCTGAAGCAGAGGGGAGGAAAAAAGTATAAAGAAGTCAAGTTTTAATACGGGAAAACTAACCTGACCTATGATGCACAAAAGCTTTTAAATTATCTAATTGCTGAATCAGAAGTTTTTGGGAAACTTATGATTTCATAGCTTCCAAACTCTACTTCCCAATTTGAATAACTTAATCTATGCTAGTGGTTCTCAACGTTGGCTGGGCATTAGAATCACCTGAGGAATTTAAAAATCCCAATGTCTAGGCTACAACTCAGACAAAATCAGTAAGAAACTCTGGGGGATGAAATCCAGGAATCAGTCATTTTTCTTTTTTAATTTAGAGAGAGTCTTGCTCTGTTGCCCAGAGTAGAGTACAATGGCATGATCATAGCTCAGTGCAGCCTTGGACTCCTGGGCTCAAGTAAACCTCTGAAGTAGCTGGGATCAGAGGCACACGTCACCGCATCCAGCTAATTAAAACAAATTTTTTTTTTTGGTAGAGACAGAGTCTTGCTATGTTGCCCAGGATGGACTCAAACATCTGGCCTTAAGCAATCCTCCTGTCTCAGCCTCCCAAAGTGCTGAGATTAGTCATGAGCCACTGCATCCAGCCAGTACCTTTCAAAGCTCACTAGTGATTCCAAATTGCAGCCAAAATTGAGAAGGGCTGCATAAAGTGTTCCCTGAACATGTCATGCTCATCCCTGCCTCTGAGCTTTGCTCCTGCCTTCCTGCCTTCCTGTGTCATATGCTCATGTTTTTCCCCTCTTTTCTCTCTCTCGGGGTTTTTGTTTGTTTGTTTGTTTGTTTTTTGAGGCCCAGCTTATACTCTACCTGAAAGGACTCCCCTGACAACTGCGGGCTGTGTGAATCTCTTCCTTCTCTGCCTTTCTGACTCTGTCTATGCCACTGTCATGTTATCTGAGGCAGCCTCAGTGTCATGATTGATGGCTCCATAGAAGGGAACTCTAGCACTTTAATTGGACTGTAAGAATCCCAGAAGAAGGAAGCACATTGTATACTTTTACATCTTGACAACTTCTGGGCAGGATCTAGAACATGTAATAGATGGCTACTAAATACATGTTGCATTGGAGGCTGCTGCTAACATATATGATATCTTTGGGCAAGTTTGGAAAATGCCCAATAAAGGCTAAAAATTATACAAAGATTCCCTTCCTTGCATGTCCATGCAGCTTCTGTACCAGGAAGCATGGCTGGATATGCAAACAGTGGGTCAGGTTTTAGCCCCACACAACTCCGTGGCCGGGTGCCCCTGCTAGGGCGTAATTTATATGCATGACCTTCTTGCAAACCAAGCCATGGTTGGTGTGGGAGACAGTGACTCAGGACCCACAGGTGAGGCTTCTCCGTATGCTGCAGCCTCTTCCTGACTAACACAGCTTGCCCAGGTTTGGGTGTACAATGTACACACACAACAGTAGCTCCCTGCTATCATTTGGATTCATTAAAAATTAAATCATCTCATAAGCTTACAAATGTTGATTTTTATTTATTTTTTTCATGATAAAACTTTCATATTTCCATGGTGTATGGAACTATAATTTTTTATGTGTTTCTTTACGTGTAAGGTGAGAGTGGCAAGAACATAAAATCTTTACCTGTTAGTTTTAGATTTTCTTGGGCTGGGGAGGGGCAGTAGGGCTGGAACCAATCACTGATGGGCACCCAGGCCCTGGACTGAAATTTCCTGTGAATGCTTCAGCTAACTCTGTTGCGGTGGATCCTTTAGCAATTTCTGCCCCAGGGAAGACTAAGGCAAGCCAGGGTCCCTGTAGTCCCTCTAGAGCTGCCCATAAGGTATTCCTTTCTATGATAGGCCATGGAGGAGCTGGTGGACGAGGGGCTGGTGAAAGCCCTTGGGGTCTCAAATTTCAACCACTTCCAGATCGAGAGGCTCTTGAACAAACCTGGACTGAAATATAAACCAGTGACTAACCAGGTAAATTCTATTCAGTTTAAGGGTAAGGGTCCTGCCCTATTACTTCTTAAACATTGCGGGGGGAATGTTCAATGCTATGCCCTGAGTCTTATCTCAGGGGTCAGTGATCAGGACACTTTGGGGAGGTGTGAGGCTGATCTCATGGGTGATTTAGCAAGAATCTCAGTGCGCACTTGTTTGGCCTTTGCTTGGTGGACTTTTTTTGTGTGTAGAACTCCCTAGGAACAATGCAAAACAGAGCCGGCTTTCCCCGTGATGAGGATTGTTTGCTGTTGCAGGTTGAGTGTCACCCATACCTCACGCAGGAGAAACTGATCCAGTACTGCCACTCCAAGGGCATCACCGTTACGGCCTACAGCCCCCTGGGCTCTCCGGATAGACCTTGGTGAGGCTTCCAAGTGGTGGGTCTTTCTCTTGATAATCTTAAAAACATTATTTTATAATTGGTAAATGTCGGTATGGGTCCATAAGTTACTGGAAAGAAAAATGTGTGTAAGGTAACACGTTTGGTACACACAAATGGGATGGCAGTGGGAAAAAATGGGAATTAAACAACAACAACAACAACAAGGGCGACATGCTTGACCCTCTGGGAATATTTCCAGTTCAGCCACCCAAGGGTGAACCAGGCTTGCAAAATGCTGAGGCTTCAGAGCCCGGGGAAAGGACCCAAGCTTCCAGGTCCTCCTGCCTGTCTCCCAGATGGAGAGGCTCTGATGATCAGTCTTGAGACCCTCATTGGAGTGGTGTCCTTCTGTACACGGTAGCCATGGTGATTATTCACATCAGCATCTTTCTGCCCCTAGGGCCAAACCTGAGGACCCTTCCCTGCTGGAGGATCCCAAGATTAAGGAGATTGCTGCAAAGCACAAAAAAACCACAGCCCAGGTACCATATTTTTATTTTTCTTGTTATCCAACCACTCATGCTTCCAGTCTCATGTTTCATTTCTCGTGTTGTCCTCAACTGACTCCTTAAAGGGGAAGAACACAGGAGCTGAAGCCCTCTAAAGTATTTCCTTTGAAGTCTGTTGGAACCTCTAGGAAACACAAGAGCTGTCACTGAAGCAAAGAT
Source organism: Homo sapiens (assembly GCF_000001405.40). Classification (NCBI taxonomy): domain Eukaryota; kingdom Metazoa; phylum Chordata; class Mammalia; order Primates; family Hominidae; genus Homo; species Homo sapiens. The sequence goes on from NC_000007.14 coordinate 134,576,617, forward strand.
AGCTTCTGTCTCACAGCTTCCTGTCAAGCCCTACAGCCCAGTGGCAAAGCATGGCTTTGGAGTCTAGGGATATGGGTGCAGATGCCAACTCTACCTCTGATCAGCCTTATGACCCCCAAGCTACTTTCTTCATTCCTAAAAAAGGAAGATCACAGGGTTGTCTCTAAGGTGAAGGGAGAGAAAGAGGTGGGGGTCTGGCACAAGTCTAATAGCTGTGAAGGGCTCAGTAATTATTAGCGATTGTACCTGAAGCCACAGTGAGCTGCAGAGATGTTTTATTCTTCCTTTCCATAAAAGGAGGGGTCCTTGTAGCTGAGTGGAAACATGATGTCCCCTTTCTGCACAGGTTCTGATCCGTTTCCATATCCAGAGGAATGTGACAGTGATCCCCAAGTCTATGACACCAGCACACATTGTTGAGAACATTCAGGTAAGTTTCCGGCTGGTCGGGCCTGGTATTCCTCAGTGGAGTGGGGGACAGGCAGACCTTCTCACTAGGCTTCTCACCTCATCCCTGCACTGTCTTTGGCCCCCTCCTTCCCCACCACCCTATCATTTTCCAGCCCAGGGAGCTAGGCTCGGTAGAGCTGAGATGAATGACCCATGGGCTAAGAACATCCTGGGGGCAGTGCCTGGTAAAGCCCTATCAGGTCTGAGCACAGTTGTGCCTCACACCACTGAGAAGACCCTCAGTTGCCCCTGAGCAGCTAGGCCCTAGGCCATACACAAGAGCAGACTGTCCTGGCCTACCTGCTCACCTCCCAGCAGCAGAGGAGGTGTGAACTGTCCTTGGAGAAGTGTCCTCTAGAAGCACCTGTCATGGAGCACAGGGCCTGTGCACGCCTGGGGTTTAGTGCCTGTGAGCCTGGTCTCCCTCCCCCCAGAACACTGAGCACTACAAATACTGTGGTCTTTGTGTAGGACCTAATTTAGAGAAAAATTTGTATCCCTTGGACAGAATGGGAAAAACTCCTATGGCCAGTTTGTGCTGTGAATGTGAGCTCCCTCCCTGCTAGAATGGCCGGCAGTCTCCAGCCACAGCAGTAACAGCCTTACCGATAATGTATTGGAATTCTTTCCTTTCTAGGTCTTTGACTTTAAATTGAGTGATGAGGAGATGGCAACCATACTCAGCTTCAACAGAAACTGGAGGGCCTTTGACTTCAAGGAGTAAGTGGCATGGAGTTAACTAGAAGAATTGCCAGGAGTTTTTCTAAACTGGTAGAGGGTTAGTTGGAAGGATTAGAAGGTTGTTGGGACTACTTGTGTCTTCAAATACTATTTTGGGGCAGTTTTGAAAGTTAAAATTTGGGTACCTGGGAATCACTGTAAGGGACACATCTCTAATTGCTGCTTATTGTCTGAACTTCTGGATGTAGAGCTAGAATTGTAAGAGAAGGTGTGTTATCAATAGGCAGGAGGCAGAACATTCATTTATTCATTCATTCAGTCAATATCTAGTGGTCATCTGTGTGCCAGGCATTTTCTAGGTGCTTGGGTTATCATACTGTACAAAGCTGCTGCCTCCACAGGCTTAGGGAGGGAGGGAAGAAGAGACAACAGAAATAAATCAACTCAAAATATTGATGTCAGACAGCAACAAATGCTAGACAGAAAAGTAAAGTAGGGCAAAGTGGACAGGAAGTGGTAGGTGGTAGTGGGACTGATCCTTTATACGGGTTGGGTCAAGGGAAGCTTTGCTGTGAGGGATATGCCATATGTATATTTGGGGGAAGAGCATTCTTGGCAGTGATAACAGCAGGTGCAAAGTCCCTGAGGTGGGATTGTGTTTAGAGCATTCAAGCAAGAAGGCCAGGGAGGCTGGATTAAATCATCTCCAAATGCCTCTTAAAGGAGGTGGTGCTAACTTTACTTTAAATCTCAGATAAGTTGTTGAAAAAAAGTCTTTCACTCTGGCTAGGCGGGAATTCTACATCATCTCTTTAGAATCAATACTTTCTGATTAATGTGTCTAATTACATATATCAAATAGAATTGTCTGGCATTTATTACTGCGAGGTCTGCAATTCAATGGCAATTTGAATTTCTTCAAATATTTGTGTAGCCAAAAATGATTTTTCAGCTTTTAAAAATGATTTCAGTATCTCAAGCGTTGCTTGCATGTCATGATATTCCATATCTATCCTGCCCACCCTCAGTATCATAGCAGCCTTTCCTCATCTTACAATGGCTTAGTTTCATCCGTGCTTAACAAAGTAGCAGCTATTTAGAGTAAAAAGGAAGGGTGAACATAAGATGTGACTCTCCCCCAAACTAAAACACTTACTTTCCTATGAGCATCATTTCTGGTGTAGGCAATGGGTTGGTGGACTCAGAAGTAAATCCACCTGGCCTCAAATCCAACTCTAACACTGGTTTCTTCGCTGTGTGACATTGGGCAAATTTCTTAGTTTTTCTAAGTTGGTTTCTTTACCTATAAAGTAGGATGATAATACTAATCGCAGCTAACATCCATTGAACCTTAGCTTAGAATGTGCCAGGGTCCTGAGCCCTTTTCCGGTGGTATTATCTCATTTAATACTCATAACAATCCCCAAGCTGTCAATTCTGCTGTTGTTTCCTACCTCATGATGTTGTGAGAGTGGATTGGGACAAGACTTGTCTGTCACCTCGCCTGACACCAGGCTTACCGTGAGTTGTCATTACGAGTTTATTCTGCTGCCCTGCTCACTGTCTGCCCTCCTTCCTAGCAAAACCCTCATATCGATTTGAAGGAAGGTCAAGGTGTAAGCACCCTTCTTGTGTTCTTGCAGGGAGGAGGCTGAGAGACCACAAATACCACAGAGTCCACCAGAGAAGAATACCTTCTCAGCGAGAGTTGTTGCTTTGATGGAACACAGTTTCTTTTTTTTTTTCTCTCTCTCTGTAGATTCTCTCATTTGGAGGACTTTCCCTTCGATGCAGAATATTGAGGTTGAATCTCCTGGTGAGATTACACAGGGGATTCTCTTTCTTCGCTGAAGTGTGACTGTCTCCACTCAAGAACTATTTTAGCCAAGCTTATCTGAGATCACAGTGAACTTTGTCCTGTTGTAGACCAGAATGGAGGTGCTGTTTTAGACATGTATTTCTGTATGTTCAACTAGGATAAGAATATCACAGAAAAGCATGGCCTGAATAAGCAAATGACAATTTTTTCCACTTATCTGATCTGATCAAATGTCTGTTAAGCACCAGAAACTCTGCCAACACTGAGGATGTAAAGATAAATAATAAAAAATAATGACTTTAACCAACATGTATTGAGAGTGTACTATGCGCCAACACAATTTGAAGTGTTTTCCTGTGGGTGAATTCACTGAATCCTCAAAATAACCCCTTTGGGGTAGGTACTTTTAACATCTTCTTATTCACATTTCCTGGAAGAGGAAATAGAGATGCAGGGAGGGAGGAGGACCTTGCTCAAGGCCACCCAGGTAGTAAGTGACTGAACCAAGTTTCAAAGGCAGGCAGGCTCTGGGATCCAGCTCACAGCAATCGATGGTCATCCCTTCCTCCTGAGTCTTTTCCTGCCACCTCTCCTCCTTGCCTGTCTCCACTCATTCCCTATCATGCTCTCCCACCTTGCCTTCAATACACCATCGTGCCAAAGAGTCAATGGCAGAACCTGCAAACTCCACAAAGATGCTAGTGTTCATTGAGAGAGGTGCGGCATTTCCTTGGGAAGTAGGGTGGAAAAACAATAAAGATACTTACTATTGCCATTAATCTGGAACATTTCTGTTTGTCCTATAATAATTGCTTCTTATGAAATATTCCAACTATATAGAAATATACAGGAAATAAACTAATGAGCATCTGGCCGCCAACATTAAAATGTTAACAATTGCTAGCCGGGTATTGTGCTGTAGTCCCAGCTACTCCGGAGGCTGAGGTGGGAGGGTCACTTGAACCTGGGAGGTGGAGGTTGCAGTGAGCCAAGATTGCACCACTGCACACCAGCCTGGGTGACAGAGAGTGACTGTCTGAAAAAAAAAGAAATGCTAACCTTTTGCCATATTGGCTCCAAACCTTTAAAAAAAATTAGGAAATTAGGGGTTACCAATGTAGTCGAGGACCACTTTGTGCCTCTCCCCATCCCCATTCCCCTGACTCCCTCTCAAGAGGCAAATGCCTATCCTAAATTGGTGAGTCCCCACATCCTCTGGTTGAGGCTGGGGGGTACATCTAATTCCCAAGCTTCCTTGCTATGTTATGACTTCCCCTGGGTTTGCTCAGTGAGAGGTACAGTTAGGAGCTTGAAGGGCTGGAGAAGGGAAGAGCCAGGCATTTCTCTCTCCCTCTCTCCCTGTCTCTTGACCTTGAGTGGCATCTCCAGTAGAAGCCACATTCCTCTGTGGGCTCAGCTTTTTCCCAGGCAGCCTCCACCTTGATTCTATCTCCTACCAGACAAAGCTTCTGGGATGAGGAAGCAGCCCTCTTTCTTTGTCCTTCTTCCTTAGGAGAGGGGATCTCTTCCTGCTGCTGCTAAACTAGTTGCCTCATCTCCTTTCAATAGCCCAGCTCTTCCATCACGTGTAACTGATCACCTATTATAACCAAGTATTTTAATCAAATATCCAATATTTAAAAAACTTAGTGTAGTTTCTTTTCTCCTGGCTGGACCTTTCACTGGTATACTTCCCAACCACATTTTTGTATTTTTAGTATATGTGTACACATCCATACACAATGTCATAGACTGGGTGCTTTTAAAATGTATATAAAATGTGTACAATTGATACACAGGAAGCAATTTCAACCCAGAGCCCAGTGATATCTCTTTAGTGAGCACTTTGTGAAAGTTTTCTTCTTCACGTGACTGTGATTATGATTTGCTTCATAAAAAGCTTGGGTTTGGGGATAAAATGGTTGGGTTTCTATTATGTGGCTTTTTCTTGCTTTGTTTCACTTGTATTTAACCAAACAGAGGTAAATTTAAAAAGTTAATGTGGAGAAATTCTGTGTTTTAAAAAGCAGCTTCTTAGTTATTCTGTTTTTTATCTTTGTAGAGAAGGAGTCTTGCTCTGTTTCCCAGGCTGGAGTGGAGTGCAGTGGCATGAGTGTAGTTCACTGCAAACTTTAATTACTGGTGCTCAAATGATCCCCCTGCCACAGCCTCCTGAGTATCTGGGACTACTAATTATGTCCTGCTAATTATTTTTTGTAGAGACAGGATCTTGCAATGTTGCTATGTTGTCCAGGCTGGTCTCGAACTCCTGGTCTCAATGATCCTCCCACCTCTGCCTTCCAAAGTGCTGGAATCACAAGCATGGGCCACCTCACACAGCCAGTTATCTGATTATATTTTCAGCATTTATATCTCAAGTAATGAGAACTTTGCAGGCCTTGGGGTCCTCAATGTCACAACTGTAAGAAATACAGTGAATCCATCCTAAAATTTATTCACAATTTTGTCTCAATTGTTCAGAAATAAAGCCACCATCATCATCAACTAAACCAAAGCTGCCATTAAGGGGAGAGAATCTAAGATATACACTACAGGTGTGTGTTAAATAACTCTTATGATAATGTAGGGAATTTGCCTTATGAAGAGAAAAGAAGGGGAATAACCACAGAGGGGAAGATGGTAAGTAAGGTCAGTGTGGAAAAGGAAGGGAGCTTGTCCTGGGAAGTAGGGAGGCAAGGAGTGAAGCTCTTGTGTTTCAAGTATTCTCTCTACTCATTGTCTAAGAGAGGGCTGGAAAAATGGGTTGCAACTAGCATGGAGATTCTGGAATCACTGTGACCATCCTGCCGGGCTCAGGTAGTTCAGAGGGCTAGACTTGCCCTCTTGTATTTAAGTGAGATCTGGCAAATGCTGGGCAGATGATGCCAAACTATAACTGGGACCTAAAGGGATTTGGATCTCCCAGCCAGACCCCTTAATGCCTGACTGTCCAGGGCTGCTCCAGTCATTTCAACAACCTTGCAACAACTCTGCACTTTACATGATTACAAATTTGGACCCAGCCAGTCCTGGTGGTTCACACCTGTAATCCCAGCACTTTGGGAGGCCGAGGCAGGAGGATCGCTTGAGGCCAGGAATTCGAGACCAGCCTGGGCAACATAGTGAGACTGTTGCTATATGAAATATTAAATTAACAAATTTGCATTATTGTGAGATTTAACTACTTATTGCATTATTGTGAGATTTAACTGTACATTAGAGTTTAAAATGTACAGATGAGAGAGGCTTCTGTAGAAAATAGTTTTCAGTAAAATTTGAAAGACCCTGAAGAGTGAAGATTGTTGGAAATAACCTTTTTTTTTTTTTGCTTTAATGCGTGTGCATGACTATAGACATGTAAATTCTGAACATAAAAATATGCAAAAATTAACCAGCAGTGGTGGCTCACATCTATAATCCCAGCACTTTGGGAGGCCGAGGAGGGTGGATCACTTGAGGTCAGGAGTTTGAGACCAGCCTGGCCAACATGGTGAAACCCTGCCTCTAATAAAAATACAAAAATTAGCTGGGTGTGGTGGCACATGCCTCAGGAGGCTGAGGCATGAAAATCGCTTTATCCCAGGAGGCAGAAGTTGCAGTGAGCCGGGATTGTGCCATTGCACTCCTGCCTGGGCGACAGAGTGGGACTCCGTCTCAAAACAAAAACAAAAACAAACAAACTAATAGGAGATAAACAAACTTGAACAAAACCATTTGGCAATTTTCATATAATCAAAAGAGCTTATTCATATCAATAAGAAAATTCTAAGATGCCAAAAAGAAAGTTGGTACATAAAAATTGACCAGTACATGACATGAAAAATTGTACTGACTAGTAATAAGAATGCAAATTAAAATAAGTTTTTTTCACTATCAAACCAACAAAACTTAGAAATAAAAGGAAAATATATCTAGAAAGATATGAATATTAACAGGGTTTTTTTCTATATTGTATGGCAACAGGTTTTTTTTGTTATTCTTTTACATAATTTTCAAAATTTCCACAATACGAAATGCACTTTTACAATCAAGAGAGGCATTAAGGATTTAGAAAATAGCAGAGATTTAGCTCAATTAGTTATTTTATACATCCACTGGGAAAACCAAATGGAAGAGACACTTTTACTTGAAACTATTCTCATTTAACAAGCCTTTCAATTTTAGAAAATACATATTCTGAATGTACAATGCAGTGGAATTTGATTACATTTAATTTAAAACTCTACCTAGTTCATTTGTTTTTCCTCATTTGTTGTCAGCATTTTCCCAGAAATTTCATGAAAGTTTTGCACCCTTAAAATCTTATAGTGTTGCCTTCCAGCACTTTTGTTGGTTGAAAAATATCAACCCCCAGATAAGTAAGGGAGAGTTGGTGGAGACCACGAGGACCTTGAACGTTACTAAAAAAATTACACAAGAGAGGTGCTTGTGCCCCAGGGCTTTTGCCCTTGCTATTCTCATTGCCTGGGATCTTCTGCCCTCTGATATTAGAATAATTCTCTGACTTGTATTTTTAATTTCTTTGCTGATTTATCATCTTCTCAGGGAGGCCTTTCTTCATCACCCTATTTAAAATTAACCCATCTCCTCTGATACTTCCTCTTGCCCTTCTGTGTTTTCTTCTTCTCCTTAGCATTTATCAATATGTTATGTATTTTAAATATTTACTGTTTGCTTGCTTACCCTGTTTCTACCCACTGGAATGTAAGCTCTATGGGAGAAGGGATTCTCAATAATATCTGTTGAATAAATGGACAGATGGAATGGATGGAACAATGGATGGATGAATGGATGGATGGAGGGAGGGTGGCATAGATGGATGGATGGAAACATGAAGGACGGATGGAAGGATGGATGAAAGGAAGGATGGATGGAAGGATGAATGGAAGGAAGGATGGGTAGAAGGATAGAGGGATTGGGGATAGATGGATGAAATGATGGATGGATAGAAGGGTGGTTGGAAGGATGGATAGATGGAGGGAGGGAGGCATGGATAAATGGATGGAAGCAGGGAAGGAAGGATGGATGGATGGATGGATGGATGGATGGATGGAAGGATAGTTGGAAGGATAGATGGATGGGAAGTGTTTTTACTCCAATTTTACTTTTTAACTCCAATTTCAGATTTAAAAAAAAACTGAAGCTAGATTTCTTAATTGTTACAACCCATAATGCCTACTCACATAATCTGAAGTAATTTCATGAACTCTACGGCTAGTCATAAATTGCAAAGACTGTATAACATCCTTGAACTGGAACTGAGATAATCATTTTGGAGGCAGGGATGATATGTGGAGAATGTCAATCTTTAATTCATGATTGAAGTTTTACTTCTGCTCTCATTGAAGTCTAATAGTGAGAGGTAAAATAGGAATTGAGGCACCACTAATATTCTCTCCTTTCAATTCTGTTTGTTCTACTCCATGGTAGAAAATGGTGCATTGCTCTTATTAGCAATTCCTTCCTAAGTGTGAGTTGAATATGGCTTGCATATAGTCCCAGGATCTGCTTTCTACTAGGACACAGCATTCAGAAGTCCTGAGAAGCAGTGAGCAGAGAACAGCCATGGTACTGCTATCCATGAACCAAGAGATGCTGACAGCTCAAGTGAAAAGCAGGGGTAAAGGCAGCCTATATGTCAGACTCCTGGGGTATAGTTAAAGGCTGTCTTGATTGGAAAAAAACTATACCCTAGTGCTTCAACCTTGGGATAATCGTGAAGACTAAAAAAAGATAATGGTTCCTCTATATTTACTGATAAGCAGAATTCACAACCTTGCTTTCTTCCTATAAATAGCAATATTCTCATTATTCTAGTTTTTATTTCTCCATTAGTGTCTGTATTAGTTTTCCTGGTGAGAGACAGGACTAGCTGGGTTTCCTAGGCTGACTAAGAATTCCTAAGCCTAGCTGGGGAAGGTGATTGCACCCACCTTTAAACACTGGGCTTGTAACTCAGCTCACACCCAACAAATCAGGTAGTAAAGAGGGCTCACTAAAATACAAATTAGGCTAAAAGCAGGAGGTAAAGAAATAGTCAAATCATATATCACCTGAGACCACAGTGGGAGGGACAATGATCGGGGTATAAACCCAGGCATTCGAGCAGGGAGTGGCAACCCACTTTGGGTCCCCTCCCATTGTATGGGAGCTCTGTTTTCACTCTATTAAATCTTGCAACTGCACACTCTTCTGGTCCATGTTTGTTCTGGCTCAAGCTGAGCTTTCGCTCACCGTCCACTGCTGAACGCCACTGTCGCAGACCCTCCATTGACTTCCACCTCTCTGGATCAGGCAGGGTGTCTGCTGCATTTCTGATCCAGTGAGGCGCCCATTGCCACTCCCATTTGGGCTAGAGCTCACCATTGTTCCTGCGTGGCTAAGTGCCCAGGTTTGTCCTAATCGAGCTGAACACCAGTCGCTGGGTTCCATGACTCTCTTCCATGACCCACGGCTTCTAATAGAGCTATAACACTCACCACATGGCCAAAGGTTCCACTCTTGGAATCTGTGAGACCAAGAATCCCAGGTCAGAGAACAAAAGGCTTGCTGCCATCTTGAGAGTGGCTGCCACCATCTTGGGAGTGGCTGCCACCATCTTGGGAGTTCTAAGAACAAAGACCCACCCGTAACATTTGGTGGCCTGTACAGGGATTCTCTAAAGCAGTGAATAATATTGGGCCACTTTCGCTCGCTGTTCTGTCCTATCCTTCCTTAGAATTGGAGGAAAATACCTGGCACCTGTCGGCCGGTTAAAAATGATTAGCATGGCTGCTGGACTAAAGACTCAGGTGTGAGGCTTCCTGGGAAAAGGCTTGCTAACAGCTCCCAACCCTTCTGGGTTGGGAGCATTGGTCTGCCTGGAACCAGCTTCCACTTTCACAATTTTCCTGGGGAAGCCAAGGGTCGACTAGAGGCAGAAAGCTGTCGTCCTGAACTCCCGGCATTGGCCAGTCAAGATCATGGCACAGTCAAAAGTCTCTACTCAAAAGTCATCCATGTGTGTGCCCCTACCTCTCCTTCTGACCCATACCTCCTGGGTCCCAACCATGACTTTCTTGAAAGCGTAGCCCCAAAATTCTCCTTACCTCTGAATCTACTTCCTCCGATCCCTGCCTCCTAGGTACTAATGCTTCAGACTTTCACTTCCTCTCCCAAGTATTAGAGCAAGTTGTATCTCCAAAGGGATCTAAGGAAGTTCTATGCTGCAACCTTAGGCATCTAGGCTATGAATCCAGGGAGTCTTGTCCCTGGTGTCCCTCCCAATTTAGGCATACAGCTCTTGACATGGGCAGTTATGTGTGACCCATTCCCCACCACCCTTGCTGGGGCCTTAGAACTCATAACCCAGTACTTTAACAACTGGAACTGGGTCTACAACAACATAATAGATCAGAATGAAAACAGATTGAGTAAATGACAGGGAGGCACATATTCCTATAGTGGCAAATGCGGGCAATAAGCAAACATCCTTCCACTGTGTTTCCAAAATCCATCTACAAAGACAGAGAAGAGAGAGACAGAGAGGAGAGAGAGAGAGAGAGAGAGAGACAGAGTGGGGGGGGAAGAAGCAGAGAGAGAGGGGGAAAGAAGCAGACAGACAAAGAGGGAGTCAAAGACAGAAAGAAAGAGAACAATAGAAGTAGTAAAGAAAAAAACCGTGTACCCTATTCCTTTAAAAGCCTGGGTAAATTTAAAACGTATAATTGATAATTGAAGGTCTTCTCCGTGACCCTATAACACATTGCAATACCACCTAATTTTCAGTGCAAACAAGGGCATAGCCTGAAAACACTGAGACCACTGACAACCTATAATGTTCCTATCAAAAATCCTTAACCCAGTAACCCGCGGATGGCCCAAATGCATTCAGTTGGTAGCAGCAACTGCTTTGCTAAAAGTAGAAAAATAACCTTTAGAGGAAACCTCATTGTGAGCACACCTCACCAGTTCAGAGCTATCCTAAGTCAAAAAAAGCAAAAAGGTAGCTTACTAACTCAAAAATCTTAAAGTATGGGGCTATTCTGTTAGAAGAAGGTGATTTAACATTAACCACTGAAAATTCCCTTAACCCAGTAGGTTTCCTAACAGGGGATTTAAATTTTAATTACCATACAAAGGTCCAATGAGACCTAGGAGGAACTCCCTTCAGGATAGGACGATAGATGGTTCCTCCTGGCTGATTGAGAAAAAAATCACAATGGGTATTCAGTAAATTATAGGGAGACTCTTCTGGAAGCAGAGTTAGGATAATTGCCCTATAACTGGTCTGCTCAGCCATGCGAGCTGTTTGCATTCAGCCAAGCCTTAAAGTACTTACAGAATCAAAACTCTATCTCAATCCTGACTCAAAAGGTTACTACACCCTGTCTGAAATGAATTTGCATAAGAACAGTTGTTTATGGGAATGCATCTGATGGGGCAGCTGGATTGTTATGAAATACTCAGGAACCCAGCCCAGCTCTAGGACTCACCCCTGAGCACAAAGGCAATATTGGGCACGCTGGTAAAGGACTACTAGAATCCAGCAGCCTGGACCCCTTTCTTTGTAAGGTCAAGAAAGGTGGGAAAACAGGTGCAGGACTGCCTCATTGGTGAGCGTAACTAATCCAATAAGCAGAGGTCCATGGGTGGTTACGCACCCTGGAAAGGTGCTGAGACCAGCTCGGTCATGGAGACCCTAACCCAGCAGCACTAGAGGAATTAAAGACACACACACAGAAATATAGAGTGTGGAGTGGGAAATCAGGGGTCTCACAGCCTTCAGAGCTGAGAGCCTCAAACAGAGATTTACCCACATATTTATTGACAGCCAGCCAGAGATAAGCATTGTTTCTATAGTTTATAGAATAACTAAAAGTATTCCTTACGGGAAACAAAGGGATGGGCCAAAATAAAGGGATGGGCTCTGGCTAGTTATCTACAGCAGGAACATGTCCTAAGGCACAGATCGCTCATGCTATTGTTTGTGGTTTAAGAACACCTTACGTGGTTTTCTGCCCTGGGCGGGCCAGGTGTTCTTTACCCTCATTCCGGTAAACCCACAGCCTTCAGTGTGGGCACCATGGCCATCATAAACATGTCACAGTACTGCAGAGATTTTGTTTATGGCCAGTTTTGGGGCCAGTTTATAGCCAGATTTGGGGGCCTCTTCCCAACAGAAAGGAATAAGCATTAGGACCATAGAGGATGCTCTAGGACTAATGCTCATTGGAAAATGACTAGGGGTGCTGGCATCCCTAAGTTCTTTTTTCAGAAATGTTCCCCGCAAGGCAAAAATGCCCCTAAGATGTATTCTGGATGATTTGGCCTAGTCAGAGTGTATGTACTTTTTTCCCTCTCAGACTTGAAGCAAATTAAAATAGACCTAGGTAAATTCTCAGATAACCCTGATGGCTATATTGATGTCTTACAAGGGTTAGGACAATTCTTTGATCTCACATGGAGAGATATAATGTTACTGCTAGATCAGACACTAACCCCAAATGAGAGAAGTGCTGCCATAACTGCAGCGCAAGAGTTTGGCAATCTCTGGTTTCTCAGTCAGGTCAATGATAGGATGACAACAGAGGAAAGAGAACAATTCCCCACAGGCCACCAGGCAGTTCCCAGTGTAGACCCTCATTGGGATGCAGAATAAGAACATGGAGAATGTTGCCACAGACATTTGCTAACTTGCGTGCTAGAAGGATTAAGGAAAACTAGGAAGAGGCCTGTGAATTATTCAATGAGGTCCACTATAACACAGGAAAAGGAAGAAAATCCTACTGCCTTTCTGGAGAGACTATCGGAGGCACTGAGGAAGCATACCTCTCTGTCACCTGACTCTATTGAAGGCCAACTAATCTTAAAGGATAAGTTTATCACTCAGTCAGCTGCAGACATTAGAAAAGACTTCAAAAGTCTGCCTTAGGCCCAGAGCAAAACTAAGAAACCCTATTGAACTTGGCAACCTCGGTTTTTTATAATAGAGATCAGGAGGAGCAGGCAGAACTGGACAAACAGGATAAGAAAAAGGCCACCACTTTAGTCATGGCCCTCAGGCAAGCAGACCTTGGAGGCTCTGGAACAGGGAAAGGCTGGGCAAATTGAATGCTTAATGGGGCTTGCTTCCAGTGAGGCTTACAATTACACTTTAAATAAGATTGTCTGAATAGAAATAAGCCATCCCCTTGTCCATGTCTGAATAGAAATAAGCCACCCCCTTGTCCATGCCCCTTATATCTAGGGAGTCACTGGAAGGCTCACTGCCCCAGGGGATGAAGATCCTCTGAATCAGAAGCCACTAACCAGATGATCCAGCAGCAGGACGACTGAGGGTGGCTGGGGCAAGTGCCAGCCCATGACATCACTCTCATAGAGACCCGGGTATGCTTGATCATTGAAGGCCAGGAGGTTAACTGTCCCCTGGACACTGGCACAGCCTTCTCAGTCTTACTCTTCTGTCCTGGACAACTGTCCTCCAGTTCTGTCACTGTCCGAGGGGTCCTAGGACAGGCAGTCACTAGATACTTCTCCCAGCCACTAGGCTGTGACTGGGGAACTTTACTCTTTTCACATGGCTTTCTAATTATGCCTGAAAGCCCCATTCCTTTGTTAGGGAGAGACATCCTAGCAAAAGTAGGGGCCATTATACACTAGAATTAGGAGAAGAAAAAAGGGTGAACATATATACAGACTCTGAGTATGCTTACCTAGTCCTCCATGCCCACGCAGTAATATGGAGAGAAAGGGAATTCCTAACTTCCAAGGGAACACCTATCAAACATCAGGAAGCCATTAGGAGATTATTATTGGCTGTACAGAAACCTAAAGAGGTGGCAGTCTTTCACTGCTGGGGTCATCAGAAAGGAAAGGAAAGGGAAATAGAAGGGAACTGCCAAGTGGATATTGAAGCCAAAAGAGCTGCAAGGTGGGACCCTCCATTAGAAATGCTTACAGAAGGACCCCTAGTATGGGGTAATCCCCTCCAGGAAACCAAGCCCCAGTACTCAGCAGAAGAAATAGAAGGGGGAACCTCACAAGGACATAGTTTCCTCCCCTCAGGATGTCTAGCCACTGAAGAAGGAAAAATACTTTTGCCTGCAGCTAACCAATGTGAATTACTTAAAACCCTTCACCAGACCTTTCACTTAGGCATTGATAGCACCCATCAGATGGCCATATCATTATTTACTGGACCAGGCCTTTTCAAAACTATCAAGCAGATAGTCAGGGCCTGTGAAATGTGCCAAAGAAACAATCCCCTGCCTTATCGCCAAGCTCCTTCAGGAGAACAAAGAACAGGCCATTACCCAGGAGAAGACTGGCAACTAAGTTTTACCCACATGCCCAAATCTCAGAGATTTCAGTATCTACTAGTCTGGGTAGATTCTTTCACTGGTTGGGCGGACGCCTTCCCTTGTAGGACAGAAAAGTCCCAAGAGGTAATAAAGGCACTAATTCATGAAATAATTCCTAGATTTGGACTTCCCCGAGGCTTACAGAGTGACAATGGCCCTGCTTTCAAGGCTGCAGTAACCCAGGGACTATCCCAGGTGTTAGGCATACAATATCACTTACACTGCCCCTGGAGGCCACAATCCTCAGGAAAAGTCAAGAAAATGAACGAAACACTCAAACAACATCTAAAAAAGCTAACCCAAGAAACCCACCTTGCATGGCCTGCTCTGTTGCCTATAGCCTTACTAAGAATCCTAAACTCTCCCCAAAAAGTGGGACTTAGCCATATGAGATGCTGTATGGACCTTCCTAACCAATAACTTGTGCTCGACTGAGAGATGGCCAACTTAGTTGCAGGCATCACCTCCTTAGACAAATATCAACAAGTTCTTAAAACATTACAAGGAGCCTGTCCCTGAGAGGAGGGAAAGGAACTATTCTACCCTGGTGACATGGTATTAGTCAAGTCCCTTCCTGCTAATTCCCTGTCCCTAGACACATCCTGGGAAGGACACTACCCTTCATTTTATGTACCTCAACCATGGTTAAAGTGGCTGGAGTGGAGTCTTGGATACATCACACTTGAGTCAAACTCTGGATACTGTCAAAAGAACCCGAAAATCCAGGAGACAACACTAGCTATTCCTGTGAACCTCTAGAGGATCTGTGCCTGCTCTTCAAGTGACAACTGTGAGGAAAGTAACTGAATCATAGATCCCCATGGCCCTCCCTTTTCATATTTTTCTCTTTACTGTTCTCTTATCCCCTTTTACTCTCACTGCACCTCCTCCATGCCACTGTACTACCAGTAGCTCCCCTCACCAAGAGCTTCTGCGGAGAATGTGGCTTCCTGGAAATATCAATGCCCCATAGTATAGGAGTTTTTCTAAAGGAAACCCCACTTTCACGGCCGACACCCATATGCCCCTGCACTTCAGGCCTACATTTCAATCCCTGTACCTTTAACCTCCTTGTTAAGTTTGTCTCTTCCAGAATCAAAGCTGTAAAACTACAAATGGTTCTTCAAATGGAGCACCAGATGCAGTGCATGACTAAGATCTACCGTGGACCCCTGGACTGGCCAGCTAGCCCATGCTCCGATGTTAATGACATTGAAGGCACCCCTCCCGAGGAAATCTCAACTGCACAACCCCTGCTACACCCCAATTCAGCAGGAAGCAGTTAGAGCGGTCGTCAGCCAACCTCCCCAACAGCACTTGGGTTTTCCTGTTGAGAGTGGGGACTGAGAGACAGGACTAGCTGGATTTTCTAGGCCGACTAAGAATTCCTAAGCCTAGCTGGGGAAGGTGATTGCACCCACCTTTAAACACTGGGCTTGTAACTCAGCTCACACCCAACAAATCAGGTAGTAAAAAGGGCTCACTAAAATACAAATTAGGCTAAAAGCAGGAGATAAAGAAATAGTCAAATCATATATCACCTGAGACCACAGTGGGAGGGACAATGATCGGGGTATAAACCCAGGCATTCGAGCAGGGAGTGGCAACCCGCTTTGGGTCCCCTCCCATTGTATGGGAGCTCTGTTTTCACTCTATTAAATCTTGCAACTGCACACTCTTCTGGTCCATGTTTGTTCTGGCTCAAGCTGAGCTTTTGCTCACTGTCCACCACTGCTGAATGCCACTGTCGCAGACCCTCCATTGACTTCCACCTCTCTGGGTCCAGCAGGGGGTCTGCTGCATTTCTGATCCAGTGAGGCACCCATTGCCGCTCCCATTCGGGCTAGAGGCTTGCCATTGTTCCTGTGTGGCTAAGTGTCTGGGTTCATCCTAATCAAGCCTAATACTAGTCACTGGGTTCCATGGTTCTCTTCCATGACCCACGGCTTCTAATAGAGCTATAACACTCACCACATGGCCCAAAGTTCCATTCCTTGGAATCTGTGAGACCAAGAACCCCAGGTCAGAGAACAAAAGGCTTGCTGCCATCTTGAGAGTGGCTGCCACCATCTTGGGAGCTCTAGGAACAAAGACCCACCCCATAACACTAGTGTGGCTGTAGCAAATTACCACAATCTTAAAACACCAGAAATTTATTCCTGCATAATTCTGGAGGCCAGTAATCCAAAATTTACGTGTCATCAGGGCTATACTCCCTCCGAAGTGTCCAGGAAAGAATCCTTCTTGCCTCTTCCTAGCATCTGGTGGTTGCTGGCAATTCTTGGGGTTCCTTGGCTTGTAGCTGCCTCCCTCTGATTTCTGCCTCTGCCTTCACATGACCTTCTTATGAGGACACAAGTCATTGGATTTATGATCCACCTTAATTCAGAATGCCCTCATCTTAATTTAACTAACTCCATCTTCAAAGACTCTATATTCAAATAAGGTCACAATCTGAGGTTCTGAGTGGACATGGACTTTGGGGGGACATGATTCCACCCAATATAGGGTCTGACACATTGTCCTGCTTGTAGTTGAATGCTCAATATTTATGAGTATATACTTAGGGACTTTTGTCTATTTGTTTGTTTGTTGAGACAAAATCTCATTCTATTGCCCAGGCTGGAGTGCAGTGGCATGATCTCGGCTCACTGCAACCTCAGCCTTCTGAGTTTAAGCCATTCTCCTGCCTCAGCCTCCTGAGTAGCTGTGATTACAGGTGTGTGCCACCATGCCCGGCTAATTTTTGTATTTTTAGTAGAGATTGGGTTTTGTCATGTTGGCCAGGCTGGTGCTTGTGCCCCAGGGCTTGTGGCACTTGTGCCCCACTCCCGACCTCCAGTGATCTGCCCACCTTAGCCTACCAAAATGCTGGGCTTATAGGCGTGAGCCACTGTACTCAGCCAACATTTTTTATCAGAACTTACTTTCTCATTCATTCATTACCTAAGTAGCTAAAACAGCATCTCTTGATATAATCTGATTCATATTTAGCCACTGCTCTTCTCAGTAGCCTGTTTGTTTCTGTACATATTCATTCTCCAGTCTCCCTGGATTCTCATTGTTTTATCCAAAGCAAAGCATTCTCAGTTGTGTCTGAGAGTGTTGGCAGCTTCCCCAGCACCATGACTTTGCATTTGTGCTCTCTGACATGGAAATTTGGACTCAAGCAGTTTAGTCCCACAATTGACATTTACTGACCTTGTGGAAGAAACAAATTGCCTGATCTGACTGGAGGGATTAACTGGGCCTTTATCTATCTGGCCTAAGGGCATTTTGCTCGTTAAAGCCAGGCTGAGTGGAGGCCGTGATAGTGATAGCCAGCCATTCTCTATCACAAAGAAAATGTAGGCAGAGTTCTAAGACAACCTCCAATGACCCTTGCGTAATCTTGCTCTATGTAACCTCCTTCCTTGAAGAATAGGTGGAACCTGTGATGAACATGATCACACTGGTGTGATTATTACGTTGTATGGTAAAATAAATTTTTTTAAATGTAATTAATGTTTCAGATCAATTGATGTTAAGACGGGGAGATCATTGGGGTGGGCCTGACTTAATCACATGAGCCCTTCATTATGTTACCTCTGTTTATTGGACACCCCATATTCTGAAAATGACATCAAAGAAATGAAAAGATAGGAGAAACCATAGTTTATTTTCCTTTCAGTACATCCTTACCAACCAGTAAGCCAAAAATAAAGTATATTAGTAGACTGTGTGCACATCAGGAAATGAAATAAAAACATTTGGGCCAGACACAATGGCTCATGCCTGTAATCCCAGCACTTTGGGAGGCCAAGGTGGGTGGATAACCTGAGGTCAGGAGTTCAAGACCAGCCTGACCAACATAGAGAAACCCCGTCTCTACTAAAAATACAAAATGAGCCGGGTGCGGTGGCACATGCCTGTAATAAAATCTACTTGGGAGGCTGAGGCAGGAGAATCACTTGAACCCGGAAGGCAGAGGTCGTGGTGAGTGGAGATCATGCCACTGCACTCCAGCCAGGGCAACAGAGTGAGATGCCATCTCAAAGAACAAACAAACAAACAAACCAAAAAACAACAACAACAACAAAAAACAAACAAAAAAATTTGAATTAGTTTTGTACAGTGTTTCCACTCTTCTAAGAACAACATATATACACATATATGAGCTCCAAAATATGAGTTGTATAAAGTTGGTGACTCTGTAAAAACTGGTATTGCACAATATAAAGACAAACAGTATAACTCATGCTAAAAACTTAAAAACTTAACATTTTAATTTTTCTATACTTAAAATGCATTAAATAACAAACAAAAAAAGCCACTAAGACAACTTGAGAAAGAAACTGTGGGAAAAGGGAAAAAGATTTATATTTTAGCACTTTTTTCTCCAGTGAAAAATGATATGATTTGATCCAGTAAAATGTTTTAAAAACTGTAATATACGATAATACAAGCAACCCTTGTGTATTAGTCTGTTCTCACTTCGCTATGAAGATACTTCCTGAGACTGGGTAATTTATAAAAGAAAGAGGTTTAATTGACTCAGTTCTGCATGGTTGGGGAGGCCTCAGGAAACTTACAATCATGGCGGAAGGTAAAGGGGAAGCAGGCACCTTTTTCACAAGACAGCAGGAGAGCAAAACAGCACCGGGGAAACTTGCCACTTTTAAACCATCAGATTTTCAAGAACTTCCTGACTAGCATGAGAACAGCATGGGGGAAACCGCCTCCATGATCCAGTCACCTCCAACCAGGTCCCTCCCTCGACACATGGGGATTACAGTTAGAGATGAGATTTGGGTGGGGACACAGAGCCAAACTGTATCACCTTGCTAATACATTTTCCCCCATGTCTCAGTTGAACTCAGGTGAAAGTTCAAGATTTTTAGGTACTGTTATTGAAAGTAAATTTTTTTCTAAGTACCAAATATAAACTTCACTGTAGAATATATAGGAAAACAGAAAAGCTCAAAAAAAGAAATTAAAATAATCAGTAATCCCAGCACTCAAAAATCACCATTTTTAATATATTGGTATGTTTCCTTCATTCTCGGTCTATCCTGAGATATGCCTTCTTTACACGAATGCTATATTTTGTAATGTGCCTTTTTTTTTTTTTTGAGATAGATTCTCACTCTGTTGCCCAGGCTGGAATGCAGTGGCGTGATCTCAGCTCACTGCAACCTCTGCCCCCCGGGTTCAAGTGATTCTACTGCCTCAGCCTCCTGAGTAGCCGGGACTATAGATACATGCCACCATGCCCAGCTATTGTATGTTTTCTTTTGAAAAGTGTCTGTTCATGTCCTTTGCCTACTTTTTAACAGAGTTATTTGCTTTTTCCTTCTACATTTGTTTAAGTTCCTTATAGATGCTGGATATTAGACATTTATCAGACCCATAGGTTGCAAATACTTTCTCCCATTCTTTTTTTGTGACTGTGTGGTTGGGGGACAGAATCTCGCTCTGTCGCCCAGGCTGAACTGCAGTGGCACAATCTCAGCTCACTGCAATCTCTGCCTCCCAGGTTCAAGCGATTCTCCTGCCTCAGCCTACTGAGTAGCTGAGATTACAGGCATGCGCCACCATGCCCAGTTAATTTTTTGTATTTTTAGTGGATACAGGGTTTTGCCATGTTGGCCAGGCTGGTCTCAAACTCCTGGCCTCAAGTGATCCGCTTGCCTCAGCCTCCCAAAGTGTTGGGATTACAGGTGACAGCCACCGCGACTGACCCATTTCGTAGGTTGTCTATTTACACTGTTGGTAGTTTCTTTTGCTGTGCGGAAGCTCTTTAGTTTAATTAGATCCTATTTGTCAATGTTTGCTCTTGTTGCAATTGCTTTTGTCGTCTTTGTCATGAAATCTTTGCCCATTCCTATGTCTAGAATCATATTGCCATGGTCATCTTCCAGGGTTTTTATAGTTTTGCCTTTTAAGTTTTTTGTTTTTTTTTTTTTTGAGACTGAGTCTCGCTCTGTTGCCCAGGCTGGAGTGCAGTGGCGTGATCTTGGCTCACTGCAACCTCCGCTTCCCAGGCTCAAGCAATTCTCCTGCCTCAGCCTCCTAAGTAGCTGGGACTACAGGTGCACACCACCACATCTGGCTAATTTTTTGTATTTTGGTAGAGACGGGGTTTCACTGTGTTGCCCAGGCTGGTCTCAAACTCTTGGGCTCAGGCAATCCACCTGCCTCAGCCTCCCAAAGTGCTAGGATTACCAGGCATGAGCCACCACTCCTGGCCACATTTAAGTCTTTAATCCATCTTAAATTGATTTTTGTACATAGTGTAAAGAAGGGGTCAAATTTCAGTCTGCTGTATTTGGCTAGCCAGTTATCCCAGCACCCTTTATTGAATAGGGATTCCTTTCCCCATTCTTTGTTTTTGTCATCTTTTTCAAAGATCAGTTAGTTGTACGTGTGCAGACTTATTTCTGGGCTCTCTATTCTGTTCCATTGGTCTATGTGTTTGTTTTTGTACCAGTACTATGCTGTTTTGGTTACTGTAGCCCTGTGGTATAGTTTGAAGTTGGGTAGCATGATGCCTCCAGCTTTGTTCTTTTTGTTTAGGATTGTCTTGGTTATTCAGGCTCTTTTTTGATTCCAGATGAATTTTAAAATAGTTTTTTCTAGTTCTATGAAGAATGTCATTGTTAGTTTGATAGGAGTAGCATTGAATCTATACATTGCTTTGGGCGGTATGGCCATTTTAATGAAATTGATTCCTCCTATCCATGAGCATGGAATGTTTTTCCATTTGTTTATGTCATTTCTGATTTCTCTGCGCAGTGTTTTGTAGTTTTTTTTGTAGAGAACTTTTGCTTCCTTGGTTAGCTGTATTTCTAGGTATTTTATTCTTTTTGTGGCAATTGTGAATGGGATTGCTTTCCTGATTTGGCTGTCAGCTTGACTGTTGATTTTGTATCCAGAAACTTTGCTAAAGTTTTTTTTTTAATCAGCTTAAGCAGCTTTTGGGCCGAGACTATGGGGTTTTCTAAGTATAGGATCACGTTATATGCAAATAAGGATGGTTGGACTTCCTCTCTTCCTATTTAGGTGCCCTTTATTTCTTTCTCTTGCCTGATAGCTCTGGCCAGTACTTCCAATACTATACTGTATAGGAGTGGTGACAGAGGGCATCCTTGTTTTGTGCTGGTTTTCAAGGGGAATGTTTCTAGCTTTTGCCCATTCAGTATGATGTTGGCTGTGTGTTTATCATAGATGGTTCTTATTATTTTAAGGTATGTTCTTTCAATACCTAGTTTATTGAGAGTTTTTAATATAAAGGAGTTGATTCCATGTCTCTACTATTGTGAACAGTCCTGCAATAAATATACGTGTGCATGTGTCTTTATGACAGAACAATTTATATTCCTTTGGGTATGAATTTGGGTTGAATTTTATTGAAAGCCTTTTCTGCATCTATTGAGATAATCAAGTGGTTTTATCCTTAGTTCTGTTTATGTGATGAATCACATTTATTGATTTGTGTATGTTGAACCAACTTACATTTCAAGGATAAAGCCTACTTGCTCCTTGTGGATAAGCTTTTTGATGTGTTGCTGGGTTTGGTTTGCCAGTATTTTGTTCAAGATTTTTGCATCAATGTTCACCAAGGATATTGGCCTCATGTTTTCTTTTTTCATTGTCTCTGCCAGGTTTTGGTATCAGGATGATGCTGGCCTCATAGAATGAGTTAGGGAAGAGTCCTTCCTCCTCATTTTTTTGGAAAAGTTTCAGTAGGAAACTTTTGGAGCTCGTTATTGGGCCACTGAGGAACTCAGTTTCTTCCTGATTCAGTCTTGGGAGGGTGTATGTGTCCAGATGTTTTTCCATTTCTTCTATATTTTCTAGCTTATGTGCATAGAGGTGTTCATAATATTCTCTGAGGTTATTTGCATTTTTGTGGGGTCAGTGGTAACATCCCCCTTGTCATTTCTAATTGTGTTTATTTAAATCTTCTCTCTTTTCTTCTTTATTAGTCTAGCAGTGGTCTATTTTCTTAATTTTTTCAAAAAATCAACTCCTGGATTTGTTAATCTTTTGATTTTTTATGTGTGTCTTAATCTCCTTCAGTTCAGCTCTGATTTTGGTTATTTCTTGTCTTCTGCTAGCTTTGGGTTTGGTTTGCTCTCAGTTCTCTAGTTTTTTTAGTTGTGATGTTAGGTTATTACACTGAGATCTTTTCTAACTCTTTGATGTGGGCATTTAGTGCTATGAATTTCCCTCTTAACACTGGTTTAGCTGTGTCCCAGATATTCTGGTATGTTGTATCTTTGTTCTCCCTAGTTTCAAAGAACTTCTTGATTTCTGCCTTAATTTCGTCATTTACCCAAAAGTCATTCAGAAGCAGATTATTCAATTTCCATGTAATGTATGGTTTTGAGTCTCAGTAGGTCACATGCCCCCCTAGTCCACTGGATCTGCACCCAGCTCAGCACTAGGATTTGCCTAAGAATTGCAGTCCTTGTGGCCCAGACTGCCCCACAAGTTCACTTAGGGTCCCAGAGCACTCCAGCCCACAGTGGCGAGGCTTGCTGGAACTCAAGCTCTGATTGCTGGGCTGGGTGACTTCGCTTTGGCTAGGGCCAATCCAAATGCTCCGTCTGTGGGCAGACATCAGCTGAATACAGCCTGGATCTAATTTCCACTATGAGAGGGCCACTCTGAGTTCAATGCAAAGCCTCACAATTGCTGCACTCTCTCTCTCCCAAGAGACCAGATTCTTTGTACACAGCTGCTGCCGTGGGGTGGGGGAGGGGTGGCATCAATGCTTCAAGTCTGTCTTTCCTGCTCACGTCACTGTCTCTTTCAGTGATACGAATTTCAAATGAGGTAATGTGATTGCTCACTGATTTTTGGTTCTTGTGAGAGTATTTTTATTATTATTATTATTATACTTTAAGTTTTAGGGTACTTGTCTTGTGAAAGTATTTTTGCATGCAGTTAGTTGTTAAAACGTGGTGTTCCTGCTGTGGGGACGAATGGTGTAGGCTTCTATTCAGCCATCTTGCTCTGCCTCCCCCATATAAATAATTAATATACATTCAAGAAACATCAATGGATGCTGAAACCAGTGGGTAAACATTTGATGAGGAATAGGATATCTGTCTCATCTCAAAGTACCTCTTTACAAAATGCTTATTAATTACTAAAAGCAGGTACTTTACAACTGAGAGACTAGCAGATCTCACTTGTATTAGTTTTCTATTGCTGCATGACAAATTACCACAAACATAACAGCTTGAAACAACCCATTTATGGTCTTATAGTTCTGTAAGTTAGAAGTCCAGGCAGTCCCCCTGAGTTCTTTGCCTAGGGTCTCCCAAGGCTGCAATCAAGGTGTTGGCCAGGCTGGGCTCTTCTCTGGAGGCTTTGGGGAAGAATCCCTCTCCCAGAATTCAGTTCCCTGCTACAATTAGACCAAAGTCTCTATTTCCTTGCTGGCTGTCAGATGGTGGTTGTGTTCCATTCCTGGAGGCCAATCACACAGTTCTGTGCTGTGGGTCTTCTCCATCTCAACAAGGTAGAGCTTCTCTGGAGGTGAATCTCTGCCACATCTCGAATATTTTTGACTTCTGCCATCAGCTCTCAAAAACTCTCTGCTTTTAAAGGCTGGATTTATTTAGATTAGGCCTACTTCGGTAATTGTCCATTTGCAATATAACACCATCATGGGAGTAATATCATGAGCCAAGGTCATAGGGCCATCTTAAAATTCTGCCTACCATACAATCTTAATCAAGTGATCAATTTAATATTACTAGTAATAGGACAAATTGAAATTGTGTACCACTTGATAGTATGCAGTGTGAAGAATCCGGCTTCAAATCTGTGATATCTCTGCTAAAGACGTATAATTTGAATCTAAACACTAGGAAACATCAGACAAACCCACAATGAGATAAATCCCACAAAATTAGTGGTCTGTAGTGTTTAAAATAGTCAAAATTATGAAATCATAAAAACTGAGAAATGGTTCCAAATCAAATAATATTAAAAAGACATGATAAATGAAATATGTAATTTTAAAATGGATCATTTGGCTAAAATGGATATTACTGGGGCAACTGAAAAAAAATTAATGATGTCTGAAACAAAATGATAGTAATGTATTAGAATTAATTTCCTCATTTCAATGGTTTAAATATAGTAAGAGGTGTAAGTCTTCGTAAGAATTGCACACTAATGCATTTAAGGGTGATGGGGTATCATGTTGGTAAAATACTCTCAAATTACTAAGGAAAAAAAGTTCTTTGTACGATTTCTGCAATTTTTCCTGAAATTTTTTTCTGAAATTATCCAAAAGAGAAAAAAAGAATCATTAGTTAGTTAATAAAGAAAATAAAAAAGACAAACTAGATACAAAGCAGAATTGAAAAGAAATGATTTGGGGAAGAATCTTACATATTCTTTTTAAAATCCATTTTATTTTATGTTGAACATTAAAAAAAACACCAAACATAAGGGTCTGTCCCCTTTACCAAATCAGTTTGCAAAAATGGAAAAATTGTTAACTGGGAAGAAACGTCACTAAATCAATGTGAGTAATAAAACTGGTTTTGCTGGCCATGGTGGCTCACGCCTATAATCTTAGCACTTTGGGAGGCCAAGGAGGGAGGATCTCTTGAGCCCAGGAGTTTAAGAGCAGCCTGGGCAACATGGCAAAACCCTGTATCTACAAAAAAGACAAAAATGAGCTGGGCATGGTGGTGTCAGCCTGTAATCCCGGCTACCCCAGGGGGCTGAGGTGGGAGGGTCTCTTGAGCCCGGGAGGTGGAGATTGCAGTGAGGCATAACCATGCACTCCGGCCTGAGCCACAGAGCAAGACCCTGTCTCAAAACAGAAACAAAAACAAACTTGTCTGAGTAGTTCTCAGACAATCAGTGTATCAAAATGGCAAAGCAGAATTTCAGAAGGACAGAAAAACAGTATTTGTTTCTACAGTATATTAAGAAGGTGATAAATGTTTTTAAAAGTATACAGAAATGTCAAGAGTTTTGTCATGGTCCCAGGGTTACAGAAAGACAATGACCTTCCTTTATGTGGCAATAACAGGGGTTATAACAGTTTTTAAAAACATTTCATAAGCAGTGAATATTTACTGATCATTCATGTTTCTCCTGGAATTCAACGCTTAATCAATATACAGGGTCTACCTTTTGGTTTCTGTAAAAACAAAAATCACCCAAGCTTAGGTTTTTTAATTGTCTTAGTAACATTATCAAACTCTAATCATCACCTGAGACACACATTTAAGGTTCTACTTTTTTTTTATAATAAACTGTAATGACTTCCACAGGTTGGTTCTCTGCAGTTTGGATTTCCACGTCCAGATATGGTCTGATCAAATGTTAAGTTTGCTGGCTGAGTTCTCGGCACCATGACTTTGCAGATGCACCTTGCTCACCCTGTCTTTAGATTTGGGATTTTGACTTTTGTTTGTACAAGATACATCGTTGTCACTCTCTCCCACCAAGGCCAGGGCTGTGGACTCTTGGAGGAGAGCAGGCTTGTGAGAATCAGAAACAGCCACATGTCCCCAGCTCATTCTTTCTCTTAAGAACCTCTTTTCCTGGTGCTAGTTATTGTAAAAAAAAAAAAAAAAAAAAAAAAAGTCCCAAAAAAGTTATTTTAAAAAAGTCCCACATCTCCCATGTATACTCTTCAGAAGAAACCACATGCCAAGTATTTTCTTAAAAGTACACAATCAGAAAATTAGTAAATTGGTAAAGTTAGAAACTACAACCCTTCCTAAAGTATTAATATTCCCACATCTGCCAAAAATAAAGTTCCCCCTCTTCTGCTTGCCTCTCAGATAATTTAACGTCAGAAGAGGCTTTTTCTGAACCCTATACTTTTTCTTGGCAACAATTTGGAGCTAGCCCTAAAGGCACTGGAACTCTTGAATCTGCTTCCTTAATTTCTGCTTCAGCTCTCAGAGGGAACAAGTGATCTTGGGAAAATACAACTTTCGGCTCCTTTTGTCTCCTCTGATTCCAACACTAAAGGGGCAGCTTCTGTCCGTTTAGCTTCACTTGATTTATTTATAAACAAACAGTTAATATTCTAAAGCAGAAAATCCTGCTGCAATTGGCGTGTCCTAATGTTTTGTAACTTAGTTCCGTTCTACCCACAAGCCGGAAACCAAGCATCCAGACAAGGACTTTAAACACTTGCTTCATCGTCATATTATCAGCTGCAATTTCACCCATTATGCATTCACTAGGTACAAAGCAGCACACTCATAGCGGCAAGCTCTACCACCTGAAAAACTAACAGCTTTGTCTCACTGGAGCCCTGCCCTTTTTCTGTGCAAGATGTGAGCTAGGGCTGGTAGAAAAGGTAACTCCAAGGCTAGCATGCAGCCGTAGGCTTCAGGCTGCAGGAGAAGGGATGTGGCTGATTTAGGAGGTTTAGCATGTGCCTGCCAGTCTAGAAGTGGAACCAAACGCATGTTCGCTGCTTGCGGAGTCTAATTAACAAGAGCGAGGTCTGGTAGAAAGAAAGTGACTTTATTAACCAACACTAGTAAAGGGGAAGCTGCTGGATTCCTCCTATCCAAAGGAACTGCTTTGTATCTAGCGGGGAAAGCAAGAGTTCAAAATGGGAAAACTTGGTAAGGAAGGCATGCAGGAATTGTGCTGATTCCAATGCCTGTGTGTCTTGCTCTGGTGGCTGTCTTGGGTCCCAGGCCACCTGGATCTCAGGCTGGCATCATCTTAACAATGGCTGGGTTGTTGACTAGTCACCTTGAAGTCATCTCTGGAATTCTGTAGCGGGGTCTCCAGACTTGGTCTGCCTAAAAATTAGCCCCATAATAATTATGTGCCTTTAGACACTAGCATGCAGTTAGATAAATGTGAAGGGACTATATTCGGTGAGAAAGAGGGACGTGGAGTCCATTTTAAGGCTAAGGAAAAAGGCTTCTGCAGTTTGCTTCAAGGTTATATGTTGAAATCCAAGAGAAAGGAAAAAAAACGTTTAAAATGCATTTTGAAGTTAAGTTGCCTAGTTACAGAATCATAGACTCGAGGCTGGTGGGGCCCAGAGGCACTGGAGGTCTTCTAGATCTTCAATATTACACACAGTCTGGCTAATGTTTAAACACCTCTAGGGATCAGGAATTCACTTCCCAACGAATATTTAGGAGAAAATCTTGTGTTTAGCAAGTCTTTCTTAACGTGCAGCTAAAATGCCATCTTCCTTTATCCTCCATTTGTAGATCTCAATTCTGCATGCAGTGACGGCACGGAACGGGTCTTTTCCTATTCCTAATGAAAGCCCTCCAAATATTTGATATAGGTCTTATATTCCTATGTTACACCCAATTGTTTTTGATGAATACCCCCAATTAATGGATACAGTTCAAATTCCACAAATTAAATTCATTTTTAAATTCAATTTATTAAAAATTGATTTATTAGTTTACTAATATTGATACATCAATTAAATTACATAACCTCAATTAATACAGTTCCAAATGGATGTGTGTTTAATACCCTTGGCTTTAAGAGAGAGAGAGAAGGCCGGGCACGGTGGCTCACGCCTGTAATCCAAGCACTTTGGGTGGCTGGGGCGGGTGGATCACGAGGTCAGGAGTTCAAGACCAGCCTCGCCAAGATGGTGAAACTCCGTGTCTACTAAAAATACAAAAATTAGCTGGGCGCAGTGGCAGGCACCTGTAATCCCAGCTACTCAGGAGGCTGAGGCAGGAGAATTGCTTGAACCAGGCGGCAGAGGTTGCAGTGAGCTGAGATCGCACCACTGCACTCCAGCCTGGGCGACAGAGCTAGACTCCGTCTTAAAAAAAAAAAATAACAAGAGAAAGACAGGAGGCTCCAGCTGAATCTTTTAGGCTGTCAGTACCTTAGTAGGGTCATTTTGAGACCAAGGTCCAGTCTACAGTTTTTGACATTTAAAAAATTATTTCTAAAAATGTATTTTTGTTAGTCCACTCAGGAATAATATCGGGGATGATCCATAATAATCTAGTCATTAAAAAACTGATAAATATAGTAGAATCTTACATAACTATTCAGAGAGATATATCCATCAAGCCGACTGAAACATATGTGCACCTGCCTGCTGGTCATATATGATCTTTTCAGTAGCCAGAAAACCTTTGAAAATGATTTGCATATCAGAAGAGTGATTATAATAAATAACTTAAGCCTGAGGCACTTACCATCTTGATTGATCCTAAGGACAGAGCACACTGCCATATGCCTGCAGCCCAGTGGGTAGATCCTCTTTTGATAGTTGTGGAGGGAGATTCTCATAAATTCTGGATGAATGATTCTTCCCTTTCAATATTCATTATCAGACATACAAGTCTTCCATCATCTCTGTATTTGGCAGTATGTGTAGTGGCTATGAGGCTTGTCTCTAGAGTAAGTATTTATCAAATGAAGGACTGAATACACAAACCACATGCCACCGGGATAGGATAAAGTCAGTTGAAGTTTAATGATGGGAGCATATTTTGCTGGAGTATAGTTTGAAAGCATTGCCTTTCCAGATAAAATTTGTAAAAGACGTCACCTCAGGCTCCTTCCTATGGTTTAGAAAACACTCCAGTTAGTAATGTTTGTAACATCTTTTGGGGGAGTAAGTTGATTCAGAGATGAGATACAGGATATCCATTTTTATTACTTTCTATTGAAGAGGGTGGAATTTCTATCTTCTCCATCCGACTGGGTACACCTACCCGGAAAGACTCTGTAGCTCCTATGCTCTTTCTACAGTAGAGAAGGGCTTCAGAGAGGACAGGATGGATGACCTCAGCCCCCCAGATAAAGGAGGATGTGAGCTCAACTGCTGCAGTTGGGGAAGCTGAAATGTGGTAAGGGATTTCAGGGAGTGGGGAAGGCTTAGAATACTTCCATGAGGAATCCCCTAAGAAGTTCATGAAGAATGAAAGTTGAACATTGAAGTCACCACTGAGGTTACATATCACATATTTAGAATTAAGTCACTGTGCAGACTTTTGTAATTTTCTGCCAAGCACCTGGCTGCCCAGAGAAAGAGAGATAAGAAGGTTGATTTTTTTTTTGTCTTTTTTCTTGTTTCCTTTTTGTGGAGAACAGGGTCTCGCTATATTGCCCAGGCAGGTCTCGAACTCCTGGGCTTAAGCTATCCTCCCGCCTCTTGTCTCCCTGAGAGCTGGGATTACAGGCGTGAGCCACCATGCCTGGCCAAGAAGTTTGATTTTATCTAGTGCTGGGAATTGCCTAAGTACAAAGGATTCCAGGAGGCCTAGTGACATTAACTGATCTTTAAATAGAAAATCGTTAAGGGTTGTTTAGCAGGAAATGTTTCAAAGCAGGGGAAAGGCTACCCATGTAGACAGATAGGAGATGATTATAGACAATTAACCTGAGAGTAACCTGTCATCTCCCCAATGGCTGAGGTCTCACCATTTCTCTGGTTTACACTTGCATGGGGCTTAAGATCTTCTTGGCCCCAGCTGACTGACCTCCCTGTATTATTTGCTATTGTTTGTTTAATTCCACTATTGTCTTACCCCTTCAAACTTCAGGCTTTCATTATAAATATTAATAATCTGACTTGGTGCCCAAGCTGGGGGACAGTCTAGTTGGGGCTCTGCTGCCACCTAGTGGTCTTTAGTCGCTTCGC
This sequence comes from Homo sapiens, assembly GCF_000001405.40. Lineage (NCBI taxonomy): Eukaryota > Metazoa > Chordata > Mammalia > Primates > Hominidae > Homo > Homo sapiens. The sequence continues at coordinate 134,606,534 of NC_000007.14, forward strand.
ATGTCTATGGTGTCTAGGCTACGAAGGGGGCAAGTGAAACCAAGAGACGGCTTGAATAGAAGCATTCAAGGGGTCTGGAGTTCACGACGAGGGTAAACAGAAAAAATTATGAGGTACCAGGAAGACAGAAGAATAATAGTTTGTAGTCTAGAAGAATTTCAGAGTTTGAGATCTTGATGATGGAGGAGTACTAGGGAGGATAATACCAAAGAAGTGGCTATGGTTGGGTGTGGCTGAAAAAGACTGAAGAAGATTAAAGTTGAAGGTCAAGGAGTTCAGGGTCAGTTTGTTGCAAGGGCCATTTACATTCTCCACTTAGAGGTGAGTGTCCCTGTGTTAGGGTCCACGTTTCGGTAATACGTATTTTTTATCTTCCACACTTCCCAATACAGTGTCAGCAAAATGTTGGTGGAATTGACTTGAGTGTTGAAGAAAAAAATCACTCACGATGATTGTAGGGGATGGAGTGATGATTATAACTTTGGACTTGCTGATCTATACTTTTAGATGAGAATGGCTTCAAATAGGCGGCTTTCTCAAGCCAGGCAGCTATTTTCACTCTTTCAGTGACTGCCCCAACGTATCTCCACTGGACAAATCTCCTCATTCCTGGTATTTTACAGTTTGTTGTGATTCCTTCTAAGGCAGGAGAATATCCTGGATGTTGCTGTGTGCTCATTGTCTGAAATGAGCACACCACATGTAGCAGTGCCCTTCTTACCTTTCCTGCCATTGATTCTCCATGTGAACTTTCTGTAAGCAAGATGTTCATCCAGGAGTTCTCCAAAGCCTACCTTCTTTTCACTCCTTTCTGAGTTTGTAAAAAATTTTGGGAGTCAGTTACTCTACTTTCCCATACTACTTCAGGAAATTTGGAATTCCTGCACATCTGTTTCCTGGGTAAGTTGGCTCTTGATTGCACTGTTTTCAGTCAGCTGGGTCTTTGGCCAACCCAGAGTATTCCTTTGTTAATTCCCACAAGCTAGAGGATTTCTAGAGATTTTTTTTCATTCCTTATTCTGTGGACTCTTTATTTCTTCTCACCCTAAATCATCTGCTTGCCTCACCCCTGCCCCACTCTGATTTAACTCCCATGTGGCTCATTAGCTCCAAGCCAGTTTGCAGCGACTCCCAGGCTCTCAGCTGCCTGAAGGATTGGCTGCCATAATGGACACTTTGATGACTATTCTGGTTGTCTCTTGATTCTTAGGACATCTTTGTAGGCCAGCCTATCTATAAGATGACTTCCTTCTTTGTCAGCTATAATAATGGATATTGATTTTTTCCTAATTTTTCATTATAGGAATTTTGAACATATAGAAAGTTAGAGGGAATAGTGTATTGAATGTAGTGTACATATCACTCAGCTTTAGTATCATTTACGGACAATATTATTTCATCTGTACTTTTTTACTTCCCTGATTATTTTGAAACAAATCCTAAACATCATATCCTTTTATCTGTCAATGACAGTGCATAGCTTTAAAAAATAAGAACACTTATTGTGTCTCACCTAAAAATTAGCAAAATTTAGCAAACAAATTTCCAAAGTCATTCAGACTAGAATAATAGTGGTTGAGAGTAGCTCTTCTTGTTTAGAAAAATTTTAGTTTCAGCCTGAGCAAAAACCAAAAAATCACAATTAAGCTTTACCACTGCTAAGCCATTAAATTCTTGTTGATAGGGCAATTCAGGATATTCAGCTTCTATTTTTGACAAAAAAATCATAGAACTGCAGATGTTTACACCACAAAAGTGAATAAGGTCCATTTTGGACATGACCTGTTCAATAACATATGATAGAATCAAACATGTTATGCAAAGTACCTACTGATGAATGATTACAGGTTTTAACATCTTACTTTTTCACAAGCTTTTAAATGAGTCCATGTAACCCTTTGTCTGCTTCACACAAATTTTTACCACCGTGTAGCACATCTTAGCAGATTCTACTTCAGATTATACTGAATTAGAAATTTTACCAACTTCTTTGAAAATATTATTCTCACTTGTAGTTATTCCATACAGACTATTCATAGAACCTAATTCTTTAGTTACTTCAAACTTAGCATTGATACCTCAAGTAAAAAACAACAGCTGAGCAGTATCAGTAGCATCTGTCTATTCATCAAGAGACAAGGAAAGATACTCAGAACAATTAACTTTGTTTTTAACTATTGATGTTGCTCCCAATGTCCTCAACTTTTCAATCAACTTTTGTTACCAAAAGACTCACAGTCTTGAACAAGTTTATTTTCTGCGGACACATTTCTTCAGCTAATAAAAACACAGTTTAATTAGCTTACCATTGATAAATGGGTTTCCTTGCTTGCTAACAAATGAACCACTTGGAAACTAAGTTTGGTTGCAGCCTCATTTACATTTGTAATTCTTGTGAAGAAATTCCACTATAATAAGATATTCTATTTTAAATTTCCTAATTGTTCTGCCTGTTGCTTTCCTGTGAATTGGACATATTGTGATGAGTGCTTAGTCTGGCAATGTTGACATATATTCTGTTGTTTTAGCATAGTTATAGTGTCAGTGCATACTAAACACATGCTTTCCGATCTAATTCAATTAAAAAAAAGCCAGATGCCACAGTAACTTAAAAGTGCAACATTTGAAGTTGACTTTTCTTGTTTTGACATGAAAGATATGCACTGATAAAATAAAATAAAAGTAAAACAAGTATGCTTGGCACTTGAAACACTGTCAAGTCAACTCACTAAGCAGCAGTAAGAAGTGATGAAGATTTCACAAATGGTCCCTGTTGCAACTCTTCAACTTTGCTGTTGAAACTCAAATGCAGCCATAGACAATATGGAAATGAAAAGTGTGCTATGCTATAGTAAAACTTCATTTATAATATTCAGCTTTAATTTAAAATAATTTTCATATCATAAAATATTATTGTTCTTTAGATTTTTTTTTCAATTATTAAAAAACGTAAAAACTGGCCGGGCGCGGTGGCTAACGCCTATAATCCCAGAACTTTGTGAGGTCAAGGTGGGCGGATCACTTGGGGTCAGGAGTTCGAGACAAGCCTGGCCAACATAGTGAAATTCTATCTCTACTAAAAATACAAAAATTAGGCCAGGAACAGTGGCTCACGCCTGTAATCCCAGCACTTTGGGAGGCGGAGGTGGGCTGATCACGAGGTCAGGAGATCAAGACCATCCTGGCTAACACGGTGAAACCACGTCTCTACTACTAGCCAGGCGTGGTGACATTGCACCTGTAGTCCCAGCTACTCAGGAGGCTGAGGCAGGAGAATCGCTTGAACCCAGGAGGCGGAGGTTGCAGTGAGCCGAGATCACACCACTGCACCCCAGCCTGGGCGGTAGAGCGAGACTCAGTCTCAAAAAAAAAAAAAAAATTAGCTGGGCATGGTGGTGCATACCTGTAATCCCACCTACTCAGGATTCCACTGCTGAGGCAGGAGAATCGCTTGAACTCAGGAGGCAGAGGTTGCAGTGAACTAGGATGGCACCACTGCACTCCAGCTTGGGTGACAGAGTGAGACTCCTTTTCCAAAAAAAAAAAAGTAAAAACCATACCAAAGGCTGGATGTGATACATGGGCCATAGTTTGGCAATCCCTGGTCTAGATCAAGGCACCTCTAAAAATTTCACAGATGTGTCATGCCCTTGAATATTTGTAGGGCTTATCTTCTATCACCTGAGGTGCAGATGCCTTACTTAGGCATTGAGAACTCTAGTCACTTTTTGCTACCAGGTCTGCTTGGCATGATCTCATCAAAATAGTGGAACAATGACCAGAATGTCCAGGTGATCAAGGTCCATCATCTGTCTAGTTCAAACAAGGACCAAACTGGTAAATTGAATGGGTTTTCATGGGGAGAATCACTCCTGCATCCTTTAAGTGTTTGAGGAAGACACAAATCACTTCAGGATGCAGCAAGTAGCTACTTGAGGAAAGATTGTGAATAGCTACTTTAACTACTTGCTATGGCATTGCTGGCACTTCCTCAAGGGGACATGGCCCTTTAATCAGTGTATTCTAAGTCTTAAAATGGCCTTAGTTCTTAAAACGGGACAAGAGATCATGATTCCCTATCATGTGCTGACCAACCCAAGGTGTTTTTCAGATTATTAATCAAACAATATCTTAATGTATGTAGCTGCTAGGATACCATAGTTTATTAGTCTTAGGCTCCCTAGTTGTTACTCTGGCCTTGTTACCCATTAGGGTAATTGAGTATACCTGTCTTCCTGCAAGGTTGTTGTGGAAATTAACGCAGCAGCTAATTTCAACAATCCTACCTTTCGACAGTTTTATGCTGTCATCTGGCTATTCTAGATCCTATCATTCTTATTGACACCAGGGAGCCCAGTTTCTGAGAGTGTCTCCTACTATCAATCTTGACCTACAGAGGACACACAACATTGAGTTTCTCAAGGTGCTAGTGCCTCCTTTATGAATGCTTTATTCCTTATTGCTTTAGTAAAGAGAGCATCCTCTGGGTCCTCATGGGAAACATAATCATCTAGTGGTTCTTTGGTGTCTCACAATACATCAGTTCTAACATGCCTACCTTTCTGAACTTTTAGATCCCTTCCTCTGCCAAGGAATTTCCAGCATCTCTACCTCATTTACTGCAGACATAATTGTTTACAAGCTGCAAGGAGCTATTTTAGCAGTTTATTAGCAGTGGCTCCAGCTATCCATACCAGGACAAGCTCGGGGAGGAGAAAGCAAAGAGCAAGGAGAATGAAAGAACAGACCACACGCCTTCTTCCCTCTGTTAAATCCATCAACCAAAAATCAGTTCTGAACTGTGGGAGGGGAAACATGTTGAAATGCATTACAGTTTGAAGTTTTTAGCCAGATAGTACATTTTAGTACCTGAAAAGTCAGATTGTTTTAACACACAATAGTGGCTGGAAAGTGATTGCCTATGATATCTCCAAGGAACAGGGAAGAGAGGAGAACCAATGGTATTCTGGGGTTGGGGGACAAGATGTTGCTCTGCAGTGAAGTGGTGTGATCTCAACTCACTACAGCCTCAACCTCCCTGGCTCAGCCAATCTTCCCATCGCAGCCTCCTGAGTAGCTGGGACTACAGGGGCACACTACCATGCCTGGCTAATTTTTTCATTTTTGTAGACACAATGTCTCACTATGTTGCCCAGGCCGGTCTTGTGTTTCTGGGCTCAAGTGATCCTCCCATCTTGGCCTTCCATAGTGCTGGAATTACAAGCATGAGCCACCATGCCTGGCCCCAGTGGTATTTTTGAAGGCAGTGGTGCAAGAAAAATAGCTGTTTCCTCATTGTTCACTACCAATTACAGACAGTTCAAATAACAAGCTGTACAAGTATTGCAGTGCAAAATGGAGTTACTGCCTCTTCGTTCTTTGATTTTTTTTTTCCATTTAGGAAATGGGTTAAAATAAGCTATTGTGCAATATGAAATTACTAGACATTCTGTCCTTTATAAACACAAATACATTAATTCTGCATACCGTAATATGTGAACCGGTTTTGGAGACTGGAGAGTAGTAACATAAATGCCATACAGGAGCTTTAGCCATTCACTATGGCGCTCAAGGAAGGAAATAAATGTCTCATCCATGGCCATGGGGGGCGGCTGTTCAAAGAGAGCTTAATGAAACAGGTTATACTTAAACAGAAGTTGACATGCTGAGTGTGGTTTTGAAAGATATACAGAAAAAATGATTTCTGAGTATAGAGAACAATAGGAAAAGGTATGGCAGTATACTAAAAATGAGTAATCCAATTTAGATGAAACAAAGAATCTATGAAGAGATATAATGGAAAACAAAGCCTGAAAAACATACTTGGCCAATATCTGAAGTCTTGGACACAAGGTGGCAGGATTTATACATTATAGGTAGGCGTATGCTATGGTTTGCATACATAGTTCACATGTTGGATGTGATCACCTTAACACCCAAGGTGATGGTATTAAGAGGTGGGGTCTTTGGGAGGTAGCGAGGGCTCCATCCTCATCAATGAAATTAGTGCCCTTATTAAAGGACTTGAAGGCACCTGTTAGCTTCTTCTGTCTTTTCTGCCATGTGAGGATGCTGCAAGAAGGCACCCTCACCAATTACTGAAGCTGCCAGCACCATGATCTCAGACTTCTCAGCCTCTAGCACTGTAAGAAATACATTTCTATTGCTTATAAATTCCCCCATCTAAGACATTTTGTTATAGCAGCAGGAACAGACTAAGGCAGTATATTAGTCCATTTTCAAGCTGCTGATAAAGACATACCCAAGGCTGGGTAGTTTATAAAGAAAAAGAGGTTTAATAGACTTACAGTTCCGCGTGGCTGAGAGAGGCCTCACAATCATGGCAGAAGGCGAGAAGCACATTTTACAAGGTGGCAGACAAGAGAAAAATGAGAACCATGCGAAAAGGGTTTCCTCTTATAAAACCATCAGATCTCATTAGACTTATTCACTACCATGAGAACAGTATGGGGGAAACTGTCCCCATGATTCAATTATCTCCCACTGGGCCCCTTCCACAACATGTGGGAATTATGGGAGCTACAATTCAAGATGAGATTTGGGTGGGGACACAGCCAAACCATATCAGGCAGCATAAGAAAGATTGATTGAAATTCTAATATTTCCCTTGGTGTTTTAAAAATAATTTATTTAAATTCTTATTTATAAACTGAACCTCAAGATAGAGGAATTGGGAGTAAGACTCCACTAAGGGACAGTGGGAAGGGAGCTGGGAAGCACAGCAGTGACTGGGGTAACTATCAGTACATTCTGATGGGAGGGACTTAGTGGAAAGAGACAGCCCAAAATTCTTGCTGCATCTGCCAGTCAGCATAGTTGAGGTGGGAACAGACAGGGCCCTGTTACTCAGGCACCACTTCTGAATTTGGCATCCTCCAATAAGTCTTTCTTTCGCTGAAGTCCACCCACTACCCCATCCCAGTCTGATCTTGGTCTGAGTATAGGAAGTGAATGGTATACCTCTGTGTCAGACCCTGTGTGCCAAGGGTTCTTTACCTCTGGAGCTGATCACTTAACCTTCAAGTTGAATACTGGAGTCCAGTATCAAAACACCGCATTTACATTAACAAGCATATGCTTCCCCATTCCTTAATCATCAGAAGGAATAGAGTTATTAGAAAGTTGCTAAGGTGTTAGAAATCCATCAGTTGTCTGAGAAAGTTAGTGGAAGGATGCAGTAGAACAACACATTTAAAATGACTACCACTTCCTGGCACAGAGTAGATATTCAATATCAAGTTTCCTCTCTGTTGTTTTCCTACACAAGAGAGTGGCACAGAGTAAGTAATATCTGTCCTATAAACACTCACCATGGCTATCCCTCCCTGCCCTGCTAAAAGAAGACATAGTATATCCTCCCATTAATTTCTTTCCCCATTCCTACAGATATTCTTCCTATGAGATGGTGTCATCCTTATCCATTCCTGTTTTCTTCTTCTGGACACCTATGGTTTGTTTCTGTCCGTTTATGATGCAATACCTCAAACAACATTCAGTTCCTCAGATATGAGCTGACTAATGAAGGAGAAACAAAAGGGCTTCTTCCTCTTGGCTTAGATGCAACAATTCTGTTTTTCCAGGCTAAGGATTTCTTCGGGGTTTTGTTTTTCTTTGGTTTGGTTTGGTATAGCGCCACAAGTTGCTGTTGACTCATTTAGCTTCTAGCCAAAGGAAACCCCTGAGCCTCTTTTTCCTCCATGTGATGCTGCTGAGCCATCTCTTCCCCACCCAGATCTTGGAGAGCTGTTTGCTTTTCTAGATCTGAGTAAAGGACCTCTCATACCCAGTAAATTCCATCTTGTTAGATTCATTTTCTTCATTGTAGCCTTTAAGCACATTAACTATCCTGTTCCATCACCACTCCACATATCTTCTTCAAATTAGATTGATTTTCCAGTGATGTTCTTTATTGAAGACATTGCTAAAAAGCCTAAGTAGGACAGGAGACAACACTGAGCCCTGTGACCTGCCACAAGAAGCCTCTTAACAGGTTGAAAGAGAATTCATTAAACAGAACTCTTTTGGTATGGTCATTCAACTGGATGTGAATTCACCTAATTGATCTAGAATCCAGTTCATATTATTACACATTTTCTTTTTTTTTTTTCTTTTATATTTAGATGGAATCTCGCTGTCACCCAGGCTGTAGTGCAGTGGCCTGATCTTGGCTCACTGCAACCTCTGCCTCCCGGGTTCAAGCGATTCTCCTGCCTCAGCCTCCCAAGTAGCTGGGATTACAGATGCCTGCCACCACGCCTAGCTAATTTTTTGTATTTTTAGTAGAGATGAGGTTTCACTGTGTTAGCCAGGATGGTCTCGATCTCCTGACCTTGTGATCCACCCGTCTCGGCCTCCCAAAGTGCTGGGATTACAGCCATGAGCCACAGCGCCCGGCCTATTACATATTTTCTAAAACAAATCATGAGATATCTTGCCAAATGCTTTGTTCAAGTCACATCTACAATTTTTGCGGCACTCACTTCATCTTCCAGTCTAGAAAGTCTATCAAAAATGAAAATAATTCTACTGTAGAATGGTTTACTCTTTGTGAATACTGTTTATTAATGTTTGAAATGTACCACCCCTCTCCATTGCCCTCACCCATTAAAAAACTCATTTTCTAAAATGTGCCTCCCGCCGCCCCACTTTTTTTTTTTTGAGGCAGAGTCTCGCTCTGTCACCCAGACTGGAGTGCAATGGTGTGATCTCAGCCCACTGCAACCTCCGCCTCCCAGGTTCAAGCAATTCTCTTGCCTCAGCCTCCCGAGTAGCTGGGACTATAGGTGTGTGCCACCACACCCGGCTAAGTTTTGTATTTTTAGTAGAGATGGGGTTTCGCCATGTTGACCGGGCTGGTCTCAAACTCCTGACCTCAAGTGATCTGCCTGCCTTGGCCACCCAAAGTGCTGTGATTACTGGCATGAGCCACCACACCTGGCCTCAAATGTACCCCTTTTTTCATAGAGACAGTACAGCACTGTGATCCAAAGTGTGGCTTGAATCCTGGCTCCTCTACCTTCTGGCTGTGCTGACATGGGCACGTCGCCTTGGCTATCTGTCCCTCAGGTTCTTAATCAGTAAAATGAGAACAATGATAGAACCCACATCATAGGATTAGTATAAGGATTGAATCACTTCACATTGATAAAGCATTTAGAAGCATTTCTGGCACTTTAGTAAGCAAAATATGATTCTGGAATTTGGAAGATATTTGAGCTAGAGATATAAACATGGGAGTCTTTGGCATATCAATAGTATTTGTTTTACCTTGGGTTCCCCTAGAAGCAGATCCTGACAAGGATGTTAGTGTAAATACTTTATTTGGGAGGAGAGTCCAAGAAATACTGGTGGAGAAATGGGGAATTGAGACAGGAAAAGGAAGGACGTCAATAAACGGTGCATTATGAAGTAAGTTACTCTTGCAGATAACAGATGTTTAGTTCCATTGTGGGACTCTGGGAGACAGTGTAGAAGAGGCCTTAAAGTTATCCTAACTGAGGGACCAGAAAGCTAAATAATTATCCATCAAACCTCAACCGTCTTTGGCCAAGGCCTGCTTTGGGGGCTTAACTCTTCAGCAGTTCCAGCTTCTCTGCAAGAGAGTCCAGAGCTCCCTGGGTCAAGAAAAGGCCCCAAGGCAGAGAATCTGAAGTGCCCCCAGTAATCAGCCTTCTGTGTGCAGAGGTGAGTCTTGAGGGACTATGAGTGGGGCACCCAAGCATGAGAGTATCTGATGTCATCCTAGGAGTGAGTGAAGTTAGAGAGAAGGTGGGGTCTGGCCACCAAAGTGCTGTAGCACTCCAACATTTGGAGGTCAAGAAGATAAGATGGAACCAGGAAAAGAAACTGAGGAGAGGCCAGTGAAAAAAAAGAGAGTAGAGTTCTGGACTCCAAGTTGAGAGGAAGAATCCAAGCAGGAGGAAGAATCAACCATGTCAAATGCTGCAGAAAGGTCAAATAAGGTGAGGATTGAAGATTGACCATTGGATTTAGATACTTGGAGGCCACTGTTGACCTTGACAGGAGCAGTTTTACAGAGGTGGTTCAGGATAGGGCGTGAGTTCCAAAGAAGTAAAATTGGAGGCAGCCTGTATAGACAACTCTTTCAAATAGTTGGTTGTAGAGAAATAAAACAGTGGCTGAAGGGGGTGTGCATGTCGAGAGAGAGAGAGTTTGAGAAGGGAAGTGTTGTAGCATGGTTGTATGTGGATGGGATTAATTCAGTCAAGAGGGAAAAACTGATGATGCAGGGAAAAGAAGGATAGTTATGAAAGTGTTATCCTTCATAAGTGAGAGGGAATGGGATCTTGTGCACAAGCAGAGGAAGTTTCCTTAGAAGCAGAGACCACTTGTCAATAGCAACAGAGAGAAGGCAGAAGGGTCTACACACTCCACCACAGATGCAGACAGGTGGTGAAGTGTGTAGAAATTCGCTTCTGAGCTCTGATAAATTTGACAGAAACAAGCAAGTCAGCTGATATCTGATGATTGGGGCAGAGGGGATGTTGGAGTATTGAGGAGAATGGAGAAGGTGGGAAGTAATCATCCAGGATTGAGAATAGATGAGGAACAGGGAGAAGGATCGCCAAGCAGCACCAAAGGGTCATGGGAGATGAGTGGCCTAAGGGCAGTCGGCAGAGTTTTGTCTTTCTCCAGCCATGTTCAACTGCTTGGGTGCAGACAGAGTGGAGGAGAAATAGATTTAACCAAGGTTGGGTATGCTTTATGTCCAACTTCCAACATGTAACCTTGCTCCAGGAAGACATTATGTAGTTATTGGCTAAGAAATTAAATTTTATTGAGACAATAATCCTGAATTCCAAGAGTTTTGAGAATATGTTAAAAGCAAAGTGAGATAAAAGAGATTTATGGGAAAGCAAAGCAGAAGTTGCTTTACTCAATCCATTTTGAAGGTGTTTCTTTGCCAAAACTGAATAGAGGGCTAGCAGAAACTTGTTTACCCTCCATAAATGTTGGGAGCTGGCTTTCCTCTCTGAGTCTCTTGATTCTGGTGGACCCTGTAACCACTGACTAGCTAAGTAATCAGAACCCAACATGTCCTTTAACTGTAAGAGTGGTAAATTATCTGTTCCAGTTTAAAAGAGGCTGAGTATGTTACAATCACAGGGACTATAAAAAGCAAGGAAGGTGTGTGTGAAGTAGCTCCACCTTTCTCCAGTAAACATGTCTTACTCTAGGTGTCTTACAGCAGAGTTCACATCCCTTCATGAGCCTCTGGTCAAAGATTCTAGTAAGAAAACTCTTGGAGACCTGAAGCTGGATAATCAGGACCTCTATTTTACCCCTAGATAATGGGAGTTAAGGCACTGCGTCTTTCTGTCCTAGTATCCAGTTTATCTAGTTTCTGGACAAGGTCAAACAGCTCAGTTGTAGATACTCAAAAGACAACCTTAGCAGTAAGCCACAAGATGTGTGCAACAAAGAAGGTGCATAGTGCGTTGAACGGTGTCCTCCCAAAAAGATATGCTCAAATCCTAATTCCCAGAACCTGTGAATGTATGCTTATTTGGAAAGGAGGCCTTTGCAGATATAATTAAGGATCTTGGGATGAGATTATCCTAGATTCAGGGTGGGCCCTAAATCCACTGATTGATATACTTAAGACAAAAGAGAGGGAACTTTGAGACACATGGAAGCACAGATGAAGGTTTCATGAAGCACGAGGCAGAGGTTAGAGTGCTGTGTCCACAAGGGCCAAGGATTGCTGGAAACCAGAGGCGAGGAGAGAGGCATGGAACAGATTCTCCCTCAGATCCCCCAGGAGGAACCAACCCTGCAGACACCTTGATTTCAGACTTCTGACCTACTTAACTGTGAGAGAATACATTTCTGTTGTTTTCAGCCACAAATTTGTGGTTCTTTGTTAAGGTAGCCCTAGGAAACTGATACAGGGTGGGAACTCCTATTTTAGTCGTGTGAAGAGTGAATGGTCTGGAAAAACACAATGATGTATTCATGTGGCTAGGGAGACTAAGACCACCTGTAGTCCCTGAAACTTTGGGGGTAATCTCCTTCAAGTTCCCTTTAGAAAAATATGGCTCCTCTTCCAGAAACCACATATCCTGATAGTCTGAAATATCTGTAGTTATTTTTAGGCCATTGTTCCATTTCCATGGAAGTGTTTGCAAAATTAGCCGGACATGGTGGCACGCAGTAGTCCCAGCTACTGGGGAGGCTGAGGCGGGAGGATCACTTGTGCCCAGGAGTTCATGGTTGCAGTGAGCTCTGATCACGCCACTGTACTCCAGCCTGAGTGACAGAGTGAGACCGTGTCCCAGGAAAAAAAAAAAGAAAAAAAGAAAGAGTTTGCAAATATTTTGTTTCCCAGGAAGTCATAATACCCTTATGATTCAGTCAGCCTGATTCTGCAGTCCTGAAATCTCGGCTTGCAGCAGATGTGTGCTGAGAAGGCTGTGCTTACAGAGAGCAGCCTCCCAGATCCCTGTATGCCCTGATTCCTGGCTTGTCTCATCTGGAATAAAAAGAAGTAACAACCAACACTGCACTTTGATGCTTTTATTCATTTGCTGCTTTTATTCATCTGTTCTCCACCTCAAGTGCCCTCACCCCACTTGGGGAGTCCTGGCTTATCCTTCAAGACTTGCCCAAATGCCTTCTGCCCTGTGAAGTCCTCCTTGAAACTGAAGAAGCAATTATTCTTCCTTCTACGTTCCCACAGAACTCTGCACCTCTATTAAAGGACTTATTAAATTCTATTACAGCTTAGTTTTTATGTAACTGTCTTCCCTGAAACACTCCAGAGGTGGCATCATGACTTACTCATGTCTGAATCACCAGCACTTAATCTAGAACCTAGCTCAATAGTTTTCATATAAATTAAGAAAAGCAATACCTTAGAAAATCTCTAGTAGCCAAATTCAAAGTTTCTCTAAAGTGTACAACTGCTATGATTTAACTTCCTCTATTTTGGATTTCAAGCCACTAGAATTTGGAACAGGAACAAAGTAGTGCAGAAATTATTGTGTACTATGTGAGCAGAGTTCAGTGCAAAATTATGGAGGTATGTAAGTGTTTGTAGCTTTGGCATTATGGTCAGGGGAAACTTCTTTCCTTCAGAGGAAAAGGGCAGTGTCATCCCTGGGATCACAAGCTTCTTGAACATGTGGAAGGTGGGTTCTTCCTATTTTGGATTTCAGCTCAGCAAAGGCTTTCCTGAATTAATCACTGAAGAAGCACACGGCACCATATTTCCTTCATCTGGTCACTGCAGAAAGCAAAAATGTTTATACCAGATGGTGCTCAATGTGATGTCATCATTCCATGGTTTATCCAAATTCCCTCTTTCATCATGTTTTGCTTGGAGTTACACCTGGAGTTTTATGTATCTGCAAATATTCAGAATGAATTCTCAGCTGTGGAAGAAAAAAATAGATGATGCTCTAAGCTTATGTGTAAATATCCTTTGTAGAAAAGATGAAACATTTCAATGAATAAAAGCTGAGGGCAAAAGGAAGGTTTGAGTAGGTAAGTGGTGTATGTTCCCATGGGAACAAGCAGCTGCTGCCAACAAATGCATGAGAAAAGGCTATAGAGTCTTTCTATGATTCAGGCTAAAACTAAATTTGTAAAGGAGTCGAAACACACATGAATCATCCCCTCTTGTCCACTGTGATCATGACTATCTCCAAGTCAAAAGCTAGCCAAGAATCACAATGAAGACTAGCCTGTTGTGACAACTGAAGTTGTTTGCACTAAATATCTCCACCAAGGAATTCCAACAGCTTCTAACATCTACCACATAACAATTTAGATTAATTGGCCTATTAAGACCCTCATAATCTGGCACCATGATCTCTATCCCATCTAATTTCTGACCACTTTCCTATATGGGCTAAGGTGGTCTCACTATTCCCTGAACATTCTTGTTCATTCTTAACTCCAAAACCTTTCTCATATACTTTCTCTGTCTTCTAGCACTGTTTCCTTCTTCTTCATCTATTCAAACCAATTTATTCTTAAATTCCAGTGCTAGGATTATCTGATCTGTGAGGTTTGTCATGATTGCAAATCATACTGTTTCTCCCTGCTCTGGATTTCTGTACTGTCCCTCAAGAACTGGAGGTGCAAGCTAATGTTTCTATTGATGTCAATCATCATTAATGGACACTCTTTGGTTCACACACTGTGCTAGCAGCATAATGGACATTTCCTGTTGTTCTGCTCCCTATTTTCTTTGCTGTTCCTTTGTTTCAAACCATTTAAAATAGTTTTTTTCCCCTTCCTCCCGATGATCAATATAACTAAGGGCTTTTTGTTCCTCTTCAATCCTATATAAGGAAAATATTTTCCTCCCCTTCTTAAGATAGGAAAGAATTGGTGGATACTAAGCTTGGTGAAATCTGTTGGAATCTTCAACTTTAACCCCTTCCAAATTGAGGGGCTCAAATAAACCTTAGTTAAAGCACAAATTAGTTACTAATTAGGGAGCTCCTGTACAGATAAGGGAGTATTAGTTTTGGACCATTTGGCCACTTTTTTGGATATCCAGATTGTAGAATTACCAACAGGCATACTCATTGGTGTGTACTGAGTCTCAGACAGGATTCAGAATGAGAGTAATTCTTTTGGGATCTGAACCTTGCAGGAAAATAAAAATAGACAAAGCTTGATTAGGGTCTCAAAGTCTGGCAATACCAGTTTAACCATGAACAGATAATGAAATCTTCATAATAACATTTGATTGGTATCTAAAACCCCAAAATGCCTCTATTTCTAGGGCAATACTATCTCTACATTTTAAAAAAGTTTCTGGATGCCAAGATATTTAGCTTGATTTTATTTATTTATTTTTTATTTCAACAGGTTTTTGGAAAACAGGTGGTATTTGATTACATGGATAAGTTATTTAGTGATGATTTCTGAGATTTTTGTACACCCATCACCTGAGTAGTGTACACTGTAAAGTCACTCTTGTTCACTTACGAAGAATGAGAAGAAAAACTCTGAAACAAAAATTCTCCTGCCTTTAATTGAACAAACTGTAGCCCACTCTAGAATGACTTTTCTGTAGCTGGCCCACTGTGGTAGAGTACTTTCAAAAATATTCACTCCTTCCCCCTTTTACCTCCACAAGGGAAATATCCTTCCCCAAATCCTTGACTTTGGGTTTGGCTGCATGGCTTGCCTTGGCAGATGTGACAGAAATAGGGGGTTGAAATGTGCTTGAGTGGTTGGGCCTGGCCTCTTGCACCCCTATCATTGCAACGAGAAGAGTGTGTCTTGACTAGTCATTGCAACGAGAAGAGTGTGTCTTGACTAGTCACTGGTCCAAGGCACATGAAGAAGATGAAGCAGAGCCACCCAGCTGACCTGCAGCTCTGTGAGATTAAATGATTGCTATTTTAAGATACCGAGTTTTGGGGTGGTTTGTGACACAGAATTTTTGTGGCAATAGCTGATACACATCCCAATAGCTCCACAAACGGTCATTATCTTCCCAAGTTCTGTTTCTGTCCCCAGAAAATATCATTCTTGACCGAAAAAATGCAAATATAATATTTTCCTATGGGCTTCTAACTCAAACGGCATAGGGTGTTTCAGAAAAATGTTCCTATTTAATTAGTTCAGTTTGTTTTTATTCCTGACATCATGCTTCCCTCTAAGTACTGTGAGTGCACAGAGGGAAATGTGAGTCTGTGTGCTCAGGTACTTTTTAAATTTCAGGCTTAGGGGAGTCTATGATCCCTAAGTCTGACACTGTCTCATGAACTGTGAAGAACTTGAAGACAGGAGGCTCTATCAGCCTCTCAGCAAGAGAGACAGCACACTCAGCTTTGTTGTGTAGAGGCTTTTTCATAAAGGAAATATTTAGAGGTGTGGTTCGGGTTAGAGGAACTAGCAAGGGATGTTGAGGTGCCCAGACACTAGGAATAGCAGGGAGTTCTGATGATCCCCAGGCCTGAACAGTAGGGGGAGAAAACGCAATTTTTGGAGACTGGCTAAGAGTTAGAGTCAAGATGGGCTGCCCAACGGTAGCTATAGTTTGAGTGATGAGGCCATTGATAGAACCACGGTGAAGCAGATGGTGAGTGGGAATAAATGGTGAGGAGAGATATATTGAAAATAAATATTCCAACATCTTCTCCTCCCACTGACCAGAGGGCAAGGGAACCTCGGTAACACAGTACCTAGAGGTCAGGTTCCCAGGACAAAGAACATAACAGAACACAGAATAAATCTGCAACGAATCAAAGAACAACCACAACAGATGTTTATGAATACTTGCCCCAGTTTTCTCAGGAAAGAAGGCATGGGGAAAGGGAGGGCAAGAAATGAGTTGCGTTTACAAGGAAATTGGTTACAGAGAGTTTACAAAGTCTTCAATTTTGAATTGAGTAGCAAAAAGATGGAAAATTAGATGACCTGTGACTGGGCCAGTAGATGTCTTTGCATTGCATATATCAACCTCAAGCACTTCTCTAAAAGTATCATGAGACAAAACTGTAGCACTAGACGGCATCAGTGAAATTAACCTTAAAGTACCTGGAAGATAAGTATTTTGAGGAGGGCTATCAGATCAAGCTTCTGGTCTTAATCTCTGGGTTTGACATTGGGATTTTAGAAGAAATATTTAAATGGATAGCGAAGTAAAAGGTATATGGATGCCAGGAGATTCCTGAGCTATAGAACTCTGACACTATTTCAATTTTTTGATAATCTTCTGATTCTTCACCTATGAAAATATTATATGAAACTACTTACCAAATTTATCAACCCATGACACATCCACAAACCCAAACTTGCCAGAATACTTTCATTGTCGTGTTAATGTGTTTGAAGGAGAGTGTGGAGGGCGGGGAACACAGGAGACTCCTTGGTCTACATGTCCATACATGCATATCCACATACCAGCATCAGCCATCTCTCTTTCTCCAGCAAAATTACTCTTGCTTTCCATTTCTGTTGTCCAAAATGGGCAAAGGTGAGTGAGTAAAACCAAAACACCAATACACTGAGGATGTCTTTTATTATACACAGAAGTATCCTACTATGCTAGAAAACAATATTATACTAATTTTCTTAGAGAAACAAAGTAGCTGACTATTCATCTGATTCAAATATATGTGAGACACACTTTTTTATCCTTCAGATACAATTTTCACATCGTACTTTCTCTTTAGATTTTATAGTTGGCCCAGTTTCCCCTTGAATGCGAGCCTTATAAGCTTTTTGTACCTCTTAACATCAAACTCAATGAATAACTAAGACTTGGGCTATTTGTATTGCCCAAATGGGAAATGGGGGAGGGTGAAGGAAGAGAATCCTCCCCTCTCCATTCGAAGGTTCCAGGGGGCTACAAAGAGATAATGGTTGATGTTGATTCTAGAAAACTGGTTCTCATGAAGTTTTCAAGCTGATTTCCTTATGTATTAACTTCACTAAAAGAAGGATTCCTTTTGATAAGTGAGGACAAAAAGGCATCATTGAATACCAATTACAAAAAGAAAAAAAATCTACAAGTACAATATTTTGCTTCAAATAAAATATATTTATGTGGTTGCTATGTTTTTGTTGATAGTCAATATATGTAAATATTTAGCTAAATTATGAAAATTCAAGAAAGATCACAGCTATTGGAAGTAGCAGGCTAGCTAAAAGCCTCTGCAGCATTGCTTGAACAGAAACAGACCAAAGGCAGATTATGTCTGAAGATGTGTTGATTATATCTCCTTAAAGAAATAATAAGTTCTTTAAAAGGGCAATATAAGCAACATTCATGTACTTATGAGAAATGTGTAACTAAATACTTCATTGCTTAACTAAACATTTATTGGATGCCTATCGGTGATTAGAATGAATGATTGGGGGTTCCAGTTAATTAACTACCTGAATTTGTCTTCCTATATATAATTTTCCAGGAAGAAAATAATATAACAAAAAGGAAATGGTTACAAAGTAACAAACATTTTATTTCCCAGTCTAATCTTTTTCAACCTATATTTATACCCAGAGGACTGCGTGGTATGTTCAGCATCATGTATCTTGGCTTCTGTCAAGATGAATATTTTGTATTGATCAACGCTTTACACTTTACAAAGCCCTTTCAAATACTTATTTCCTTTGACTTCTAAGTCTTACTGCACCATTGTGTAGATGGAAAAATTGAGTCTGAAGTGGTGATTTCCCCAATGTTATTCTACTTCATGCCCACTAGAATAGCTAAAATCTAAGACTGACAGTATCAAGTATTGGTAAGGATGCAGAACAATTAAAACTCACATATATTGCTGATGGAAGTATAAAATGATATAACCACTTTGACAAAAAGTTTGGCAGTTTCTTATAAAGTTAAACACATCTTCTGATTCAGCAATTGCAGTTGTAGGTAAGTATCCAAGGTAAGTGAAAATACATGTTCACAAAAAGACTTGTAGAAGAATGTTCATAGCAGCTCTATTCACTGTAGTCAAAAATTGAAAACGACCCAAATGTCCATCAACAACAGGATGGGTAAACAAGTTGTAGTATATTAGCACTTAGCATTAAAAAGAATGAATTACTGTACTGATACATCCAATAACATGAATAAAACATAATGCTGAGGAAAGAAGCTGCATACAACAGAGTATATATTGTATGTTTCCACTTATATGAAGTTCTAGAACAGGTAAAGCTAATCTAAGGTGAAAAAATTCAGTAGTGCCTTTGAGGGTTTGGGGCATTGCTCCCAAGGGAGGACTTTTTTTCTTACGAGATGGAAATATGGTGAGGGTATAGACACACAGCTCAAATTGTTCAATTAATACTTGTGCATCTCAATGTATGTATATTTTACCTTAAAAACTGTAAAAACAATAACAATCAGATGGAGGAGTTTGGAGTGGAGGTTTAGATAAAAGAAGCGAGGCAGAACATTGATACTACAAGTTGAGTGATGAGTGATGTCCTTTATATTCTTCTGTTTATGTATGCTTGAAATTTTCCACAAAAAAAAGTTTTAAAAAAGACAATAAGGAAAAATGATCAAAAGGCTTTCAGGGAACTGGAAATAGTTCAGTATGGCTGGAGCAGAGAGTGTGTTTTCCACTCTTTCATTTCATAGGAATCTTCCCAGACAGTGGTGAACTGAAAACACCGAATCTCTTAGTCACATCTGATTCTACAGCAAGGATGGTTACAATGACTAGCTAACACAAACGAATAATTGTGGTGGAAAAAACAGATGTTTGTATCTCAAGTGTAAACATAACTTACCAAATATTATTACTTGAAGTACTTGGCAACAATTGGAAAAAGAATTTAAATATGAGCCATGTAGCTACCATGGGATATGGACATGTTTAATGGTACAGGCTCAGACCAGTATAATCCCCTTCCATAACTTGGTAACGCTCCTGACATTGCAATAAGTAAACTAAACCACACCCAGTCAGCAACTAATTAAAAAACAATAAATGTCTTATAAATAAAAAAATTATGTATCTGAAAATATGTGGGAAATATGCTCAATAAATCATCTGATTCATCACTTCTTATTTTAATACAGATTATTGCAAAGCTGTGGGTATTTCAATAATAAATCTACATTAAGTTTTCTTCACCTGAATGCAGTGCATTCTTGTTTGTGTATGTGTATGTGTGTGAAGTTGGGGCTCTGTGTAGACTTAGAGTGAATTACAGATTTCTATTTTAGGAAGAGAACTTAAAAGTTCCCTTTAATTTTACAAATGAGGGAACTAAAACCAAGAGAAACGAAGTGACTTGTCCAAGGTAAAAAGGTGTAAGACCACAGATCAGATCTGATTTCTTCAAATTGAAGTAGACTGTTTACAATGTGTATGAATCTAAAATGCTTTCCATGAGCTGCATCCATATTGAATAACTCAAGAAAAGTTTGTCTTGGCAATTCACAGAACACTATTCAAATACAGAATTGTTTAAAAGGCTTCTAGTGCACTAGTGGAAATATTCTTCTGCCCCATGGAGATTATAATACTGAAGCAGACAGATATCTTCAAAAGGTTGTGGAAAACAGCCAATTTACCATTTGTCTATGCTTGCTTATAGAGCATTAGAGAGGATATTGAACTACCAAAACCCTTTCCTCTATTTTCTCTTCTTGCCTAGCTCTTTACTTGGGTGCCACCACATGCTCTTTATACCACTGTGTTTCAAGCTATGGGTTACAATCCACTTATGAGTTATACAATCAACTTAATGGCCACAATCAGCATTTTTGAAATTAAATTTATTAGATTAGAAAATATCAGTGGACAACACTCATAAGGTTAGGGCAAGTTATTTCATGAAATTCCTGTTTCAGTCATAAATATATGTGTGTACACTGTGTGGAAATGTAAAACATTTTTTTACTGTGGATCAGTCAAGAGTACTTGAGAGCAGATGGCTTTTGTAGGTCCTCAGAGGGACTTGGACATGCTTTAACTCTGATTACCCCTTCCTCAACTTGTGTGTTCATGGTGTGCACGATTTTATTCTTATTTTTAAGTCGACACAAATGAGATGTTATTATAATCATTTATTCTCATAATATACAATGTACAATGTCTGTATTTACCTACATGTTTGCTAATTTCTTTGCATCTGTGAAATTTTTTAATGTGGTAACTTTCATAAAACACAACATTCACCATTTAATCATTTAACCCCAACTCAGTGGCATTCAGTACAGTGATGTGCAACCATCATCGCTATCTATTTCTAGAACATTTTTATCAGCCACAAAGGAAACTCCCTATTCACTAAGCAATCACTTTCCATTCCTCCCTCCCCTACAGCATCTGGAAATCAGTAACCTGCTATCTATCTCTATGGATTCTGGATATTCCACATAAATGAAATCATACAATATGCGGCATTTTGTGTCTGGCTTCTTTAAATTAGCATGTTTTTGAGATTCATTCAAGTTGTAGCATGTATCAGTTATTCATTCCTTTTTGTGGCTGAATATTTCATTGTATGAATATACATTGTATGAATATACCATCTATCCATTGATAGACATTTAGGCTGCTTCCACCTTTTGGCTACAGTGAGCAGTGCTGTTATGAACATTTGTGTACAAATACTTATTTGAATATCTGCTTTCAGTTCTTTAGGGGTATATACCTAGGAGCAGGATTACTGGTTCATAAGGCAATACTATGTTTAATTTTTTGAAGAATCACCAAACTGTTACAATCTATTAGTAGGTTATGAAATCAAACTCTTTCCCACAGTGGCTGTACCATTTTAAATGCCCACCAGTAGTGTACAAAGACTCCAATTTCTCCACGTCCTTTCCAACACATTATTTTTCATTTTAGAAAGATGATAGCCATTCTAGTGGGTATGAGGTGGTATCTCATTATGGTTTCAATTTGCATTTCCCTAGTCACTAACAATGCTAAACATTTTTTCATGTGCCTGTTGGCCATTTGTACATCTTCTTTGGATAAATGTCCATACAAGTCCTTTGCCCATTTTTAAATGAGATGTTTGTCTTTTGTTGTTGAGCTGTAAAAGTTCTTTATATATTCTGGATACTAGATCTTTATCATTTATATGATTTGCAAATAATTCTATGTTGTCTTTTTACTTCCTTGGTAATGTCTTTTGATGAATAAAAGCTTTTGAATCCAATTTACTTCTTCTTTTGTTGCTTGTGCATTTGGTGTCATATTTAAGAAATCATTGCCAAATTCAAGATTGTGAAGTCTACCCTTATGTTTTTTTCCTAAGGATATTACAATTTTAGCTCTTAAATTTAGGTCTTTGATCCATTTTGAGTTAATTTTTGTATATGGTGTGAGGTTAGAGTCCAACTGTATTCTTCTGCATGTGAATACTCTGAACTTTTTAGAATCCTATTTCCTCTTTCTGAAATACATTTCTTAAAAGTTTGTTCAGAAATGATTTCTTGGTAATAATTTCTACGTGTTTTTTTGGTAATGTCTTTA
Organism: Homo sapiens; assembly: GCF_000001405.40. Classification (NCBI taxonomy): domain Eukaryota; kingdom Metazoa; phylum Chordata; class Mammalia; order Primates; family Hominidae; genus Homo; species Homo sapiens. The sequence continues at coordinate 134,628,496 of NC_000007.14, forward strand.
TTACCACTGTATTCTGGCTTCCATTGCTGTTACTGAGAAACTTGACATCATTTTTCCACCTTTGTAAATTTTCTACCTCTTTTTTCTGCCTGCTTTTAAATAGTCTTTGGTTTTACTAAAATATATCTGAGAGTGGCTTTCTTTTTATCTAGTCTACCTTGGACTCTTGTTTCTTCTATCTGTGGATTCATGACCTTTCTTCAGTTCTGGAAAATTCTCAGGCTTTGTATCTTCAAATATTGTCTTTCCTCTATTTTCTCTATTCTCTCTTTCTGGAACTGCACTTACATATGTTATATTTACTCATTCTATCCTCCAATGAGGATAACATTTAGCTTCTTTAATATTTATCTCCTATCTCTCTGTATTATGAGTATTTCCTTTAGATTTAATTCTCTCTTCCTGTGTATATTCTGCTGGCTAATTTATTGGGTTATTGATTTCAATAATGATATTTTTATTTCTAAATATCTTAATTCATTCTTTTTTTCAAATGTGCCTGGTATTTTAAATTAGAGTTATATTTTGATCATTTTTCAGTTTTTATTCCATCTTTAATATCTTAAAACATTTGCTGATAATTGCTTTTTACTATAATAATTTCATTATCTTAAATTCTCAAGAACTTGTGTGTTTTTGTTTTTTCCTAATTTTGTTCATGATATATTTGTTAATATCTTATTATACATTATATTTTATTGAATTTAATATTTCCAAATCAGAAGGCCTTAAATTCGGAATTTGCATTTGCTTTATGGATCCAGGAGGAAGTACTCATCTGGGACTACTCTAGAGCTCTTCAAATATATTGGCTTAATGAGAGAGTCTCGTTTTCTTTGCAGAAAGCCCAGAGCTTAATCTTCGAATTCCAGTGCTGGCACTGACATTTTCCCCAAGGTAATCCTAGCCTTTTCGTTTGTTTAAACTGTTCATCATTCCAGTTTTAGTTGTTTTTCATTTTCTATTTTTGGCAAATGGGGATATTCCTTATTTCTTGTCAGTCAGTGTGATATCATAGAAAGATACTTGGCCTTTGTTCCTGATTTCTGGCACACAGTTCCCAAAACTCTTAGAATTTCCTGAGTGATAAAGGGTGATAGGAGTATTTTTTGTTCTAGTGACATGACTTTTTGTGGGCTTCTAGGTAGCTTCAGGAGGGTGGCTGTTCCAGAAAAACCAGCCTTGATTAGAAGCTTGGAACATTCCACCCACCTCCCTCTAATCTCTAGCACAGGGAAAGGAGCTGGAGAATGAATTGATTGCTGGTGGCCAATGATTTAATCATTGCCCACAGATAAAACTTCCATAAGAAACCCTAAATGATGACATTTGGAGAGCTTCCAGGTTGGTGAACACATCAAGATGCTGGGGGAGTGACATGACCAGAGAAGGCATGGGAGCCCCATACCCCTGATCCCAAACCTTGCCCTACGAATCTCCTTCACTTTACCATTCCAGAGTGGTAGCATTGATAATAAACCAGTGAATTTGGTGAGCTGTTCTCACAAATCATCAAACCTGAGGAGGGGGTCATGAGAACCTCTGATTTATAGCTGGTCACTCAGAAGGATGGGAGGCCCGGGACTTACGGCTGGCATCCGAAGACTGTGTTGAGGGGTAGTCCTGTAGTACTGAGTTCGAAACCTGTGGCGTCTGCACTAACTCTGGGTTGTTAGTGTTAGAACTGAACTGAATGAGTGGACACTCAGCTGGTGTCCAGAGAGCTGGAGAAGTGATACTGGAAAAGACACCATGTATTTGGCATCAGGAGGAATAAATGTCTCAGTAGCAGTGTTTTAAAAATTATATTTGAAATTCATCCAGGCTTCAGTCATATTGTAGTGGGAGAGTCATTCTATCTAGTCCATCATAATCCTAGCAGTAAATGGAATAGAATGTTTTTCTCTATATCCGCTGAAGGTTTTGACTTTGGAAGAAAAAAAAGGAAGTGAGATGTGAATAATAAACCATGGGTAACAGGGTTTGGTTTGGTTTAGTTTCTTAAACCATGATTATACCATGTTTATTTTTCTGAGGGCTAGAAAGATAGCAAAATACATGGAGAAAAGTTAACTGTAAAAGGGGCTAGAAGAGCTTGACACCTAAAGGTAAAAGAGAGAAAATGTTTCCTTATAGTTAATTACTTAAAATAAGTAGTATTTTCATAAAATAATAAGGTTCTTGAGAACAAGGACAGTATCTCTTTCATATTGCTTATTCATCAAAGAATAAGCACCTATGCACTTTTGGGGATCCAAAACTACTATGCTAAAATGATTGTCAAGGTCGTGTAGACTTATCCTGAGGTCACACAGCCACTGTAACAGATCATAGGAGTAGACTAAAGTCTCCTGACTCCAGGCCATGCTTGCGTATTATATCACACTACACCACTGAACTGAGTCAATATCAATTATTCAAGTATATGGCATTGCATACCACAAAGAAGGAGAAAAAATACTCTATTTGGATTCAATTGTTTTCTTCTTTACTGATTACTTCATACATAACCTGTTTGTTGAAAGAAGCACATTCTCTATGACTATACATCCTCAATTGTATGTTTAAAAAAATAATTCATACTGTAAGGACACAGTCATTGTGTATGTATACAGCTCAACTTCCTCAGTTGCTAAGGATGAATACTGCTCAGGATTAAACATGAAAAGCAGCTCTAGCTAGAGGCCAAGAAAGAGCTGATTTGTACATCAAAGTCATGGTGTCTAAGAGCTATAAATGGTAAATATGTGATGAAAGAGGTTAAGAGAAAAAAGAGAGGTGTACATGCATGAGGTGAGTCAGGCTGGGGTCTGAAATTCTAAAAGGTGGATATGTTTTGCTGATTTGGGGGTAGTTTTAAAGCAGTCAAGATTTGACTGCTATCTCTGGATTTATCCACCTCCCTTCAGAGTGGGCCTGAGTAGAACTGGATTGGAGTTTCTTTAGTGGTTTGTTTAGTGAAGGTTGTCACATGGTTGAAGGTTTGCTTGTAGCACTGTGGACTCCCATTTGGTCATCAGGTGTTGTACTTGTTTTTTCCAAGATAACCTATACAGCACCTCCTCACTTCCTCCAGTAACAGAGGTGAGCTATGGAGGCAGGGTATATTGGATAGATGCAGCTAGGCTGGGTACAGCAGGGAGCAGTGAAGGGCAAGTGTACATATGTGTCTGTGTGGGTGTGTGTGTGTGTGAAAAGCTAGAGATGAAAGTGACATAATGACAACTCTGGATACCCAAGAATGGGCACAGGACTCTGTCCCACAGCTCCCAGCTGTGATTTGTAGTACAGATCTGCTAGCAAGAGACTACAACCACCTTGCTACTTCAATAGCTTTCTCTGATGTGTGGGTTTGCAGTTAAGATCTTATAGCTCTATTTGACTATAGATGGATTCAGCAAGGAATGATAAAAGATGAGGTAGATACACAGAGAAAAGTAGTGGATGTGGGGAGACCAGTCAGGAGGTTACTGCAGTCAATAAGAAAGGATGGCAACCTGAATAGCAAAAGGGTTATAAGTACAATGAAAACAGATATTTTAAAATTATAAGAAAATACAACATAAAATTTTGGTGCCATAAACTTGAAAATCTAGATGAAATGGCTGATTATACAGAAAACACAAATTAACAAAATTGATTCAAGAAGAGATAAGAAACAGGAATAGACCAGCTAGCAGCAGAGGTCAGGGAAAAGGTGAGGTGGTGAACAGCATATGAAAAGATCTACCCTATAAAACATCTCTAAGCTTGAATGACTATGCAAAAAAAACCCTATCAGACATTCAGAGTGTAGATCATTTCCATGATATCCAAATTATGTCAAAGCATCAAAACCAGGAACTTTTGCAATTCATCTCACAAGGTTAGAATAACCTAGAATTACAATCTAACAGTCATTGAAAATTACAGACCAGGCTCTCAAATAAAAATAGATAAGAAATCCTGAATAAAACATGTAACAATTGAATCTAACAGTATATTTAGAAAATATACTGTGCCCAAGTAGGTTTTTATTTCAGAAATTAAAGAATAGCTAAATATTAAATATTCTATTGTGTAAATACTATATGGTGTAAATACTATTTATTTACATAATATAAAAGAATCAATTAATTAATTTAATTAATAGAATAGAAGATAAAGCAAGCAAAAGATAAAGAGTCAGTAATTAGAGAAGTTGGAGGCTAGAAGTAGCCAGTTTGGGGTCTGGTCAAAATACAGGGAAGATGATTATTCCAAGTAAAGAAGAGGGACAATGAGACAATTAAAGTACCACAAGATGTTAAGATCTCTAAGGAGATCTCAGTTGTCCAATAGACATTTGAGGTGGATGCTGAGTGTGGGCTTTTGGCCACAGACACCTCTGAGGAGGCAATCTGTCCATCACTCACTTGGTGACCATGGGCCATTTAATTCAAATCTCTGTGACCCTAAATTCTCACCTAAAAATATGAGGCTAATGTGATGTAGTATATCTTTCAGGGTTGTTGTGAGGACTAAACGAGATAATGAGAACTAAGTAGTTAGCACAGAACCTGGCACATAATAAATTATGGTAGCTGCTATCTTGATTATTAATGTATTTTTTTAAACTGAGACCGGATTGACAACCCCTTCATATGTGCTTTCTTCTCTGACCACCAGAGAGCAGACCAACATTACCCTTCCAGAACGAGCAAATACCTCAGGTTCCACAGCCTGAGAGTTCAGAATGTTTTCGGTAAGCTGCTCTTCTATAAATTTTGTCAGAAGAGCAAACTAACCTTTGTGAAAGGCATAGCAAAATGTCTGCTTTCTTCTTTATATTTTAGTTGAGAAAGGACTGGGATGTAAGTTAAATAGTCACTGAATATGAAATTACATGTAAATATCGAGATACACCATATCTGGCATTAGGAATCAAGATGATAACTTGATGTATTACTTTTCTTTTTGCTTTACATTGTAGGACACTTTTTGAAGTGCTATTATATAGATATAATAGGTATAAATATAATAGATGTAAATATTCCATTTTATCTTCACAATAACAGTGTGAACTACACAGGCCAGAGCACGTTGTTCCAATTTAACTGGTGTGAAAACTGAGGCTTATTAGAGTTTAGTGGCTCATCTAAAGACACACATATATTTGGTGTCACAATCTGAACTTCACCGGATCCGAAGACCACAGCACATACAGGAGTGCTCTTTTGGTTCTCTTTCCCTCCTTCTCTCCCTTCCTGTGTCCTTCCTGCCCTTCTTTTCTTGCTTCCCTCTTTATATTTTCTTTCCTTTCCCCTAGCTCCCCCCTACTTTTTCTTCACTTCCTTCTTCATTATGCAATATTCCACACATATATATGATCTAAATAAAATGAATGTGATTAACCCACCATTCAGCTAAGAAATATTACCAGTATCTCTGAAGCCCAACTGCACACCATACCCAACCTGTAACCTGGATTTTGTAATAATTTTCCTTTTCGTTCTAGTTGTATCATCTTATCACTTATGCATCCCTACAAATATATACATTATTTATTTGCATATTGTTGGACTTTATGTAAATGAAATCATTCTCTCTCTTTTTTTTTTTTTGCTCAAAATTATGTATCTGAGATTTATCCGTGTTGATGTGTATAGCTGTGGTTCATTCATTTTCACAGCTTACAGTACTCCATTTTATTCATCTGTTCTCTTACTACTGGGCTTTTGGGTGATTTTCAGTTTTGTGCTATCATAAACAAAGCTGTATATGACTCTTGCTGTACATATGCCAAACTTTCTCCAAGGTATTCACCTAGGAATGAAATTACTGGTTCATGAAGTGTACTTACCTACAACTTTACAGCTAATGCCGAATTGTTTTCCAAATTAGTTTTACCAATTCCTATGAGCTTATTACTTTGCATTCTCACCAACATGAAATTGTCAGAAATTTTAGCCAATTTCACACCTAATGCTCAGATTTTGGTTTTCAAACACCATTCTGCAATAAAAGGAACCAGCTTCCTTGGAGAAATAGCTGATTCCAGGGCTAGGGCAAGTAATAAACAAGATGATCTTGGAATATCTTGTAGTGCCAGAGAGTAAGAAAATGCTCCACGAAACAAAAACAAACAAAAACACAGCAGCCAATCACTAAGGAGCTCCTAATTGCCAAACCTGGAACAATCAGAGCAGCAAAATAAATACAGTGTACCCTAGAACAACATGGGTTTGAGCTGTGAGGGTCCACATACACATGGATTTCCTTCCACCTCTGCCACCCTGAGACAGCAAGACTAACACCTCCTCTTCCTCGTCCTCCTCAGCCTACTCAGTGTGAAGTCGACGATGATGAAGACCTTTATGATGATCCATTTCCACTTAATCAATAGTAAACATATTTTCTCTTCCTTATAATTTTCTTAATAACATTTTATTTTGTCTATTTTAAGAATACAGTATATCATACATATACAAAATATGTATTAATTGATAACGTTTTCTGGAAGGCTTCTGGCCAACAGTATGCTGGAAGTAGTTAAATTTTTTGGGAGCCAAAAGTTATAAGTGGATTTTTTTACTGCATGGGGGTCAGTGGCCCTAATTCCCATGGTATTCAAGAGTCAACAGTATAGTATTGGATTATAAACCATAAAATATAATAAGCTTCCATGAATTCATACTGATATAAATAAATAAATAGGGGAGATGGGACAGCTCTTCCTTGTGATAGAATTTGAATTAATAAATGTAAAATGAAAGAAAAACACAAAAAGTCTTCACTAAATACCACCATAATAACTCTTGCAGACATCCTCCATCAAGAGATGCTAAAATTAGTGGGTGAAAGTTTGAGTCGAAATAAAGTTTGAATCATTTCAAAATACCTTCCCTAAAATATTGACGACAAAGAGAAAGACAGTAATTTTACCAGGGAGAAACTTGGCAGAAAGCAACTTAATCAAGTGATCGAGGTTACCACTACCAGTAATAAGATATCAACATCATGAGCCCTGCAATTTGATGCAGTGAGGACATAGCATCATTTCATGGTAGTCTCACACAACATGCATAACTAGAGTTCAATCACAAGAACACATTAGACGAACTCAAAATTGAGGGACATTTGACAAAATAATGTCTATTCTTCAAAAATATCAAGGCCATGAAAGATAAGAAAAGGCCAGGCATTGACTTCTCTCTAGCTATGAAAGTCCGAGTTGGCAACTTCTTCCAATAGAAGGCTGTTTCATTTACATTAAAAATCTGTTTAGTGTAGCCACCTTCATCAATGATCTTAGCTAGATCTCCTGGCTAAGTTGCTGCAGCTTCTACATGAGCACTTGCTGCTTCACTTTGCATTTTAATGCTATAAAGACACGTTCCTTCCTTAAACCTCATGAATCAACCTCTGTTAGCTTCCAACTTTTTTCTCTTTAGTTTGAAGCTTTTTTTCTGCAGCTTCCTCACCTTTCTCAGCCTTTATAAAATTGGAGAGAGTTACAGCCTTGCTCTGGATTAGGCTTGGACTTAAGGGAATGTTGTGGCTAGCTTGATCTCCTATCTAGACCACTAAAACCTCCATATCAGCAATAACACTGTTTCACTTTCTTATCATTTGTGTGTTCCCTAGAGTTTAATTTCCTTCAAGAACTTTTGCTTTGCATTCACAGCTTGGCTGTTTGGTGCAAGAGCCTTAGCTTTCAGCCTCTCTGACTTTCAACATGCCTTCCTCACTAAGCTTAATCATTTCTAGCTTTCGATTTCAAGTGAGAGACATGTGATTTCCCTTAACTGGAACACTTACAGGTCACTGTAGGACTATTAATTGGCCTAATTCCAATGTTGTTGTGTCTCAGAGAATAAGTAGGCCCGAGGAAATGGGGAGAGATGGGGGAATGGCTGGTCAGTCAAGCAGTCAGAACACACACATTTATCAATTAACTTTGATGTAGTATATGGGTGTAGTTCATTGCACACCAAAGCAATACAATAGTAACATTAAAGACAACTCATCACAGATCGCCATAACATATATAATAATGAAAAAGTTTGAAATGTCCTGAGAATTATCAAAATGTGGAAGAGATACAAAGTGAGCAGATGCTGTTGGAAAAAAATGGCGCCAATGGACTTGCTTGACAAAGGGCTGCTACAAACCTTCAATTTGTGAAAAATGCAGTATCTGCAGCATGAAGTAAAGTGAAGAGCAATAAAATGGGGTATCTGTACAGATATTAAACTGAATTAAATATTTCCATTTGGTTCAATGACAGTAACTTATAAGAATGGTTGATTAGAGATTGCTGGGAGATAATTGCTGGGCACCAAGCCACTTTTTAGTAATAGTTTCAAAATTTACAGTGATTGGAATAGTGAGTTTATATTTGGTGGTGCATGAAAAAACAAGGAGATACATCATAAAAACCTTGGAAACAATAGAATCATTATCTTTTATAGCTTATAAAATGGTGGGCTGAGCTTCTGAGTCTACAAAATTGAGTGGGAAACCTTACACATAGTGAGTTTACCAAAGCTAGTGTCACCTCAATGGTTTTCCAGGCCTCATTGCCCACATTTTGTTTTAAACTTCTTTGGGTCCTAGGAAGGTGCCCCCTTGGACAACAATTAAGAAAAGCCCAGACCACATTTCTATCATTCAGGCCTTCTTTCACTTCCTTTTCAAGGCTACATTCATTTCTCTTACCTGTGTCTGTAGCGATAGATGGTATTTTCTTTTCTTTTTTTTTTTTAGATGGAGTCTCGCTCTGTGGCCCAGGCAGAAGTGCAGTGGCATGATCTCAGCTCACTGCAACCTCCACCTCCCAGGTTCAAGCTATTCTCCTGCCTCAGCCTCCTGAATAATTCGGATTATAGGTGAATGCCACCATGCCCGGCTAATTTTTTTTTCTTTTCTTTTTTTTTTTTTTTTTTTTTTTTTGTATTTTTGATAGAGGCAGGGTTTCACCATGTTGGCCAGGCTGGTCTTAAACTCCTGACCTTGCGATCAATCCACCTCAGCCTCCCAAAGTGCTGGGATTACAGGAATGAGCCACCACACCCAGCTGATAGATGGTATTTTCTAAGCAACAAATGAGGGTATTTGAGCCGAAAAAAACGTGCCTCTCTTCCAAGAAAGAATGGATAGACAATTTCAAAAATTAGCCAGTATTGGGAAATCAGCAGAGTAGTTACTGTGCTCCAATCCCACCTCTTTCTGTAAATGACACATGGAGGGTATAACACAAGGATTTAGTCTGGGGGTGGGGCCAGGCAAGGAAGTCTATACTGCTAGTTGGGAGGAATCTTCACATTGACTAATTCTCCATGGTCACAGAGTTCCTTTCATACCGCTCCCTCTAATTTCCATTATCAGAGTCTTTAAACCTATGTCAATGTATTTCTTTTAAAATGTGATCCAAGAAAGGGCCACTTTAGAAGAATGAGCTCAAAGACTGTGCTTTCCCTGCTCCTCTGACCCCACCAGGTTTCCAGCACTTCATCTCCAGTATCTTCAGTCTCTCCACTGTTTCTTCCAGGCCAGTTTCCAGTGGAAAGACTGCATCTAATGTCCTTGAGTTCTTCTTCTGTTGCTGGTTGAGATATGCCGTTGCCCCAGGCAGCAATGGCAGCAGTTCAGGATTCCCAACCTCTTTCAAAACAGGAAGCCCCACCCCTTAAGCAACCACCTTCTAGTGTAGTACATGCTAGACCGTGCTACCTGGGAGGAGTGGAAATAGCATCCTCTACAGCGGCCTTTGCTCTCAGAGCACATCAGGGCTTTGGCTCTGTGTTTCTATTCTGTCTTTGGTCCACGGAAATGTTTATACTGTTTTCGAACCCTAGAATATATTTTGGGCATTTTCTTTTTATGTTATTTAATACTGCTGGATGTTTACAGTGGAAACCTACTATGCAATTCTGACTGGAAATTCTGTGCATATTTAAACATTGCTCAGAATTCACCTCTTCCATCAAATATCTAAACTTATTACAACCCTGCACTTACGCTCTCCCTTTCCACCCCAAAATACTCTGTGAGCCCTTACTCATTCTACTTGCACTTGTATTTGTTGGACTGTAACAAACACTTGAGTTAGTCTTTCCCCTACTGGACCTTGAGGACAAGGAGGATGTTTAATTTATTTATATATCTCTTGTACTTGGCACAGTGACTTGTTTATAGTAGGCACGAAAAATACTAATTCATTTCCTTCAAAATTCCTAACACAAGTTCTTGAACATTAGGAGGAATTCAATGAATAATTGGTTACTTATTGATTTGCTAGTTGAGACCAGAACCTGTACACTTCTGAAGACTTTACTTATTCTTCTTCTTTATCCTTTTTTTTTCTCCTTTTTCTCCCATTTTTAGAGAGGGCAGAGATGCAGCAAAGCATAAGGAAATAGATGAGTTTAGGAGAAGAGAATATGCTATAGTTACCTTTTTTCAGAAGAAAAGAAATGAAAGCATTTTCCATAATATTTTGTTAGAGGTTGGTCTATTCTTGTTTTACTGAATATAGCTGGGTTTGGAGCTGAGAACACAGGTCCTTTCCTGCTGTGCATAAAAACAATTATCTACAGAAGGGAAACTCTAGCAATATATCAATGCCAGGCCTTTATACACTTGTTGGTATTCTGATGGTGAAGACATGTATGTCATTTGGCACTGCAGTTCCTTCTTTGTTTCGGCTGTGATAGTGATCCAGGATCCTAGCAATCTAAACATCATCTTACTTCGAATTACCAAGCTTTGAAGCCTTTGCCATTACTCACTTTATAAGTCGTAACTTAGTAAAGAGAACATCATATGAGAGTGATTTTTCTTCCCTATCTGATTTTTACATCTTCTGGTTGCAAACAGCAATTTACCTATTCCTCTTATCTGATACCTCACAGAGTGACAACATCAGAAACTAGTTAGGACACTCACCTGGCAGAGACTGGAATTTAGTGGTTGGTACTGACTGATGATATAAACAATTAATTATTTACTCTCTTCATTCCTTATTTCAAAAGTTACTAATAAATGAAGCCAGTCAAGCTATTTCTTACATTTTATTATTTTTAAATTTTATATTTTTATTTTAATTTTATATTTTTAAATTTTATTATAAAAATAAATTTTATTAAATTTATTTTATAAGGATTTTATTTTATAAGGATTCTGTGAGTACTTAAATGAGAAACATAAAGAACTTTGTCTCACTCATGTTGGAATCATAGCTCTTTAGGAAAAAAGTAGCATCTCTCTAGACATAAAATAACAACTATAAGTTGCTATAGAAACAACAGCTCTCAAAGCCAGTAGAGAACATTTTTAAAAAGGGTGCCCCTTAGAATCTCAGGTAGCCTCCAAAATGCTTACACCCAAAGAAAAAGTATTTTACATAGACGGGCTTAGTTTAGAGGTTTAAGATGATTTCATCTTTAAATAGATAGCCTTTACTCTCCGTTGTGATTTTTATACTGTTTTAGATTTCTTAAAAAGTTTTCCCCTCTCTATTTTTCAGACCCATTAGGCTTCATGTCATCTCAGCTGACTAGCATCTGTGGCCTGGCACTTGTTTTGACTAAGTAATCATATGCCTTTCTCTACCTAGTGCAGCCCCTGGAACCTTATCTGCTAGGACCAGCCTTTCACTGCCCTAGGAAGGCCTCCCAGTTGCGTGTTACATCTGTTTTTCTCTGGAAGAAAACAAGAGAAAACAATTAAGAAGGTTGATTTTACCCTATACATAAGAAACTTCAATTCTCATTCTGTGCTTTAACTGCTTTTGTATTTAAGCAATTCTTTCGTCTACTTTGAGCCTCTATTTTCTCAACTATAAAATAAGGGAGTTGAGCTACATGATTTCTGTTTCTTTCAGAGCTAACATTTTCAGTCCACACATAAAATTTAACATTATTCTTATAAGTTTATATATATCACATTTTATTGTAAACTCCTAGGGTCTAAAGGCATAAATGTTTTTAAAAAGACATGTACTTATTTATTTGTGTGAATCTATACACAAAAAGTACTATTTAGCAAAAAAAAAAAAGACAGGAAATTTAATCTATTTCTTTTTTGATGCATTCATTTATTAACATATATTAATTGAGCACCTAATGCCAGACATTGTGGACAAGTGGTAAACCAAAGCAACAGGGCCCATATGTTTAGGGAGCTTGAAGACCAATGGAGAAACAGATCATATACAGTGTAAGTAGATTTGTGTAAAGTTCTATAAAGAAGAAGTGCACGGTGCCTAGGAGATATAAGCCAGGTAGGATCAAGTTTTTCCAGGAGGATGACCACTCAATAAATATCAAAGTTGAATAGGAATCATTAGACTAAGGGGCAGGGAGTGGGGAAGGGAGGAAGAAGAGAAGGAGGGGAAGGATGTAGCATTCTAGGTAGGGAATACACATGTGTGAAGGCCAAATGATCATAGGGAGAAGGAAGGGTCACTATAAGGAGCAATGGGAAGCCACTGTTCTAAGCTGGGGAGTGGTAGGGGGTGACTTGTGACACAATCACTAAGGTATTCTACCATATCACCCACCCCTGGCTGCCTAGAAGAGAGTAAAAGTGGATTCAGAAAGACTTGTTAGGAGGCTACTGAGAAAATGCCGGCAAGAGGTGATGGTAGCTTGGGCTAAGGTGTTGGTAGTGTGTTAGGGGTGTGGTGTGTCTGTGAATAGGATGAGGAGGATGGAAAAAAATATTTGAAACATAAACCTTGATTGATACTGATTTGGATTAGATTGTGTAAAGAGGCTTTAATGAGACATTCTAGAAATTACACTTCCACGTAAGTGTCACTGCCTTCTAAGTGTTATATTATGAGGTTACACACCCATTTCAAAGATGCTTCATGGGTGTCAACAATTCTGAGAAGCTTCTTTCAGAACTTACGTCAGAACCAGTGTATAAACCATAGCAGAAAAATAGGCTTATTGCTATATAGAAAATATTTCATAAATCCCCAAAGCTAAGGAAACAAATATGTGTGTAATGTTCTTAAGTTGATGCAGGGTTCATAAAGACTTCCTTTTATGAGTTTGACCTTCCAACTTGTAGAGTGAGGTCACTTCTTTAAGAAAATATGCATGTATGTAGGGGAAAAGTTATGTTATCTGAGTCTTCATCAAAGAATGAGGATATGTTCTTTTATCCAAGAGCTAGCTGACTGGGGAAGCCCATAGGCAGAAGAAAATCCTGGTCAGGAGGGGTTTTTTAATTTTATTTTTAGGGAGCAGATAAATACATCTTAGATGACTGACAACAAATTTTCCAAAGAAAAGAAGAATGAAGTTATATCAATAAGTTTTTAGGAGCAGTGCATGGTGGGAAGAGCTTAGAACAAAGGCTAAGAGTCAGACTCTGGTTTTGTAACTAGCTGTGCAGTCTTAGAAAAATTATCTCTCCCAGTTTTACTTTCCTCATCTGTAAATGGGGACACATATGCCAGGAGTTTTGTGAGGATTTACTGATGGAGCCCTGATAGTTTGGCTGTGTCCCCACCCAAATCTCATCTTGAATTGTATCCCCCATAATTCCCACTGTTGTAGGAGGGACCTGGTGGGAGATAATTGAATTATGGCAGCGGTTTTCCCCATACTGTTCTCATGATAGTGAATAAGTCTCACGAGATCTAATGGTTTTATAAGGAGAAACCTCTTTCGTTTGGTTCTCATTCTCTCTTTGCCTGCCGCCATCCATGTAAGACATGACTTGCTCCTCCTTGCCTTCCATCATGTTTGTGAGGCTTCCCCAGCCACATGGAACTGAAACTTCAATTAAACCTCTTTCTTTTGTAAATTGCCCAGTCTTGGGTATGTCTTTATCAGCAGTGTGAAAATGGACTAATACAAACTCTGATTTCCATCCACCATCCCCTCCATATCACCTCCCCACCCTGGCTCCTCAGCTAAACACCTTTTCTTCAGGTTAAAGAATAGAAAACTCTGTGGAGACAGAGGGTAAGCAGAAATCCTTCAGTAGCTATCAGGCTACTATCTTCACCTTTCTTAGCTCTGTAATATCAGAACATAGAGAAAAAAATTCCTGGCCACTTTATCAGTCTCCATGAAGAAAGGGTGGAGCCAGTAGGCATTGCCATTGGTTCAGTAGACATTCCCGGAGCACCGTCATTTAGAGAAAGCAGCAGCCCATTTAAATCAATGAATCTTTTTAGGAAACTGAAACAAGTTCAATGCCCAAGAGTAGAGAATTGGTTGGACAGTTCTCTACTCTTGTACATACCACCTGGATGCACATTCACGTAATGGGATTATATACGGAAGAAAAATATTAAATGACATTGGGACATGTTAATAACAAATTAAGTAGAAAAGATTGCCACAAAACAGTATATATACTAAGAGTCCAGGTTTTTTTTTAAGTAATTGATTTATGGGAAAAATAGGATATACAAAATGTTAAAAATAAATTCTGGAGGGTGGGATTATAGGTATTTTAAGTTTTTTCTTTTCTAAACCTTATACAATAAACATTTTAAAACATAAATTTATAATTAATAAATATAAGCTTTAAAAAAAACTCCATAGGGCAGAGTTTGTGTTTACCAGCATATAAACAACAAGCATTTAAAGAAACATGGGTTTTTCCTTAGTGGAGTAGAGAATTTGTAAAAGAGGAAAGCACCTCTCTTGATTCCTCATGTTTCTACCTTTTTCCCCTATCCTTGTCCCAGATCTGAAAGTAGTGGGGAAAAAAAATCAACCTGGCTCTTTTCCTATGCCAAGGTGCTTAGTCAATGTTTAGTTTTACTGTAGGGGAATTTCACATAGATCAGGCTTCCCAATACCAGAGGTTCCTGGCTCTGCCACTGGGTCTGTACCCTCTTTGGCATTCACTTCCTGCCCATTACCTCCCTGGGTAGCTGCAAGATAGCTGGGGAAATCCCAGTCTCATGCCCTCTGCAAGAGTCCAGGTCTCCACTTGAGTGGAGAGCAGGAAAAAGAGGCAAGCGCAATGCCAAGACTTTACTGAGTAATTTGAATAAGAATACTTGTAAATAGGTAAAATGCTTTACATTTATCATTACCATAATTGTTAAGAATAACAACTACCATTTATGAGATGCTTTCCATGTGGCAGGCACACATCACATTATCCCACTTAATTTTCACATTAGCGATTTGGGTATTATCTCTGTTTAACAGATAAAGACACTGAGGCTGAGGTCAAGCAATTTGCCTAGGCTATTCTGCATTTTGCTAGCCTAGCAAAACCATTGGCTCCTTCCTTCCAGCAAACTCTAGAGTTAGCTATGATTGTGAGGCTTCCCCAGCCACATGGAACTGTAAGTCCAATTAAGCCCCTGAGTTCCCAGTGCTGGAAAGTGACAGACACAAGGTGCTTCAAAGATTGCAAAGCTATTCCAAAACTGCCTCCATGATTCTTCACCCTACTCTGTGAGGAAGATGAGGATTCTAAGTTTTAACTTCTGAAAGAAAGGGACAGACTTTAAGGTCCCTTCTGAGAGGTCTGGATGGCTGACCCATAACAGCATTTCCAGTTTTTAGTTTCAGAAAAGGGAGTCTTGTACTTAGGAGGTCAATGATGGGGGCCACGCATAGGTCTATTATACTAGGTTACGAGTGGTAAATTTTAATCTGACCCTGAAGTAAGTAGGGTACAGTTGGAGACTAAACACTGGCAGCAAATAACCAACTCATGGTGTGTCCTGATACTGTGAAGAAAAGGAGACACTCCTGTACATGGCATATAGAACTAGCTAACTCTGGAGTTTGCTGGAAGGAGGGAGCCAATGGTTCTGCTAGGCTAGCAAAAGGGAGAATAGCCTAGGTCCGTGGATGATGTTTTGATGCACGGTGGACCAATTCAGCCATACGTGGAAAAGGCTAGAGGCTCTGTGCACATAACTGTGAAATTATTTTGACCAGGTATGTATGCTATCAATAAAATAGTGGTTTATTCAGGTCACAAGGAAGACAATTTTCAACTAAAACTCAAAGTATCACATGGGTTAATACTGACTTTTTGATATACACCTGTAACAGAAAGGAAGACAAAGAGACAACATAGCTATAATAATTTATTGCTTTTCATTTCTTGTTTGGATAAAAGTGAGACTACATCAAAAGCTGTTTGATGACACTGAATTATTTTCATAGTATCTATATCACTTGCTGTATCAGAACTGAAGTCCTCATGACTGGTCTTCAATGGAAGTGAATCCTAAAATTAATCTTAATTTAAAAAATACATTGCTTTTGGGGTGAGGAGGAGAAGGCAGCAGGAAGAGGAAGCATCTTCCCAGAATTATATGAATTAGCAACCTTGGGTCCTAGCCCAGGATTTGTCCCCAACCAAGTAATTCTGAGCACATCACTTAAGCTTCAGTTTCTTTATCTGTACAACAAGGAGCTAGAGTTTAATTTCCAAAGCCCTGTCAAGTACTAAGTTTGTACAAGTCTAATATTCTTTGGAGTTCATCTTTGCCTTAAATGGATTTATGATCATCTTTGTGAACCACGACCTCGTTATTTAAAAATTCATAAGAGAGACAGCTCATCGAATAGACCAGGACACAGGGTTCAGGATATGATACTGTAACATAATTAAGTATGGAGAACAATCTTGCCATAGGGCAAAAGTAACTCCTGAAATTCTGTTAGCCTCTGTGCACATTTGTCTTACAAACATGCTTGCTCCTGATGAAAATCTGCTTTTTAATTCCTTCTAGACAGAATCACTGATATAAGCTTCCATCTTATATCAAAATGACTCATTCATAAGCCACATACTCTTGCGAATGATTCTAAAAGGCAAGTGATGTTTGATATTAAGGTTTTATGTGACAAGCTAGCATTCCATGGGTGTCCATAACAACAGTAAACTTAAATCCAATGAGTAGGCGCCCTTAAGTCCAGACTAAGTAGCCCTAAATGCCAAATGCCACAAGACTGTCACTTGGTAATGACTGTCATTAGCCTCCGGAGTATGGATGGTGGGCACTCTGAATAGGAGCTTTATTACACTGTAGAAGAAAAGCTTTCTCCTTACTTTGTCCTCAACTGATATTGAGAAAAAAGCAAGAGGGCAAATGTATAAGATTTGGAAGCTGCCCCTTCCAGCTGTTCTGGCCTGAACTCTAGTTAATCTTGTGCAAGTTAAATTCTAACTATCACTAGGTGAGACCTATCACCTGCTGGGACCTGTCAAGCCTCGGATTAGTGCCGTCCCGGAAGTAAAGTTCTGTTGATATCCCAGGAGGAACTGTCATGCTCTAACATGGATAAATGAGATACAGAACTGGCTACGATTAGGTCTTAATGAGTTCAATAAAGAGTGTGTCACAGAATTTCAAATGTGGAAAGATTATCTTTTCAACTGTATGTATAATTTATTCTGAGGACTTGCTTGCGTGTCACAAACCTAATGCATTTGTTAGGAGGATGAAACAGGAAAAACTCACAGGAGGACACGAAACACTACTTAGGATAGCTTCTAAGAAGGGAATCTCCCATAACATTCCTTATCTTTCCCGCCCACCCAAGAGTTCTGACACATATGCTTCAAAACCTCGTGTGGTAGTTCAAGCCTGCTTAGAAGCTTTTAAGGCCTCGTGCCAGGTTTCCGGTGTTTTCATAGATTTCTCTTGTTCAGTTATTGTCGCCTCCAAATTTGTCATTCTCTCATTCCACTCTAGCCTCCCTTCCTCTGTGCAATAAGCTTTTAGGGCATTCCATTAATCACTTTTCTTCCCCACCTAAAATACTGTCAGCAAACTGCCTAGGGGAATCCCTATAAAAGCGGTAAGAGAAAGTAAGGTTGCGTTACTGCCTATAAATTGGGCACTTTAAAGGCATTTGTTTTAATCACGACTTAAGACTTTCAACCACGAGTAATTTGTGCGAAAGGAGCTTCTTCTGGGAGGATACCTCGGCTTCGTCTTCAGGTTTCAATCCCTAAATTTCCCATAAGTAAAAGAAACATCACCTCCTCTCTTCCAAGAGTCCGCTGACACCTGTCTTCACCCGCAGGTGTTTCTTTTAAGACGTTAAACGCTTTCTAGAACCTCAAACAGCTAAGATGCTCCCCGCACCCGAGGTTTTGCACCAGCGACGCTCTAGGGTGTGTTTTTCTACTTCCCTAGGCCCAAGCCTGCCCGCTGGCGTCGAAGCCAACTCCTTACTGGTTCAGGTATGTGCTCGTCTCTAGAGTAAACCAATCAGAGCCCCACTTCTTACTCCTGGGATTTGGTAAACGGAAGAGACCTCTCCTGTTCCGGGAGTAGGCCGGGACCGTGGATGAGTGACAGTTCGACTTTCCAATAGGCAGAGCCCTAGGACCTGCCCACGTCTGGTTCAGGGGCTAGAAAAGAGCGTCGATGCCGGCGGCAGTGATGAGTCCTAGGAGGCGCTGGCTCTTTGGCGGCTCGGAGGAGCGGCTGCTGCTGCTGCTGCTGCTGCTGGTGGCCCCTTTGCAGGTGAGTGGCTTTGTTTTAGAAAATGTTGCGAACGTTTACATTTTTTAGTGATGTGATGTTTTATTTTTGGGTGCGGGGAAGGCCAGTTTCTTTACTTCCCCCGGTTTAGTCGTTGGTGGGAGTCTGGTGCCCACTCCAGCCCTCAAGCTGGGACCCTCACTTATCGCCCCGGTCCCTTTCCCTTGTCCCTATCTCAGAATGAGCCTCGCAGGCAGTCACCGTTCTGTCAACTGAGAGGAGGAGCCCGCTTTGGTAGTGCTGTCCTTATGGCAAGAATATATAGAAGTTGGAGGGAAGATAAACTCTCTTCTGGATGTCTGAGGTACTGTGTAGCAGAGCCCTTCCAATAGTAAGATCCCCTGGAAGGAAGCAGGGCGATGCCGCTGTATTTAGGGTTCTGGCAGACCTGGCCCTATCTATCATTTTGTGTAGTAGACAGAAAAACTCGAATGCGGTGAAAAGAGAAGGAGGTGAATATATGCAGTGTTTTCATGTAGGAATCTGGAGCCAAATCACAAGTTCTTAGAACCACTAGAAATAAAAACGTAAGTGTATTTTCCTCTTTTCTAAGGGACGAGCTGGTATTACACTAGAGAAGGTCAATGAAATGCATAATTGCAGTTAAGTTCACAGTTAAGCTTTAAAGAATAGTTGGTTGTTAGCTAACTTATAACTCTCATCCCCCTACTGCCTCCCTTGCAAATTACGGAAGATCTTTAGCTTGTGAGTGGTACTAGAATGTTAGCTGACTAAATGCAGACTCTTTCCAAGAAGGGGAAAAATCAAAAGCTAAGTTTCACCTGTAGGTACTAAAGGTTTTTTAATAGTGAAAGCAGAACTCATGTCAATTTGTCTTTTATTTTTTATTTTTTTTGAAACGGAGTCTCGCTCTGTCGCCCAGGCTGGAGCGACTGCAGTGGCTCGATCTCGGTTCACTGCAACCTCCGCCTACCGGGTTCAAGTGATTCTCCTGCCTCAGCCTCCCAAGTAGCTGGGATTACAAGCATAGGCCACCACGCCTGGCTGATTTTTGTATTTTTAGTAGAGACGGGGTTTCACCATGTTGGCCAGGGTGGTCTTGAACTCCTGACCTCAGGTGATCTGCCTGCCTCGGCCTCCCAAAGTGCTGGGATTACAGGCGTGAGCCACCGTGCCTGGCCTTGTCTTTTTTCTTTCTTTCTTTCTTTTGTTTTGGTTTTTTTTTTGTTTTGTTTTCAGACGGAGTTTCGCTTCTGTTGCCCAGGCTGGAGTGCAATGGCGCGATATTGGCTCACCGCAACCTCCGCCTCCTGGATTCAATCGATTCTCCTGCCTCAGCCTCCCGAGTAGCTGGGATTACAGGCATGCGCCCCCACGCCCAGCTAATTTTGTGTTTTTAGTAGAGACAGGATTTCACCATGTTGGCCAGGCTGGTCTCGAATTCCTGACCTCAGGTGATCTGCCTGCCTCGGCCTCCCAAAGTGCTGGGATTACAGGTGTGAGCTACCGCGCCCGGCCTTCTTTTTTTTTGAACTGCCTCCCGTGAGTCCAGGGAATAGCTCTTTCTTAGCCATCTTTGTATTCCAGTAGCACCTCATACACCGCAGATGCTCCCCAGTTGGTGGTGGACTTCAGAGAAGCATAATTCAAACAGTGTCATAGTGGAAGGAGCTCTGAGTTAGAAATCAAGAACATTGGCTTTAGTCCTGAAACTGTTACTATTTGTGTGATCTTAAACAAATCATTTCAACTGTGACTCTTAATTTTTGCATTTTTTTTTTGAGACAGGGTCTCGCTCTGTTGCCCAGGCTGGAGGGCAGTGGCGCAATCTCTGCTCACTGCAACCTCCACCTCTGCCTCCTGGGCTCAAGCGATCCTACCATCTCGATTTTTGCATCTTTAGAAAGCAGATGTTGCATTAAATTATATCTGAGATATAAACTCTGTATTTAAAGTCTGTTTTAAAGTAAAAATTATTAGTATACAAGCAGAATCTCATTGCAGTAAATTCTGTACCATCTATTAGCAAGTAAAAGTTCCCAGCTTCAAGGATATATTCTTGTTTTTTAATTTTTAATTTTTGTGGGTACCTAGTAGGTGTATATATTTATGGGTTACATGAGATATTTTGACATAGGCATGCAATGCATAATCACATCAGAGTACATAGGGTAGCTGTCACCAAAAGCATTTATCCTTTATGTTTCAAACAATCCAATTGTACTCTTTTAGTTATTTGAAAATTTACAATTAAATTGTTTTTTTTTTTACTATAGTCACCCTGTTGTGCTAGCAAATACTAGGTCTTATTGATCTTCCTATTTTTGTCCCCATTACAAGGATATACTCTTTTGTGTTCCTATTTAAACCAAACCAGATTATTGTAGAAAATTTGGAGCATACCGAAGTATAATGTGGCAGAAAAATGTCACTTAGAAGCAACTACTGTTAGTGTTTGGGTAGAGCTTTTAGTCTTTCTTCCTCTTTTGCCTGCTGTGGTTGGTTGAGATTAAGAGGCACATTTTAAGTAATGATTGATGCACCTAAATTCACCTGGCCTTCATCTTTGTGTGTCTGGGGCCTGAAGAACAGAGGTCACAAACGTGTTTGAACCGAATGGTTTCTTGAAACATCCTTGGAATGAAATCTGATATGAAAGATGTTTATATGGGTGGCAGGACAAAAAGTATTACTTAATAACAAAACCCTTCTGCTGAAACTTAGCCACAAATATGAGGAAAACATACTTTGTAAAATATAAATTAAATGTTAACCACTTCATTAAAGCATTTGGATTGCAGAATATTAGTACTTGGTAAGCTTCTGAGACTGTATCTTACCATCACCTTCTTCCATCCCACAATATTTGATTGCATTCCTCCTTCTACCACCTAATTTAAGCATTTCTCCTCTAATTCCTCCCTTCATTTTACTTTATTCCCAGCTTTCGCTTCTGCTCATATCATCGGCAAGGTAGGATTGCTTTGACGGGCCTGAGATCTGTGCCATTATTTATGAGTTAGTCAAAGTCTGCTCCATTCTACCTCTCACTTTTTGGTAGAGTGCTTCACCATAATCTCATTTAATCTTTCTGATAGCCCCCTGAGAACAGTAGTTTCATGATCCTCATCTTTATAGATATGGAACCTGAGGTTCAAAGAATTTAAATAAGTTAAGATCACATTGTCAGTCAGTAGCAGAGCTGGGCTCATATCTAGGTTGTTTTTACTTTAGACTTTTGGAATTTGGTGGACACAGTTTGTGTTGATAAAAGCTACTACCCTGGGGAAGACAATGACCAGAGATAGGAAGGAGGGGTCCGTCATGAGTGGGTGTTGTCCACAGTGGTGATGCCATGCAGGCTGGAACATGCAACATGCCCTGAGCAAATGCACATCTCATTACATATGTATATCTCTTCGCCATGAGTAGGGATCTGCCTGGTATGGTTGGTTATTCTTGTAACAAGCAATCAGTAGGAAATATTAGTAGATGTAAGATTGGGGAATGAGAGGGTTTTAGTGTCTGGAAAACACCTGTAAGTGGTAACATTTGCTCCTGTAAAATGATGTTCTTATAACTGCAAGTACAGATGAAAAAGTTTCTACAAAGCCTTAGGAAAAGTAATAGACCATGGAACACTTTTAGGTACAGTTGTGTTTGAACTTCTAATAGTGAACTTGATTTGGGGGAAGGCATAGTTTGTTAAGACATTAAAAGCCTTGGCCGAGCACGGTGGCTCACGCCTGTAATCCCAGCACTTTGGGAGGCCGAGGCGGGCAGATCACGAGGTCAGGAGATCAAGACCATCCTGGCTAACATGGTGAAACCCTGTCTCTACTAAAGATAACAAAAAAAATTAGCCGGGCGTGGTGACGGTCACCTGTGGTCCCCGCTACTCAGGAGGCTGAAGCAGGACAATGGCACGAACCTGGGAGGCGGAGCTTGCAGCGAGCCGAGATCACGCCACTGCACTCCAGCCTGGGCGACAGAGTGAGACTGCGTCTCAAAAGAAACATTAAAAGCCTTAAGGAACTGAGCCCCAGATTTCATTTCCCTTGAGACCTGTTCCTTTTTACTTTGTTAAAGACATGGTTCTTTTTCTCTGTCCTCAAATAATAGCCAGCCCATCTTCTATAAAGTTAGATTCCTCTTGCAGTGGGGGTTAAAAGTTGCTCAAAGCCACACAATAAGGGGTTTGGACCAAGGAAAACGTCATCTGAGTGTCTAGGGTAGCAACTGACTAATATTTAAATGTGAGCTTTGAATCTAAGTGACTCTGGTTCTATTTGTCTTATTTTATATAACTTCAACATTATATTGCTGATCAAATTTCTTGCTTAAACGTTGGAAATACAAGAAAAACTAGGTTTTTAAGTTGGACTTTACCCTGTAGTTTGTCCTATTTGTCCGTGAGTTGTACCACTAGGGTCTTAGGCATTATTAACTTTCAAACACGTGAGGAAGGGAGGAAGCAAAGTCCCAGGAGTGTCAGTTTGGAAGACAGGATGAGCCTCAGTTATGGGGAGTACTTATAACAGAGGAGCCTCAGTTATGGGAGAAATATAATGTGAAATTATATTTCACATAATTTCATATGTGGAATTATATAGTTTAATGAAGGAGTAGGAAGCAGCAGCAGATGATCATGCTACATTTGTTGAAAGTACTTAGGGATCTCAAAAATATTAAGAGGGGTAACCTTAGTAAATGCAGTGCCTTGCAAGTACATCACTCCCCTATCTACAGTCCCTGTCTTGCCAAAAAGAATGCTAATCTTGAATCATAATTTTATGTTTCAATTTTATGGTGGCATTATGGAAAGAATATTCTTTGCTTTATAGCTAACTTAGATGGAATTTCTATACATTTATAGTGAAAGATCTTTGAAAGTTATAAGTCACCTGCAAAGTATGTTCTTTGATTTGTTTATTGTCAAAGCAATTACATAGCACCTACTCCTGAGCAAGTATACATTCCCCTGAAGTGTGAGGCACTATGGGATAATTTATGAAGATGTCTAATGGGGTAAAGTGTGTCAAAATGACAGATGATATTTTTGAAGGAGATTAACAGGATGAATCCTATAGTTTTCCCCTATAGTTCAATCTTGAACCTATTCCTAAATAATTTAGTTAAGCAAAAGTCAAGTACTCAGACTGATTTAAATGTCTTCAGTATTGCCTTCTGTGAGGAATAAAAACAATTATGAATGGGATTCCATTACTCATGGTACTTGCCGTTCTGGCCAAGAATAAAATCTAGTGATTTCATAATGTTGGGATTATTCTATGACGGGATGCTTAAAGGTTAAAAATGCTGATGTCATTAGTAGATCTAAGTGTGGGATCCAGCTAGGCCAATATCGGCATATTGAGGGCTTCTGGCCTATACCGTTTTTTAAAAAATTTACATTTTTAATTTTAAATTATGGATGCATAATAGTTGTATATATTTATAGGTATATGTGATGTTTTGGTACAGATATACAATATGTAATGATCAAATCAGAGTAATTGATTTACCTCATGCATTTGTCTATTACCTCATGCATTTATTTTTTGTGTGTTGGGAACATTCTAATTCCATTATTTTAGTTATTTTAAAATGCAATAAATTATTATCACCCTATTGTGCTACTGAATACTGATCTTATTTATTCTAACTATAGTTTTGTACCTGTTAACCATCCTCACTTTAACCCCCTCGCTCCTGTTACCTTTCCCTGCCTCTGGCAACCATAATTCTGCTATTGCAATACATTCAATTTTCAAAATTTTTAGCTCCCACATATGAGTGAAAACATGTGAAATTTGTCTTTCCATGCCTGACTTATTTCACCTAACCTTAGGCTCTCCAGTTCCATCCATGTTGTTGTGAATGACAGGGTTTCGTTCTTTTTATGGTTGAATGATATTCCATTGTATATATGTGCCAAATTTTCTTTATCTGTTCATCTGTTGATGGGCACTTAGATTGCTTCCATATCTTGGCTATTGTGAATAGTGCTGCAACAAACATGGAGTGCAGGTATCTCTTCAGTATACTTATTTGCTTTCTTTTGGATGTATACCCAGTGGCGGGCTTGCTGGATCATATGTCTACTACCTGTTTTTGAACAGCCCACAAACTATGCATGGGTTTTACATGTAAAACGGTTGAAATAAATTAATATTTCATGTGCATGAAAATTATATGAAATTCTAATTTCAGTGTCCATACCTGAAGTTTTATTGAAACAGATTTATTCACTTATATATTATGTATGGTGGCTTTCAGCTGCAATGGCAGAATTATACAATTGTACCTAATTATGGCAGAGACCAGTATAGCCTAGAAAGCCTAAAAAATTTGCTATTTGGTGGTTTACAGAAAAAGTTGCTAACATCTGAGCTAAGCTATAGTGTCTTTCACGTTTATCTCCTTCATCTCACTTAAACGGCCATTGTCCTGGTCCAAGTCTTTATTCTGTGTTACCAGAATTATTGCAAAAACCTCTCAGCTAGTGTTCATACTCCTGGGTTTTCCTGTCTATTTCTGTAAGTAAGTGCTGCCTGATCCTGCTAAAATGCATGCTACTAAACTTTTAATGATGTCCCAATATGTATAGAAAAACCTACATGCTTTGGCACAGGCTTTTTTTGTGTCACTATTTTTTCTTATCTTTCTAGGCTAGTCTTCTCCTGCTTCCTTATTATACCCTATACTTACAGTGGCCATATAATTTTCCAAATGGGACACTTAAGTGTGAAAGGGGCCCTAGTAGTAATTATGTTGGGGAAACAGGCCTAAGACAATACTGTTCTGTAATAATGATGCATGTGCCTCTTTCTCCTAACTACCCTCTCTGTCTTGACCTTGCCAAAAGAATGCTAATCTTGAACCATAACTTCAATTTTATGGTGGCATTTATGGAAAGAATATTTTTTGCCTATTAGGCAAATCAGGATGTATGGTTACTCTAGCTATACTCCAACCAGTTTGAATGGGCTCGCCATTTTCCATATGTACCTGTTCCTTTGCCTTCACTCACTGTTCCCCTAGATTGGAATTCCTTTACTTTTTTCTGTAAATCTAAACCTTGCCTTTCCAAATCCAGCTTAAAAAATACTGTGTCCACGAAGCCTTACTCAGAAATATTCTCTCCCATCCCACCTCTCTTTTACTAATGAAGTGCTTTCTCATGGTGTGAATTACTTTGAGTTTTAGGTACACACACACACACACACGTACTGAAGATGAAGACATAATTCTTGTTGGATTACATATTCCTCATAGGCCTAGCATTGGGCCATGCCTAAATGGGATCTGCAAAATGTTTGAAGAATGAATTAATTGGTCAGGCTAGGGCGACTGAGTATTTGGGGCTTTCAATTTATGAGTCATCCATTTTAATGTGATTAAAGCAGTGAGAAAAGGGTTTCCAAGAACTGAAGACTGAGCCTCAGGTTTCAATGTGACAGTGTAGCAAAATGGTTCAGGGCATAGATACAGACTTCTCGAGACTAAATTCCAGCTCTGCCATTTACAGCCTCTGTTACCTTAGGCAAGTTAACCTTTCCTCCTGTTTCTTCATCTGTGAAATGGGAGTAATCATAGTAGCCACTCCATGGAATGGTGGTTGAGGATTCAAACAGTGCCAAGTAACATTGAACTAACATTCACAGGTGAGCACTCTGTGAATGTTGGCTACTGTGACTAATATGATCATCTTCATAGTACTCTTACAGGTAGGTAAGAAAATGCAGACACCCAAGACCAAGATGTAACCGTGGAAGAGCTGGAGGAAATGCTACACCAAAATCTTAGTGGGTTTTTTTTCTTGATGGAAGTAGTCTGTTTTAGAGAAGTCATGAGAGAAGATGATCTCCACTTAGTAAGAAGTAACTAACCTGTAGTCTTTTGAGGCACCATTTCAGTAGAGTGGGTAAGGCACAAGTTTGGTGTCAGGAAACTAAAAAAGGAATGGCTAGAAGGGAAGGTAAATGGACAAGAGGAAGGGGAGGGAGGATAAGATACACAGCTGTGTAAAAGATGTTTCCTTAGTAAACTTTTTCTTCAAGCCAGATCACACTTTAAAAAGGAAGACACCCTGGGGGATAAATCAATAACCTATGTGTTCTTTTTTTGACATGATGTAAATTATTGATTAAAATCGGTACTTAAGTGCCAGTAACTTTTGCTATGGGATAAATGAGAAACCAGGTACAGGTTGGTGAGCTTTTATGAAAAACAAAACAAAACAAAAAAAATAAAGCTTGAGGTTGAAAAGGAATAGTTTTTAATTTGGGATGGGGAGTATTTATTCTTAGTAAGGTTCCTCTTTATAAGTTGGGGTGACTATTGCCTGGCTTACTTTGTGCCTTGAGGTTTTTCTCAAGAGTACTAATAAGGTGAGCCCTCCTTCATGTTCACCTTGTTCGTTTGCGTTTGATGAAATGGCTGCCTGGGTTTGGAAGGACAAGTTGGAACTGGAGATACCCCTGTGAAGTGAAGCCAAGTGAGCCAAGATCCTCAAACCATGACTCTAATATCTCCAGTGGGGGGTTGAAGGCAGAAGACCAGGGTTGCAGTTCCAGTTTGCCATTTACTGGCCATATGTTTTTGAACAAGTCAATCAGAATCTCCATTTTTTTCTGTGGAGATTATGGCCATCCATGAACATACTAAACTTATAGTACAAAAGTACAAAGTACAGAACTATAATGGATAATTATTCTTGGCTCCTGTTTTGACATAAATACCCTGAGATTCTTAAGTTAAAGTTTCCTAACATCTTAGCCCTGCCAACTGATTTTACTGTGGCAGTTACCACTAAAACTCTCAAGCCTTAGTCTCATGTGTACAATCCAGTCATTTCTGTCTGACTTTGGTTCAGTCAGTACACCTACTGAGTGCCTCATATGTGCCAAGCGATGTGCTAGGTTCTAGAGATACAGCAGTAAGACCTGCCTTGATGCAGCTTACAGTCTTACAGGGCACATAGCCATTGAACAGGTAATATATCTCAAGGGATCCATCGCAAGTGCACCAAATGTGGTTAAGCGGGATGCTACAGGAGTAGGTCAGCAGGCCTGACCTACTTCCCAATGGGTGAAGAGGAAGTCTAAAGCCAGGGGTTCTCAAAACATGGTCCTTGGACCAGCCATGTCACCATCACCTGAGGACTTGCTAGAAATGCATATTCACAGTCCCACCCCAGACCTACTAAATCAAGCTCTGGAAGTGGGCCCAAGCAATCTGTTTAATTTGATTTTGATATACATTAAAGTTTGAGAACCACTGGCCTACAGGAACTAACATTTAAGCTGAGCTCTAAAGCTGCATGATCTAGTGCGGTAGCCACTGGTCACATGTGGCTATGGAGCACTTGAAATGTGGCTGGTTCACATTGAGATATGCTTTCATTATAAAGTACACACCAGATTCCAAAGACATACTGTGAAAAAAAAGAATGTAAATTGCCTTATTAATAATTTTTGTATGGATCATGTGTTAGAATTGTATTAGTTCTCATGCTGCTAATAAAGACATATCAGAGACTGGGTAATTTTATAAAGGAAAGAGGTTTAAATGATTCACAGTTCAGCATGGCTGGAGAGGCCTCAGGAAACTTACAATCATGGTGGAAGGGAAGCAAACATGTCCTTCTTCACATGGTGGCAGCAAGGAGAAGTATAAGTGAAGTGGGGGCAAAGCTCCTTATAAAACCATCAGACCTCGTGAGAACTCACTTTCTATCATAAGAACAGCATGAGGGTAACTGTCCCCATGAATCAATTACCTCCCACTGGGTCCCTCCCATGACACATGGGGATTATGGGAACTACAATTCAAGATGAAATTTGGTCTTGGCCCCTCCCAAATCTCATGTCCTCTCATTTCAAAACATAATCATGCCCTTTCCAACAGTCGCCCAAAGTCTTAGCTCATTTCAGCATCAACCCAAAAGTCCAAATCCAAAGTCTCATCTGAGACGAGGCAAGCCCTCTCTGCCTATGAGCCTAGAAAATTGAAAGCAAGTTAGTTACTTCCTAGATACAGTGGGGCTACAGGCATTGGGTAAATATACCTGTTCCAAATGGGAGAAATTGGCCAAAACAAAGGGGCTACAGCAGGCCCCATGCAAGTCCAAAATCCAATAGAGCAGTTGTTACACCTTAAAGTTCCAAAATGATCTCCTTTGACTCCATGTCTGAATGATAGCTTTTGGACCTATAGGATTCATGTGGCTTGTAGAAAATTTAAAACTTCATTGTGCCTCGCATTATATCTTGATTGGACACAACTGATCTAAAGGATGACTAGAGCTTAACCTAAAGCAGGGTGAGACTGAAGTGGCAATGGAGAGAAGAGATGAAGGGTGAGTGTTCTGCATAGGGTACAGTGTGTGCAAAACTACTGAGGCAAGAAAGAACCTGACATGCTCAAGGAAATAAAACGAAAGCCTTGCAGGTCACATGAAGGATTCTGAACATTTTCTAAGACCAGTAGGAAGAATTGAGGTTTTAAAATAAGATACTCAATTTTCAAGGAGTTTAATTGTTAGTTTGCAGTTAATAAATGAGGGCAAGAGAACTTCAACTGAATATAGCAAGACTTTCAACATTGAAGCTCCCCAACTCCCTAGGATGGTGGGGGAGGGGCGATTTGGTCAGTGGAGGAAGCAGGACGCTGCCCATCACCTGAACCTAACCCTAGGGTATGAGGCATGAGCACCCCCCACTAGAGAGAGAAGCAGTGTCACCTGGGAAGAGGTCGTTTTCAGTTCAGATCTTTTTCAGTGCAATTGACACTCAAAGCTGAGTGGGAGTTTGAGGACAGAGCTAGGAATTCTGCAGGGCACCAGCAAATGGTTTGGTGAGGGAGGGCTGTAAAGGTGGGTCAGGGAGAAGGAAGCCCAGAGCATTATGGGGATTAGAGGGTCTGTCCTTTGAAAGGCTGTGTTGGGCAATAACAGGAAAGCTGGTTAAGTGGTCCAGACGCTTGGGTTCTGACCGTCTCCTGGGGTATAGTGGCTGTACCATTTATCTGTGGCCTAGGGGAGGTTTCCCTTTAAGTCAGAGGTCATAAGCTAGCAGCCACGATCTAGCCTGCAGAAGAAATGTTTTGTTTCACTCACATTTTACAAATATACATTAGTTGCTAATATTTAAATCAGATATCAGATAAAAATACACGTTTTCATTTTTTTTTTAATTGGAAGATCTAGAAACCTCAGTTGCTCAGTATCACAGGGCAATGGGCTGGAGCTAAGTAGTAGGTACTCCTTTGATTTTTTACATGAATTTTTAGGAGGTTTTGAAATGATTGTTTTAGCTTTTTTAAAAAAGACATTTATTTACTCAAAGTTTCTCTGTGGTCTGACTCTAAGTCTTGCATTCATCCTAGTCTTCGATGTCAGCAATCCCATCTTCTTTTTGTTTTCCAGAAAAGTTCTAAGAACAGTGCTGTTGGCTCAGTGAGATGAGGTTATCGGAAAACTTTCTGTTTACACAAGAGTTGCCTCCTTCAAAGAAGCATGCATGGTCCTTGCAGGTCACTGTGCCCATCACTCTGCATAGTCCAGCTGCACTCTGCTTCACACAGCTGCCTGCCCATTGCAGGCATTTGAGTTTGCAATCCATGCCTTAAACTTTAAATCACACTGGCTACAGCGTTGTGTGTTTCTTGGTAAACACTGGGTAAATCAGCTCCTGTGGATGTTGACTGAAGTTTCTATGTTTGCAAGCTAATCCTCAGCAGTTTCTTTGTAAGTATCCAGCAGTTAAGTGGGAAAAGTCCGTTGATAGTACTAGGGAGGAGAGAGGAAAGTGACCTTTTGTTTTCTTGAGATAGACATACTAGTTTAGTACTTTATCATGTATTCACCTGCGTAAATGTATTCCTGTGCTTCAGAGTGAGGGAAGGATGCATATTTGCATAGTTTTTGTGACTGCAGTACTGTTCCTCTGTTCTGGTGTGTGTGTGTGTGTATTTTTTTTTTAGTAAAAAGAAAACAGAACTTTGTTTTAATGCAGTAAGCAAATATAGGAGAATAAGATACCACAAAGCTTGGTGGTGGGTGCCTGAGTGTCCATGTTGCTATTACTACATTGTTTTGTCCCCTTGATATAGTTTATAATCAAAAGATGGTGGAAAGGTGCTTCTGTCTACAAAATTTGTCTAACCATGCCCTTCTTTAACTGAAGAGAGAATGGCTTCATTAGCTTATGGAGGTTTCTCACTTGACAAGATAAACTGAGGGTGAAGGTAGAGGAACAGTTGATAGCTTCTTTTTTCTCCATCCCCCTCCTCCACTACCAATAACAAAACAAAATGATCAATGGTTACAAAGGGTAGATACAGTTTTTGATGGAGCTGAGGCTTCTACTACTTGGTGGATTGGGGCTTTGTAAAGAAACACTGCAAAAATATCTTCCATTTGCAAATTAACACACTTACACACACCCCTCCGTGTGTGTGTGTGTGTGTGTGTGTGTGTGTGTGTGTGTGTTCATCACCTGGTTTCTCACAGGTGAGGGGCTCTGAAGCTTGAACTTTGTTAGATTCATGACTATTCTGCCCCTGGGCACAGGCAGTCATCTGGCAAAACACTGCCTAGATACCTTTTGTTCCCTTCTCTGTTCTGCCACCCTGATGCCTCTTCTAGGCTAAGGACAGAGACATTGGGCTTCCTCCTTGGGAATTCTCAGCTCTGTGGGATGCTTTAATCTGGGTCCTGAGCCCAGGCTCTTCTGGTTCCCTGGCACTTCCCTGCTGCACATGCACAGCAACCTGGTACTTAACAAGAAAGGAAAATCATCATCCTAACTGCTGTAGCCTTTCAACTTCAGTCATGCACCACCTAATGATGTTTCAGTCAAGCATGGATCGTGTAAATGATGGTGGCCCTGTAAGATGGTAATGGAGCATATATAGACATCTGATATGTGGCACTTGACATTGGCATTGCAGATCGAGTAGGGGAAATGACTGATATTCAGTAATTGTGCTGGGATACTTGGCTTTCCATATGAAAAAACATAAGTAACAATATGTATACCATCTAGGTTTGTGTAAGTACATTCTATGTTGTTTGCACGACAAAATCACCTAATGATGCATTTGCCAGGACATATTCCCTTCATTAAGCAACACATGACGATACTTGCAAATCACCTCAATTTGATTTCTTTCCTTAAGTCCTCTGTTTGCCTTCCATTGAAATATAAAGCCTTATTTTAAAGACTGTTTTCCCTTCAGAATCTCTAGGAATTACTAAAGAAAGGTAGAAACTAGATCTAGATTCCAATCAATTTTGCCATTGATTGTTATTTTACTGTGGGTGACTCACAGTTTAAGTGGGAGAGAAAATCTCCAGTTAATGGAAGTTGCCAAGAGTGGCAGAAGACCAGGCTGTAGTGCTCGTATAATCTTTACAACCCAGTGTGCAAAACACTGGAGGAGAGATGGAGAGGCCGGGCGTGTAAACCAAGCATGTGTCAGTGCAGATGTGTCCACCACAAGGAGAGAGAGAGGCGGGCTGAGCAGCCATGTCAGCAGATTCTCCGAGGATGGAGTGGGCCCAGCAGATCTTCAGGCCAGCAGCTTAAATGTAAGGAGTTCAGCATAGCTTGAGAGTTGCTGGTCTCCCTTTACTAGATTCTCCCCCTGCTAAGACGTAGCTGGTGTGTGTAGGATATCTGGAGGGCTGGGGAGGAGGAGGTGGGGCCTCTTTATCAGTGTGGTTCCTCTCACTCCTGCCTACCAGATCTGTTTGTACAGGCAGCATCCCTCAGCTGCTTGCATTTGATAGCTTATTTTGCATCTGGATTTATTCCTGCTGAAAACTCTATCTTGAGGTAGGTGCAAGATTATTTAGGTACGTACCATATTTGGTGTTAATGTCTCTTTAAAGCACTTTTAATTTGTCTGAATGTTGAACTGATGTGTTTTGCATACCTTAGATTTTCTTGTGTGTTGTAGCCTGTGGCATTGAAGAGCTAGTTGCCACCAGCCAGTGATACATATCAGATATATGCAGTGGTGCATTGAAATAACATGTTTAATAACTTCTATAATAAGAATGTGAGACTGGTAAATACTTCTTTTTCCACCACAGGAAAACAAAGTGAAAAGGATGCCTTCAGTGTAGAGTCAGCTGCTGGGAGCTGGGAGTTCCCAGCCACTAGTCATTCTTTCAGACGTCTGTAACTCATTCTATTAAATCCTTTCTACTGTAAGCATAAATTGCCTTTGTATCTGGCAGAAACACAGCATGCCATTAGAATGAAGTGTTTTGTTATTTTATGTCATGCAATTAACATGCTATCCAAACATCAGAAAATTTAAGTCAACTAGATTCCCTGTAATGAATTATTAATATCTATAGAATATGCCTGTATGTGTCACAGTGTATGAGTTATCACATTTCTGACTGTTCAAAGGGATTTCAGTTTCTTTTAGAAATTGGGTGTTGTAAAGCGATGTTTCTATTCCTAGATTGTCAGTTGAATATAACTTAGACTTGTTGTTCTTGTCTTTCTAGATGTATTGCTGTCCTTGAATATTAGCCCATTTGAAAACGCCTGGGAAGTTCAGCCATCAGTATGTCCAAGTACAAACTTATTATGTTAAGACATGGAGAGGGTGCTTGGAATAAGGAGAACCGTTTTTGTAGCTGGGTGGATCAGAAACTCAACAGCGAAGGAATGGAGGAAGCTCGGAACTGTGGGAAGCAACTCAAAGCGTTAAACTTTGAGTTTGATCTTGTATTCACATCTGTCCTTAATCGGTCCATTCACACAGCCTGGCTGATCCTGGAAGAGCTAGGCCAGGAATGGGTGCCTGTGGAAAGCTCCTGGCGTCTAAATGAGCGTCACTATGGGGCCTTGATCGGTCTCAACAGGGAGCAGATGGCTTTGAATCATGGTGAAGAACAAGTGAGGCTCTGGAGAAGAAGCTACAATGTAACCCCGCCTCCCATTGAGGAGTCTCATCCTTACTACCAAGAAATCTACAACGACCGGAGGTATAAAGTATGCGATGTGCCCTTGGATCAACTGCCACGGTCGGAAAGCTTAAAGGATGTTCTGGAGAGACTCCTTCCCTATTGGAATGAAAGGATTGCTCCCGAAGTATTACGTGGCAAAACCATTCTGATATCTGCTCATGGAAATAGCAGTAGGGCACTCCTAAAACACCTGGAAGGTACCAGCTTTATATACCACTTATTAGAGGTTGCCAAGTGTGATATCTAGGCCTTAATCTAGAAATTAAGCTAATGAGGCCCTATTTACACAATAGACTCCTCTATCCCCCTTTGTCACTTCAGATTTAAGAATTGTCTTGTTCTATAAATCAGATCTCTTGTGTGTTTTCTGTTCCTGTTACCCGAAGCAGCAGTTTTCAGACTTTAGCAAGCATCAGAGTCACCTGGAGAGGTTGGTGTATCACAGATTGTGGGTCCCACCCTCAGAGTTTCGGAATCAGTAGGTCTGGGGCGCACCCTGAGAATCTGCATTTCTTAGAAGTTTTAGGTGATGCTGATACTGCTGATTGGGGTTCCACACTTTGAGAAGCACTAGTCTAAAGGACTGTATGGCTTGTTGTAGTGAAATGAAAGGAAGCTAGGAAAGGAAGGAATTGTTGAAATGGCCTTGAAAGTAAATTAGAGTTTTTCAAGTCAAGTAAATTATCTAGACTTCAGTTTTGCTCACGTTCTTCCAACTTTAAACAATGATTGCTGTTCCTAGACGTAGGTTTCCTGAGCAGTTCTTTTGTTTCAAACTTCTTTTCAGAACAGGCTTAGTCATTGACTGGAAGAAAGTTAGGGGGAAGGAAACTAAAAGGATAGTTGGTTTATTTATCTTGACTCTAAAAATTTGGAAATCAGCAGCAGCCATAATTTTAACTACTTTATGTCATGTTCTACATGTATACTAAAACATACTGTATTGTTACCTTTTTAAGTAACATGAACCAAATGAACTCTTGAGGATTCAGGTTCACCGGTTTTGAGCATCAGTGATTGCACTGTGACACCTTCTGGATTTCTCACTGTTCTGTGGATTTCTCGTTTCCCTCTCTGCCTCCACTCATCCCAGATGGTTGTGCTTTTTGCGTGATATGCCCTGTCTGGTGTTTTCCTGCCTTTCATCACTGTCAGCAGTTAGCTTACTGGTAATAAATAGAAGAAATTTCTCCACCATTCGTTTTCATTCTGCTTTAATTTTCTATAAGAGGCTGTGACAAATAAAAAGGCTGACCTTGTATGTGAAATAAGTAGAAATAGATTATTAGTTAAAAATGAAGTAATCTTTAGCATGTGATTATTTTCCCCTAATTTTTATAACATGACCAAGAACTAAATCATTACTTGTATAGCTGACATCCATTAGTCATGCAGAGACCTAAAATCTACAGACTATTAGATACTAAAATTTTATTGGCTAGACATGGCACTTGATATGTGTGTGTGTGTGTGTTTGTGTGTGTGCACGTGCGCATGTGCGTGGGCACATGTGTATCTTATTTACTCAACTATATAAAAGGTTCTATTCTTGTTCAGAATAATTAGATCTTTAACTTCATTATTAGTGATATATAACTTCATCATTAATGGACCATAGTATTTTATTGTTTGAAGAAGAGTTGAGGCTTCTACTAGACAACAACAAACTGAAATTCAGAATTTCAGAGTTTCTGCCAGAGGTGTATTCTATTCAACCGTGCCAACTCCTTTTTCAGAGCTGGGTCTCAGATTTATTGTGGCCAGGCTCCCTTCTCTCAAGAAAACACCACTATCTCCTTTAGGATCATCTTTCTCCACCTTCTTAGCTTGGAAGTCCCCCTTTTAAAAAAGTTTCCTACTGTTTAATACCATTGACTCTTCACCTATCTTCAAATTTATTATAGATCTCTTTAAAACGATTCTACAGCCCAACCACAGCTCATTGTACACATCCCCTCCTGCTAGTGCATTGATGATTTAACTATTTTTTACTGTTCTTTTTGAGGGAAATCGGAAAGTTTAACAAATGATGGTAAAGAAGACTATAACCATGGTGGGGGCAAAGAGAGAATTACATGTAGAGGTTGTGTTTAGACATAGCAAAACTTACTTTTCTACATTTGAGGGAGGCTTTGAAACTATTAGCAATTTATTTAATTAATTTAATCAAATGGTGTACCTGCTTTGGAAAACAATCTGGCAGTTCCTCAGAAGGGCTAAACATAGAGTTACCATATGATCCAGCAATCCCACGCCTACCCATATAGCTATATTAGCTTCCCAGTGCTGCCGTAAGAAAACAACCAAACTGGGTGGGTTAAAACAACAGAAATGTGTTTTCTAGGGGCTGGAAGTCCCAAATCAAGGTGTGAGCAGGGCTGTGCTCTCTCTGATGACTCTAGGAGACAATTCTTCCTTGCCTTGGCTAGCTTCGGTGTTTGTCGGCAATCTTTGATGTTCTGTGGCTTGCAGAAGCATCACTCCTTGGCATTCTCCTTGTGTGTGTGTTTCTTATCCACATTTCCCCTTTTATAAGGCCACCAATAATATTAGCCTGCCGCCTCCCACCAGTGACCTCCATTTTAATGGGATTATTCTCTGTTAAACACTGTATTTCCAAATAGGGTCACATTATGAGGAGTTTGGGACTTCAGCCTGTCTTTTTGAGGGGATCACAGTTCAAACCATCACAATGCCCAAGAGGAATGAAAGCACATGTCCACACAACAACTTGTACCTAAACCTGCAGAGCAGCATTATTCACAATAGACAAAAGATGGAAACAACCCAAGTGTTCATCAACTTATAAATGGGGTCTATCTATACAATGGAATATTATTTGGCAATGAAAGGGAAGGTGATGCTGATACATGCTACCATATGGGTGAACATTGAAATAACTCTGTTATGTGAAAGAAGCCAGCCACAAGGGATCACATATTAGAGGATTTCATTTATATGAAATACCCAGAATAGGCAAATCTTTAGAAACAGAAGGTAGAGTGGTTGTTGCCTAGAGGGTAGGGAGGATGGAAGATTTTGCAAGTGATTTGCTGATGGGTACAGAGTTTCTTGTTGGGGTGATAAAAATATTCTAAAATTGATTGTAGTGAGGGTTGCACAACTCTGAATATGCTAAGAGCCATTGAGTTGTACACTTTGTGTGGGTGAATTGTATGTGAATTATATCTCATTAAAGCTGGAAAAATAATCAATGGAATTGAAAGGTTAAAGGATTTGTCATTGGCCTAGAAAACAGTGGGGGGTGGCAAACATACGGAAGTGATAACAAAACTGAAATGCATGGCTGTGGAGTGTAGAATACTGGGGAAAATCAAAGTG
Source organism: Homo sapiens (assembly GCF_000001405.40). Lineage (NCBI taxonomy): Eukaryota > Metazoa > Chordata > Mammalia > Primates > Hominidae > Homo > Homo sapiens. The sequence goes on from NC_000007.14 coordinate 134,665,254, forward strand.
CACATATACACCATGGAATACTATGCAGCCATAAAAAATGATGAGTTCATATCCTTTGTAGGGACATGGATGAAATTGGAAACCATCATTCTCAGTAAACTATCGCAAGAACAAAAAAACAAACACCGCATATTCTCACTCATAGGTGGGAATTGAACAATGAGATCACATGGACACAGGAAGGGGAATATCACACTCTGGGGACTGTGGTGGGGTTGGGGGAGGGGGGAGGGATAGTATTGGGAGATATACCTAATGCTAGATGACACATTAGTGGGTGCAGCGCACCAGCATGGCACATGTATACATATGTAACTAACCTGCACAATGTGCACATGTACCCTAAAACTTAGAGTATAATAAAAAAAATAAAATAAAATAAAATAAAAATTAATGAAAAAAAAAAAAAAAAAAAAAAAAGTGCAGCTTTGACCACTGGGGCAGAAGTGGACTTACAGGGCTCATTGGGAAATAAGCAGGCATTGGTCTTCAGGCAGCTTCCAGTCCTTCATCTAAAGGGCTTTTTATTTTATTTTATTTTTTATTTTTATTTTTTTAAGTTGGAAGTATGAAACTGAATGACCTTTTCTTTTCTTTTAGAGATTAATGACATTTTCTTTTCTTTTCTTTTCTTTTCTTTTTTAGACAAAGTCTCGCTGTGTTGCCCAGGCTGGAATGCAGTGGTTCGATCTTGGCCCACTGCAACCTTCGCCTCCTGAGTTCAAGCGATTCTCATGCCTCAGCCTTCTGAGTAGCTAGGATTATAGGTGTGTACCACCACACCTGGCTAATTTTTGTAATTTTTTAGTAGAGATGGGGTTTTGCCACGTTTGCCAGGCAGGTCTCGAACTCCTGGCCTCAAGCGATCTACCCACCTCAACCTCCCAAAGTCTGGGATTACGGCATGAGCCACTGCGCACCTGGCCATTAATGACATTTTAAAGTAGCCTTACATTATAACTCCTATCCCTATTACCATAAACAGGCTTTATAGAAAATGTTTTTATTTGGGGGATAATTGATGTAAAACAGTGGGGTTGGTGTAGAAAGAAGTAAATTGTAGGAAATGACTTCAGTAGGAAGTATGTGAACACAGAAAAAGACATGGGCTGCCAGAGAGGGAGGTATCTATGAGAGAGGTAGAGAATAAAAATGATGGGGTTGATGACCAAGGAGGATGGCAGATAGAGGGAAAAAATGGCAGAAAAGCCAGAACATGCAGTTAGGATAAGACCATAGCCTAGAAAACTAATGGAATGGATGTGAGGATCCGGATTTGTCCACAGGAAAATAGAAGGATGGTTTGTAATCTTGATTCTCACCCATTCTGGATATGATGACTTTGTTCCTTTTTGGCCTATAGTACCTCCTGGTGGTACTCCAATTAACACTAATGGAGTTCTTAGATGTTGCTGTAGTTCTCTACTGTGACTTAACTCCCACACCTAACATGGAAGAAATTATGTCATGTGCATGAAATAGGCTGGATTGGATTTCAGGATCACTGCATAAGTTATTGTCTCTAAATGTCAATCTGTGTTAGTAAAGTTTCTCTTACAGTGTCTATTGAAAAATAAGGTCCCAAGTATTCTTTTTCACAACTGCAAGAATTAAGCATAAGTGACTTTCTCAAGATCAGAAGACATAGTATGTCATCATATTTTTTTCACATCATTTCTGTTAATTTAGTGAGATTTTAGCCCTTTCAAAATTGATTGTAGATGTATTCACTCACCAGAATAGGCATGTTAATCTAATGTTAGTCCTCTTGTATTGCATGTCTAACTTTCCACAGCTCAAGTTACAGGGTTTGTGTGCTTCTTGGTAACTTACCAACCTAAAAGAAAGCATTTCATTGGATTTAGATGCTAACTTTTCAAGACTCAAAAAATTAAGTGAATCTCCCCTACTGTTTAGGGGGGAAATAAAGGTTTTCTTTTATAGGAAGGACTGCTTTGCCAGTTCATGTGTATGTGTTTATGGTGGTACAAAATATAAGTTACCATCTTAATTGCCAATTTATGCTTACTATCAAGTTACATGATCATACATGCCCATTTTGTGGTTAATGCCTGTTGTCCGAATGTAATTATTAATAGCATCTCCTTTTACTTTCAAAAGTGCCCCAGTCTGGATGATAAATTATGTGGTTACCTCACTATAAAAATATTGAGCTGGGTGTGGGGTCACGCACCTGTAGTCTCAACTACTAGGGAAGCGGAGGCAGGAGGATTGCTTGTGCCTAGGCTTGAGATCAGCCTGGACAACATAGTGAGACCCCATTTTAGAAAAATAAAAACGTAAAAATGAAGACGTTAGCTTTCACTACTGTTAAGAATTGAATCTAGAAATGGGCATAACCAGGGTTTTATATTTCCTGTAAGCACAAAAGTTGCTAAATTTCTTTGCATTTATTATAAAAGTAAAAACACTTGTGGCTGCAGATTCATCTGGTTCCAAGCCGTGCTTTCTAGAGATGTTTATGTAAACTTCTCCCATATAAAATGGGCTCTTTCAAGGGACTGGAGTAATTTTTCCCTATTTTGTCTCTAAACTGCTTGACAAGCTAAAAAAGTTTTACCTACTGGGGCGGAGTGTGGTAACGGATAGCATCAATGACAGCATACTGTCCTATCAGAAAAATACTTTCTTATTGTTTGAAAACTAGGGTGGGAAGAATCATGACCCCAGTTAAATAACTAATTAGAATATTGGTCTATGCTGAAATCTCAAATTGCTTTAAGATCTTTCTACTAAGAGTATGCTAGTATTACTCATCTCCTCTTAGGTCTAGTCTTAGAGGTGTCATCCATATACCTCAACAGTAAAGAGTGTTGGTTCTGAAGATGTTAGTTGTTTCTCAGATATTTGATATTATGACACTGTAGGCAGTCATATCCTGACTGATGCTTTCTCCATTTGTGGAAAAGAAGACAGGTGCTGTTGGAGGAAACTGAAATCTAAAGAGACTCTAGATTCCTTGGCCGTGATCATGGTAATTAGTTGGCATCAAGAACTCTACTCAAAACTCAGTTCACTGAGGCTCCACACACAGTTATCACCTGGGCTTTAAAACTTTTTTCTAAAAGGTAGCCTTTCCCTTGACCTATTCTTTGTTTGGAATACTGTGTTTTAAGAAGCTGAGTCAAGAACATCCATGGCAGGTAAACTATAAAAAGGTAATTTAATGCAACTAATTGAGTCTTAAATTATTACTGCTGTTATAACATTGTGGTCTGAATGGCACACTCTAGCATAGCTATACGGGATGACCTTTATTCAGTGCATACTGCATGCCAAGCACAGTTTTAGGCATTTTACGTACACATGTTGTTTTATGTAGGAACTAGAACATGGCTCTGAACTCACTGGAAAGCTATGGTTCAATACTGCGTTTTACTTTGCTGTTTAGTATATCCTGGTCATATTTTTTATTTCATTTGATCAATCATTGATCACTAAGCTGTTTTGCTTAAAGAAACTGCTTTAGTAAAAAGAAGCAAACTATTGATACACCCATCATCATGGATGAACCTCAGCTGCATTTTGCCAAGTGAAAGAAATTGGGCTAAAAAAGCTGTGTATTGTATGATTCCATTTATGTGCCATTTGGGAAAATATAGAACTATCGGGAAATAACAGATTGGTGGGGTAAGAGTAGGCTGCTGGGGGCACAAGGAAATTTTAAGGGGTTGATAGAGCTGTTTTATATCCTGATTGGTTATTACACTACTGTATGCAGTTGTCAAAACTCATAGAACTGTATGCTAAAAAGGGTGACTTTTGCTATATGTAAATTATACCTGAAAAAAGACTTGCTTTATCCAGTGAACTCACCATTGCCTTAATTGGGACCTTACCTTTTGTTCACAAAGGTAATAGACTACATTAGTCAATTAGGAGAATTAAGTGAAGGGTTGAAGGTTTGCTATATGCACCTATCTGTGCCTTTGAAAACTAACCTGGAGGGCATTTGTTATGCTTTCTCAAGGCTTCAGGAGCCATCTGGTTCTGACTTTAGCACCTAAACCATGGTCATTATAGGGAACTGCCTTTTAAAGTCCTTCTTCATGAGAAGTTATGTTTGAGAATCTTGCTAATGTTATAGGTTGAAAGCTCCTCTAATAAAGGTTTTTTTTATTTTTTTATTTTTTTATCCCAGACTATCTCTGCTTATTATCATCAATTTCTTTAGCCTTAATTGGGCCTTCCATCCCCTCCTTTTTCTCTTGTAACAACCTAGTCTAGGAGCGGGTCAACAAGGACCTCCTGGAGTCAGCGCAGATGAATGGTACACTGAGAGGCAAGTGATACTGATTCGGAGCTAGATAACACTCTTGTATAAGAATTGCAAACACTGAAACCACATGTCAGTGCCTAAGACAGGCTTCCTGGCTGATGGGGATGACCTCTCCCCTGTCAAATGACTTATTTATATAATATCTCTGCTCATAAATCATATATGCTTTTGAGATTGCTTTACTTTTAATCTGATGATAGTTAATGCTTTCGGAAGAAGTCAAAACAAGACATACAGAATATTATATAGTAAAAAAATGCCTACTTAAGGGACTGCTTTACTGGCTTTTAGAAGTACCATTATTATGCTAATAAGTCCAGGTTAAAAAGCAGGGCCCACCTCTGACTGGTTCAGACACACTTCTCACAAAGCACCACCGTGAAAACATCTAACGCAGACCTAAGTATCTGAAAGCATCCTGTACTGTAGCGTTCCAGACAGGCGTGTGTTTCATTCTCTGTGGTTGGCATAGTCACTTCCTGTTTGTTTCCTGCTGGCGCACGTCCAAGGAAAAGCCAGGTACCAAACTGAAACACTGGATGTAGTCTGCATCTTGCCAGAGGAAATGGATTGTTTAGTCTGGGTTTAAGCACAGGACGAGGCAGTTTCAAGTTTGGAGTAAGAGTGACACACAAGACACTCATGCAAGACAGACTTGATCCCTGAAGACCTGTGTGCAGCTGCATACATAGCAAGGCACAGAAGTGCTGAGATAAAATTAGAGACTCAGGGAGGAAAGGTCAGCTGGGACTAGCTGTGGGGACGGGGACTGATGAGTTGGTTACCTTTGGCATTTTAGTGTGATATTTTCAGAAGCAGCCAATTCAGGCCTCGCTTCTGTGAGGCAAGTAGTTGCCTATTGGTGTGGTTAAGCTTTCTTTTATAATAATTGATTTATAGAACCCTTTATTTTTTAAACATTATAGGCTATTTTAACTATAAAATTAAACGTAGAATGGATTCTTCTCTCTGCCTTACTCTAAATTAGTGGCTGTTATTTTATCGTGTTATTCAAATCACCCTAGCATATCTTTACATATATAGTATTCAGATCTTAAAGAATTAAAATTAAAAATAGATCATTTATGAAACTCTGAATCTCTAGTTTCAGCTCTTATTGGCCATAAAGGAATACAGAACTCTTATCACAGATTGTCGGTGGGGTTTGAATTGTGACTTACTTGACCAGGAGAGGAAAGTGAGGAATGAATGGGTGGCACCTTATTAAATGAATGAGTTGACTGGAGTTGTTTCCCTTTTTTTTCTAATTCCAAAGAGTATACACTACCGAATTGGGGTTTCTTCTTTCCTTCTCATCCTGTAGCGAATCTTTCTGTCTCTCTGACCATCTCTTCTGGTTTTCTAAAATTCAAAGATTTTGAACACTTTGGAGAAAATCAAAGAACATCTAAAGCCATTTAATTTGAATTGTTTATTTTATTGGCACTAGATGTAAACAGCTTTTTGTTCAAGGCTAAGATTCTTTTAATTCTCCTTTTTTTTTCTTGGTAAGGTCATAGGAGAGCACAGTGTTTAATCAAGGCTTCAACAATAAAAGACTAGATTTAATTTGAAAACCCAGAGAGTTCGAATTTATTCAATTCAGGTTTGCACCTAGGGTTCACTAAATCAGGTCTTGTTCATGGTACAAGGGATATAGCACCTATATGTGAATGAGACACACAAGGTCCTTTTGTGGAGCTTTTAACCTCTTTCTGAAATTTGTCTGTACTGTACCTCTGACAAAGTCCTTAGGGTGTTTTCATATATAGGCTTTATGTTTTAGGATTTTTAAATTAACATTTTGTTCTTTTTTTTTTTTTTTTGAGATGGAGTCTCGCTCTGTTGCCCAGGCTGGAGTGCAGTGGTGCAATCTGGGCTCACTGCAAGCTCCACCTCCCAGGTTCACGCCATTCTCCCACCTCAGCCTCCCAAGTAGCTGGGACTACAGGTACCCGCCACCACGCCCGGCTAATTTTGTTTTTGTATTTTTATTAGAGACGGGGTTTCACTGTGTTAGCCAGGATGGCCTCGATCTCCTGACCTCGTGATTGCCTGCCTCGGCCTCCCAAAGTGCTGGGATTATGGGCATGAGCCACCACACCCAGCCTAACATTTTATTCCTTATAGCCTTTAGTTATATGTAAAAAGTAGATTCACATAATAAATACAGCTGTAATTACTTAGTGGATCATATTACTGAATAATTTCTGGACCCTAGCAGCCAAACCATAAAAGTGTTACTTACAGTTGAATAAACATTTACTAAATCTTGCAGTGGGTAAAGCACTGTGTTGTAACAGCATGGGTGATACAGAAATGGATCAAACATTGTTCCTGCTCTCAAGGAATTTATAATCCTGGTGGGAAAAGTGAGCATTTGCACAAGCACCTCTACCAGGAGGTGCTTTAGTAGATGTACAGTGTACATAACAGTTTGTCTTTGGTTCCTGTTCCTGCTATGGTGACTTAGGGGAGGGGGTTGGTAGGTGCAAATTTGACTTCCTGAAGTTATTCCTCTATGCAGAAAATAAAGTTGTTTGACTTTCTCCCCAATTTTGGCCTTGAGCTACTTCCTGGACTTATTACCCCAAACTTTCATTATTTCTTCCTTAAAATATCCCATTATTTAAATTGACTGCAGTTAGCTCCTAGGTGCTTCTACATGAAGATTCGATACTTAAAGGCAGACTTTAAGTATTTAACACAGACTTAAAGACTTTAACACAGACTTAAAGACTTCAACACAGACTTAAAGGCAATGGTGGACCCTTAAAGACAAGGGTAGCTGTGAAGGGAAACACCACTGAGTTCTCACCCTGCACCTGCTCCTCTCCACCCTACTGTAGAACACAGTGCCTTGCCCATTGCAAGAATTTAGTGAATGTTTGTTCAACTGTAAGTAACACTATTATGGTTTGGCTGCTAGGGTCCAGAAATTATTTAGTAATATGGTCCACTAAGTAATGACAACTGTATTTAACTCCACACCACTGTGGAGAGGGGTAGGTACAGGGTGAGAACTCAGCAGTGTTTCCCTTTTCAGCCAACCCTGGAACAATATGGATTTGAACTGCATAGGTTCACTTATACATGGATTTTTTCCCAAAACAACTTGGATCAAAAATACTACACTTGCTAGATGTGAAATCTGTATATACATAAGGCTGATAGGACTAATTCAGTTTGGTTTAATATAGTTCAGATGCATTATTCTGGCCTTAGGAGCTCTGCCTGCTTAACTTTCTTAGGATGATGAATGTAACTTATGCCAAAATTGAGTAATGAGTAATGGCTTCACTGTGGTTTTTCCTAATTTGCTGTTTTAAAATTTTAGTTGGCCGGGCGCGGTGGCTCACACCTGTAATCTCAGCACTTTGGGAGGCCGAGGCGGGCAGATCACGAGGTCAGGAGATAGAGACCATCCTGGCTAACATGGTGAAACCCCATCTCTACTAAAAATACAAAAAAGTAGCCGGGTGTGGTGGCGGGCACCTGTAGTCCCAACTACTCTGGAGGCTGAGGCAGGAGAATGGCGTGAACCCAGGAGGCGGAGCTTGCAGTGAGCTGAGATCGCGCCACTGCACTCCAGCCTGGGCGACAGAGCGAGACTCCATCTCAAAAAGAAAATAATAATAATAAAATAAAATAAAACAAAATTTTAGTCACTTAAGTCTCATTGACTGATTATTAACCAGTCTAAGTATTTTAAATATTTGTAAGTAATTAGTCTGCTGTGTGAATGGCTTGAGTAGTCATTAAAGTGGAATGTTGATTTTATTTATTTATTGGAAACATTTCTATTTTTGTTGAACTCTCCTTCCTTTGTAGTTGAAATATTACGGCGGCCTTTGTTTATTTGGCTCTTTAATTTGGTCCCACACAAAAGGGACCAAACTTGAGAGTGCTGCTATTAAACAGGGGACCTGTTGGATCCGGTTAGATCTGAGGCCATGGTCAAACAAGTGAATCCCATGTATACCCAAGCCCCTTGCTGAAGACCTGGAACTCGTTTCTAAAGTCACAGACAACAACCCCTAAACATGGCCCATCATAATCGCAGTGTGTTAGCTGGGGATCAGACAAACTTATTCATTCCCTTTACCAGTCGTGGGAACACTGGATGGCATCAGCAGATGTCCATTTAGGACCCAGCCTTTCACGAGGGCAGAGCATTCATATAAACATTCTTCTCTCTCCTCCTCAGTAGTCGTGGAAATAACCATGGATAAGTCACCTGACCAGGGTTTAAATCCTGGGGATTTGGTAGTTTAAAAAGGTCCATTTTTACTGCCTTAATAGTCCTGTGAGTAGAGCAGGTTTTTATTTAACCACTCTGGATCTGTTTCCTTTTTTTTTTTTTTTTTTTTTTAAATTGAGACAGAGTCTTGCTGTGTCACCCAGGCTGGAGTGCAATGGCACAATCTCGGTTCACTGCAACCTCCACCTCCCAGGATCAAGCAATTCTCCTGCCTCAGCCTCCCAAGTAGCTGGGATTACAGGCGTCCACCACCACGCCTGGCTAATTTTTGTATTTTTAGTAGAGACAGGGTTTCACCATGTTGCCCAGGCTGGTCTTGAACTCCTGACCTCAAGTGATCCACCCACCTCAGCCTCCCAAAGTGCTGAGATTAGAGGCATGAGCCACTGCGCCCAGCCCTGTTTACTATTTTTTAACATCTTTATTGCGTTATAATTCACATACTATGCAATTCGCCATTTAAAGTATACAATTAAATGGCTTTTAGTGTATTCACAAAATTGTAAATCCATTACCACAATCAATGTTGGAACATTTTCACTACCCTAAAAAGAAACCCAGTGCCCCTTAGCTGTTATCACCCCCCCAGTTCCTCCCCTATTCCACCCAGCCCTGGGCAACAACTAATCTACTTTGTGTCACTATAGATTCACCTGTTGTGGACATTTCATGTAAATGGACTTATGCAGTAAGTGGTCCTTTGTGACTGGCTTCTTTTATTTAGTAGCATCATGCTTTCAAGATTCATCCAAGAACCTTGTTGTGGTTTGGTTCAGTACTTCATTCCTTTTCATTGCCAAATAATATTCTATTGTATGGATATACCACATTTAATTTATCTGTTCATTAGTTAATGGACATTTGTGTTGTGTTCACTTTTTGACTATTATGAGTAATGCTGCTATGAAGGTTTGTGTACAAGTTTTGTATAGACTCATATTTCACTTCTCTTGGGTATATGCTTAGTAGTGGAATTGCTGGGTCATATGGTAGATCTGTGTTTAACAAAAGGAATTGCCAGACTGTTTTCGAAAGAGGCTATAGCCTTTTGCATACCTGATTTTACAGTGTATTATGATTCCAGTTTCTCCACATCCTTATTCACACTTGTTTATAATCTGACTTTTTATTGTTGCCATCCTAGAGGGTACAAAGTAGTATCTCATTGTGGTTTTGATTTGCATTTCCTTGATAGCTAGTAATATTAAGCCTATTTTTATGTACTTATTGACCTTTTGTATATCTTTGGAGAAATGGCTGTTTAAACCTTTTGCCCATTTTTAAATTTGATCATTTGTCTTTTTATTATTGGAGACAGTTCTTATATCTGATAAGGAACTTGTATCTAGACTATATATGATATACAAATTTTTCTCCCATTCTCTGGGTTGCCTTTTTATGTTCTTAATAGTGTCCTTTGAAGCACAAACATTTTTAATTTTTATATACCCAGTTTATTTTTTTCTTGTGTATGCTTTTGGTGTCATATCTGAGAAACCATTAATTAACTCAAGGTGATGAAGACTTTACTCCTATGGCTTTTTTTCTAAAAATTTTTACAATTTTAGCTCTTGACTCTAAGTCTTTGATTCATTTTGAGTTAATTTTTATATAAAGTATGAGTCAGGGGTCCAACTTCATTCTTTCACATATGGATATACAGTTATCCCAGTACTATTTGTTGAAAAGATTATTGTTTCTGCATTTCATTGTCTTGGCACACTTGTTGGAAATCAATTGATAAAAAATATGAGGGTTTATTTTGGGTTCCCAATTCTATTTCATTGATCTGTGTGTATCTTGATTACTATAGCTTTGTAGTAAGTTTTGAAATCAGGAACTATGAGTCCCTTGGTTTATTTCTTCTTTTTCAAGATTGTTTTGGCTATTCTGAGTACCTTAGATTTCCATATGAACTTTAAGATCAGTTTGTCAATTTATACAAAAAAGTCCATTGAGATTTTTGATAGGATTGTATTGAATCTGTATGTTAATTTAGGAAATATTGCCCTCTTAACAGTGTTATGTCTTCTAATCCATAAATACATATTTAGGTTTTCTTTCATTTGAACACTGTGTTGTAGTAGTCAGAGTATAGTTTTGTACTTCTTAGGTTAAATTTATTTTTAGCATTTTATTCTTTTTGATGTTATTATAAATAGAATTGTTTGCTTAATCTTTCATGTTGCTTATTGCTACTGTATTAAAAACCCAATTTCCTTTTCTGTATTGTTCTTATATCTGCAGCCTTGCTGAGTTTATTAGTTCTAACAGGTTTTTGGTGGGATCATACCATCTGCAAATAGAGATAGTTTTACTTCTTCCTTTCCAATCTGGGTGCCTTTTATTTCATTGTCTTGCCTAGTTGCCCTAGCTAGGATCTTAAATACAATGTTGAATAGAAGTAGAATGTTCAGTCATTCTACAATAAAGTCCTAGGTTCAAGAACTTAAGATTAATAGTTGGTGACACTGCAAAGGCACACATCTATGAGTGGTGAATCCAAGATGCTGATAGATATATACACTCATAGTTTCTACTTCTGGTAAGCTTTAGTCAAACATGGTCACTTTTGTTATCTTTTAACAAATTAATTTTTTATAGTGAAAATTTAGATTATTTGGAGAAATCTATAAAATCCATTTTTCTCTCCAATTTAGTGAGCAATATGCTTACAGACTCTGGAAACAGATAAAGCATGGTCCTTGCACAGTAGATGAATGTAAACAGTACTCAGTGTACTCATGCTCTTGTGTCTCTAAGGTGCCTCTGCTTTTCTTAACCATTAAGAATAAAATACAGGAATGTTGGTGCTAGAGGGACTTATTTTATAAATGAAAAAATAGTTCATTGGAGGTAAAATCTTGGCCAAGGTCACTCACACATGTTCTTCCACAGAGTACTAGGAATATAAAGGGCCCTCAGTTACTAGTTAGTGAATGAGTTAGGTTTGGAGACCTCCAGAGCTTCCCCTGGATTTGGGAGTGAGCACTGTTGGATTTGAAAGGCTCAGTGGTCACCTGACTCCAAACAACAGGCTGTTGACTTCCCCTCCTGCTCTTTCCAAGGGATGTTTGTGGTGGCTGTTGTGCGGCTAGCTGACATTTCTGGCCTGTTGAAGCCAGAAGGTGTTTAGAATCTAGAGTAGTCATCTCCCTGCTAAACAGCTAGAGGTCTGGTCTGAGTAGATTTGTTCTCAGCAGCTGTAGTTTGTGATGGTAATCTTCTCTAAGGTTGCAGTGTGAGGGTGGGGCTTGGCAGGGCAAAGGAGTATCTTAGTAGCCTTCCCATTAAATCTGCTACCTAGAAGGGAATTCCTAATAGAGAAAGAAGAGACACTTATTGTGCTACCCTTTGTTCATGTATGTTCTCTTTTAAGCCACCCCTTTTATCCCACAACCCTTTAAAATGCTGGCAAAGGAAGAGTGTGTGTTTCTTTTCTTTCTTTCTTTCTTTTTTAATTGACAGGAGAATTGGAGGTCCAGAGAAGTTACTTGCCTAAAATTCTGTATTACATTGAAGGGGTACTGGCAGGGCAGGTGATGGGACAGTACACTTACTTGGAAGAGACTGTGTCTTCTGAGTTAAGATCCTTTCCATTTTTCATAGTTGTTTGAGTATGGATAGTTTGTGTATAAGAGTTATTAGGGAGCTCTTCTAGGCCTTGACGTGAAATTCTAATAAAGAGCCACCCCAGCAGTAAGCATCCAGTGCTACGATTCTGTGACTGTTTGGCTGGTGCTCACAGTTAGGATCAATGGCTAATTAAAATGAAAAGGTGCATTGATTACTAACCAATAACAACTTATTCTGCCACTCTCAAGTAAAGACAAACCCTTGGACTCCCCTGAACTTGTTTCACCTAGGTCCTTTCTGTTAATATAGAACAGGAAGCATATAGTTAGAATTTAGAAGTCTATGTGATTAATAAAGGAGTGTTTTTAAAGTAGATAATTTGAATACTTTCAGTTGTCTTTTAGCTTGCTGAACTTCATCTCTTTCTCATGCCTTCCCTTTGCTCACTTTGAACTCAGAAACTTGAGAGGAGTTACATTATACAGTGGGTACAGACCCCTAGGTTTGAATCCAGGCTCTGTCATTTACTCTCTGTGTGATAATTGTTTACTTAACCTCTCTGTGCCAGAACTTGTTACATGGAGAAATAATATGTCATCATATTGCAATGATGATTAAATGAGTTAATACATACAAAATGCTTAAAAGAGTACCTGGCATGAAATATGAACTCAGAACATGTTAGCTGTTTATTGTTAAAAGTACTTATAAAGAATATTATTACTACCACTGCTACTACAACTACAGCTCTTCTGGTCCAAGTTGAATTACCTGTAATTCAGTTGTACTTTAAAAAGGGCTAAAGGTGGCTTGTGTTTTATATATACCTTCCTTTTTTAGCAGCTGGAATGTTCAGGGATCATAGGAGAGCGAGCCCTGTTCACAGGCATGCTGTAAAATCCCTTCCTGATTCCCTTGACTGTGCTTTCTAAGCACCTGGGAAAGCATTCCTGTTGGACTGGATCTAGCTCAGGGTATTGCAAGCTCACTTAGTGTGGGAAAACCAAACACATTTTAAGCAAATGAACTAGATTTAGAGATTAGCGAAAAGTCCTAATTTTAGTACCAGCCTGGGTACAACACATAAAAGGAGAAATACAGCCAATGCTCCTGGTTCACTTTCTGATTTTTCGAGATTACCTGATTCCTTGGAAAACTAGTAACACAAATGTGGGCATAGAGAAAATAATTTTCCTTCCTTTCGGATTTAGATAGGAAACAGGAACAGATTGTCCCAAAAGGTATCTACTGTCCTGATGTAGCACTTGCTGTGAATCTCTAAGCCTTTTTTCTTGTAATTTCTGGAAAGTTCCTGGCTTCCAGGAATTATAGCTGGAATCCCTCAGTACCTGCATGTTTCAGGCACACAGTTAAATGGGATTAAAGTGCAGTTATATAATTAAACAGAACTTCCTCCTGAGTTGTGTTTTAACACCTGGTCTCTTCCTGTCCTGATCAACAGGTATCTCAGATGAAGACATCATCAACATTACTCTTCCTACTGGAGTCCCCATTCTTCTGGAATTGGATGAAAACCTGCGTGCTGTTGGGCCTCATCAGTTCCTGGGTGACCAAGAGGCGATCCAAGCAGCCATTAAGAAAGTAGAAGATCAAGGAAAAGTGAAACAAGCTAAAAAATAGTCTTTCTCAACTGTTGGCTAAGAAGAAATGCAAAAGAAGTGGCATAGGAGTGTGTTATGGGTGCTGAACTCTCTCTCTTTTTCCCCGATTTTCCAGAGCTAGGCTGTGGAGTAGAGTTTGTATAGGTAACTAGGTAACTTATTGTGGCCCAGATAAGGCTTTAGGATGCCTCAGTGCTTATGTCATAGCCTTATGAGTTAGCTTTCTTGCTAGCCCCCTAGTCGGTCACCAAACTAGTAACTAGTGGGGCTTAATGAAGGTCATAAGTTTCTGAGATGGGAGAGCAACAAGTAGAGATGAAGTTAAAGGTATTTATCATTCAAGAAATCATTATTGAGTCACCATTGACAGGCACTATTCTAATCAGTAGTTCACTTTAATATTTAATAAGATTTTCTGGGATAACAGTAAGGGATATTAGATAATATACCGTATGTATTTATTACTAGTCTTTTCCTCTAGGAAAAGGGATACTTTGATAATTAAGGCCAGAGGCCCATTAGTTGAGAAAGTCACAGATATATTTCTCCAAGAAAGCCAACAACCACCACCACAATGACAGAAATGACAACAAGGCCCTTTAACTTGTCTTCTAGTTTAGAGACATCCTTCATTTGACATTTAGTAGAATTCCTCTTTGGCCACAAGAATAAGCAGCAAATAAACAACTATGGCTGTTGAGGTTCTCATTTTGGTTTGTTTTAATTTTTTGAACTTTGGGTACCTGTAATTAGTTTAAAAATAAAGTTCCTGATAATAAAGTGACTGAAAATGGCATCCCCAAAGTGTCTCCGTGTGTTTGGTGAATTTTAGGTAGGCTTCTAAACTAGTCTTTGACTCATACTTTCCTGTAACACTCAAAGAAAGAATTGCACTTATTTCAACACAACAGATACTCATGATTTTCTATATGTTGAAGCATGAAGCAGGGAAGGTAGAATACAGTGCATGTAACTTCATTCACATAAGCAGAGGGAATGGTATATTGGGGCTTGTGACATAAATTTGTTCATTAACTAACTGATGGCAAAAGATTATGGTATGTAGCACGGAGCAGTCAGGGTAGGCCATGGACACGATTGCATATCTGTCTTAATGATACTCTTTTGCACTATGTTTTAGATGCTGTGGGTACGTAAGTCATCATTTCTTTAAGCCGTTGACTCTGTTTCAAAGCAGGTCACATATATTTCGATGATAAAGTCATGTAAAACATTTGTAGCTATAATACCTGTTATAGATATTTTCCATTTTTTTCATGGTTTTTCATTGGATTAGTTTATTTTTATCCACTTTATAGTACAATTGGCATTTGAAGAATACTAACTTTAAAGTATTTTTGCTACTGCTTTGTCTCCATTTGATTATTAACGCAAGACTTTTAACGATTAGCCAAAGAAGATGGTTGAAAAGAAGAACCTGCTCTGCCTGCAGCTGGCCACATCTGTGATGCATAAGGACATGGAATGTGGATGCTTTACATTTATTAATTACCTACTATTGGTTTCTCTAGTGTAGCCCCTTCGTTTTAGTGGTGTTGATTAACCAAGTAATACTCTAGAATTCAAATATCAGGGTCAAGAATGCAACTACCAGATGATGTTCGTAGAATTCCAAACCTATGGCTAGGCTGCCATAGTGATATTCACACCATTTTTGAATATCATCATCTCTGGAACTGGCCTCTGAGTTTTCCAGCCCAAGGGGTGACCATGTCTTAATGTACTTCAAGATCCTAGAGTTGGATTCTTCCATTGTCCTGCATCAAGGTATCTTCTTCCAGGGAACCTTCTGGCAGCATGATGTGCTTCTGCACACAAAGCAACTGTCATATCCAGTCACTTTAGAATCTCACAGGCTTCCCAAGAAAAGGATGATTTTTGCTAATACAGTACTCTGTGATACAATTTGGTCTTACTGTTTTTGAGATCTTGGCTGAAAAAATATGAACAGAAGAGCCTTTTTTTTTTTTTTTTTGAGACGGAGTCTCACACTTTTGCTTAGGCTGGAGTGCAGTGGCACGACCTCGGCTCACTGCAAGCTCCACCTCCCGGGTTCATGCCATTCTCCTGCCTCAGCCTCCCGAGTAGCTGAGACTACAGGTGCCCGCCACCACACCTGGCTAATTTTTTGTATTTTTAGTAGAGATGGGGTTTCACCATGTTAGCCAGGATGGTCTCAATCTCCCAACCTCGTGATCCACCCCCCTCGGCCTCCCAAAGTGCTGGGATTACAGGCGTGAGCCACCGTGCCCGGCCAAGACATTTTTTTAAATGTCACTTAAAATTAGTTAACAACTCCAGCACTTCAACCTTAGGATCACCTAGTGAACCTGTTTTCTTTGCATTGTTAACAGTTTATCCAGAATTTCTGATGCAGGAATCTTGAAGGCTGCTTATTCTCTATCCCAGTCTTGGCATCCTTCTATTCTGAGGCTGGGACAGAAATTAGGGATTTATTTTCTCCTATAAAAAAAAAAGAGGGAATGACAATGACCAGCCCAGCCATGGTGGCCCCTGCCTGTAATCCCAGCACTCTGGGAGGCTGAGGCAGGAGGATTGCTCGAGCTGAGAAATTCGAGAGCAGCCTAGGCAACATAGCAAGACTTTGTCTCTACTGAAGAAAAAAAAGACAGCCTATCTAGGAATTAGGTCCTTGGAGGAGGCAGCCTATCCTGCTGCCAGTTTACGCTTTCCCTGGAGCCAGCTATGCATGTCTCCTCTGCCCAGGCTGAGATGATTGTCCCATGTGGGTCAGTGTGGCAAGATAAAGGCAATAGCAACATCAGCTGCTCCCAGAGTTTTAACTTTTAAAAAGCCTCTCAAACTAGTACCGTATCCCAGTACACTGAGAATGGTTTTTCTAAAAGAGCAGTACTGCATCAGAAGAGAAGATTTTGCATTGTGTAGTACCAATATGGGCATCAAATTAACGAAATATCCTTGGTTAGAATACATTATGGCTAATGTATTTTTCCTTGATAAGGTGTGCAAGGAAGATGAATGTGATGATCTATTTCCAAGCTCAACCAGACTCTTTTGCTCAACATTTGTAAGTTATTTCTCATCCCAGGTTGTGACCACGTTTATTAACATGCAGTTCCCAACGTGCACATTAATAACAGTTGTTATTTGTCTCCTGGCCTGGAATTTCGACTTGTATGTAATCTATATTATCTCTGGTTACTATTTAGAAGCCTGTTAGCTTGCTGTGTGTGACTTCTGCAAGATGATGTGGGATAATTTGGTAACTCTGATGTTCAAGTGCATAAAGATGAAAATGTTGCTGAGACTATTTTTACTACGTAATTCTGAAACAATTATGTAGCGTTAAAAATGAGTATAAATGTATTGATGTTATTGTAAGTGAGGTTACTCACCATGGGAGAAGAAAGATACGGAATGGAGGAAGGTAAGGAAGGACCATGTGGTATATTGGTTCTGGATGAGAGGTGTTTGTGTAAGAGTGTGTGTGTGTGTGTGTGTGTGTGTGTGTGTGTGTGTGTGTGTGTGTGTATTTTCCACTCTCTTTCCCCCAAGCCCCTCCCTACTAACTCTGGCTCTGTCTTCTGAAAGGGCCTAGAAACAATAACCCAGAAACAACAAACACACTGAATTCCTTCAATCTTGGTTCATAAACACTATTCCACAGAAGCAGGCATGTTTGGGGAAATGCCTGCTTCCAGGTTTGAGGCAGATGAAGCATAAGGTGAACTTTGAGCACTTTTCTGACTCATCAAGATGTTACAAGACTGATGGGACACAGACATTTGCTTGAAGGACCAAATTTGGGGCAATTTAAAGTAAGAAAAAGAATGATGGTAATGAATTATAGAACATTGAATTCAAAAAATAGTGCCTAAGACCATAAAGGTATTTTTTTAAAGGTGGGGAGAGAAAAAGGAGACATAAATATATACTGTTTCTTTACAGAAGATTGCCAGCTTCCATTGGTAATAATGGATGCAAGCAAGGACTATTAATGGATGCTAAAACCACTGGGCTTTTAGAGAACTGAACATTCGCATAGTCTTATAATAAACTTATTAATTACAAAGAAAAAATGTATCTTCACAATGGAGAGATCCCTTAGACACTACTGCAACCGAGTGATTAACCTTAAAATCTCCAATGGATGGGTCAAATAGATAGTATGTGATTTTATGCATGTCCTTGTTATTATAAATCAGTGGGAGGTACCTATCACTTAGTCTTCTTCCCAAAAACTTTTTATCTAAATCTAATAATGAGAAAGCAATATGACACATTCAAAATACAGGATACCCTAAAAGACAACTGGTTTGGACTTTTAAAAAATATCAAGGCCAAAAAATAAACACAAAAATATGAAGGGACAGTTCCAGATTAAATGACACTATAGGGACATGATAGTGAAATGTAATTCGTGAACTTTAATTGGATCTTTAGCTTGTAAAAATTTACAAAGAATATTTTGGGGCACTTGGGAAAATTAAAATATGTGTCTATGTAGGCTGGGTGCGGTGGCTCACGCCTGTAATCCCAACACTTTGGGAGGCCAAGGCAGGCGGATCACTTGAGGTTAGGAGTTCAAGACCAGCCTGGCCAACATGGTGAAACCCTGTCTCTACTAAGTATATGAAAATTAACCAGGCAAGGTGACAGTCACCTGTAATCCCAGCTACTTGGGAGGCTGAGGCAGGAGAATCGCTTGAACCCGGGAGGTGGACGTTGCAGTGAGCTGAGATCATGCCACTGCACTCCAGCCTGGGCGACAGAGGGAGACTCCATCACCGCCCCCCCCACCGCCGCCACCCTGCCAAAAAAAAAAAAAATCTGTCTCTGTATTAGGTGATAATAAATATTAAATTTATTGGGTATAGCAATGGTATGGTGCCTTGTTCTTAGGAGACAGCTGCTGAAGAATTTAAGGGTAAGGCATCCTGTTATCAGTAAGTCATTTGTAAATGGCTCAGCCAACACAATGTTTCTATATTTTTAGAGACAGAAAGCAAACACCGGTCATTGGTCACTTAATGATGCGACTTGTTCTGAGAAATGGATTCTTAGATGGTTTTGTCATCGTGTGAACATCATAGAGTATACTACACAAACATAAAAAATATGGTTTAGCCTATTGCTTCTACGCTAAAGACTTGTGCAGCATGTTACTGTACTGAATACGGCAGGCAATTGTAATACAATGGTAAGTATTTGTGTGTCCAAACATATCTAAACATAGAAAAGGTACAGTAAAAATACATTATAAAAGATTAAAAAGTGGCACATTTGCGTAGGGCACTTACCATGCATAGAACTTGTGAGAATGGAAGTTGCTCTGGGTGAGTCAGTGAGCGAGTAGTGAGTGAGTGTGAAGGCTTAGGACATTACTGTACACTACAGTAGACTTCATAAACACTATACCCTTTGTCTACACTAAATTTATTTAAAAAATTTTCTTCAATAATAAATTAACCTTAGCTTACTGTAACTTTTAAAAAGTTTTTAATATTTCAAAACCTTTTGACTTTTGTAATAACACATTAAAACAGAAACCTTATTTAACCATATGAAAATATTTTCTTTATGTCATTATAAGTTTCTTTCTTTCTTTTTTTTTTTTTTTTTTTTGAGACGGAGTTTCGCTGTTTCTCCCAGGCTGGAAGTGCAGTAGTGCGATCTTGGCTCACTGCAGCCTCTACCTCCTGGGTTCAAGTGACCCTCCTGCCTCAGCTCCCGAGTAACTGGAATTACAGGCGCACCACACCATGCCTGGCTAATCTTTTGTATTTTTAGTAGAGACGGGGTTTCACCATGTTGCCCAGGCTGGTCTCGAACTCATGGACTCAAGTGATCCGCCCGCCTTGGCCTCCCAAAGTGCTGGGATTACAGGTGTGAGCTACCACGCCCAGCTATAAGCTTCTTCCTATAAAATTTTTTATTTTTTACCTTTTAAACTTTCTTGTTAAAAGCTAAGACACAAATACCACATTAGCCCAGGCCTACACAGGATCAGGATCATCAGTGTCACTGTCTTCCGCCTCCACATCTTGTCCCACTGGAGGGTCTTCAGGGGCACTAACATGCATGGAGCTGTCATCTCCCATGTTAACAATGCCTTCTTCTAGAATACTACCTGAAGGATTTGCCTGAGGCTGTCTTACAGTTAACTAATATTTTTAATAAATAGAAGGAGTATATTCTAAAACGATAAGAAAAAGTATAGTATAGTAAATACAAAAAACACTATCATTTATTATCATTTTCAGGTATTACATACTGTACATCCTTGTATGTGCTATACTTTTGTATGACTGGCAGTGCAGTAGGTTTGTTTACACCAGCATCACCACAAACACATGAGTAATGGCTCATGCTAGGACCTTAGGATGGCTATAAGTCACTGCACAACAGGAATTTTTCAGCCCCATTATAATCTTACATCGTATATGCAGTCCGCTGTTGACCAAAACAGCACATGACTGAGGCACATGACTGTACAGTAAATGTCATAGCTGATGAATTGAGGAAATGATTTGTAATGTTGTATTATTCTACTATCATCTCAGCATTTCTGTAGGTTTGAAATTTTTTTAAAAAACTAGAAAAAATAAAGTGACAGAGGAAAAAATTGGTAAGTTTAACAATGTTGTGTTTAGTATAGTCATTAAAACATGTCTTATTCAGAGTGAGGTGCCTGGTTTTTTTGACTTTTTATTCTTGAAACCTCAGTCTTTGTTAAGTAAGAGAAAGATAAGAGAAAGCCTTCTTCTTTTCTTCTTTTTTTTTTCTGTCTTTTGAGACAGGGTCTTGCTTTGTCGCCCAGGCTGGAGTGCAATGGTGTGATCTTGGTTCACTGCGACCTCTGCCCCCCCAGGTTCAAGCAATTCTTGTGCCTCAGCCTCCCGAGTAGCTGGGATTACAGGTGCCCGCCACCATGCTTGGCTAATCTTTGTATTTTTATTAGAGATGGAGTTTCACCATGTTGACCAGGCTGGTCTCAAACTCCTGACCTCAAGTGATTCGCCCGCCTCAGCCTCCCAAAGTGCTGGGATTACAGGCATGAGCCACCACACCTGGCCCAAGAGAAAGACTTCTTAAGTCTGTATTATCTTGTCAAGAAACAAATTGTATACTTATTTTATTTCTATTATCTTTGAGGCTACAGCTTGCATCAGACCAGCAATGAGCTTGTGTGCTGAAACAACAAATCTGAAACACGATTATGACTGCCATCACCTTGCAGTTAACCAATAGTAATGGAATTCCTTTCTGGATCACGAGGTCAAGAGTTCAAGACTAGCCTGACCAACATGGTGAGACCCTGTCTCTACTAAAAATACAAAAATTAGCTGGGCGTGGTGGCACGTGCCTGTAATCCCAGCTACTCAGGAGGCTGAGGCAGGAGAATCACTTGAACCCGGGAGATGGAGGTTGCAGTGAGCCAAGATCACGCCACTGAACTCCTGTCTGGGCAACAGAGTGAAACTCCATCACAAAAAAAAAAAAAAAAAAAAAATTCTCGTGAACTTAACCCTAACCACACAGTATTGAAGAGGGAATGTCTGCCCAACCACACTGCTTTGTATCTGCCTGAGAGGAAAATTCTCTGGATGTCGTGTTGAACTGGATGGGGAATCAGACAGAGCTGGAGTTTGTATTAGTCAGATTAATTGCATAAAATCTACCCTTAGTGGGAAGACTCTTAGGAGTAATTGAACCTAGACCTTGACATATGTAACCTCTGAAGCAGAGGGGCAAAGGCCAACACATAGCTCTGCAACACAATTGAGGCTATGTAATCCATCCCGACACTCATTCTGTAGAATACTCATTAGAATTCTCCAGACCTAAGGCCGCTGGCCATAGGTTAGCTAGTCAGTATTTTTATCTCTGAGGATGCCTGCTAGGATCCTGGGATTGGATTGCAGGGAATGTTACTTGTAGCTGGAATTCCAGGTACTCTCCCAGGAGTCTTGGTATTTTATATCGTTTTTAAAATCTTTGTTTCTGTACGTAGACACTGGGGGTCAGTATTTATTCATAAATGCCTCTGGATATTTATGACAAAAGATTGTTTCTAAAGAGGCTTGGAATTCCTTCCTCGGTGCGACTTCTTTCCCTGATTATTAACTATAGAGTTTACCCTATGTAACCATAAAATGTAAATATAAACATCATAGATGTCCATGGATCAGAATATGGGAAAGGGGCAGGCAGTTTTCCATCTAAAATACGAATGAATACCAAGTACTCGTTTGTTTCTAGACACTTGTTTGGCAATGTTGGTCCCACCAGTGCACCCAGATGTCTAGCCAGCATCTTGACAATCACCCTTGACTTTTCTTCTTCTGATGGTTATGAAGTCCTGCTGATTCCGTCACCTCTTACCTTGCAAATTCATCCCCTCTCCATCCCCACTGTTCTGCCTTGAGTTAAGCCCTCATCTTTTCTCTTTCAACATTTCAGCAGCCTTCTAGCTGATCCCCTTGCTTCCGCTTTTACTCTCCTCTAGTCCTCTCCAGACAGTCGTCAGGGTAATTCTTCAGACCTTCAGAGGTCCAGCACCCCTCCTAGGCTCTGCCTTTGCACCCGCTGTCCCCTTGGCCTTGAACTACCCTCCATCACCCACCCCACCTTGCCCTCTTTTCATTGCCTGCCTAATATCTGCTCATCTTTCAGGGTTCGTAACAGTCTCCTGTGGAGCCCTGTGATCGACTCTTGCTGGATCTGGCTTGTTCACTTGTCTGTTCGCTTCACTGGCAGGAGAACTGAATGGATTTAAGTCTGGGTGCCAGCCAAAGTCATGCAAACTTAAACTCCAGAATTCCCTAGAATTATCCACTTGGGGGGCCAAACTGCCCACTGTTTTAGATTTGTTCTTTAAAATATTTCTCGCAGCTGGGTTTTTGTTTTCTTTTTTTCTTCCTATTTTTTTTTTTCTTTTGGAGACAGAGTTTCACACTTGTCGCCCAGACTGGAGTGCAATGGCACAATGGCACGATCTCAGGTAACGGCACCCTCCACCTCCCAGGTTCAAGTGATTCTCCTGCCTCAGCCTCCCAAGTAACTGGGGTTACAGGCACGCACCACCATGCCCAGCTAATTTTTTGTATTTTTAGTAGAGACAGGGTTTCACCATGTCGGCCAGGCTGGTCTCGAACTCCTGACCTCAGGTGATCCACCCGCCTCGGCCTCCCAAAGTGCTGGGATTACAGGTGTAAACCACTGTGCCTGGCCTAAAATATTTCTCCTGGCTGGCATTTGATCTGACCTGTCTGTTCTCTGCGGCTGTCTTCCTACCATGCCAATACATGGAAGCAGAGGTGGAAATCCTACCACTGCCGGACAGGAAGGCAGGTGAGGCTAAGTAGCCTGTCAGCACCGAGCCCTTCTCCATAGGCAGCTGCTATAATGGTACAGAAACAGGTTACTTATGGAGTTGCAACCTGTTTTTAACCTGTAATTATAGAGTTAAATATAACCATATAAACATCTTGAAAATAAGTGGGAAAGATTCCCTAATGTTCCCATCCTAAGAACTATTTTATTTCTTTCTTTCTATATGCATGTTTCACTTAGACATATTCTTGATTTATATTCATATTTTATTCTTGTCTTTATCATAAGGATTTCTCCATGTTGTATAGACTTCAAACAATTTTACTCCATGGCTGAACACTGTTGCATCATTTGGATAGAACTTAAATGTCCAACAGGAAAAAAAAATTAGGTGCTTTCAATGTTTTGCTGTAAGTAATGTCTAAATATTTAAAAACTCAACCAAGCTAATAAACTGCTATATAAAATATGTTTTGTATATTTTTTATGCCTTGAAAAATATACCTTTATAACAAAAAGTACTTTAAAATATATAAAGCCATTTTATATGACTAAAAGCCACCACGCATCATCAAGGATGGTGATGACAGTCTTCTCTGAAAAGGTTTCATATATATTGAACTTTGAATGATTTTGTGTGTGTTTGCGTAAGTGTGTGTGTGTACCTGTACATGCGCTCCAGGCTGAAGAAGTAACAAGTGCAATAGTCCTGAGACAGAAGAGAGTGTTTAGGCAACAGATAATAGGTAAGGTCAGTGTAACCTGAACAACTTGAAGAAGGTGTTTAGGCAACAGACAACAGCTAAGGTCAGTAGTGAAGGCTGAAGTGGTGTAGGATGGGATTGGGGAGGTAGGCAGAAGCCAAATTGAGCCATGGTAGGGTGAACGGAAGACAGGAAAGGTCTTCCAAGCCAAAGAGTAGCCCAGTAGCCCATGCCCTCATTGCCACTGAAGAGCTTCTGCCATCTGAGCATGTAATCTCTCCAAGACAACATTTACGTTCTTGTGTAAACATAGATCATTGTGTAGCATAATCTCTATAAGAATTGTAATTCCTATCATATTTAAAAAGAGAGTAACAAGGAGACTTCAGTGTTTCTAAATGCACCCCTTCTGAAAGCATTTAAATCTTGATTTTAAATTTTATCATTTAGCTACAATGAATAAGCTCCCCTGGGTCATTCTCTAATGGCAATTT
Organism: Homo sapiens; assembly: GCF_000001405.40. NCBI lineage: Eukaryota > Metazoa > Chordata > Mammalia > Primates > Hominidae > Homo > Homo sapiens. Next base: position 134,689,550 of record NC_000007.14, read on the forward strand.
AAGCCAGGTCTTGGATCTTGTTTAATCCTCACAATAATATTCTGAGGTGAACATTTTTATTATATTCATCTTACAGATGAGCCTCACAAAACCTGAGTAGCAAGACACAGTCGCAAAGCTAGTATATAGCTGCAGCAAGATTCAAATCCAAGTTGACCTAACTCCAAAGCCCACGCTCTTGGCCACTGTCCCATACTGTTTTTAGTTTAATTTTTTTTTTTTTTGAGACAGAGTCTCGCTCTGTCACCCAGGCTGGAGTATAGTGGCTTGATCTCAACTCACTGCAACCTCCACCTCCTGGGTTCAAGCTATTCTCCTGCCTCAGCCTCCTGAGTAGCTGGGATTACAGGCGTGTGCCACCACACCAGGCTAATTTTTTGTAATTTTAGTAGAGACGGGGTTTCACCGTGTTAGCCAGTATGGTCTCGATCTCCTGACCTCGTGATCCATCTGCCTTGGCCTCCCAAAGTGCTGGGATTACAGGCGTGAGCCCACCGCGTGCCTGGCTGAAAAAAATTTTTAATTAAAATACCCATCCAAAATTGGTCAAAGAATAAAGTGGTTCAATGAAGCTACAGTGAGCAAGTTTCATTTTCATTCTCTGAAAGAGTAACATGGTGCCACACCAGTTCAACAGGACACCGAGTGGAGCTAGAGAGCTTAGATTTTTTTTCCACACAAAATTTAAGTGTGTGCTTTTGAAAGTGGGAGAAATAGGCGTTTGCTTTCCTTCTTTTCTTAAACTGTCTGCTTTGGTATTTGGAGAATTCAGAGCTTGTATATTAAAGCCTAACTGAACTATATAAATACACACATAGGAAGAGGAGAACAAGACATTTTATTTGCAGAAAATAAAACAAAGCAAAAAATTGTGTTTTCTTTAGCATGGAGTATTAAAAGCCATAGAGCTCCAGCCTTCGAAAGCTATCAGTGCCAGGGCCTTCCATTAAAAACTGTAAAGACCAGTCTAGCTAGTCTAAACAGAAAAGGAATTTGTTAAAGGATATTGGGTGGCTCACAGACTCTTTGGGAAAGCCAAGAGAGTTAAGCTTGGAAAGCCAGTCAGCTGAGAACAAGACTCAGTGAACAGTGTGAGATGGTTCCAGCAAGGACAATGGCCCTGCCGCTGGGCACAGACACTGCCCTCCTGCTGGAACATCTGCTGCTGCTAGCCCACTTGGCAATGGTCAGAGCGATTGCAGAAGTGGCTACAAATCCCTGTCCTCCTCTGTCCATCCACGCTCCCTTACAGGGAACTTTGAATGTCCTCCCAGCTGATTCTGGGCTCAGCTGCTGGGCCGACTTCATTCCTTTTTTCTGCGTGTGAGTTCAAAGTCAATACCAGATGGATTGTGAGCACGGACAGGAATGCTTTCCTGCACTGAGAAATACCTACTTCTCCCCATTGCCAGGCCCTTGGCTCCCACAGCTGTGGCTGTGTCTGCACACACAGGGCCTTTGTGTAGTCTGAATATGCCAGTTCCCACAAACCTCCAGCTGCGATTCCCTTTTTACCAACCATTCCCATCTAAGGAGTCAAAGGACGAATCACATTGCAAGGGACAATGGGTGTACAGGCTTGCTGAGAGAGCTTGCTTCAAATCCATGAGATGAAGAGACTCATGGGCAGTACGAGGCCATGGAGGCACTGCTGTTTTGGCAAAGAATGCTGGTCGTGACCACTTCCTTCTCTTTATTCTTCCTCAGAGTTCAACACTGGCCTTGCCCAAGTACCATGCTGAGAACTGGACCTCAGGAACTCCGACACACACGCCCTTTTCAGAAATTTGTAATTTCATCATTTCTTGACCAAATGACTCCAACCACAGAAAGGCACAAATTTTCCATTGGGATTTATTCTGCCCTCCCCTTTGGTGGGTATACTTTTTCTCTTTCTTGCTTTTGAAACCCCACTCATTATGTGAAGTATAGGTTTTTCAAACTGATTTTAAAGTAAACTTGTTATTAAATATACACATCGTGTCTTTCTGTCTTCCTAACTCCACTTTATAGATTTGAGAATTGAGACACAGAACAGTCTATGGCTCAGAAAAGCTAAATTCAATTTTTATTTGGCCTACGGGCCCTAATCTGGGCTTTGAAGTCTAAAGATCTAGAATTACCCACCGTCTTCCTACCCTCAGTCTGGTCAGACTCCGATGCATAAAGCTGGGAACCTCACTCCCCAAGCACCGGCAATCCAAGACTTCCCGTTTCTGGTTGCAATTGCAGGCTAGTAAATTTGGAGCACAGGATGGAACTATTTCTAGTACAGGCAAATAATTTGTAATAATTAAGAAGTATGAAGTTAATGAAAAGCAATTAACCCCATGGCAAGTTCGGCCATAAATTTTACTCCCAAAGTGAACGCATGATGCAGGTATGAGCCTTGATTTCAGATAAAGAAAAGAATGCAGAGCTATTATTAAATACAAAGTAAAACAACATGAAAAATGCCAGAAGATATAAAGAATGCAAGTAGGAGCCTGGGGGCAGAGGGAGGGAAGAGCTAAGAGAAGGCGGGGGCGGGAGGCGGTGGGGTGGGGGGGTGCGGTGGTGGAGGATGAAGGGAAGGGGAGACTGTTCCAGGGAGCTATGCCAATCTGATGCGGTCTCCAGGCTGGCTGATGCTGAGTGGAAGGGACGACAGAGCTTCCTCCTCCCCCAAGAGACCTGAACCTGGACTTCTACAGGCACCATTGAGCCCCCTCAGCCTCCCCACCCCACCCCTCACCCACCACAGGGAGGAGTCACATGGTGTTCCCCTTTTAAAGCAAGATTTAAAGAATTACTCCTCATTTCCTGGAACACTTGAGACCACAGAGGAGTTGGCAGAGGCAGAGGAAAATCAAGATTTTTGGTAGAATAGGAAAGGGGCCAAAGAGGAGGGTGCCATCATGGCCCTTGTGTCTTTCCCTACCAGGCAGAATCCTGGCAAAAGGCGTGGAGGGGCTTATCAGGCAGGCTGTGGTTGAAAAACCAACAAAGGATGCTTCAAGTTCTACTCATAGGTCCCGATGACTAGGGAGGGATTTCTGCCTTTAAAAGATCAAAACAGGATTTGCTGTTAAGCCACCTGAGGTGCAGCTTGAATTAACACCTAATATGATCACCAGGTCTTCCCCAACCACTGAGAAAAAGCATCTTCCCTTGTTTCTGTCATGGATGTTCGAAATTCCTTTAATAAAAAGTCTTTACTGGAATCATTAGAGATAAAATTTTAACAGCACATACCACTAAGGAACAGAGAATTCTGAAGACATTTACTCACAATGGAAAAGTAGTCAGTCAATGGAGGTTCCAGTAAACTTATTGGTGGCGGATTCCTCCTTGATTTGACAGTGAGAAAAGGGCTAAAGAGGAGGAGGAACTGTCTTTTTTAAGAAAGACCTGGAAAACTAAGTTATTGACTAGTTGATGGTGCCAAGGGCTGGCCTTTTTTATCTTCAGCTGGGGTAGAGGAGAGAGAACAGTCCACCTGCAAGCTGGGTGTGAAGCTATCTTGTCGCGTTGGGCTGTTGGAGATAAATAACCTTGTGTATGCTTTTGTGGACGTTTTGGTGCTTTCTTTTGTAATGCTTTTTTTAAAAAAAAAGTGTTACTGGAGCATCCTCTAGCATCGTTATTTGAGACGTATGTGTATAATGAGACACTTGGCAGCACGAGCGAATGAAGTGGAAGGGGACTGGGCACGAGGCGCTCAAGGTTTGGATTCTACCCCAGGCTCTGCTACCAACTGGCTGAATGACCTGCAGCCCATTACTTCATCTCTGAGACTTAATTCCCCAAAGCAGTGGCTCTAAATTAAGGTTTTCTTCTTTCTAAATCACAACCCTGTCTTTGAAAGCAGAGCTGCCCTGTGGAAATGAAGGAGGGGCCCCAGGACTCTGCCATTCAGCTCCCCACATCCTCCCCCTGTGTATGTGGTGCGTCATCAGAACCCTGGGCTGATTTGAACTGCACTGGCTCAGATGATGACTAAACACCCCTCCAGGTCATCAAAGAGTAGCTGCAGTTGGAGGAGCATCACTGACCACTTTGGGAAGCTGGCAGTCCTGTTTCAGTATGTGGCACAGGTCCCGTGAGCCTTATTCCGCGCTTGGGTTGCACATGGCAGCGAGGGAGCTGATGGGCTTTAGGTTCCCCCAGGGCGTGGATAATTTCTTTCTTGGCTGCGTGAGCTGCTGAAGGCATGGAAGTTCTAGGAATTTTTATTAAGAATTCTTTGATTAAGAATAGCTTCTAATCATTACATCCTCTACTAACAATCACATAACTTCCTGACTTCCAGTTCAGGTCCTCCTTGCTAGCCTAGGCTGCCTCTTGTTCTTTTCTATCTCTGCCATCCCACTGGAGCCTGAGAATAAATATTGTTTGACACTCTATGTCACAGATGACTTAAATGGTCAGAATAAACATGTCTCCTGTATTCTCTAAGTGGAGGTATCACCCTTCCACCTCCTATTCCCATCAGATACAAGAGAGAACAAAGAGGAAACTGTGATCTTCTCCTATACCTGCTATTAAATTACTGAGTAGCCTTGGAGATACTTATGTCGAGCAACTTTTCAGTGCCCCTATGTCCCTTCTGTTGGCAAAAAGCCTTTACTGAGCACCTACTCTTGGGGAAAGCAAATTATTAAGCACTAGATGGAATAAGAAGTGACATAAAAAATGAGAAGTAATGAAACTGCTTCTTTAAGCCTCCATAAAAATTAGAGTCAGGTCCAAAGCCACACCACACACAGGAGGGAAGCCCTAGAGACTCGTAAGCCTGGGAGTGGGGTGAGAAAATTGCATTTGGGCAAAATGGTCCTGCAAAAAATATGTAGGGAATCAGAGAAGACGAAACTCAAAACAAGGCCAACCATCTGAGTGCTGTAGAATCAACACTAGGAGAGCTGAGGACCCGGTCCTGGCATTACATCTCTCCCCCAGGAGAGGCAGCACCGAGCAATGGGAAGAATTGGGCCTAGGGGCTGAGGACTGAGAGACCCCAGGGGCTGGCACAAGTTCTGCACTCAACTTCCTGACAACAGGCTCTACGATAAGGAGGAGAGCCTCGTGGTCTTTGAGCACTCCCTGGTACTTACAGTCTATAATTCCCTCCGTCATCAGCCTTTTTTAAAGAAAATAAACTTAATGTCCTCAGAAGAGTCACAAAGCCACTCGGCATCCTTCCTTTCATTCTCTGCATGCATTTTCATTTGTCCCCAGATTCTTCTGGTCATCTTCCATGTTGATGGTTAAAAGTCATCAGAGCAGTCCCTGGTGGTGCAAAGCCCTACCTAAAAACACTGTGTAATAGTAACTCACACTTGTGTGGAACTAATTCTGTCTAAGCCCTGCTTGAGCACTTTATACATATTTGTGTATAAAGTAGGTACTAATATGATCCCATTTTACAGGTGAGAAAACTGAGGCACAGAGCCGTTAAGTAAGTTGCTCAAGGTCACACAGGGACAAGTGGCAAAGTTGGGCTTCAAAGCTGGGCAGTTTGTTCTGGAGCCCATGTGTTAAGCCACCATGTTTCACCACCTCTCCGTAATATGACAAATCATAATGGCAAAACCTCAATAACATGTATGGAAATTTCTTGGACATTCTGAACACAGAGAGTTTTGAGCCCTTAGGAAAGAGCCAACGCAACAAGGAAGTGGGTGGTGGAGTGTCTTAGAGTGTGCTAAGGGGCCTTAGAGGATGTCACAGCTATTGTGTACATGCACTGCTGCCACTGTCTATTTCTCTCTAAAAATTAGCAGCTACAAAGAAACATGATCATTTTCAACTTAAAAAAAAAAAGGCCCGCAGCTATAGGAATCTGGAAATAATCCCCTAACTCAAGGGACTGATTCATTGGTTTCAAAGGGATTGACCTTAAAGCTGGTATGTGAGTCGACTGAGGCCACTGGCAGGGATGCTAACCATTTATGGAATGCATTTTTGGAAAGAATTAGGGGGAAAATCATGTTGTGTCTTACAAACCAATAATTAGGAATACAGCTCTAAGGGGCGAGCATTAAATATCAAGTTTTCAGTATGCATAGTTTTTAAGGGAATCAGTTTGCCTTCTTCCTTCTCTTTCTTTTCTTTCTCAGATCTTACCCTAAGGATCAGATTCAGGCCATACCGGATGTGCCCAAATCATTTCCATCTGACGCCCAGGACGACCCAGGAGGCCTGGCCTTGAGGAGCAGCTCCCACTGAGAGCTATTTGTGAAGGAACCAAGCTAGAACCGCGTCAATTGTTTCTGTTCAGCCTGGTCCTGGCCCCACTGGTATGGTCTTGCTGACTTCCTTCTGACAGCCGAGTTTTTAAAATGGGCTGCTTTACAGTGTGGCCACGGATTAAAATAAGAAAAAAGAAGCCCTTCATTTCTATTCTATTTCCCTCCCATGCCCTCCCTTTCCAGCATATAAGTAAAGTGCTTCTCACAGAGCAGAAGCTTACTGACAACAGATGGGGAAACTGAGGCACAGAGAGGTTGACTCATGTGTCCAGCTCTGCTTAATTTTTGTGTAACAAATTAAGAGACACAGAGCTCTCTGTCCTGAACAAAACTCCAGGTAGTTAACGGGGTGTTCAATCAAAAAGAGAACACTGGGCTTTTATTTTTATTTACTTATTTCTTTAGAACCCCTTTGTGGCTATTTCTGGGAAAAGTGGTTGGAGCCCACCTGCCTGAGCCCAGGTTTTCACTGCTCCCCAAGACACAGAAAGAGAGCTGTTTAGTTCTGTATTCACCTCCACCTTGGCCAGATGTGATCAGACAAAACACACCTAGCAGAAAGGGTTTCCAGCTGCTCCCGAAGGCGGCTACAGTAATTTCAAGGGTAGAAGTTGGACACACTCATGTTTACCAGGGAGGTCAGTGTCTAAACTGAAAGGAGACAGGGAGGTGTGACTGGCAGCCTCAGGCACTGGGCAGGGCATGCACAGAACCCCGCCTCTGTTCGAGGGGGGTTGGGGAGGGGACCTGCAACGAGTGGCTTGTTCTATCCTGAACAAGGGTTTTACCCCAGGAAGGGGCCTTAAAGATCTCTGCCTCCAACCTCCTAGTTTTTTTTCTTTTAATTTTAAATATGTAAAATTTTAATACCATGAGAGATACCTTTTTTTTTTTTTTTTTTTTGAGATGGAGTCTCGCTCTGTCGCCCAGACTGGAGTGCAGTGGCACGATCTTGGCTCACTTCAAGCTCTGTCTCCAGGGTTCACGCCATTCTCCTGCCTCAGCCTCCCGAGTAGCTGGGACTACAGGCGCCTCCCACCACGCCCAGCTAAATTTTTTTTGTATTTTTAGTAGAGACGGAGTTTCACCGTGTTAGCCAGAATGGTCTCGATCTCCTGACCTCGTGATGCACCCGCCTCGGGCTCTCAAAGTGCTGGGATTACAGGCGTGAGCCTCCGCGCCCAGCCGAGAGATACTTTTTTAAAGAATAAAATGCTTCCATCAACTCAGATTCTTTGTTTTTGCTACTTAAATCAAGAGACTTTGTAGAGACCTGTTTTTCATGTCACACCAGCATGGCACATGTATACATATGTAACTAACCTGCACAATGTGCACATGTACCCTAAAACTTAAAGTATAATAAAAAAAAAAAAGAAAAAAAAAACCAATATGGTCAGTACTGGTCACATTCTAGCGTCTAGAAATCAAACAAATCACATCGAGAAGCACTGATTGAGCACCATGTATGTGCCCAACACAAGGAAAATTGCCAAGTAGTGTATCCCTACAGTGGTTTGTAAACTTTCTACTTGGAATCATTTTAGCTTAGGAGGAGTTAAAACATGAGTCTAGAGGGTGGATATGTGCTCTTCACCCTGCTTTCCCCAATGATGACCTCATACATAACCATAATACATATATTATTGAAATTGGAAAATAACCCTCTACTTTTACAGATGAAAGAATGCACACTCAGGGAGGCCAGGTGACTTGCCCCAGGGCACACAGTGAGTGAGGTAAGTTGGTGTCCCCCAGGCAGGCACACCCTGGTTGGTAATATCAAGGCTTTGTTTGAGTCCAGTTTCTGCCACGGATGAGCTGAGTGACATTAGACAATTTCCTTAAACTCATCTGTGAAATGGAGACAATAATAGTGCTTTCCTTGGGGGATTGTTCTGGGGACTAGGAAAAGGTGTGTGCAAGATTCTTGGCACAGTGCCTAAGGTGTAACAAGAATCCACCTGCATTGGAGGCTTGCTTTGTTCCGGTCATTGGTCTGGGTGCTTTATATGTTACACTATTTATTGCAACAACCCTGGAACCCATCATTATCAATTATTTTACCAATGGGAAAACTGAGGCACAAAGAAGTCAAAGGCTTAGTGAGGGGCAGAGATGGGGCCCAAAGTTGGGCTGAGTTGTGGAGCTCCTTGGCCTACCTTGGTCGAGGCTGAATGAACAGTGCTGCTGCAGTTGCCGTAAGCATGTTGCATCTCACCTGGATGCTCTGGCTTGCTGTGGTGGCTTCTCTTGAGCCATCTCTCTAGTGGCATCTGTGCATGAGTTTGGCTGCATGTGCAAACTCAGGACATTTAACTTTGGACCACCGTGAACTTTGTGGCTAACCAGATACTGCACTGACTTTACTCAACTCTTGGGCCTTTCAGGAGCTCAGTAATTATCCATTATGAGGCTCCTCACCTGCCCATCACTAGAAACTCCTTTCATTACCTCTTTTTCTCCACCTTTTGTGCCTCCTTTGTTTTAAAAGACTTTGCTATCGAACAACCTGCATTTTAAAATTAGTTTATCCATGCTTCCATTTTTAAAAAGTTATTCCAAGATATGTGCAATTGCCAATTAGAGATATTGGGCAGCAAAAGATAACCAACCCCATCAAACTTGGTTAACAGAATTCTAGCCCAAAGCAAACAAAATTTGACATTTTAACGAGACTGTGCAGGCTTAGCAGGCAGGGGTAGGACTTCAATGTGACTTTTAAAATACTGAAAATAGTTGGAGGACTCCTAAGGGTTTAGGAATCCCAGGGACTTAATCCAGTCCCCAAAGATTCTAAAGATTCCAGAAAATCCTCCATAAAACATAAATACCCTTTATTATATGTGCTTTATGTTGGCCTAAATCCCTTTTTAAATATCTTAATCTCATTCTACCTTACAGTTTGATATTTACATGAGAGTCTCTAAAATACAAGGAAATCCAATTGCATTAAAATATTTCTATGCACATATGGTACCCAGGTGCATAATAAAGGTAGACATCATTATCTTAAAAAGAGTGGCATGCAGTTTCTTCCCTGGTTATTCAATCTCTATCTACTCATATACTTTCCAGCATTTTCCCTCTCCCGTCCAGCCTTCAGCCCTACTTGCCGTCTTCCTTTTCCTTGCTATTAAGTTGGTGGTTCACTAAACTCTTACTAAACATGTGCTGTATTACTCCATGTTTTCCAGAGAAACAGAATCAACAAGATATTGATTCAATATATACACATATATATTTGGACATATACATATATATGGAGAGAGACAGAAAGATAGAGAGACAGAGATTGATTCATTTTAAAAGAAAGTGTGGGAACTGCAAGTCTGAAATTTGCAGGCCCAGACCAGCAGGCTGGAAGTTCTGGCAAGAGGTGACATTGCAGACTTGAGTCTGGAGGCAGAATTCCTTCCCCTTTGTAGGGCCTCAGTCTTTTCTCTTAAGGCCTCCAGCTGATTGGATGAGCGTCACCCACATGATGTATGGTAATCTACTCAAAGTCAACTCACTTAAATATCAATTATATCTTTTAAAATACCTTCTCTGCAACATCTAGGCTGATGTTTGACCAAACAACAGTGCATGACGTTTGTTGTGCCCCCAAACTGACACATAAAATCAACCATCACATGTACAGGCACTGTATTAAGCACTAGGGTGTAAAGATAAATATGACCCTGTCCTTAATCTTGAGGAGTTGATGATCAAATGGAGAAGGAAAGGCAGAAAGGAATCATTTTGGTAAATTCCATATTGAGGTATAGATGCAAAGCTGACAAAGGAGTTTGGCCTTGGGCCAGTATGAGAAGGCTACACTTTATTAGGTGCAATTTGAGCTGGCTCCTGAAGGCTGAGAAGAGGCTCGCCCCAAGGAAAGGCGTTCCAGTGATGGAGAAGCAAAAGGATTTGCACTACGTGGGCAACCGTGAATGGCTGGATGCGCTCATGTAAATAGGCAAGTTTTCTGAATAACCCAGCTGATTTCAAATCACGTTTAGCCATTCCTTGTTACAACATTCCTTCAAAAGAGTCATTTAGCTCAACAAACTCATTGTGGTCCTCTTTTAGACAGAAAGCTTCTCTTTCTCAGAAATGTAGCTGAGTGATGGTATTTTCCTTATAAGAAGAGACGTAGATCAGCTCACTGTCATTGTATCTGAACTCGGGGCTCTCCAGAAAGCAACAATTCCTTTTAATTCCTCTCTTACCTCTTTTCATGCCTCAAATCCCACACACATACCTCAAATCCAAAATAATTCAACCATAGCCTTGTGCATTGATGTCACAGGGCTTTCCTCTACTGAGAGGTTGAGCACAAAATCTCTTTAATTCTCCACTCCTTTCAGACTATGAAATGATGTCTGTTGGTGAATTGTTTATACATTCCAACAAAACAAGCCAACAAAAAAAAACTGAATGTAGTTGGCTCTTTTTTTCTCTCTGTGGATTTCAGAAAATTCCATTATGTTGCCAATTAGGCTTCCAAAATGGATGAACAATCTAAAAAAAAAAATCTAGACAGCAACATTATGTAGAGGAACAAGCACTATACTAGGAATCAGAAAAATGAGTTTTTCTTTTTACTTGTTTAAAACCCATTTATGCCTAGTGTTCCATTACTGGAACGCTGAGCACGTGGGAGTTATTTATATCCTACTGCTTAGGGTCATCACCAAGGTCTGATTGCAAAAATTCAAAAATTGCAATCTCGGGTATAAATGGGTTAAATGTTCTCTTATTTTAACCCTTATCTAAGCTGTGTGACCTTAGGAAAGAACATGGCCTCTCTGAGCTTGGATCCTCATCCATGTGGACTCACACTCTCCCAGGTCCTCCCAGTTCCCTGATCATGTTCCTTTCTTTTTTTGCATTTTGTTTTGTTTTGTTTTGTTTTGTTTTGAAATGGAGTCTCGCTCTGTTGCCCAGGCTAGAGTGCAATGGCATGATCTCGGCTCACTGCACCCTCCGCCTCCTGGGTTCAAGCTATTCTCATGTCTCAGCCTCCCAAGTAGCTGGGATTACAGGTGCCCACCACTGCGCCCGGCTAATTTTTGTATTTTTAGTAGAGACGGGTTTTCACCATGTTGGTCAGGTTGGTCTCGAACTCCCGACCTCAGGTGATCCGCCCGCCTCGGCCTCCCAAAGTGCTGGGATTACAGGCGTGAGCCACTGCACCCGGCCTCATGTTCCTTTCTTTCCCCCACTTATTTATAAACTTACATTCTTGAATAGAACATCTTTATTCTTTTGCTTTTCCAGTATGTTAAGGCAGTAAAAAATATTTTTGGAAAATACTTAACTTCATGATTTGCCATATACATTATTTTTTACCTAATCCAGGACTGAAAATAGTTAATTTTTGTAGTTGACCATTCATGTGATGTTCTTTCTTTCCATCTGAAGGTAATGTGGAGGCGACATTAACATAACGAAAGCATGGAAGAAGTAGAAACGTCAGTCTTTAATACTGAGCTTCATAACTCTTCCTTCATATACATCATTGCCAAATCAATGTCGGCATTTCAAATTGCTTTGGGATAGCACACCAGCTTGAGAGGAGTTGAGGTGAAGCCTCTCCTTTTGGTCTTCCTGTTGAATAACTACACTGAAATTCACCAACATAGTCAGTGGTGGGCTTTAGGCCACTGAATTAAACCAAGCTCACTGGCCCCATCTAGGGATCAAAAGCATTTAGCCCATGTTCTAACCATTGAATTAGACATCAAAGGTCCAAAGTTCTGAGACTGGCTTAGAATAACCCTTTACCTCCAGGCGGCATAACCTCCAGAACATTCCTGGAGGATGAACTTTTGGCTTTCACCAGCCTGACTGTTAAGCCAGCCACCATGGAAGATGAAATGTCTCACCAGAAATCACTCCCAGGTGGCAGTTCGTGCCTGTTTCCTCTCACATGGCCATCATGGGACGTCATTCTGGAAATCATTCTGCAGCTGTATGAAACCAGGGCCAAAACCCATTCCCCTACCCTGGAAGCAAGGGAAATATGGATATGGGAGAAATGAAATTTACTGACTATTGGTGATGAGGTGCTGTTGTCAAGGGTAAGAACTGGGCAAAAACTTTAAGAGGCTGAACACCTTTTGTTTTATCAAGAAAACTGTGAAAAACCCAAGGCAAAACAAGCAAGAAGCAAAATGGCCAATAGTTTGTCTCCAGCCAGGCCTCTATAAAGACCAGGAGGAGCAGCCTCCCAGGAGTCAGGGAGATAGATAGGCTATCTTCTTGTCTAGTCACTGTGAGATGACAAGGTCACAGGGTCACTCAGCTTTGTTTGTAGAATCCTGAGCCCCCTAAATCCAGTCTTGGATAGGAGGAGTGGGGAAGAAGCTTTATGGAAGGAGGAGTCTTATCAAGATTCTGGGGGACCCGCAAGTGGCTCTGGGCCTGGGAACAGCCACTCTGCCATATTTGCTAAATACCTGTCACCAGCAGAATCCTGCTCTAGATGCTGAGAGGAGCTACAAGGGCTATGAAAGTTCTCTCCATCATGGAGTTTGAGGTATGAATCGACCCAAAACCAGTCTGTAAAAATGCATGTGATCATGCATTTACTGTCCCCCTCAGCTGCATAGAAAGCTACACTAAAGCTACCCCTGCCACTCAAGGGTGGGACACACCTGCAACTTCAGAGTTGGAAAGCACCCACAGTAATCCCGTTGAACAATCCTCTCCCCGATTTACAGAAGAAACAATACCCATGCAGTTGGGAAGAGGCAGCATGGGAAGAAGAACTCCAGGCTGCTGGAGCCCATGAGAGGTCCGGTCCCGCCCAGGCTGCCTGACTCTTCTTGTGAGTTAGGAGAAGGGAGTGAGAGAGGCCAGAATCCGACCATGTGAGCTTTAATCCCCTTTGTGATATAGTCTGTGCTTACAAATGGTTAAGACAGTGTGTGGCTTTGCCTCTTTTTCTGCCCACATGCTGACAATTTTGTTGAACAAAATTACAAGAATAGCACAAGGATAACCTTTCCCCTGCCCTCTGCATGGGTCTTCCCGACATTGTTATGCTCGCCTGTCTTGTGCTATTAGATCAGCTTTCTTATTGCATCTATGCATTGTGGAACATTCTGGCTACAAGCCTGCGTGCTGGAGCCAGACTGCCTGGGTTCAAATCCCACCACTACCTCTGCTGGCTGTGACGTTTGGCAAGTTCCTTAACCTCTGTCTTCAGTTTTCTTGCCTGAACAGTAAGGAAGGGGATCAGATCCTCTCAAAGGTGCTGCTCAGCCCTGACATGATTGTGCTTTTATTTATTTAAAAAACATAAAAATGATGACTGTGCCTATTACAGGAAGGAATGGAACAGAAGGAGCAGGCAGTGGTGAGAGAAAGATGGATCAAAGAGCCTTTCCCTTCAGCTATAAACCAGCTTCTCTTGTTTCTCTTTGCCTTGCTTTTAAGGTATCTCTGACTACAGAGGAAGAAGAACACGGGAACTTTGAGTTGTTATTATTGAGGAAGACAGGATGATCAGGAATTTGACCAGGAAGCCCAGGTCACATCTAACATCAGTGAGGCAGTGACTGGTTAAAGGCTTGATGAGAACTGGCTGTCTGGCCCCAGGCTGCCAGGAATAGCGGGGGTCAATGACCTATAAAACCTTAGGCTGTATCAGCTTGGGTGGACTAAGTGATTACCATGTCTCCCTAGAAGCTAGTCTGGAAGCCATCCGCAGGGGAATTTGAACTAATGAACCAGGGCCACTGGGGATGGGACCCAGGAATCTGGATTTTAACCAGCATCTCAGCTGACTCTTAGGCTTCAGGTTTAGAACCACTGATGTGGTCCATTCTTCTCACCGACAAAACAAGGACCAGCTCTTTCTTTTTTCTCTGCTTCTTTTCAGACAGAAGGTGTTCGGGGTAGAGAAGCAGAGTTTGATCTCAGTGCTGCTTCTTCTTCTAAGCCACCGTGTTCAGAGAGCTAAGCATAAGGCAGAATGGAGGTGAGAAATCGCTCAGAAATTCTCAAAGCCCAGGCAAAGGGAGATTTGATTTCCTTTTGCATGCTTCCCCGAAGTATGTTAATTCTGGCGTAAACATGGTCTGAGGCATTACTAGGGTGAGGAGAAAGGCGTGCTGAGAAAGGAGGCCCTTACTCTCATAGGCCTTTCGTTGCAGGTCACAGGATGTCACTGATGGGTTGTTCTGAAAGCATTTGCCCCCTGCCACCCCCACCAAGCAGAGTCCTACCCGCTTACGAAAGCAGTTTCTTTGAGGTCAAAGGCTGAGAACAAACTGCAAATAAAAGCATCAGTCTCCTTTGCAGCTGACTCACTTAGGTCACCCCAGGGAGCAGCCAAACCACTGTATAAGGGAGGGACAGCTCAATTTGAGGCATGTATAAATTAGGAAATGTGTAGTACTAATGGATAATTAATAGGTTGTTTTATTTGCAGAGCCGATAGACAAATTTGGCATTCCGTGTGTTCAGACCTTTAAATATTTATAACCAAGAGCCTACAGGAGTACTGTTTCTGTAGAGACTTTTCTGATAGAGTATTGTGAATTTCAAAGTGCCCTTGGCTAAGCCTTTCTGCGATTTCATTCCACTTTTTTTTTTTTCTGCATATAATGGCTAAAGAAATTTTCCTGGGTCACCTTAGTAAACACTGTGTGGTAGTACTTTGAATGTTGTAGGGACCTGGGATACACCCACTACGCAGGGCTAACTACCAAGCAAAGAAGTCCCTTTGCTCATTAGAACAGATGGAAGGGCCAAACCTATCACAATTTAACTTTGAGAAACCACAGGACCTCATTGCCAATAGACTTTTTCTGAGGTGGGCCCTGGAGACCCCTCTGAAAAGTATTTCAGGAAATGTGAGAAGTTCGTGTCCTCTTAGAAAAACTTCAGCTACTCCTAGGGAGTCATAAGCAAACCCCAAATTCCAGAAAGGGGCTTCTTGGGGATTTTGAGACTTTGGGGAGTTTGAGAACTTGACCTTCCCAGAGTACCCTAGAGAGGGGTGAACTGATCAAGAACCATACACTCCATGGTACCACCTGCAAACCCTCTTCCTCACACCCAAAGGGAGTTCTTGGCCCTCACTGGGACTCCTTGCACCCCGGGGAAATGGGTCCAGGAGAGTTGAGCAACTCATCCAAAGTCCCACTACAGTGAGTGTCAGGGCTAGGGTTCAAGCTCACATCTGCCAAACCTCAAAGCCACACTGCAATATAATTATGAAAATAATACGATACTTTTGGTTACTGAGGCATGCTTCGCTGAACCTCAGATTCCTTACCTATCAAGCAGGGCTAATAACACCCACACGCAGAGTTAAGGTCAGTGTCAAATGAGATGATATGCTTATGTCGAGCACCCAACATTGTTTCTGGAACATAGAAGATGCATAACATAGGATTGCTATAATTTTTACTGTTGTTGGAGAGTGGAAACAAATCAGTGGGTTAAGGGAAGAGTGCACATTATTGTCTATAACCCAATAAAGAGAAAAATCAGTGATCTTTGGGAATTGAAAAGAAGTGTTACAAATTGTCACCCTATCCCACTCTGACTTAACAAATCTTTAGATCAGCCAATGAACAACAAGAATGATTGTTAGGGATGGTTGTAAGAGATTGGGTGGTGATATACTCAAGCCTGTTTTGAAGAGTGAAGCAACTCGCAGAGTTGCAAGTACAAATAATAAACGGACAGCAAACAAGAACATAGGAGCCAATCTGCTGATACCAGAAAGAGATGATCTCTGTCCTTCATTCAGCATGTAGTGAGCAGCTACCACATGCTGAGAACTGTGCCGGTATAGATTTGTGTCCCTCTCAGGAGGGTGCTTCTGGTGCTAGACAGAAAATTGGACACTCTGTGGGATCACTGACATGTCTGTAATGATAGGGAAAGACCATCCTAACAGATCCAGGTAAGCAGAGGACAGTAACACGGCTAAAAAGCGTCCAGTAGTAACAGCTGCTTCCACTGTTGACCATTCTTCTGAAGCACAGTTATATTTATTAGAAAAGCTTTTGCAAATATAATTTTACTAAAGTTGCAACATTTGATGTTAAATTCCAATGGGATCCACTTTCCTGGTAATGTGTCCAGATCCCTTGGGGGAGCACATGGTTTTGATGAGTGGAGAATACTAGAATACTAGAATGATGTGATTATTTCTACCAACCAAACAATGAATTATTCCTGCCAACCGAACAATGAAAAAAAGGGCTTTGTTTTGTTTTTGGTTCTCCTGCACTTATGTAGCTGTTGGAGTCTCTAGAAAGAAATAGCAGAAAAATATTTTGCAATTTCAAAGAGTACCTGTGGCCAAATGCTATACCATTCAAAGTTAGAAGTAGTTTTATGAAGTGAGTCAGTAAATTCAAGCAGTAGCTTTCTAATATTTGAGTGTTCTGTAAGCCAGTGGTTCTAGTATTTTGAATTCATTTTAAAATTAGGGACCAGGCACCCTGGTTTTTGCTGTAATCCAAATACTTGGGAGGCCAAAGTGGGAGGATCACTTGAGGCCAGGGGCTAAAGACCAAGCCTGGGCAACATAGCGAGACTCCATTTGTACAAAAAACAAACACGCAAAAAAATTAGCAGGGCCTGGTGGTGTGTGCCTGAAGTCCTAGCTACTCAGGTGGCTAAGGCGGGAGGATCTCTTGAGCCCAAGTTGAGGCTGCAGTTTTCCACAAAAGAAAGGACTTTTTCCACATTAACAAAAGGAGGATAAAAACATAGACTAAGGATAAAAGAGCCTCCTTTCCAAGAAAGGATGATAGGTAGCCTTAACCTTGTGGCATATTCCAGCTAGGTTTTGGCTAATGTCTGCATACTTTCCTTTGAGCATAAGCTGCTGGACTGCATTTTTTCACCCCCCGCCTTCATTTAGGTGGGGCCATGTGACTAGTTCTTAGCAATGGAGTGCAGAAGGGATGCATGCTTCCTCCGGGCCAGGTGGCTAGGTGCACGTGTGTCCTCTCTACCCTCCCTTCCCAGGTTCTAGAAGATGGCAGAGCCCCTGAATGGAAGGAGTGCAGGTCCCAGAATGACCACCGGAGCAGTCCTCACGTTCATGGACTGTGATAGAACTGCAAAATAACCCTTTATTGTGTTAAACAATTGAGATTTGAGGGTTATATATTAGAGGTGCATTATTATTTAGCTTAACTAGCACATCCCAATTCATGAATACATTTATACATTTATTTATTATATTTACTCTATGTGTTAATTTTTCTAACTGCTCTGTGAACCAGTAAAAACTTCATTACAGACAAGTTTGGGAAACACTGCTATATGGCCTGGATTTAGAAGTTCAAAATACAGAAGGGTAGAAGTTAGTGAATCATACCATCAAGAATTATGACTGGTTTTTTGCAATCTTTTTTATTTTTAAGGACTCTAGCGTAAAATTTACTAGTTACTCTACATTAAAAGGCCTATTTCTAGGGACTATCAAAGAATCACATATGTTAATTGATACAGAAGAGTCATTTCTACTTGGTCTATACCACACCATCTAATTTGATCTTAGCCTATCAGCATCCTGATATTTACTAGAGGCCTAGTGAATTTTCTGTTTCAAGTGTAATATTTAAGGCAACATTACCAAGTGCTCCTAGGAAAAGTCACACAAAAAATAAGTGATCTAGAATGTAACATTATGAAGATCTGGACAGGAAGGATTCAGATATCAATTTTTTAGAAAACAGCCCCTAGGCTGGGCATGGTGGCTCACACCTGTAATCCCAGCACTTTGGGAAGCTGAGGTGGGCAGATCACCTGAGGTCGGGAGTTCGAGACCAGCCTGAACAACATGGAGAAACACTGTCTCTACTAAAAATACAAAAATTAGCCAGATGTGGTGGCGCATGCCTGTAATCCCAGCTACTCAGGAGGCAGGAGAATCACTTGAACCCGGGAGGCGGAGGTTGCGGTGAGCCAAGATGGCACCATTGCACTCCAGCCTGGGCAACAAGAGCAAAACTCTATCTCAAAGAAAAAAGAAAATAGCTCCTAACTAATATATAGTTACAGAGATAGATAGACATATAGATAGATGATAGATGATAGATAGATAGATAGATAGATAGATAGATAGATAGACAGATAGCAACACCAATTAAAAAAAGAAAACCCTCAAATCACTCCAAACCAAAGGTAATATATTTTAAAAGGATACAGAGGGCAAATGAAATATGAGATTTATAGTGCCTGAATGTCAATCCTTAGTTTGACTCTGAAAGTATTAATGATAGGTAAGGTTTTGACAGTCATGTGTCCTGACTAACAAGTTAATAAATCAATACACAAAAGCAGCATTTTCAGTTTTTCAGACTACTTTTCATAATGTGACCAAACATGCATTGTGAAATCAGTCTGAAACTAGCCTCTTTTGTGAGGATAATCACACATTGCCCAATATCTAAAATGTCCCCAGTGCCTTCAAGGGCGTAGGTGCTAATTAAGGCCTTTGGAGTAGGTTTACAACATGCACACACACACAGTCTCATTATATTAAAAGTGGCACCTCATTTTTTTCTAATTTCAAATTTTATTTTAAATTTGTGTGGGTTCATAGTAGGTGTATATATTTATAGGGTACATGAGATGTTTTGATACAGGTATGCAATGTGTAACAACCACATCATGGAGAATGGAGTATCCATCCCCTCAAGCATTTATCATTTGTGTTATAAACAATCCAATTATATCTTCCTTTAGTTATTTTAAAATGTGCAGTTAAATTATTATTGACTATAGTCACCCTATTTTGCTATCAAATTATTCATTCTTCCTATTTTTTTGTACCCATTAACCATCCCCACCTCCTTTTCACCCCCCACCCCATATCATTTTTTGACCAAATACCATTACTCAATTTGGTAACAGTAGGGACCATTCATCTGATCATCTCCCCAAATAGAATCATACATTGACTACGGTGCACATTCAATACTCTTCACTGACAGCCATTGGTTGAATGACCCCTTTAATTTATGAGACCTTGGTCTGAATGACTTATGGCTGTTTCCACAACCTCAAGCCACCTTCTAAGATGTGAAGGAGATAGTGTGAGGTGGATAGTACACTCTGTTTGGAGGCAGACGTTCTGGCTTTCTTATTTGCCAGCTGTGAGTACTTGGGCAAACAACTTAACAGCTTGAGGCCTTGGTTTCTTCATGCCACAGAAGTTATACAGAGTCTTGGGAACATTTTGAGCATAAATGGGATAATGTATAAATAATATGATACATGGTATGATTATTTATTATTGTTATTTAAAGGCATATACATAGCCTGTGAAAATAACATCAAGATTTACAAGCTTTTGGATCCATGAAAGTTAATTGGAATAAGTTTTTCTCTTTGCAAAGTAGACAGCTCTTATTTGTTTTATTAGTCCTGGAATGCTGCTTAAAAACTCAGTCACACCACTACAACTTGAGGGATTAATAAAATGGGTGACAATTTGAAAAAGACCTTTACAATTTCCAGCTTTTTCTTTACCATTCACAAAGCACAAGAATGCTATTGAGACCGAAATAAGCGGGAGGTGGAGATTTAAAATGGAAAGTACCATCATGGGCATCTGAAGTTTCTTTTGGATTAGGCTCTGTTTAAAGAATGGAAAATATTTTTGCAATGGAAATTCTTGACATTAAGCCAAACACCTTTGTTGGATTATTTTCCTCTTGGGAGAGCTGATGCTCCCTCCCAGGCTGGCCACCTTATCTCTTTAGGGACTGACATCCCATCTGTAACCAATAATTTCAATATGGATTTTTTGAGCCCTGTATTTCCAGGAATTATTATTATTATTTATTTTATTTTTTTGAGACAGAGTCTGGCATTGTCGCCCAGGCTGGTGTGCAATGGCTCGATCTTGGCTCACTGCAACCTCTGCCTCCCAGGTTCAAGCAATTCTCTTGCCTCAGCCTCCCAAGTAGCTGGGATTACAGGCACCCGCCACCATGCCCAGTTAATTTTTTGTATTTTTAGTAGAGACAGGGTTTCACTATGTTGGCCAGGCTGATCTTGAAATCCTGACCTCGTGATCTGCCTGCCTCAGCCTCCCAAAGTGCTGGGATTACAGGCGTGAGCCACTGCTCCCGGCCAGGAATTAATTTTTAACAATAGATTGGTACAGGATTAAATGGCCCAGAAACAGTTAAGTATCAAAATGTCTTCCTATGTGACCAGTCTTTTAATTGCAGCAGAATAATACAATATTTTTTACATTTCTACAACATATATTTATTTGTAGAAAATTTGGAAAATGCAGGAAAACATAAAGACTAAAGTAATAACCACCCATAATCCTACTTCATTTTTGAGCCTAGCGTTTCAGTTTTTTTCTATGTATGTACATATATTTATACACATCTATATGTATGTTTACATGTGTAATATGTGTAATACATGCTTTGAGAGCTCATATTTACAAACTTCTAGAAACTGGCTTTTTTTTTTTTTTTTGAGATGGAATCTCGCTCTGTCACCAGGCTGGAGTGCAGTGGTGCAATCTCAGCTCACTGCAACATCTGCCTCCAGGGTTCAAGTGATTCTCCTGCCTCAGCCTCCTGAGTAGCTGAGATTATAGGCACCCACCACCATGCCTGGCTAATATTTGTATTTTTAGTAGAGGTGGGGTTTCACCATATTGGCCAGTCTGGTCTCCAACTCCTGATCTCAGGTGATCCGCCCACCTCAGCCTCCCAAAGCACTGGGATTACAGGCAGAACCGGCTTTTTAATTTAGTGTATCATGAACATTTCCCCATGTCATTGATTTTCTACTCCAGAATGATTGTAAATGACTGTAGAGTGCCTCACGGCAGTGGGTTTTGCTGTGGCCTGGCCACAGGGTTCAGGAAGCCTTTCCCCAGGGCAACACTGGGTTGTACTTCCCTGCCTGCCCTGCTCTGTAGGGGAGCACGGGCTCTAGGCAGGGCATCCCATAGAGGTACCCGCATGCTCTGCCACCGCCAAGGTCACGCTCCCTGTGTTGTCCCATGGGGTTAACCGAACCAGCAGTTGCACCCTCTCGTGCTTGAGGATTTTCACAGTCTCAATGGGAGGGGGAAGGGAAGGGGAGGAGGCTTCCTATAGGGGCCACCCTGCATGTGAAGGGTGCCAGTGTGGCCCAGCAGTGAACCCCCCAGGCTGGTGTCAGGCTGACTGGTTTCTGAATCCCTGCCCCACTGTACTCTAGCTCTAAGCCCTCCGGCAAGGTTTCGAACCTCTCTGGCTGAGATAAGGTGATAACAAAAGTGCTTACTTCAAAGAGTTGTGAGAATTAAGTAAGAAATCCGTGCAAAGCATGTGACACAGTGTCTGGCAAACAGGAGGAGCTCAGTAAATGTCAGCTGCTGTCACTGTTGCCTCGGGGTTCCTGTGAGGGTGAGGGAAGTGGTTGGGAGGACAGGTGGGGTAAGGTACAGAGAAGAATCCCGAGAAGAAACAGAGTCTAGGGAGGATGCTGGTGTCAGTGGTGAGAGGGACTGTGTGATGTGAGTTTTACGTGTCAACTAGGGCAGGCCGTGCCACCCAGATATGTGATCAAACACCAGTCTAGATGTCACTGTGAAGGTATTTTTTAGGTGATTCACATTTAAATTACACTAAGAGTAAAGTAGTTATCCTCCAGGATGTGGTTAGGCCTCATCACAAAGGCCTTAAGAAGGAAAAAAACCAGAGGTCCCCTAAAGAGGAATACATTCTGCCTTCAGACCGACTTTGGACTTCAGCAGCAACACCAGCTCTTCCCTGGTCTCCAGCCTGTCTGCCTGCTGCGCAGACTTCAGCCTGGCCAGCCCTCATAATCATGTGAGCCAATTCCTTAAAATCAACCTCAGCTTCTCTCTCTCTCTCTCTCTCTCTCTCTCTCTCTATATATATATATATATATATGTGTGTGTGTGTGTGTGTGTGTGTGTGTGTGTGTGTGTGTGTGTGTCTCTCTCTCTGTCTCTGTCTGTCTCTCTCCATATATATCCTATTGGTTCTATTTCTCTGGAAAACTATAACTAATACAGGCTGTTATGTAAAGTGTAGAAAAAATACAGAAAAGTTAAAATGGAGACAATGAAGGCTCAGGCAAGGTTGGTGGAGGAGGGAAGAGAAAGGGATCACTGGACACGTTCAGAGCAGGAACCAGCTCCCATTTATCTTTGTAACCTTAACACAGTTCCTGGTGTATAGGTACCAAATAAAGGAAGGAAGGAAAGAAGGAAAGGAGGGAGGGAAGGAGGGAGAGAGGGAGGGAAGGAGGGAGAGAGGGAGGGAGGGAGGGAGGGAGGGAAGTTGGGAAAGAGGAAAAAAAGAAATTCCCAAGAGAGGCTTGAGGCAAGATTCTGCTCTAGTTGTCATTCTCCCTTTTTAATTCTTGAAACAATGCTTAGAGTACTCGTTTTCAGCATACTCTAAAATCAAGCAACAAGTACAGATCTCTTACCATTTCCTCCAAACCTTTTGCTTCATCAGACATCTCTCTCAACTATCTCACTTGGAGGTCCAGCCAACAATATCTTCTTTTTAAAATATTTAGTCTGGAATCTGTCTTGGCGCAGTCATAATGCCCTGCTTTGATTATGGACTGGTGGAGAGATGGGACCCGGAAGACAAATGCCCCAGATTACTGGGTAATTACATCCCGGCCACCAGAATTCTTCCCTGTGGTTTCAACTGGATACACGCATTGCATGCCCTGTAGTCACCCACAAAGCAGCCACACTCCTGCTCAAGACACTGGAGTTGTGTCTCTGGGAAAATGTCCCACCTGGGACAATCCCTGGAATGTCTTCTAGAATTAAAGTAGACACTAAAGATGGTGGGTTATCAATTCATCATTTTACATTTGTTCATCCTCAGAACTCAAGAGTGGGTTTTCTCTTTTGTGGTAAAATTGCAGGGCTCTGCGGAGACTTTGATGCTCAAAGGGATTCTTCCTACCATAAGGTCAGAGAGTCAGTCTTTTAGCTGAGATCTGACCCATATTGAAATAACAAACTACCCTTGAATAAAACAGCAGTCTAAGACGGAATCAGGCGTGCCTTCGAGTGGGGTTTACATAATAGAGGGAAAGAAGAGAAGAAAGTCGTTAAAATCCAAGAGGAAAACATGCCTGAAAATAAACTTTATGTGTTTTATAATTTGAACTAACGCAATTCCCATTCACTCCTTCCCTCTTTCATTCAAGGATTTATTGACAGTCTATAATATACAAGGGACTCAGATATATATAACCTGGGAGAAGGGTAAAGGTACAAAAACAGAAAAGGAACTTTAAATCCACCTTTCATATTGACAGACGAAGTTCTGGTGATTTCCCCAAATTACTTCCTAACTAGTCAGCATCAGGAAATAAGTGACATTGGTGTTCATAATCCTCTCTCTCACTTTTCATTCCTCGTTTCCTAGACACCCTGTGGACACCCCTTTGGTAGTTCTATTTAATGCCTGCCTAGAACCTACACTTCATGTTAATTTCCACTCTAATCCAAATTTACCTGACCTAGCCCCTATTCCTTCTCACCTGGATGGTGCTGTGGAAAATAACCATAGTAAATAATTTCCTTTTAAGGGATCTAGTTGGAAACATGGATGGCCCCCAAACATGCCCCCAAACATGCAGTTCCCTCTGACTGTGGGGAAGGTTGGGAATGACTTGCTGCCTTGGTGAGTGAAAGCTGGGGGCTCCGGGACATGCAGCGCCTTACACTAAGCAGGATTTCTCAGACTGTGTTTTGTGGGACATGAGTTTCAGGAGAAATTAACAGGTATGCTACAAAAAGAAACATTTTTTTAAATTGAATTAGTATGGAAAACATGACATAATAAATCCCCCCTAGGAAATTCTCCCCCCTCAAATTGGTATAATAAAGGCTTGATATCCTTCAATAAAGAAACTCATTGATTTTAGTTCAGCTTAATATTAATCTCTGGTGGGAAACAGGTTTTTTCCTGTGGAATGATGGTCCACAGAACAGTAGCTTAGAAAATGCACGCCCAAACTCATGAAGTTAAGAAAAGGAAATAGAACTGGTGTGATTTCAGATGACTCCAAACTGCAGAGAGAAAAAGTGTCTTGAACTGGGGAGGGTTGGTGATACGGTTTGGGTCTGTGTCACTGCCCAAATCTCAGGTCAACTTGTAATCCCCAATGTTGGAGGTGGGGCCTGGTGGGAGGTGATGGGATCAGGGGGATGGATTTCCCCTTTGGTGCTGTTCTCCTGAGAGTGAGTTATTGCTAGATCTGGTTGTTTAAAAGTGTGTAGAACCTCCCACCTCCCACCTCTGTCTCTTCCTCCTGCTCCAGGCATGGAAGATGTGCCTGCTTCCCCTTTATCTTCTGCCGTGATTGAAAGTTTCCCGAGGCCTCCAAGTGCCATGCTTCCTGTACAGCCTGCAAAACCGTGAGCCAATTAAACCTCTTTTCTTTCTAAATTATCCAAATTATTGTATTTCTTTATAGCAGTGTGAGAATGGCCTAATACAGTTGGTTTAGAGGAGAGGAAGAAGTTCCAGCCCAACTGCATGGTACCCCAAGAACATGCAGATCCATATTGTAGATAGATCCCATGCTCCTTCACCTCCCAGCCGACTTGTCCTTCCTCTGGCAGGTTCTCCCTGGTCCTTTCAGGTCCCTCCTCTTCAAGTTTGTCCACTTCTCCATCGAGAAGACCTAACTCTGCCCACCTTGCTCTCATCTTAGGCCACTCCTGTCTGCCTCTCTGCATGCCAGTACTGATGCAAGGCAGGTTCTTGGCTTTGCTCAGGAAAGAATTCAAGAGTGAACTGGCAGTGGAAGAAAGCAGGTTTATTGAAGCAGCAGTGTCACTGCTCAGTGACTGCTCCTTGCACAATAGAGCTAGCTCATAGGCAGTTTGCTCAGAGGAGCAGCATATGGGCTGTTGGTTAGCAGTATTTATACTCATTTTTAATTAAATGCAAATTAAGGGATAGGTCATTCAGAAATTTCTAGAAAATGGGTGGTAACTTCCAGGTTTTGTGGTGGAAAGGGGTGATAACTTCCGGGTGTTGCCATGACATTTGTAAACTGTCATGGCACTGGCAGGAGTGTCTTATGCTGATGGGCAGCTAGGGCAAGTACAGGTTGCTTTCTTGGTGCCACTTGCTGGTTCTGGGCAGTTTCCTATCTGGTCTGGAAAACAAGTCCTGCCAGTCTCCTACCTCAATACCAGCTGTGGTTTCCCTTTGCCTAGTAGGGGAGCAGCTGCGTTTTCCTTATTAGTTGGCTCAGCTTCTTTCCTTCAATGAGTTGCCATATGTTACCCATGGGGCAAGGCTATGCCTTGTTGCAAAGATTCCACAAATACAAAACTCTAGCTTCATTGTGAGATATATATACTTCAACTCTTTAGAAAAAGAAATTATAATAAATACACACTCAAATTTCACATGCACCAGATTTTAACATACTAGAGACCACCACTACAGTGACTTCTACTACTGGGTGAGCTTGGTTAAGTTCAAACCCAGAAACAGCATTTCTCTCTTGAAATATATTTTCGCTCTTGTGTATATATTTGAATGTCTTACAGTTGTGTCTTTGAACAGATCATGTAGGTCTGCTATAATCTGTCCCTGAATTTGGGCCTGTGCATGTACCCAAAAGTAAACTATTGCAAGTATACACCCTCTATTAACATGGGAAAGACCACGCTCCATTAAATTGCTGGGTAGGGCTTGGGTGTATATGGTCAGCATTGTGCTCTCTTCTGGGGTGAAAATCAGTTATCCAATACAAGTGGACATGTTATGCATTGTCTTATGGCAGTAACATATTGTAGTAGTTTTAATGAATTAAACTTTCTTGCCTTCAGGTTTATAAATTTTATACGTATATATGTATATGTGTATGAGACAGAGTTTATGTTTATATTTATTTTCCTCTGCCCCACAAGTGGGAATGGGATAATTATGCTTACAATAAGAAATGTATCAAGATAAAAATGACAAGTCTGACCAGGTCGAAGGCCAGTCAATGAAGGCCATGTGTGGAAAATTTTCTCATAAAGTCATGCAGAGACAAGGAAAACATTAATAATTATTTGTCATTGGGATTCACCTTTTATGGAGCTAAAAGTTACTGGATGTACTTCATGCAGTAAAAATTTGCAAAATAGTTTTACGATGCCTGCCAAGTTACAATGGTATTTTGTTTTATTATTATTATTATTATACTTTAAGTTTTAGGGTACATGTGCACAATGTGCAGGTTAGTTACATATGTATACATGTGCCATGCTGGTCTGCTGCAGCCATACAATGGTATTTTGAAACAGAATATAGTGAGAATAAAAATAAGGTTATTGGTATCTTACAGTGTGTCTTGAACTTACTGTACCTAGAAAACGGAATATGAACTAAAATTAAATCTTACAATAAAAAGTCACATTCAGCATGACTCTAAGTAGATGTACTCTGAGGGAAAATGGAATGTACCATCAGGGGTAGTTTTGTTAAACCATCTGTTTAAACAATGCAACTGGCTACTATAAAAATTCAACCACTCTCACTGTCTCATAAGATACTAGCTCAGATGCAAGAATTATCACCCAGTGTGTTTAATGAATCAATTAAAAGGCTGAAATTTTGTGAAATTTTGATAGCTCCAGTGGACAAGACTCTGTGTTGCTTGCTTTTGTATTGTAAGTCCATGCAGGCAAATATGAGAAAGATTTATTATTTTCTAAACTCTTGAAATGTACATGACAGAAGAAGAAACTTTTAGATGTTTGAATCAGTTTTTAACACACCATCAAATAAATTGGCAAAAATATAAGCAAAAATATAAATGGACAGAGTGAAAACAATGTCAGGGAAAAAACTCAGCCAGAAGGGTTCATGTCAACACCATGACCAAAGTGAGTTCAAATATTCATGGCAGGTAGAGTGGATGTGAGCTAGTTATTAAAAAGATGACAGCATCTTTCAAAACTACATTGCACCATGCCTTGCAAATTATCAGTTTTATTAAGGAATAGTATTTATACTGTAGACTTTGATGTGTGATATGGATTATGTGAATAGTGAGTTCTAGAATTTACCTTTTTCACACCAAAGACCAATGCCAAATGAGATAAGAAATCACTGGTCTTCGATTTTTTGTGGTTATTGTTGTTGGTAAACAAGCTCCATTACCATACTATCTCTCAAATATAACAAGGTTTGACCACTGAAGCTTTATATATATACTTATCTTAGACTCTGTCTATCTATCTATCATCTATCTATCTGTCTATAATATATTTAATTTTTAGGACGGTATATTTTTACAGAATAATTGAGCAGAAAGTACAGTGAGTTCCGTCTCTTTCCCCCACCTCAACACACACAGTTTCCCCTAGTGTTAACATCTGACATTAGTGTGGTACACTTGTTAAAACTGATTAATCAAAACCAATAATGCTATTATGAACTAAAATCCATGGTTTAGGGTAGGGTTCATTCTGTGTTGCATAGGTCTATGTGTTTTGACAAATGTATAATGTCATGTATCTGCCATAACAGTGCCATACATAATGGTGTCACCACCCAAAGGACCACTGTAGTTTTAATAAGCTGAAAAAGCCCAATTGGAAAAGCAGAGTGACCTTGGTACCTTGCTTACAATGGCCAAGAAAGCACCAGGAATGAAATCGGAACACATTTCAGTTTCATTCAACACATCGCATTTCATGCAATACCAACTAAATGTACCTGCTTTGATCCTGAGAATGAAGGAAAATAAGGGGATAGAAGGTGGCCAGGCAGAAGGAATGGTGTGATGCAGAGAAAGCACTGGAATCCAGCTGCACTTGGCTGCTCAGACTGGAGCATTCGCCCGCCTCCCTGTGCTCAGGCTCCGGGTCCATAAAGTCAAAGTGAGGAGTTTGACTCCATGATAGGGAAGGCCCTGCCAGCTCCACTTGAAAGAAGGCACAATTATTATAACCAGGGCTTGTATATGTTTAATGGATTGGTAAACATTTTCCTTAAGCCCCAGGATTTTTTTGTGTGTGCCAATTGCCTTTGGAGATTTCAAGAATTAAAAAACAAATGACTAAGAAAACATAAATATGGAGACATATATTTCCGATTTTTAGCTTCTTAGTAAATAACTTGCTTGGACTACAGCTAAAACAAAGAGAAAATGCTAGCAATATAGATGGTTTCTAGATAAAAGAACATTCTTCTTGTCATGGAAAAAAAACAATACTAACTATGTGAATGCTTCCAGAAGGTAGAATTTTCATTTGGTACCTATTTTTCTTTTTCCCTTTTGTTTTTAAACACAGAATCAATCTAAAGTTGGTTCATGGTAAGAGAAGAAAAATGGGAGAGCAGTTTTTTTATAAGTGCCTGTGGATTTATTCTGAAACCCTAAGTTCTAGATTGAAAACATTTTTTTAAATCCTCCTCTTGGGAAAGAAGATGAAATCCAAAGGATTGTGTGAATTTACACTATTAATAATAGCTACCATTTATTGTAAGCTTGATGTCATAAGCACTTTACATGGATTATAACATTCTATCCACTCATCAATCTTATGAAGTAGACACTGTTATTATCTCCATTTTACAGACATGACAAAAAGGCACAGAGAAGTTAAATAGCTTGCCCAAGGTCACTCTGTGGTGGTTAAGCTGGGATTTGAGCCGAGGCAGGTTGACTTCTGAACCTGAGTTTTTAATCACTAAACTCAACTGCTATAAATTACATACTTATATTTATTTGTATACATGTGTTTATTTAATGGGAAAAAAATGTTTCATATAATGATGTATCTGAGATGGGAGCAGAGACAAGTAGTAAAATACAGATGATTTATAAAAGGCTTGTTATGCATTAAAAATGCATAAAACCTGGCCTCAGCTGTTTTAAAATTAGAGTAAATTACTGTACAAATTTCTGTTGCAATCAGAAGACGTTGGCTACTGCTGTTGTTGTGAATAATAAAATTCTTTGTCTCTGACCCAGAAGTCTCATGTCTTATACTGGTTGCTAGTTTTCAAGAAGGGTAAAATCTAAGACCCTTAGCAGTTCTTGACAACTGTTTCTGGAGTTTTTATTTCCCCAAAATATTGTCACTATTGCTTAGATGTCATACCTAGATGAATAACACTTGCCAAATAAATTTTTGAGTCAAGTTGAATGAAATAATTACCTTTTACTGGGAACCTATCAGTGGTTCTCACCCATGCTAGCCTCATGACTACTGTGTACACTATAGAGTATTATCTCCATTTTGCAAATGAAGAAACTGAGGTATAAGGACATTATTTTCCCCAATATCCTACAGCTCACAAATGTTAGAACTAAGGTCTGAAGCTAGTCCAATGTTCTTTCTGCCACTATTGCCTCTTAAAACATTTTAGCTACAGAAATATTAACTTTCAGACCAAATTATGAAGGTCACTGGGAACGGAAAAATGATTGTTTAAAGAGAAAATTTAAGCTTCAGAGAAGAAGGAAAGGGAGAAGTGAAGAATAAATAAGGAAGAAAAAAATAGAAAGAGGAGAGACAAAAAGGGATAAAAAAATATGTCCAAATAACTTTACAGGGCAAATAGAGGGCTGGGGTCCCTACAACAAGAGTTGGGAGCAGAACAGGGTTATGAGGCTCGCCAGAGGAACTTGGTGTAGACCTGTAAAAAGTAGCAGAGCACCCAGGGTGAAGCCTAGGAAGAGCCAAACAGCCAATCTAAATAAAGTACCAATCAGGCAAAGGGCTAGAGTCCAGGGAAATGGGGCAGTCATCATTGTCTCCTAGAAAGAGCAGGCAGAGAACAGCGTCCAGGGAAAGAAACCGGTAGTTTGCGAGGGGGGATAGGAGAGATTTCTCCAAGCACAGGAAGAGTGTAGCTGGGCCCATCAATGGCCATTGTCCGATATGTGTTTGTCCATTTTGTTTTGCTTGGACGTCAACGGCCTTGTGTGTGTGCAAAAAAGAGCTTTTAAGGACCCCAATCTGGTTTGGACAAGGTGACAGAAGCCAAAAGTTACCTTGGTTGAGTCTTAAGGGAATGAATTTTGAGAGTTACCTGTTCAAAAGCCAAAATGTTCAAATCCCGAAATGTTCACATCAATCACCAAAGATGCCCCCGAAATGTTCACATCAATCGCCAAAGATGCCCGCAGTGAGTGTTTGTTTTCTTGTTTGTATCTCTGTTTCAACTCAGTTGTACTTTGAGCTACACAGATCCTTCAAAAGAATAAAAGCTGGGTTTCTTAACCCCCGCTTTGGTTAGCGTGTATGCTTTCAGCACCTATGTTTAGTATTTTTTAGAATGTAGCCTTTGTAAACTTCACCCACTGTATTTTGCTGAAGTCAGACTCACCCTTTGTTCACCAGTAATCAGCAAACATTTGTTAGTGACGACAGTGGCACTCTGGTTAGCCCTCCTCTTTTTTTTTTTTTTTTTTTTCCTTGCAGAGCATAGTTGAAATAATTTGGGAAAGTTTCTCTTCTTCAAGGAGCTGGGAAAGAATGATGAATGGGCCCCTTGTTCTGATGCATCCTTCTATTTCCTGCAGAGGAAAAAACTGACGGCTGCTAATCTCTGTGTGTTCAGGAGCTCTACCTTCCTTCCTAATAAGATCGCTGTTGTAATAAGCATGTGCCATGGAGGTGAAGCAGAGTTTCCCATTATTTATTAGGCCTGAGTCCTCATTAGTAACTTCTTTATAAAATAAACATGAGGCTTTGCAGAAATGGGGAACAAGAGCCTACTTCATACAAAGTACAATGATAAATGTCTCCTGTGGCCCCAGATTCCAACGCTTAACATCTGTGATCTCCCCATCTCCATGGCAACATAAAGTAAATAGTAAAAATAGTCCAAATCCAGGAAAAACACAGCAGGGAATGTCTGTCCTAAAGGAAAACAAACGCTTAACATGCACTCATACATGAGCAAGAGGACCCACATGAAATGTAGCAGTTGGTCAATAGGAAAACAACAGAGAGTGGGGAATGAAGGGTCTTCAAGCTAGCAGACAAGAAATGTCAGATGATTTGAAGAAGTGTTGTCTGCTTTCAGTAGGAGGCCTGAAGGGAACATTGTGTCTTATATTCATGGGCTTGTACAGTGTGTATTTTACATTTTGTACAAATGTGTTTTGAATTATAAGCTTGTCATATTACACTAGATTTAAAGGGAACCATAGATTATAAAAGTAATAGCATCAAACAAAGAGTTGAGAACTGGTGATTTGGTGTTTGCCATGTAACTTCTTAGCAAAGCTGTGGTCTGCCTAACAGACCCTCTGAATCTTCTCCCTACCTGTAGCCCAACAGCCTGGGGCTGTTCCTGATATTCGCTATAGGCCGCTGGAACAGGAGGCTCTGTGGCCTCCCTGTGTCCCCCACAGTTGTGGCAAGAGCAGTGGAGCAGCCCTCTGGAAGAGAAGAATGTTCCCCTTAGGGGTGCAAGAAAATGCCTGGGAATAGGATATTTTCAAGAACGGCGATTTTCAGTTAATTTAATTTTCTGATTAACTGCAGTGACTTTGGGCCTTTCAACTCACTGAGCCTGGTTTAAGTCATCTGCAAAAAAAAAAAAAAAAAGGATGGGGTACTTCATGACCCTGGAGTCCTGCCAGCCTTGGAATTCTGCAATTCTATGAATTGAGCACAAGGCATGATTTTGTTTCAGCCTTTGTGGATTAAAAAACTTAGAATTCCTGGGTTTCTACTATAGTAGAACAGTTTCTACTGTTCTACTGCTGGTTTCTACTGCTATAGTAGAACAGTTTACTGGGTTTACTGTTCTACTATAGCAAAAAATACAACCCCATGGCTGTGTGTGTTTAGGGGAGGTGGGGGGGTGAAGGGTGGATGTGGTTTAGGGGAAAGACCGAGGGGGTCTACAGCCAATCCCAGTGACTAGCTGTGTGACCTCAGGCCAGTTATTCCACCCTTCTTGGCGGTAGTGTCTCCATCTCCATCAATGGAGATGATGGTATTCCTTGCAACATTATTGCTGTAGGAATACTGGTAAATGATCAACATATGGTAACCACAATATCCTATCAGATTTGGAGTCAGTACTTGAAGAATATTTTTCATCACATAGGTAAGACTTGATAGTAGTGGGGTAGCTCGTGCTGTGTAATTTATGGAACGCAGTCTCAATACTTTGTGATGGGGTTTCCGTTTGGCTCTAAGCAAGTGTGACTCTACCCTGAAGATCTATGGTGGGGTTTTTCTTTTCATTCCCTGACTGTAGCTTTTTCCTCTGATGGTTTTTCTCTTTCTTAAAGCTAGAGCACAGCTAAAACATTCTAGTTAAGTGAATATCCTAGAATGGCTGGATCCTAACACGTGGAAGTCTTTACTGTATGATTTGTGCACAGACACCTTGCCGGTTATTCACAGGTCGTGTTCAAATTTAAAGCTCACCAGGAGTCAATAGCCACAAAGATGACTTTGGAGCAGATTCCCTCTCTTCTATTGTTCCTTTCCTCCGGCCAAGTTTCTCTTCTCTTTGCCACTTTTTTCCTCTCTTACCCTTTCACCATTCTCTTTTCTCTTTTCTTCTTCTTCTAATCTTTTGATTTTAGTGTTCTCATCTTTCCAACTTTGTGCTGTGCATTCTGCAGTAGTTCGATTTTGTTTATTTATTTATTTATTTATTTATTTGTTTGTTTGTTTGTTTCTGAGATGGAATCTTCCTCTGTCGCCCAGGCTGGAGTGCAGTGGCACAATCTCAGCTCACTGCACCCTCTGCCTCCCAGGTTCAAGCGATTCTCCTGCCTCAGCCTCCCCGAGTAGCTAGGATTACAGGAGCATGCCACCACACCTGGCTAATTTTTGTATTTTTAGTAGACACAGGGTTTCACCATATTGGTCAGGCTGGTCTCGAACTCCTGACCTCGTGATCTGCCCACCTCAGCCTCCCAAAGTGCTGAGATTACAGGTGTGAACCACCGTGCCTGGCCTCTACCGTAGTTTTATTTCTCACTCCTTTGTTACATCTTATTCCACCCCCTCCACCTTTCCTTTCTGCTATCCTTTTACTTCCATTTACCCACAGTCCCTGCTGGGAGGCCTTTTCTATTAGATATATAGTGGAAAGGCAAGTCAGCTTTTCTTTGAATTTAGGAAAATGGGACTCACAGTTAACTTCTGGGGCTGAATTTCCAGAGGCCTTTGTCAGAGAGCCCAGCTGCTCTAGAATGAGAGCTATCAGGATGAGACCTACCAGCTGCCTGGGGTTGTAGTGATTCCAGAGGCACCAGGATTCTAACCAGCCAAGGGAAGCACTAACACGGATTGGTTTCTAATATTAACTATCACCCCCACAGCTAAGCCTGAGTATGAAGCTCATCTCTATCAGTTATCAGCTGACCGACCTTGGATAAATTACTCAATCTTTTTGAGTTTCAGTTCTTGCGTAAAAAGATATAACTGTTATACCTCCTCGAGGCATATCACAGATTAAATGAGATCACATATGTAAAGGGCATTTAGGGTAATCTGAAGTTTCTCTGCAGTTTCTGCATCTTGGCCTAGGATTTTTAATCCCTTAGGAAAATTCTGTCTATCTTCTGGGTAGTTTAGGGTTAGTATGGCTCAGAGCCCTACCCTGGTCCTCTTGTCCTGACATTAATTGAGTTAGAAATAAGGTAGTGCTCAATATCATGCTATATACCACTGCTCTTGGCACCCTTAAATCCAGCCATACTCAATACCCCCAATATTCCCATTTGATTCACTAATGACTCAAGCTGTCAAGTACAGTAGAAAAGGTAACTTTTTTTTTTTTTTTTTTTTTTTTTTTTGCAGAAAACTGCAAGCTCAAAACCAGTTTTAAACCTCATTCCAGGTCTGTTTAAAGCAGTGTTCTCAAGTGGGGGTGATTTTGTCTCTTAGAGAACATGTGGCATGTCTGGAAATATTTCTGACTGTCACAATTTTGGGGGCAGTCTGGGATGGTGCTACTGGTACATAATGAGTGGAAGCCACGGATGCTACTGAATGTTCCACAATGCAAAGAATGCACCTGTTCCAAATGTCCATAGTGCTGAGGTTGAGAAAGCCTAGTTTAGAGGTAGCCAGTTGGACAAAATCATGTTGGAAGTAGGGGGATTCTCTTGGCTTTAGAATCCTACTGTTTATTGAGTCTGAGAAAAGCCTGGATAGAGGAGGCGTTCAATGGGATCTGAAAAATATTTTAAAACTGAGCTGCTGTTATGAATTCAGAGAAGCATATTTGCCTTTTAGACAAAAAGATGTGGGGCCTCTTGCATGCCAAAAATTTGCTCAGGGTTTGCTATGCGGCAGC
This sequence comes from Homo sapiens, assembly GCF_000001405.40. Classification (NCBI taxonomy): domain Eukaryota; kingdom Metazoa; phylum Chordata; class Mammalia; order Primates; family Hominidae; genus Homo; species Homo sapiens. The sequence goes on from NC_000007.14 coordinate 134,724,066, forward strand.
AGGAGAATCTGTCCATAAAAGGGATGGACTTTGCTGCCCAGAGGGATTCCCTTCAAGGGTTTCCCTTGTGAGCCTGAAGAATCACTGGGAAAGGGCAAGCCTGGCCAGCTTCGAGTTCCAGCCCCTCACCAAGGCGTGTTTATATTTCTCCGGAGGTGAGAGTGAATACACTTTAGGGAAGGGAAGGCACTCTAGCCCTAAAAAGGGGTTGTTTAGCAACCATCTTCTTGTTTCTTGGATATGAAGATTAACCAGCTTAGCTGGGAAAGGCCTTTGAGAAGGGAACCTAGGTTTAATATTCAGGGGAAGCTGAGAGAAAGGCATCACTGAGGGGAGAGCGCCTGGGGTTGTAGCTCAGAAAGATATAAGTCTGAACCTCAGCTCCTCCAGCTGTGGACTGACTCTGTGACCTTGGACAAAGAAAGGAAAAATAACTAAGATTACAGCACACCTACTGTATGCCAGACTTGATGGTAGTGTTGCATATGCAATATGATTTCACTTTATTTTTACAATAGCACATGAAAATAGTTTAGCTAAATCATATAGTCAGTAGCTGGCTAAAGAACTCTTGGTTTGTTTGACTCCAAGGTCCACGATTCTTCTATACCACACTGTCTCCCAAAGTCCTTAGCTTCTTTAAGCCTCAGTTTCATTGCTTGTGAAACAGGTACAGAGGAAGATTAGGAAAGTGAATTTAGAACAATCCAGTATGCTTCAGCCAGCACTCCTCCAGGGGGAGCTCCATACTCCTTCCTCCTTTCTACTGCCCTCTCCCTCCTCTTCTGAGGTTGGATGGCCTTAAGAACGTGTATCAGCCATTCACACCCAGGGGGACATCAGTGTGCTGAGAACAAGGTCCTGTGCCTAACCAGGAGGCTGGCTTCTGCATCCTTCTCTTCCTCTGCAAAGCTTCAGCTAATTCCCTGTGTCTAGGAGCCAAGAGGTGGGTGCAGTCAACCCCCTCTTCTTGTGGCCTCCCTTTTCTATTTAATTTCTGAGAATGATGACATGAGGTGGCCTAGGGATTGCTCCTGACAGCCAGAAAGAACTGTAATCTCTTTCACTCCTCAAACACCATTCTCCAGGGCCACAGCCCTGGCCTGAGTACCTATGTGGACAGCCCAGACTAGCTCTATTCAAGGCCTCAAAGTAAGCCTTTCCTTAATTCAATATTTCTGGATCTTAGTGCAGAAATTGACAGTGATATCTCTCCTCAGGCCTGTCATCCATGGAACAAAAGGAGGTGTCCATGGGTTCAACCTATCTCCCTGGATTCTACATTCCATGTGGGATCCAAACCATCCTGAAAACGAAGTGTCACTTTGTCTGTTTTATAATTTGTATGCATCTCTCTCTCAAAGGGCTTTTCAAAAGTGGGTGATTTAGGGCAGGATTTGCAATTCCTCAATTTCCTGAGCATGTATAGCATTAATATCACCCTTAGATTCTGTGGTACCCCCAATTCTAACAGTTGGTGCTTGACAAATATCACTCTTCAGTGCTCTTGTCCCACCTAACAAAGCTGAAAACAAGACCTGAAAGGATCAATTTATTTCCAAGGGCAATGGGCTGAATGGTGGCCCAAAGACATTGGATTTTAATCCCTGGAACCTATAAATGTCACCTTATTTGAAAAAAGAGTCTTTACTGATGTGATTACCTTAAGGATCTTGACATGAGAATAACATCCTGGATTATCTGGCTGGGCCCTTGATGCCACCACAAGTGTCATCATAAGAGTGAGGCAGGAGGAGATTAGATGTACGCAGAGGAGAAGGTGCTACAAAGACAGAGGCACATTGGAGTGACGTGGCCAAGGCACTACCAGAAGCTAGAAGAGGTCAGGAATGAATTCTCTTCTAAAACCTCTATGGGGTCCCCTGATGACACTTTGCTTTCAGACTTCTGGTCTCTAGTACTGTGAAATAATAAATTTCTATTGTTTTAAGCTACTAAATTTGGGTAATTTGTTACAGCAGCATTAGAAGACTAATACACCAAGTAACTTAACTGAATCTTATAACAAAACCCAAGAATACTTATAGGAATACACCATTATTCAGCACCTAACAAGATAAAATCCACAATGGCTAACATCCCACCAAAAATTACCAGGCATGCAAAAAAAGCTGAGAAATACAACACATAAGGAGAAGAAAAATCAGCTGAAACTGATTCAGAAAAGACTCAGATAATACAATTAGCATATATAACTATATAAGCATATATAAATATATAAGAATATATTAATATATTAGCATATATAATCTTAATTGATCTTTATATATTATATGTATATAACTTAATATAATATATATCTTTTTATATATTATATTATATAGCTTTATATATATAATATATATTATATAGCTTTATATATATAATATATATTATATAGCTTTAGATATATAATATATATTATATAGCTTTAGATATATAATATACAATATATTATATATATATATAAAGATCAGGACACGGATGCTGCCAGGGATACAGCTGAAATACAGAATTATGTTACAAAAGGACAAAAAGGAGAACATTGGCAGACAGCTGGCAGTTCTAGCCATCACCATAAAAAAAAAATTTGTATCACCAGTTGTATTAGTCAGGGCTTTATAATTGCAAACAACTCAAACAGATGTGGTTGATTTCAGCAGAAAAAGCATTTAATAAAAGGGTATTGTGTATTTCACAGACTTCAAAACCAGGCTTAGAAATTGAACAGGGACAAATGAGGCCTGGCAGCAGCCAGGACCACAGCTAAAATCTTGCTCCAGAGCCCATCTAGTGAGGATAATGCTGGACGTCACAGCTCACCCCTGAAGTCACCATCACTCCACATCTGGTGCTCCTCAGCCACTGTTGTCACTAGAAAGTCCACATTGTTGGCAGTACTGCCGCCAACCTCCAGAAATGTTCCTCCTCCTCACAGCTTCTTTGCACTACTAGAAGGGTGCATCTGCCAGGAAGAGCTCAGTCATATTCTGAACCCCAACTGCAAGGGAGACTGGGAAATGAGCCTTCCACTTCTACAGTGGGAAGCAAGTTTTGCCTCTCATCAAGATTTACAGGAAAAGAAATCTTCTGGAAACCTGAAGAGGGTACAGAATCTGAACTATCAGATAAAAAGGAAAACTAATAACAATAGTAATTGACAAAGATCTGTTCCATGGATTCAGATTCTACTGATGTTAGTGAGAGCCATGTGCTTTGCAAGTCAAACAGGCGATCGTAGCACATGCAACTCATCTTCTGCTCCTCAGGACCCTCTAGTCACATGCCCACACCCGTCTTTGCTTCTTACTCCTGTCAAAGAACAAAATTTTAACAAATGGAGTTTTAAAGATCAAACTATCAAACCAGCTTTTCTTAGTTCATAAACTGAACATCATCTAGTCCACAAAATAGACAGGAGCTCTGCCAGGCATGGCGGGAACAGTCCATTTTTATAAAGTAGCTTGAGCAGGAAGAACAAGCAAAGTCCATTTTTAAAAAGTAGCTTGAACAGGAGGAACAAGGAAACAGCATGGGGCAAAAACCTGGTTAACATCAGGTTACTTTCCTTGCACGGATTAAAGCAGAGCGGACTTCCTTCACATGCCGGCTCAGGTTGGCTGGTTGCTGTGAATCTCATTGGGTTTTTTGGGAAAACTGGCCTGTCTGGGGGTTTGGCTATCATCTCTCTCCTGACTTCTCACATAGTACAAGTGAAAAGCTTAGTTCTCAGTTTGGTGATGAGGAGCATTAGCATGAATGATTCTATTTTGGGTTGGTCTGTTGGGACCTAGTGCAGAAGAAGCTCGGCCCAAATGAGTGGTCTTCCATAAGTTTTCTTTAACTTTGCTAATGAGTAGATTTTAGTCAGACATATTTGAGGTTTATGAGTGATCCTGAAGAAGTAAACGATCCAAGTCTGTGTTATGAACTTCCTATTTTTGGTGATTTTTCTTTGCTAACATTAGTTACTTTATGGACGTCCTATTAAATGCCAACTGATTTTCTTTGTATTCAGCATGGAGAAAAGTAAAATCTAAAAAGAGAATGGTGATGAGTTCTTTGTGCTATAATACTCAATGTAGAGAATGACGTTGAGCCTATTTGGCCTGACCAACCTGCTTCCTGGATTAAGTCTTGATCTGATCAAAGACAAACTTCAGCTGAATTAAATTTAAAAGAGTTCAATTGAACAATGAACGATTCACGAATCGGTCAGCCCCCTGAGCCAGAGTATGCTTAGAGACTCCAGCACAGCCACGTGGTAGAAGATTTATGGACAGAAAAAGGAAAGTGAGGTACAGAAAACAGAAGTCAGGCACAGAAACAACCTGCTTGGTTACAGCTCAGCGTTTGCCTTATCTGAACATAGTTTGGACAGTGGCTACATTTAACTGGCCGAAACTCAGTGATTTGAACAAGTGTAGGCTACAGTCTGTTTACACCTCCACTTGTTATAGTTGACGATATACAGAGGAACATTTAGGCCGAACTTAAAATATGTAAGGAGGCAGCTTTAGGCTAAACCTGATTGAACAGATCTGTGATGATTCTTAAGCAGTCACCCCCATTCTTCTTAATTCAAAGGAAGCATTAGACCAGAGAGTATCTGACTGGAAAGACCAGTGTTTCCAACAGCTGCATTTGGGATGGAAAGATCTCTAGACTCTTCCTGTCCCTATCGTTCTATCCCTTGAGGTTAATTCCTTTGGCCCTTCCATGAAGCTCTGATTAAAATACAAAAATCACAGGAGGAACAACTGATAAAATATACCTTTTCTTTTTTTTTTTTTTTTTTTTTTTTTGACCCAGAGTCTTGCTCTGTGCCCAGGCTGGAGTTCAGTGGCACAATCTCGGCTCACTGCAACTTCCTCCTCCCTGGTTCAAGCAATTCTGGTGCCTCAGCCTCCTGAGTAGCTGGGACTACAGGCACCTGCCACCATGGCTGGCTAATATTTGTATTTTTAGTAGAGACTGGGTTTCACCATGTTGGCCAGGCTGATCCTGAACTCCTGGCCTCAAGTGACCTGCCCACCTCAGCCTCCCAAAGTGCTGGGATTATAGGCATGAGCTGCCACGCCTGGCCAAAAGACATCATTTTTAACACCTTCAAGGAGTGAGATTTTAGGTAATAACTACTACTTACTGGCACTACAGAGTGCTTCCTGCACAACTTAGCACATTCTTCTTCATACAAGCCCTATCATAGAGTAGTATTATTACTCCATTTCTACAGATGAGGAAAGTAAGGGACAGAGAAGTCAAATGACTCACCCATGGTCACCCAGCTAGTAAATGGTGGAGCTGGGACTCAAAATCCCAAAGGTGGTTTCCGATGTCTACCTGTTTAATCTGTGTCCTCTGCTGCCTCTCACCTCGGATAGTGGTGGCACAGGGCACAGGGCAGGTAAGTACCCATAAACGGGAGAAGGGTGTGGCACGCAGCCCCCGAGGGCAGGCCCAAGTCTAGATGGGAACTGTGCCTGTGAGGGGACACACAAGGAAGATTTGAAGGGCCGTACAGTGCAAGTCTCCCCCTGGCCAAGGGCCTCCCTTCTTTCTGCCTGGCAGGCCACAGCCCTCTTGTACAGATGGCCTCTGCCACAGGACACTGCCTTCTGAAGAAGTCACCAATAAAACCAGCAGATTCTTTCTGCTACCTTGAAGTCCAAGAAGAAAGGCAGAGGACAGGGGCAATATCAAGAGGAGCTTTGAGTGATGCTTAAGGAGGTGGAGAATTACTTGCTGCCTATTGAAAGCAAAGATAGCAACATGTGTAACAGTGAGAAAAGCCCCTGCTTTTCTCAGAAAGAAGGAAAGCTGCTGGGGTCAAATCTAGACTCTGGATGGAGAGTTGGATGGGATTTATGCTCCTGGATGGTGGGCTCTGTGGACCCGGAGCCCCAGAGTGCGGTCCCTGAAGACAGAGATTCCCAGAGCACCATGTAAACAGACACAGTCACAGATGAGAGAGCAGAGGACATGAGGCGGCTGCTGCCTGGGGAATGTCTTAGCTCTGAAGGGAATCTGAAACTTTAGTTCTGGGAGCCTGCCCCATTCAGCAAAAGGCCTGAATCCAAACCAGGATTCAAATCCTGTCCTCATTCATTCTCTGTCTCCCTGCTTGCTCCCTCCCTGCCTCCCTCCCTCCCTCCCTCCCTCCTTTCCTCCCTCTCTTTCTCACAACATTCACAGCGTTTGCCTCTAAATATAAATCAAACATCCAGAAACATTAGAGGATAAGTAAAGAGAACCGAAAGAAACAAAATCATACCAAACAACCCTTTCGTTTTCCCAACCAGACCAGGGACTGGTGGAGGAAAACAGAAAGGCTCCTGACAAATCCATCATGTAAGGACCCCAACTTCCCAATTCTTTCATCCTCACAAGAGCATTAGGAACTATCCACGGGTTTTACAAGCAGTAATGCAAGCACCACACTGTGGTGCAAGCTCCTTGAAAAGCCCAGACTTATGGCACTTTGATAACAGATCATATCTCAAAAATGTCTTCTCTCTGCCATCCAGTCTTTGGAAGAAACACAGAAACTAGCAAGATGGATTAGTCTATTTATAATTTTTTTGGTCTGACTCATCTTTTAGAATAAAAAAATAAATAAAACATTGACTGGTTAATACCATAATTAGGAACAACACAAGTTATAAAATAGCAATGGAGATGGTAACTTTAGGATTAAAATAGACTTTTGGCTCTCATGATTCCTAAGATTTTATATGTCAGACAGGCTGGAATGTGCCTGGGGGTTGAGGGGGAGACATCCAGCTTTAGATTATGTGGGCCCAAAGGAAAAGCTCCTTCTCCTAGCTCCCACCTGCCTCTCCCACCCCACCTATCCTACCTCATTGTTCATCTATTGCCACCTCCAGCATCTGGTCTACCTCCTTTATTTCCCTCATTCCATGCCGTCTACCCTAGATATCTCTGGTTCTGTCATCAACAGCACACCTCACCCATGTTACAGCACCTTCCTCCTCCACAGCTAACCTGCCATTTAGCCTCCCAACATCCAGCTGGGAGCCTCCCAACATCTCCTCCTGCCTGCCTTGAAGCTTTGCCCCATCAGTTTCCACATGCTCTTCCACACTCTCTCTCTCTTACCCTCTCTTTGGCTCTACCACTGGATCTTGCTCCTCTGTAATCATGCTCAAGTTTATGCTATTCCAAACCAGCCAACCAATGAAAACAAACAAACATAAAAACACTCTTCTTCCATTTTGTCTCTCTCCCTAAAGCAAGTTTCCCTGCTTGCTTTCTCTTCACCGTCTTTCAAACTTTTCTTTGAAAAGTCAACTTGTCATCTGCTTCCTTTCTGATACCACCCATGGCATTCTTAATCCCTGCAGTCTGGCTTCAGCTCTGAATGCTCCATAATAATATTATTAAAGATCAGTGATCAGTCAGTTACTGAATGCAGTGTTTTATTTTGTTCTCATTTTGCTTAATTGCTTTACATGATTGACCCTGTTGCTCCACTCCTAACCATGTCCCGCTATGAAATTCTCACCCTCTTTGGCTTCCCTGATAATGTACTATTTTTATTCCCCTTTCATCCCTGTGTCTCCTCCACTTCCTTTTTTTTTCCAGCTCCAAATATAAGTTTTTTCTAAGAATCTGCTATTGACCTTTTTTTGCATTCTCTCTTCTCTCTGCTTTCTTGGTGAATTCACTCAGTCTCATGTTTAATTCTTCCTTCTTCGTGACACATTTCTGAAACCTCCTCTTTGCAGTCTGGCTTTACTAACTCCTTTCTGAAAGTTTCCACCCATATATTCTACAGTGTGCTGATCTTAATGGGTTTCAGACTAAATTTATCCCTTGCCACACACATTGTTTATTTTTTCCAATTTCTATTCATCAAAATTTTTCTTTCTAATGGCACCAGCTCAAAAGATTGATAAAATCTTTCATTCTTTCCTCTTTTCTTGTCTCACATCTGATTAGTAGTCAAGTCCTATCAATTTTGTTGAAAACATAGCTTTTCTGTTTGTTGTTTTCTTTTTATTTCCACTGATAGCTCTCTAGTTCATGGTTTGACTTTCTCCTACCTTATTTAATGCAATAATTTCCTAACAGGTCTCTCTGCTTTCAGTCTTACCCTACTGAGCTGCAACTTATACCTGACACACTGCTGTACATCAGTCTTTCTGAAGCACACGTCTAAGCTGGGCATTTTCCTGCCCAAATACTTTCAAGGGCCACCCAATGCCTAAAGCTTACACAATGTATTTAGGGACCTGCTATGGTCTGAATGTTTGAGTACTGGTGAAATTCATATGTTGAAACAATCACCAATATGATAGTATTAAGAGGTGGGGGCTTTTGGGGGCGATTAAGCCATGAGGGCAGAGCCCTCGTGAATAGGATCTGTGCCCTTATAAAATAGGCTTAAGGGAGGCTGTTGGCTTTTCCACCAAATGAGGACTCACAGAAGGTGCCATCTATAAGGAACAGGCCCTCATCAGACACTGGATCTGCCAGTACCTTGATCTTGGACTTCCCAGCCTCCAAAACTGTGAGAAATAAATTTATATTGTTTATAAATTACCAAATCTAAGATATTTTGTTATAGCAGCCTGAATGGACCAAGACAGGTTCTCTACCTCTGTCCCCAAATGACACTTCCAATTTTATTTCTCAAGAGTTTTTGTTTCTCACTCCAGTTCTTTACTTAAGCTACCACCACATAATCCCATGCTATATTTTTATATCTAAAGACAGCAAGTAACAAAAATCCTCTAACTCAAGTGTACTTAATCACTAACTAAATGTATCGTCACACATAAGAAATTCTCAAGCGGGATGGGCCCAGGCCTGGATGTGCGCTCTGGCTGTGCTTCTTAGCAAATCTCTTGGCAGGAGTGCACGCTCCTTTGCTGATGATCTCCTAGCATTCTGGAACTCACACGACACTGATCACACTAGGCTTTGTGTTAGAATTACCTGTTACACATCTCACTCCTATTGGGACTGCAGGGGCCTCCAATAAATTACACCCTTCTCCTCTCCTCTTGAGCGCTGAACCAAAGAAGAGAGGGGAAGGAGCGGCAGATAGGATCAAAACACAATGCTTTATTTTTAATAAAACTGTCTCTGAAGGAAGTGGCTTTGTTGTGCTACAATTATAGGCTTCCTAATGCATGGAACCCAGTGCTCAAGAGCAAACGGCAGAGGGGAGGAGCCCCAGCAACACCTCCAGATCGGTTCCTTTCTGAAAAGTTAGATCTGGGTAACTCACTTCTCTATGGAGATGAGTTACGGGTGGCACAAGAGCCCAGAGGAGTTTATGGGAAAAATGTCTTTCTAGAAGCCACAGAACTGTTTTCAGAATTCCCAAATCCTCTTGACAAAACTATAGACTTCTTAAAGCTGAGGACTATATTTTGTACGTCTTTTTATCCCCCACAACAATACCCATATTGGGTGTTTAAAAATGTCTGCTAGGCCGGGCGCGGTGGCTCAAGCCTGTAATCCCAGCACTTTGGGAGGCTGAGGCGGGCGGATCATGAGGTCAGGAGATCGAGACCATCCTGGCTAACATGGTGAAACCCCGTCTCTACTAAAAATACAAAAAAATTAGCCGGGCGTGGTGGTGGGCACCTGTAGTCCCAGCTACTGGGGAGGCTGAGGCAGGAGAATGGTGTGAACCTGGGAGGCAGAGCCTGCAGTGAGCTGAGATCGCACCACTGCACTCCAGCCTGGGTGACTGAGCGAGACTCTGTCTCAAAAAAAAAAACAAAAAACAAAAAAAAACAAAATAGGTCTGCTAAATGATATTAAATTATATAATGTCATAATTGTTATATAGAAGTCACTATGTAATAATATATAACCTTCAGTTTGTATAATATAACTTATATAGTATAAATTTGCTATATTATAGTAATATAAAATATACATAGCATATATTATATAGTTATTTATATTAACCCATTACATTAAACTTTAAAAGCCATTAATATGCAGCAGTGACATTACCAGAGCCTTACAGAGGTGAAGCTGGTCATCACACAGGAAAACAAATTATTCTTGAGCTTCCATAGCATGAGGAGAGGGTCACAGAGAAAATAGACACACTTCTAATTTCTTTGGGTATCCAGAGGCTATCATCAAATTAAAACAATGTTTCCTATAAAGAATTATTTCTTAAAATCATATCCAAGCTGCCAGATTTTTATTTCTCTCCAAAATTCATGAGGAAATTTGTTCATTTTGGTTTCTAGGAGTGCACTACTTTGTACTACTGTTTACTGTGGTTTTTGTTTTTTGGGTTTTTTGTTTTTACTATGGAAATGCTTTAATTGAGGTGTCTTCACAGCATGCCATGTGAAGACACAAAGAACAGCAAGTGCACACATGGTGAGACATGGCTATCTGCGAAAAGAGTGTAAGTGAATAAGGAGTTCGTGCCACTTCCATCCTTTACCCAGTGATATGATTTGTCTATGTCGCCACCCAAATCTCATCTTGAATTGTAGCTTTCATAATCCCCACACATTGTGGAGGGACCCGGTGGGAGGTAATTGAATCATGGGGGTGGGCCTTTTGTTTCCCGAGCTGTTCTTGTGATAGTGAATATGTCTTACGAGATCTGATGGTTTTATAAATGGGAGCTCCCCTGCACAAACTTTCTTGCCTGCTGCCACATAAGATGTGACTTTGCTCCTCCTTTGCCCTCCACCATGACTGTGAGGCCTCCCCAGCCATGTGGAACTGTGAGTCCATTAAACCTCTTTCCTTTATAAATGACCCAGTTTCGGGTATGTCTTTATTAGCATGTGAGAACAGACCAATACACCCAGTAACAGAAGGCTCTAAGTCACCTCCTCCTCATCCCACTCCTTAAACGCTCCCTTCCCCTCAGCCGTGGCATCATGGTACTGTTGGTAGGCAAACACCAGGTCATTCATATTGCACTTGGCCTCAGTGAACTCCATCTCGTCCATGCCCTCATGTACCAATGCAGGAAGACCTTGTGTCTGAAAATGGCAGAGAACCACTCCTGAATGGTTGTGTTGCTGATGAAGGTGGCGCTGTTCTCTGGAGAAATACACTTTGTGCCATCCAAGACTCTTTGTATCTGGATATGAAAACTGGTGTTTGACATTCATTGTTTTCAATTTTCATTAAGATGGTTGGTGTCAGGTAGAGGCAGCATGAGTGTATCTCTTTGAAGTGCCTTGATATTGATGTAGTTTTGAATAGCACTTGATTCAAAATGTAGATACATTCATCTGTTTGGAGTGGTCTTGATGGGAAAGTTCATTGCATATTAACACACACCATTCAGTATATTTGAATAACTGAGTTTGTATGGGTGAAATATTGAAGTAAACCTGGAAACATAAACTTGGGTGGTAATGCCATATATGCGTACAATCTGGTGAGTGTGTGTGTATCATACAGCACACTTATTTGGATAACAGTTAAACACTCCTACAGGAATGCTATTTCTCTCTTTCTTTCCCTCCCCACTACCCTCTGTGTGTGTGTGTGTGTGTGTGTGTGTGTGTGTGTGTGTGTGTGTAGCTCTCAGTGGAACTTGTTCTTAGCAGAAATAAATTTACATACTTATTCCAAGCACTATGAGGTTTCTAGTATTGCTCCTGGGACTTGGTTTACACACTGTCCTATTGCCGTAAGGGCAATTGACATTCAAGTTGAATTTGGAACTTTTTTCTAAAATGTTGTGGCTACCTGGGATTAAACATTGCTAGGAGGTAGAGATATATAACTCCAAAAAGTCCAGCTGGGGTACACTTTATAAGGAGTTTGATAAAGTCCTTAAACACTATCCTATGCAGAAATACCTTGGGGACATTGAAGAGTACTCACTGCATAACGACAATATTACTACTAAAAGGAAAAATTCCACCAACACACTGAGCAGAAATCTGTAAGAGCGACTCATACCTAAAACCCAAGAATAGGGAGAGACAAAATGCAATATTATTAAAGGAAACATCTTTTTCACAGTTTCTGGAGCCTCATTGCTTCCTGCATACAGTGCTTTCCGTGGGAAATGGGAATGTAAGCCTTTCTCCTTTATGTGTCTATTGCAGGAAAAGAGTGGAGGCAAAGGTTCCTTTCTGCTTCAAAACTATCACCATTGACAACAAAATCCAAAGCAAATATCCCCCTCAAATGAAGAGAATAAGTGTATTATAACTGAACATTTAGGATGACATTCAAAAATCTCATGATAGAGGCTTGAGGTCAGTGGGAGCCTATTGAAACCCTTTGAATACTTGCCTATGTCTGTAAGAGTATAGAGCTACAGAAAAATGTACACACACGAACATGCACCCTCAGCTCCCTCCACTTCATTCATGCAGCTCCACACTCTACAGACTCCCAGACTGATCCTTTGCAAAATGGGGCTTCTCAGCAATAGGACCTCTCTCTTTCCTTCCATGCCTTAGAGACTCCAAAGAGAAATCACATGTTTTCTTACAGATAGGCAAAATGAGTCTCATTCTCTCTCCCTTAAAGAACAAAGCTAAGTAATATCATCTGGCCAGTGGCATCTGATCTGGCTAATAGTAACTGTCAAGACGACCTTAAATACCCAGAGAACAAAGACTGACAGTGCTTGATGGTGGGTACATCACAGAGAGGATGGGCCTGGATACATTTTTATATACGCTATTCAGTTTCACTATGCATCTTTGCTGTAAGAATTCATGCTTTTCATCCAATTAGAAATTTCTGGCCATTGCTTTCTCTAATATTGCCTCAGCTCCATTCTTTCTTCATTTCTAGAAATCATTTTAGACTTCATTAAAGTTTCTCATGCTGTCTTTTCTATATTAACTTCTCTTCCAAATTTTTCAACCCTTTATTTTTCTGTGCTACCTTCACTGTGTTGCTTTAGCTTGGTCTTCTTGTTCACTAATTCTTCTTCAGATGTATCTAATTTACTATTTAGTTCATCCATTTATGTATATATATCTGGATAAGTATTTGAGAGATATATATCTCAAATATATATGTGAAATATATATCTTCAAGCAAATGACATCTGATTTGGCTAATGGTAACTACATATATACTTGTTTTGAGACAGGGTCTTGATCTGTCATCCAGGCTGGAGTGCAGTGGCACTATCACAGTTCATTGCAGCCTTGACCTCCTGAGCTGAAGCGATCTTCCCACCTCAGCCTCCTGAGTAGCTAGGATTACAGGTGCACACCACCACACCCGGCTAATTTTTGTAATTTTTTTTTGTAGAGGCGGGGTTTTGCCAACTTTCCCAGGCTGGTCTTGAACTCCTGAGCTCAAGAAATCCTCCCACCTTGGCTTCCCAAAGTACTGGGATTACAGGCATGAGCCACTGCACCTGGCCTCCATTAAGTTCTTAGTTTAAATAACTATGCATTTTATTTCTACACTTTCTATTTAGTTCTTTAAAAAAAAATCTGCCTTTTTTTGGTCATGGTATTGTTTATCTTGTGGATTTCTTTCCTTCTGTAATGTCTTCAATCATTCTAAACATGCTTATTTTGTATTATCTTTTATGTTGTTGTTCTAGAGCCTCGGTTTCTTGGGAGGCAGGAGGTAGTGCTCGTGAATTCTAATGTGAGTAGTATCTACAGACTCCTGCCCAGGATGGATTATTTCCTCCAGTGTTTTGTAATTCCTTTTATTGTGAGCTCATTTCGTGTGGGCTTGCTTGCTCCTGTGAAACCACCTTGCATTCTGGATGGTGGAATGTCTCTCTGGAGTATTTTTGTAATTGCTTCTGCCAGCCATTCCAAAATATTATTAGCCAGGGACCAGTTTTTACATTAATTTCTTGGCTTGGAACTTTCTGGGCTATTCCAATAGGGTAATTTTAAAAACCAAATTCGTATGTAGAGTAGGTCCAGAGTTTCATATTCTCAAAGATTTTGAAAGATGTTTTTTTCCACAAAGAGAGACAAATGTGTTTCTGTGTCATCCTGCTATGCTGGTTGAGAAATTTCTTTTTTTCTGGTTCATATCCTCCCTGACGGTTCAGGCCTCCAAGGGTGTTGGCTTTATGAGGAAGTCTCATTTCCACCCCCATCTTGTTCAGGCTCAATGCTTTATCTCCTGTGGTCATTAAAACCCAAGTTCCACAGAATCTGAAGCTCTGTGACTCACTCCAATTCTGCGGGAAATGGAGAATCAGTTCACACGCTAACTTGCTTGGTTTCATTCTTTCTCTTTCTGTGATTTCCCCTTCTTTCTGTGATCTTAGTTTTGCATAAAAAATTGTTTTGTTATATTTGATCCTCAAATCCTAGGCATACACAAAAGGCAGAGTTTCCCAGTGATTTCAGCCTGCCATCTCATCAGAATTAGAGGTTCTTTCATCTACGCTTTATGTTTTCTTCAGTTTGACTGTGAGATTTTCTGGCTTAACAATTGTTGACAGCCCACGTGTTGCGTGTGGAATAGTCTAAATTCCCTGTCCTTGCATTTAAGGTCATCTATTATCTGGCCTCCAATTAAATATATTTTCTAGTAGTTTTAGTGAAGATTTTGATTGTTCGCTGTTGAAAATTCTTATTAACAAATTAGATGAGAGCTGTCTGGTATATAAAACTGTCAGATGGATCCTCAACTATAGGACCAGCATCGCGGCATGTCAAGATAATTTTAATCTTGATTCTGTCAACTCTGTTATGTCTCTTTTAAAGTCCCCTCTAGACTTGTGTCATTGCACATTTGATCAGCATACCTACTGCTTCCTCATTCAAGGTACTGATACAAATGTTGGCCAAAAGGAGTCTAAGAGAATAGCGCAACAGTTCAATTGCAGAGCCCTGGGCAGACTTAATTGTGTCCACTAATCATTTTGGGTATGATTGTTCAAGTAGTTTTGAATTCATTCTGAAGTTTTGAATTCTTACCATGTGCAAGTGTTTTTATTTATTTTAGGATTCGTTGTATCAATCCACAACTTAGCACATGTCCTGGTCTCGACAGGCACTCAATGCCTGCTGCTTAAGTTTAATTATGGAGGGAACATTGGTGACTGGACTTCAAGTCATAGAAGCAACGTAAGTGGGGCAGAGCTTTACTTTGAATGGTTTTTGGAGCTTGTCTGTTTTCTATAGTGGGAAACAAGCAAAAACTATATGGAAGAGATCAGCCCACACAATGTGACACAAATGGGCACAAACAAAAGGGATTTAGCAACGGACAAAATGGACCAAGATAGTCTCTTAAGCCTAGCAATTGTACAGTTCTGTGACTTATCCAAGGTTACATTTACCCAATAAATGATGGACCTGGAATTAGAACCTAGGTCTTATCACTTCTGATCCATCAACCCCCTATACTGTCAGGTTTAATACCATACTTAACATGAAATAGCATGTGAGTCCCACCTAAACTATGTTTTCTATCTGTTTTTAAGCCAAGCTTGCTGTTCACTTTCTGGTTTTGCTGGGCATATACATGAAATGCACTTCCCAGCCTCCCGTGCAGGTAGGGTGGTCACGTGACTGATGTGCACTACTCCCAGGCCTGGACCATAAAAACATTCCACATGCCATCATCTGTCTCCTTTCCCCATTAACTGCTGACTTCCTAGAACTGCAAAGAACAAGAGGAGAAGGAAGCCACTAAATAGAAGAAATTAGATTTCCTTAATGACACATGGAAGGCAGCCTGTCAATCAGGATCACTTCATGTGACTTCACGTGAGTGAGAAATAAGCTTCCGTTGTCTTAAGCCACTGAGATTTTGGAGGCTCTTTGTTGAGGCAGGCAAATATTCTAGCAAATGCACCTTCAAACTAAAGCCTCAAATTGGAGTCCAAGAGTAACAATCAAATGGCATAATTTTATTCTTAAGTCACCTATTAAATGATGTCCACTACATTCTTCACTGATAATCTAGATGTAGAAATTGATATTCTTATAAAATTTAAGGGAGATACAAGCATTTCAGGAACATTTCAGATAAAATAATCTTCAAGAATGTCATAGACCCAGTGTAACTTCATATCAGCAAGGTATTTTGAATAAAATGATGAAATAGGGATACCTCTCAATGAATTTAAAACTACTTGAACAATCATACCCAAAATGATTAGTGGACACAATTAAGTATGCTGAGGGCTCTGCAATTGAACTGTTGGACTATTCTCTTAGCCTCATTTTGGTCAACATTTGAATCAGTGCCTTGAATGAGGAAGTAGTAGGTATGCTGATCAAATATGCAATGACACAAGTCTGGAGGGGATTAAAAAAAAAGACATAAGAGAGTTGACAGAATCAAGATTTAGAATTATCTTGACATGCTGCAATGCTGGGCCAAGACTAAAAACACAAAATGTAATAAGGATAAATGCAAAGTCTTATTTTTAGGTCCAAAAAAGAATTATAGGGATACAGGATGGAGAACATGCAACTTGGCAGCAGTTGATGTGAAAAGGCCCTGGGGGTCTTGTTTGACCAAAAGCTTCATGTGAGCCAACAGTGTGATATGGCTCCACAAACTTACTGCATTAATGGAAGCATTGTGTGATGATCGTGAGAAGCGTTAGGCTCTGTGCTCCTCACATGGAATCTGGGACATTATTTTTAAATTCTGTGTACATTGGAACAGTGACAAACTAGAGACTACGCAGAGGAGGTGATGAGGATTGTGAATAAAGATGTCTCCTGGTTCTGCACCCAAGGCATACTGCTGGTAACCTTTTTCGTGCTGCACTACTCCTCCAGCTTTGTTCTATGGTCTGTCTTCTCCACTAGACTGCAAGCTCATTAGCAAAGGGATAATAATAGCAATACCACCAACAATGGTTGGAGTTAGCATTTATTGGATTCTTACCATGTGCAAGGCACTTCTCTAAATGCTTTACACATGGATCTTATTCAATCTTCACAGCAATTCTATGAAATTATTCTACTAGTGTCCCCATTTTATGGATGAATTGAGGCATAGCGAGGTTAGGTACCTTAGTAAATCTGGGGGTCAGGGCACAAAAATCAGTCATTTGGACTCTAGGACTGATACTCCTATCCCACATGCTATCTGCCCATTTGAGCTTTGTATTATTAGTCCATTCTCACACTGCCATAAGGACACATCTGAGACTGGGTGATTTATAAAGGAAAGAGGTTTAATTGACTCACAGTTCCATAAGGCTGGGGAGGCCTCAGGAAACTTACAGTTATGGTGGAAAGGGAAGCAAATACGTCCTTCTTCACATGGCAGCAGTAAGGAGAAGTGAAGAGGGGGAAAAGCCCCTTATAAAACTATCGGATCTTGTGAGAACTCATTATCACAAGACCAGCATGGAGGTAACCACCCCCATTATTCAATTACCTCCCACCAGGTCCCTCCCATGACACATGGGGATTATGGGACTACAGTTCAAGATGAGATTTGGGTGGGGACACAGCCAAACCATATTAGCTCTGAAACTCTTTGATCTCAAGCACTCAATTCATGTTCAATAGTTTTAATGGGTTTGAGTCAATTAACACATAAAAACAAAGCTATAGAAAGAACCAAAAAGGCAGAGTTACTCCCTGTACAGGGAGTTGCTTTAGTGCCCAATGCATATTTAAAAAAAAGATATAGATCCATGAGGTTTTGACACACCTGGGCACCAATGCTAGTAGTCACATGTGCAATAATAATCTGGTGTTTTTTACAGTTCGTTTTTTATTTTCAAAAGCCATTTTTAAAAACCTGGATGTCCTTTAATCCTCCAAATTGCCTTGTGAATTAAACGTGGCAAGTTAAGAGATGAGGAAACAAACCCTGAAACTTTATGTTTATTCACCCATCAGGGTATTTATTCAGCAAACATTCATTAAATGCCTACTATGTTCCAGTCACTATAGCAAGATCACAAGAACTTTGAAAGGTGGTGTTATTGTCTTCATTCTACAGTTAAGGATATAGAAGTCCTGAAAACTGCAGTAGCACTAGCACTATGAGGTATTGATACACACACACACACACACACACACACACACAGACACACACATTTGTGATGTATGTCTTGGCCCCACATTACATTTTTCTCTTTCAATGGGTGGAACTGGAACAGTCATTTCCTTGCTGCTTCATTGTTAAATTTCAAAAGTCTGTGCACTGGAAAGGGCTTAAGTGTTATCCAATTAGTAGTTTAGTAATAACTGGGTTCTTGGTTCCCAAGGTGATGTTCTTACCATGAGATAGGCTATGTGAAAAAACTCAAAGTGACATTCATGCAAAAGAAGGCCATTCCTAACAGTAACGATGAAAATGGAAATAAATGTCTATTAGTAAATGAGATCACCCTTGGAGAATGCTTTGAGATCTTTGGGGAAATGTGGTTGGGATGGGGGAGCATGCTGGGACACCTTCCCTCTGTGGGATCCAGACATTCCAGGCTCCCAGCCTCCCAGCTGTGGAATGTCTTGGAATGTGCTCGAAGTCCTGTGGGCTTTGAAGCCTGGGAGCAGTAGAGATCTGCTGGCAGGGGCTGGTTGGGGCCCACCTGGGATCTCTGGTGTGGTTCAGCAGCCCCCAGGGCTGGAAGGTGAAGAAACTAATAGGAAATGCAGAACTTGTCACCGCAGGCAGCCCTGAAAGCAGAGGTCAGCCTGGAGATTAAAGGAGAAACAGCGGTTCCTCTGCCCTTCTTACCAGTATCGAACATCTCAGCATAATTTCCCACAAAGACTGTCCAAGTGCCTTCCCTTTGCCCTGTCTCCACTGGAAGTTAGCAGTGTAACTAACACCTACCCTTCTTTTTTATAAATGAGCATCATCTCCCTGAGCAGTGTTCTGTTTCTTTAAGGTTAGGACTGCAGAGAGATTGTGGGAGGTGGCAGGGAAGGCTGGTGAGTACTGATAGTGGGAAGAGAGGTCCACCAGATATGGAGGCTCCTGGGAACCCTCCCTGCCTACCTTTCTGCCTCAGTTTGTAAAGCCACAAAAGCCAGCCCTTTACAGCAGCCTTTTAAAGTCAATCTAAGATCTTATACTCATAGGAAAAGATTTTTGTTTCTTTCCTGGGAGGCCTTAGGGATTTCCACATTTCCCAGCACTTCTCAGAAGAGAGCTAGTGGGAGGGGAAGATGACTGCTTTAAGTGCAGTTGGCGGAAACTTGGGGATCAGCCCCCTTGGCCCTGGCTTGGTTCTTCCATGAAGAAGCATCTTCAACTTTCATTGCCAAAGGGTGTTTTGCTTCTGTTGAGGGGAGGAGAAGATAGGAGAGGAAATAAAAGCACAAAAATGAAAAACAAAGAATTCCTGAAGGTCTGATAAGCAGTTCAACTATGCACCAAAACATAAATATTTGGCCAAATTAGTTACTCCAAATGCTTTATATTTCTAAAATCGAGCCTCAGTTTTGTTATACTTTGAAGTTTTTCAGCTCTTCACAATCCTGAGCAAATCTAAGGGGGGTGGGAATTGGAGTTCATTTCCTTCTCTGAGAGCTCAGCAAATACTTAACTTCTTTCCTCTGATGCCTGGTAAAGTGATCTTGCTGTTTTGTCGAACATCTCTTTCAAAGTGGAGATGTTCTCTGTGCAATGACTCAATTTAGCATTTTGTTAATGAAAGAGACATAAGCAGCATGTGCTGGATACTATTAGCTTGGAATCAATCAGAAAAGTGTTGCTGGTTATTAAAATATCTGTATCCTAACATAATCTGTGACAGTGTCTGTAGTCTAACTTCTGTCCACTTTTTGTTGAATTCACCTTTTGAGATTTGCATGACTTTACTTGTGGAGTTTCTCACAAATATAAGACTTAAATCTAGTTTATTTGCACAATCACATAGCAGAAATTACTTGTTCCCCGGGGCAGAAGAATTCACATGCGTAAAGTTGAGGTCTATTTTAGTATGATCCTCAAGCAGTTGGTTAATTTCCCCACTGAAGTCTTCTGATACAATCAATGAAAAATAGCCAATCAGATTAGTTGTTTGTGATCATTTTAAAAATAAGCGGGCTGTGTTAAGGTCTGGATGACAGCGGACCCCTCTTTTCCTGCAGCAGCCATGGTCGAGGGGAAGACCGAGGAGAGAAGATGCAAGAACAGGGCCTCAAGGTTAAGCCCTTGGCCAATGGTAAACCTTCTCTAGTAGCAGCTTGTAGTAATGAGAGAGATTTTTATTAAAGCAGACAATGGGTGTTGTTACACAGAACTGTCGCTTTTCTAGGGGAGGTAAAGTGGCTGAGGAAATATTCAAGCCTGCTCTCAGGCCTGAAATCTTTTGACTTCATTCTCAGGAGGCAAGACTGGGTCTACCTCTAGATGTCTCTGATGGGATTTAGTGTGCAGCTTGAAATGCAGGTTGGTTATTTAATGAAGAAAATCAGAAGTCTTGCCTCTTTAAAGTTGGTTTTAAACATTTATTTTATTTTTTTCTATCAGGAAGTCGTGTGTGTGTGTGTGTGTGTGTGTGTGTGTGTGTGTACATGTGCAGAAAGAATGAGAGAGAGCAAGATTAATTTAATAATTTTATGTATGAAATGTTGGACATATTGAAAGCAGAGGAGGTAACATCACATATGTAGATGTTACCTGAATTCCTCCAGAAACCAAGAAAAATTAAAGTAAGCTAATTAAAGTAAGTTTACTAGAGCAATATTCTTCACCAAACATTGGCAGAGTCGGCTTGGTTACCATGATAAATACCTGCAAGTCGTTCCCTAGAGGAGCCTCATCCTTTCCTTAGCTACACCCTTTGTTTCTGCTCTTCCTTGAAGAGCCTTGGAAGGCTTTTCTCTCTTTGCTCTTGAAAGGGCAGCTGAAATGCCTCTTCTCCAGGAAGCCTCTCCTGGAGAAAAGAAGCAGCCCACCTTTCTCTGGACTCTCATAGAACTTTACTTCCATGTCTTTCAGGCATGTGTTTAATTGTGCCACGTATCATAGTAATTTATGTTCAAATTTCTCTAATCACATTTATCTAATCTCTTCTACTGATTTATAAGCTCCACGAAGGCAAGATTTAGGATAGATTTCACTTTGTACCTCCACATGGATTTTAGCACTGTACCTTGCACCTTATAGGCACACAATAAGTGTGTGTTTAATTAATAAAATAAATGCATCCAAACCCACTTCTGCTGTACAGCAGTAACCTATAACCTAGGTGTTCTTACCAGAGAAGATAAAATTAAAACTCCATTTAAAAAGTTAATCAAATAAATACCTCCCTTATTTTCTCCATCCCAATTCAGTATCAGGCATCTTAAATTTGGTCAGAATTAGTTGACTAGTTTAGAGTTTAATGGTTTAAGCAAATATTTTTTCTTTTTCTTCCTTTTCTTCCTTTGGAACAGAGGAAACTTTGCTGGACAAAAAGGAAAAATATCTGGGTGGGAGAAATTGGGTGGGGCCAGTTAAGTCTGCATTCCGCTACTGGATTTAGTTGAAAATATCAAGCTGTTTTCAAGAATTCTGGATTAAACTCCCTCCCTTGCATTGTATTCAGGGGTGCCTTCCTTGAAGAATTGAAAGCAGAAAGATTTGGGAGCTGAGAGTTAAGCTGAACAAAAGGTAACTATTTTAAATCAAAACATCTGCTAGAGAGGTGAATTTAACTTAAATTCCAAGGGGCAATTGCCGTTCAGCTCTCACCTCATGGACCTATCCTCTCTGATAAATTTTCCCTGGCTACATTAATAAAAGTTCTGGAGGAACTGTCGTTTTGCTATACTTTAGAAATAGCAACTTAAAATATACTTCATCTTCTTTTAATGTCCCAGAAGTTGTGCCTTTCATCTCCCAATTGTTCTTTATAATACAAGGTATGATGTGGCCTTAATAGATAAGCAATTCTTGTTCTTTTTGCTGAGCATCCCAGAGTTTTGGAAGATTTTGGAAACCCTTTTGTTGTGGTGATAGTGGTATTTATTTCTCAACTTGTGATGTATGGTGTTATCTACCATGGTTGTGTGGGTCGATAAAGCCACTGCTATTAGTTCATGTTGACTGAAGAGAACCTATGGGAAAGGTAGTAGGAAGAGCTTAACTGGAATTTCCAGAAATGGTGCCTTCAGGAGTCAAAGCTTGGAATCTGTCATTTGAATGCTCTCCCATGCTCTGGTCTGAATGTTTGTGTCTCTTCAAAATTCATATGTTGAAATCCTAACTCCAAGATGATAATATTAGAAGATGATGCCTTTGGGAGGTGACTAAATCATAAGGGCCAATTCCCTCATGAATGGGAATGGGCTGAAGAGAGACACCCCTTGTCCCCTTCACTCTGTGAGGACACAGCAAGAAGGCACTGTCTGTAATCCAGAAAGCAGACCTGCACCAGACACCAAATCTGCCTTGATCTTGGCTTGCTAGCCTCCAGAGCTGTGAGAAATACATTTTTGTTGTTTATAAGCCACCTGGTTTATGGTACTTTGTTCTGGCAGTCCAAACGGTTTAAGACAAAAAATTAGTACTGAGAAGTGGGGGTGCTGCTGTATTAAATACTTAAAATGTGGAAGCAGCTTTGGAACTGGATAATGAGTAGAGGCTGGAAGAGTTTTGAGGTGCATGCTAGAAAAAGCCTATATTGTGGTGAACTAACTATTAAGGGCAATACTGCTGGAGGGCCCAGAAAGAAAAAAGGAGAGCTGTAGAGAAAACCTCAGTCTTTTTAGAGAACACCTAAGTGGTCATGAACAGAAAATGTTAGTAGAAATATGAACGGTAAAGGCTATTCTGATGAGGCCATTCAGATGGAAATGAGGAATATGTTATTGAAAACGAGAGAAAAGGCAATTCTATTTTTAAAGTGGCAAAGAATTTGGCTTCTCTGTGTTCTTGTCCTAGTGTTTTGTGGAAGGTAGAACTTGTGAGTGATGAAATTAAATATTTAGCTGAAACTATTTCTAAGCAAAGTGTTGAAGATGTAGCCTGGTTTCTCTTGACTGCTCATGGTAAAATGCAAGAAGAGAGAAATGATTTAAAGATGGAATTGTTAATTAAAAGGAACGTAGAGCTTAAAATTTTAGAAGACTTAGTCTATTCATATTGAAAAAATATGAGAAAACTTGTGTGGAAGAGAACAAGGGTGTGGCCAAATGATTATTTGATAAGAAGGTTAGTATAGATTGTCATCTCAATGGAAGCCAGGTGCTATTAATCAAGATAATTGGGACATTTATCATCTCAGCCCTGGAACCAAAGATAGAAGAAGTGACTCAAGGATGCAGAGCAAGGAATAGGTCTTTGAGAAAGCAAGCCAGAAGAGTGAGATAAAGTGCAGATGTGGAATGATCCAGCCTCAGAGGATGTTTCATACTAAGGTCAAGATGCACATGGAGCCAGGAACCCAGGTGCTCATTCTGACAGTGTGAAAGAATTCTGTTTCGCCAACCCTAGAGGGAGTTGTTCAAAGTTCCAGAAAACAGCAGTAAGATTCGTGATGCCAAGGAAGGGTGGACTATGTATTTCTGTAATTTAATTTAAATGAAATCCAGGACCTATTGTTCGAGACAATGGATTAAGAATGACTCAGAAAGCATTGTGGAGATCACTGGGGCTGCCCTTCCCATCATAGGTCCTGGAGTGCAGAACAATATCAAAGGAAGGCCATCGCTGCCCAGAGCAGCCTTATATCAGGGGCTCTACTCCCTGCACTCCATGCCTGTGCCCCGTGGCTGCCCCAGGGCCAGCTTAGGTGGCTCCAGTGCAGCATGCTTGGCACCCAGCAAAGCCATGGGGGCATGGCTGCCTCTACCTGGATTACAAAGAATGCCCTGGAAAGCCATAGGCCCAGGCAGACAAATACCACAAAGGTGGGGCCACCATAGAGAGTCCCCACTAAGGCAATACCCAGTGGAACCATGCGAGTGGGGACACCACAGAGACCACAGACCAGTAGAGCCCCTAGCATGTGATTCCCATCTGGGAGAACTGCAGGCACTCAACTCCAAACAGAGAGAGCTGTGCCATAGGCTACACCTGGAAAATCTATGGTGGCAGGGCTGTCCAAGGCCATGAAGGCAGGCAAAGCTGCAGAGGTAGGACTGCCATCCCAGTGGGTCTGCAAGGCAGGACCTCTGCCCCAGCACCTAGACAGTGGAACACTGAGCCAAAAAGATTATGCTTGAGCATTAAGATTTTGGACTTGCGCAGAACTTGCCACTTCTTTCTTTACTATTTCTCCATCTTGGAATGGGAATATCTAGCCTATGCCTGTCCCATCGTTTTATTTTGGAAGCACTTAACATGTTTAATTTTAAAGGTTCACAGCTCAGGATGGATAGTACCTGCGGTCTCACCCACATCTAATTTGGATGACATTTAGATGAGACCCTGGACTTCAGACTTTTAAATTGATGCTGGACTGAGTTAAAACTTCAGGGCTCATGGGATGAAATGAATATATTTTGCATGCAAGAAGGATATGAGGCTGGGCGCACTGGCTCACGCCTATAATCCCAGCACTTTGGGAGGCTGAGGTGGGTGGATCACCTGAGGTCAGGAGTTCGAGACCAGCCTGGCCAACATGGTGAAGCCCTATCTCTACTAAAAATACAAAAAATTGGCTGGGTGTGGTGGCAGGCACCTGTAATCCCAGCTACTGAGGAGGCTGAGGCAGGAGAATGGCTTGAACCTGGAAGGCAGAGGTTGCAGTGAGCCAAGATTGTGCCATTGCATTCCAGCCTGTGCAACAAGAGTGAAACTCCATCCCCCCGCCCCCCAAAAAAAACCAAAAAAACAAACAAACATGAATTTGGGTAGAGGCAAGGGTGAAATTCTATGGTCTGAATGTTTGTTTCTCCTCCAAAATTCATGTTGAAATCCTAGCCCTCAAGGTGACGGTATTATGAGGTACTGCCTCTGGGAGGTGATTAGGTCATCAGAGCAGTCCTCATGTATGGGATTAATGCCCTCATCAAAAAGGCTAGAGGGAGACCCCCACCCCTTTCACCATGTGAGGACACAGCAAGAAGGCACTGTCTATAGGCAGAAAGCAGATCCTCACCAGACCCTGAATCTGCCCTGAGTTTGGACTTCCCGACTTCGGGAGCTGTGAGAAATACATTTTCATTATTTATAAGCCACCCAGTTTATAGTATTGTGTTGTGGCAGCTCAAATGGAATAAGACAACCCAGTTTGGACTTTCTGGAAAGAGGAATCTAGTGAGAAATAATATTTCAAGAAGTGGAGATTAGTCTAATGAGGCCCAATGAATGAAAAGAGAAAAGGGACTTATTTGTTTGTCTTCAAAGGAACACCTCTCAGCCCTGGAACCAAAGATAGAAGTGACTCAAGGATGCAGAGCAAGGACTGGGTCTTTAAGAAGCAAGGCCAGGGGCCGGGCATGGTGGCTCACGCCTGTAATTCCAGCATTTTGGGAGGCCGAGGTGGGCGGATCACTTGAGGTCAGGAGTTCAAGACCAGCCTGGCCAACATGGTGAAACCCCATCTCTACTAAAAATACAAAATTAGCTGGGCATGATGGCACATGCCTGTAATCCCAGCTACTTGGGAGGCTGAGGCAGGAGAATCGCTTGAACCCAGGAAGTTGCAGTGAGCTAAGATCGCGCCATTACACTCCAGCCTGAGCAAAAAGAGCGAAAAAAAGCAAGGCCAGAAGAGTGAGGTAAGGCATGGATGTGGAATGATCCCGCCTCAGGGGATGCCTGTTGTGTAAGGTCAAGATGCACCTGGAGCCAGGGACCCAGGTGCTCATTCTAACACCATGAAGGAATTCTGTTTCGCCAAAACTACAGAGTTTTTCAAAGTTCCAGAAAACAGCAGTAAGGTTCAGTGATGCCAAGGAAGGGTGGACTATATTTCTGTAATTTAATTTAAAGAACTGACATAGGTTTCTCAGGGATACACAAAACAGGTTCTTACTCTCATAGAAAGAGCTGGCTCTTGACTCGCTTTAGGGAATGCAGTTCCCAGTAAACAGGCGCCTTCTATAAGGGAACCATAGAAACTTCAGGGAGGGCTCCCAGAAAGCTGCTGGGCTGGTGTTGGTGTCTCTGAACTTGAAAGAGTGGCCTCATTACACCCAGATTTCCAAGACACAGACCAACTATCTTGGGGGACAAGTTGGAAGGTTGATATGGCAAGTGTTAAAACAAACAAACAAACAAACAAACAAACCCTGCAAACTAGATTTAGTTGCTGCTTCAGGAAGGCACTGCCATTGCTGGGGTGACCTGAAGACCTGTTCACCAACAGGAGCAAGGAACCCCTGTCCCTTCCTCCATCCAGGCTTGTGGTCTCTCTCTCTGGTGCCCCCTACTGGCAGAGCCTAACAGGGTGTCTGCTGGCCAAGCAGAAAGGTGCTGTGCAGAGTCCTAGCCTCAGTGGAATACAGGAGCGTGGGTCTGGAGTTGCGAGGTCACAACTTTATAAGTGGCACGTTCTGCTTATAGCGTCCCAAGACACAAGTTTCTTTCCTAGTAGAACCATATATTACCGATTACCGCTAGAATTGTATTTGAGCCATTTCTAGGTACCTTCTTTTGGGAGAACCATACCTAGCTTCTGCAGACTTAAAAATCCTGCCATCTCAAAAGCTGAGGTACATGTTTGACTATGTTTATCCTTTCCATTCCTAGCTATTAACAGAAAAAAAAATCTACTTTCACTTTCTTCTGAAAAGTCAAGAGCATATCCACCAAATTCTCTAGCACATACCCAATATTTGAATTTTTTCATCACCACTGTATAAAATATATATTCAATTACCAATTCTATACATTACTTCTATATTGTTTTTTTTTCATCTGTTCAAAATGCATGATTAATTTTCTCCTTCTGGTCAGGTGGCCTATACCAAAGTTCCAGAGCAGGTCACTTACATTTTTCTCTGACTCACTTCTCCACAGTGTTTCTGTTTTTGGGTTACTCAAATGAATATCTTATTGACATATCATACCATTCAGTCTCCCCTTATTACAGCCTATCATTTGGGAATATGGCATGCTTCTCCATCACTGTATTTTAATCTGAAGCCCCTTCCCACCATGTCTCAAAAAATCACATTATGGTGTAACCTCAAGCTTGGTTCACTTACAATGCACACTGAGACAGTATGATATAGTGACCTCTGGACTAGATTGCCCATGTCCAAATCCCTGCTTTTCTACCTACCACCTGTACATGTCCTTGTGCAAGTCATTTAACTTCCATAAGCCTCATTTTTCTCCATCTGTGAAATGAAAGTAACAACAATACCTACCTTGTAAGGTTGTTCCCAAGATGAAAAGAGATATACAGTCACTAAGTGCTCAATCAATGACACCTATTATTAGTATAATGGTTTTAAGGCTATTAGCATTATTTCCATCTCCTCTCTGTCTTCCAATATTTTGGGGGTGCGATTCCCAGGCATCTCCCATACCCTTATTCATATTCTCATCTTACACTTGTTGTCTTCCATAGGAACCATGTTCATAGGTTTATCAAGGTGATTGTCCTTCTTTCTTCCTTTACTTAAAGTTTTTCAGTTGGATCACCCAGACTCTGGTCAAATATCCTTCCCTCGCCAAGAATACATCATTTATCCCAGTACCTAGAACCATGGCTTTGTCTCATAAATATCACTTCTCTTTATCATCTTTGTAATTGTACATTCAACCCACAGATTTTTCTTTCTCTTCAAAGTCTTTATTGTTGGTAGAAAAAATGATCATATAAGCTTATCATCTAGGGCTGGGCGTGGTGGCTCACAACTGTAGTCCCAGCACTTCAGGAGGCCGAGGCAGTGAATCGCTTGAGCTCAGGAGTTTGAGACAAGCCTGGGCAACATGGCGAAACCCTATCTCTACCAAAAATACACAAAATTAGGCGGGTGTGGTGGTGTGCTCCTGTGGTCCCAGCTACTTGGGAGGCTGAGGTGGGATGATTGCTTGAGCCAGGGGACGGAGGTTGCAGTGAGCCGAGATCGTGCCACTGCACTCCAGCCTGGGTGACAGAGTGATACCTGTTTCAAAAAAAAAAGTTTGTCATCTATACTCTTGAGTCCTTTGATTCCTCACCCAAGGTATAGTTTCTTTTCAGAAATGTCATTCATGCAATATTTTAGCTCAAGACATACTGGGAGGAGATTTCCAGGAGAAAGTTAATATGGATCTTCAAGTGGCAGAAGAATCAGGAAGATGAGACCTCAGAGCTTAATGGAATAGCTTTCAAGAGCATGATGAATCATCTTGGGGGTGTGACTTGGACAGAATGCTTATTTCATATAGGCTAAGTAGAGAGTATTCAGCCTGTCAGAAAAGGAAGCTTTCGGCCTGATGCCAAAGAAATTTGCTAGTCAAAATAACCAGTCAAATAATTTCCAAATTAATTATTTTTCATTTTGTGTTTGCATTTGTACATCCAGTCTCAGATTCTCAAAGGAATAAGTTATGATTTTAGCACACAAAAGTTTAGCTTCTTCTCATCACTACCCTAAACCATCTAAATTATAAAAGTGAAACTATATATTATACAGTGGTACCTTCATAAATCTATTTCCAAGTGCCAGAAAATAGGCATTATGAGTGGGGAATTTCATATGTGTCCATGCATGTACAGAGTTCAGGCTCGGGGAGATAAATGTGTCAAGAATGCATAACCACAGCCGAGTAATTATGCAACTTCTATTTCTGCCAATAAATTTCGAGCCTGATTTATGTCAGATCAGAATATAAATCCAGTCTTAGCACCGATTATCAAAAATACACTTTTCAGGCTGGGCGCAGTGGCTCACACCTGTAATCCCAGCACTTTAGGAGGCCGAGGCGGGCAGATCACCGGAGGTAAGGAGTTCGAGACCAGCCTGGCCAACATGGTGAAACACCATCTCTACTAAAAAATACAAAAATTAGCCAGGCGTGGTGGCATGGTGGCGGGCACCTATAATCCCAGCTACTCAGGAGGCTGAAGGAGGAGAAGCACTTGAACCTGGGAGGTGGAAGTTTCAGTGAGCCGAGACAGCACCACTGCACTCCAGCCTGGGCAACAGAACGAGACTCTGTATCGAAAAAAAAAAAACAAAAAAAAACAAAAAAAAAAAACACTTTTCACACTTTTCAGTGTTGAATGTATTATTTTCAGACAGAATATAATTAATGGAATGCTATATTGGGTCCATGCTGCAAAATCTGCTGGGCCTTGGGGTGGAGTGGGAGCCTGTCTAGAGAAAAAAGACAAGACTCAGCTCTGAAAAGAGAACTGAAATGAAGGATCCAGAAATTGTGATGACTTGATAAACCCTGGGCCTAAACTCTCATATGAGCAAATAATGAGAGCAGCCACCTTAATTTCTATAGAAAAAAAATAGGTGTATCATCTCATCTGCTAAAAAAAATCAGATGAAATTGTTCTGAGGGAGTGAATTCCCAGGATTCTCTACGCTTTGTATGCCTCACCTCTGCCAGGTGCCACCAATCACCAACTCTAAATTTGTAAGGCCAGGGCAATGCATCTGAGTCCTGGAGAATCACTTGGGGAGTTTTGAAAAATACTGACATCCGGCTCCACCTAGGAAATGTTAGTTTAATTAGACTGGGATGCAGCCTAGGCATTACTAGTTTTCTTAAAGCACACCAGGTAAGAAGCACTGGTCTAGGCCAACTGCCCTGAGGGTGGCTCCTGCCTTGCAAAGACTATGACTTTGCAAGGCAGAGATGCAGAGATGCAGAAATGCACACAGGACAACGGTGGGGCCTCTTCCCATTCTTGCTGCCCTTTCTCCTTCATGTTCTTTATTCTCCTGCCTTGTAGTGCTGGTCCTTGACTACAAATTGTCTTGTAGCTATTGTCTATAATTTAACGCTTCTGATACCCAGATGCCGGCTGATCCCTCCCTGGCCTGCTCTGACTCCAGAAATTTGTATTTCCTTCTGAGTATTTGCCCACTCTGTTGCAAACTCTGGCTTTGCAAGCTCCCCTAGCTGCATTGACTTGAAGCAGGCATCTGATTCAACCATCTCAGTTAGATTCTGACTTCCAGTCCCTTCTCTCTGGCAGGAGGCTGGGGACATCTCCACAGGCAGCCCTGACCATATTTGTTTAACACGTAACTTCTGTGGGATGAGATGAAGTCCCAGCCCATCCATCTAGATAGCCATCTTCTTGTCATAGGATGAAACCAGCCTGGGTTTGAATCCTGGGTGAGGAAGTCACAACAGAGTGAGAGAGAGAAAGCCTAGGTGACTAGGGGGTAGGTTCCTGTGCTGGGGCCTGAGATGTGGAAAGGAGAGACTTTATAAAGAGAAGGGAGAAGAGAAAATGATGAGTAAGACCATCTTCTTTAGGTAAACCTAAGTGTGTATTATAAATGTTAGCATTGGCCACTGTCGCTTATAAATTGCTGCTGTCATTTAAAAAATTCTGTATCATGTCTTCTTCATGACTTTTTAATACCACCCTTGTCTCAAGGTACAAGCACAGAAGTGTGAGTTGAAAAGAAAATGTCTATAAAATAATACATATGCTCTAATTTTCAACCAAATATGAAAGGTAAACCTAAAACCCACTGCTGATATCCATGTATAATCCCTTTTGGCTCCCAGAGGTACCTCTGTTAACAGATGTGTAGTCCCGGAAGGACTGCTTGACATACAAGAAAATACATGTATGATATTGCTTCATGTGTGTTTTATATAACTGGAATAATACCACATATATCATTAGGAAAATTACTTTTTTTCACTCAACAGTCTATAATGGAGATCTTTCATTTCACCACATATAGAGTTCATTCTACTCAACTACTAAACGCTAACTATGGACAAATAAGCTGTTTCCAATGTATACAATTACAAACAATTGTATAAATACAATGTATAGCTTATATGTGTGTGTGAAGGTTTCTTTAGAGACGATCAGGAAAAGTAAAATTGTTAGACAATAGGGTAGATGAATTTTTATTTTAAATAGGTATTGTCAAATTTATACCTCACCTAGTAAGGCAAGAGAATACCATTTTACATTACTCTACTCAACACTACTATATATTTTACTTTTTTTTTATTATTATTATTTTTAGATGGAGTCTCACTCTGTCACCCAGGCTGGAGTGCAGTGGCCCAATCTGGGCTCACTGTAATGTCTACTTCCCAGGTTCAAGCTATTCTCCTGCCTCAGACTTCTGAGTAGCTGGGATTACAGGCGCCCACTACCACTCTTGGTTAATTTTTGTATTTTTAGTAGAGACAGGGTTTCACCATGTTGGCCAGGCTGGTCTTGAACTCCTGACCTCAAGTGATCTGCCTGCCTCAGCCTCCCAAAGTGCTGGGATTACGGGCGTGAGCCACCATGCCCGGCCACATATTTCAAATGTTGCTTCTCTGGAATGGTATTTCTTTGTTTGCATTTAAGTATTTTTTTTCATTACTGGCGTGGTGAAAATATGCTTCATTATTGTTTCAATTTGCTTTTCATTGATTACAAGTAAGATTGAACATTTTTGTGTATGCCTACTATTATTTGGTTTTACTCCTCTATGAATCCACTTCCCATATTCTTTGCCCATTTTTCTATTGGGTGGCTTATCTTTCTTCTTATTGATATAGGAGTGATTTATAGATTATGGATTTCCTTCAGGGCACAATTCACATTGTAGTCTACTTGAATGGCTCCCCCCGGTGGTGTACAGTACACAGCCTGCACAGCCATAACTGGCAGTCAGCTTTTGTTTGTGATAAATATGTAAATATTTTATCCTTACTCTGTCTCTTGTCTTTACATTTTACTTGTGTTATTTTTCACAGTGTAGAAGTTGTTTTTCTAGTCATATTTATCATTCTTTTCCTTTGTGTTGTTTGCCTTCTGAGTCTTGTTTAAGATAATCTTTCCTACCCAAAGTAAAACATTTTCCTGTATTTCCTCTGATTCTTTTATAGTTTTACTTTTTATGCTCATATATTTAATCTATCTGGAAATGACTGGTGGATGATGTGAGATAGGGATCTAAACATTATCTTTGTCCAAATGGATAACCAATAATACCAACAAATTATTGAATAGACATCCAAAAGACATCCCTTAACTAAAATACTACCTCTACCACCATGCCCTGCTAATTTGTGTATTTTTAGTAAAGACAGGGTTTCACTATGTTGGCCAGACTCGTCTTGAACTCCTGACCTCAGGTGATCCACCCGCCACGGCCTCCCAAAGTGCTGGGATTACAGGTGAGAGGCAGAAGAATTGCTTGAACCTGGGAGGCGGAGGTTTCAGTGAGCCTAAATCGCACCATTGCATTCCAGCCTGGGGAACGAGAGTGAGACTTTGTCTCAAAAAAAAAAAAAAAAAAACTAAAAATTAAAAAAAACCTAAAACTAAAAAATTCAAAAATTAAATACTATCTCTATCATATGGCATTTTTTTCCTATATTTGTAGGTCCATTTTGAGGCTCTGAATTCTGTTCTTATGATTAAAATTATATTTGGAGAAATTATTCATTTAGCTACAGTAGTCATGGGTTATCATGATCTATTAGTGAGAGTTTGGGTTTAAATAAAAATCTACTCTATATTAAGTTTAATTCATAGTATATAACTTGATGTTATAATAAACTATGTATTATAAATTATATGGAGTTCTCACTTCTGACAGGAGGCTCAGTCTAAATAACCCTTTTGTTATCTTTTAAAGCTCCCACATTGAGGACCTGCATGATTCTTAGATCAGATCTTGGTGTCCAGTGAAGCAGCCAACTTGATTTTATTTCTTCCTGAATATTATTATGACTTGAAACTCATAACTTGATTCATAGTGTATTAATAAAATTAATTCATATATCTTTTAAGTAAACTGATAATTTAGAACAAGAGTTCAAAAATATAAATATGAGCTTTTCCATGGGCCCGTAGGAACCTTAAATGCCATCCAATAGCACAGTTTGACAAATAGTAGTCAGTGAATAAATATATGCAGAATGACTGAAAGTAGCGCTATGCGTAACTTGAAAACCGCCACTTACGCTCATTTTTCTAGGCACTTTACTGATTTGCTTCATTCAGAGTAGCTGTTTTGCTCTTGCTGTTTTAAGGCATATGGTATTAGAACTTGGCATGAATTGCTTTCTTTGCCAGAAAATTTTGAGTCAATTTAGTTTTTTTCTTGGGCTTTTTTTTTAAGCCTGAGACACTTAGTTGTTTAGTTATTGGCTATCAAATAAACCCCTGAAGCATAAACATTATTCTCCATATTGGCTTTCCATATGGTGCAACTGAATGAAAACTGCACTTACTTTACTCTTCCTTCTCTCTGGAGAGCACAGCCTACGTAGACTAGAATGTGAATGACGACCCCTGGAGTTGTGCAGTGCACAGTACTGTTCTCCTTCCACCTCCCACTTCCATTCTCTACGTTTCTCTATCCAAAAAGATCCTCCTGGCTCTGCCTATAGATAGATCCTACTATCTATCCTGTATGTTCGCTTGTTGATGCTTACAATTTGCAGGTCTGTGTTCCTTGAAGACCTCATTCCACAGACTGCAAACGTTACTCATGTAATTAGCCTGGAGACTTCTAGCAGTTTCCAGGCCTGAGTTCTTATCAGGGTTTGTCTTACAAGAGTTCAAATGGTCTCCTGTATGACTATTTTAAAAATATGGAGGCCAGGTGCAGTGGCTCATGCCTGTAATCCCAGCACTTTGGGAGGCCGAGGTGAGTGGTTCACGAGATCAGGAATTCAAGACCAGCCTGGCCAACATGGTGAAACCCTGTCTCTACTAAAAATACAAAAATTAGCCGGGCATGGTGGTGCGCGCCTGTGATCCCAGCTACTCGGGAGGCTGAGGCAGGAGAATTGCTTGAACCCGGGAGGCAGAGGTTGCAGTGAGCAGAGATCACACCACTGCACTCCAGCCTGGGCGACAAAGCTAGACTCCGTCTAAAAAAATAAAAATAAAAAAAAAAAGGAGTCCAGCAAAACTTTCAGAATGGCTCTACAGGAGGATGGCTTGCTTATCCACACAGGTATTATTGATTCTGCACAGGCATCTATTTGATGACAATGCAAGGCTCGTACCTTGAGTCAAACTTGTAACCAGCTGAGCACAGGGACTCTGTTCAGTATAGCAAACACAGTTTACGTGGGCCCACCCAGAAACTTTCTACAAGTACATTCCACATGCTGAGTGTGCGGGTGATGCTAGCTGATTCAGACTGTTGTGTGCAACTCTATGCTTCTTTCCTAAAGCCTGTGTGAGATGATGCAAAGCTAAAGTCAAAACTCCAAGACTTATGGATTGTTAGAACTGAAAACACTTTAGGGACTTTCTTGTTGAACCATCTCATTTTAGAACTGGGATGACTGCCTGTTGACTCTAGTATATTTCATTTATAAATATATAGGCACACACATTTATAACATATATAATCAACCATATTAATCATATTACTAGCAAATGAATGAAAAATTCATGTACATTTAAACTTTAAGTGAACTGGTCATTTGGGATATAAGCATGTGAAGTTAGCTCTCCTTTCTTTTAAATATCTGCAGCTCCCATTGGGGTGTGTGTGTGTGTGTGTGTGTGTGTGTGTGTGTGTGTTTCCAAGAACACAGCAGTGGAGAAGTTACTAATTGCCACCCATTAGACAGATGGGAATGGTTAAAATGTGGAACAGTTTCCAGCTCCCTGTGGAATTCTGGCTGGCTGTTTCTTTACTCCAAAGTCTGTTTTACTTTGTGAAACAGTTTTATTTTTTAAGTAACATTTACTTATTATTCCTCAAAGGGATGCTGGGAAGGAGACTCCCCTTATTGCTATTCTCATAGTAACATGTGAGACAACTGCATGTACACAGGGCTTGACAGTCTCTTCCTGGGAACATACACTGAGAATAGCTCAGAGGATCTAGGCAGACACCTGTCACTCAGCTCAGCACCCACATCTGTACCCTTCCTTCCCAGCCCTAGGCCCCTTTATGCTGATGGAAATCCTGGCACATGGCAATTCTCCAAATCAAGGTTGTTTAAAAATTCCTACAGGCCAATTATTAGGCATTTATTCCCCTGTGGCTATTTCTAAAGGTAAAAATAACACCTTGGAGAGTCTGTGGATCTTTCTAGTTAGTGTACTGTGACCCCATATAGACTTCAGCCCCAAAATGCATGACCATCACGTTTATAAAGAGCTACTCAGAACAAGTTAAACCTACAGGCAATGCCCTCTAGCAAACTAGAGTCTAGAATATACTAGTAAGAGACCAATCATTCCACAAATATTTACTGATGCTCTCTTCTGGGCACTGCAGAGTTCATGAGAAAAAAATAGATCTGTCTCTGTCTTCAAAAGTCTAAGTGCAAGGTAGAGACTGAAAAGTCACAAGGTGATTGCAATAGGGGAGAATGAGCACAATTACATTGGAAGTTCACTGTGTGGGGGCTAGGAGGGCTCTTAACTCAGACTTGGGCAGTCATAAAGGTTACCTAGAAGGCCAGAGGGGAGCTAGCTGGACACAGATACGGAGGAACAGTGCTCAAGGCAGAGAGAACAGCATGTGTGAAAACCTGAGGACAAGAGGCAGCAAGGCACATTCAGGACAATGAAAAACAGTTTAATCTGGCTAGAGTGGAGAGTGAATGTGCGCATGTGTGTGCAGGGGTGAAGGCAGATTCGCGAGGGATGTCCAAGATGCCCCTGGACAGAGGGCTAGGAGCTAAATTATTAAGGGCTGGCCTTTTAAGTTATTTGTAGATGACTAACCTTTATCCATGAACCATTCATCCTACCATGTGCCAAGAACTAGTGCTGGGGATAAAGCAACAAATAAAACAGACAAAGAATGAGCCCTCAAGGAGCTTCCATTCTCATGAAGGGTGGAGGAAAGTCAATGAACAAGTAATCAAATTGAATATACAGTATGTCAAGCGGCAATAAATGCCAAGAAGAAAAATAACTCAAGGTGGGCGATAAGCAATGTGGCAGGATGGTTCTCATTCTCATTCTCTTTTCACATAGGGTCAATGAGGTCTCCTTGATGTGGTGGCATTCAGCAGAGATCTAAGGAAGTGCAGGAAGAAATTATGAAGATATGTGCAGGGGAAAGTTTGGGCAGAGGAAAGAAGATGGAGGGCTGGATCGCCAGGTGCTCAGTGTGTTGCAGGAACAACCAGAGGCTACTCTGGCTAGAGCAAAGGGAGAGAGCACAGGAGCAGTAGGAGATGAAGTCTGAGAGATAGAAGGGCAAGATTACAGAGGGACT
The DNA here is from genome assembly GCF_000001405.40 of Homo sapiens. Lineage (NCBI taxonomy): Eukaryota > Metazoa > Chordata > Mammalia > Primates > Hominidae > Homo > Homo sapiens. The sequence goes on from NC_000007.14 coordinate 134,760,197, forward strand.
TATAGGATTGTACCCTGAGTGTGGTAGGAAATCAAATGTGAGTTTTCAATAGGGAGGTAGCATAACCCCGCTTGCACAGTTCTAGCTGCAGAAGAATGGATTGAGGGTGGGGTTTGGGGATGGAGAGGCAGAGCAGGCAGGGAGACCTGCTTATTGCATAAAATCACATAAGCAATGATGACAACCTAAGCAAAGTAATAGTATTGGAATATGTGACAAATTAGAGGCAGAAGAGAGACAGAAAATTGAAGGATGCTAAGAGGACCCTGTCCCTTGATTCCAAAATATTTTATATCATAACTTGCACACTGACTGAAGTTTTTCCTATTACAGTATCTCTCTTGAGTTTAAAGAATTGAAAGATTTTATTTGGGCAAATGGTGTTTTTGTTTTTGGTCTGAAAAACATAGAATTTAGAGAGAAAAATAAAAGGATGATATATAAAACAGTGCATTTACATAAATTAAAGATGTATGCATATGAAGTAATACTTACAACTTTGGAAGAAGACATGCAATATAGAAAATACACAGGAAATAGAATAGGATGGTCGCCTACAGTGGGGAGAAGATAAGAGGATGTTATAAAAATAATAAAACAAAACGAAACAAAAGAACAAAGTTCCAGAATGCAAATTTTTTTTCTTCTTTCTTCCTTTTTTAACTTTTGTTTTAGGTTTAGAGGTATATGTGCGGAATTATTATGTAGGTACCCTGTCTTTTCAGACAGATCAAAACAGTAAACGTTGTTGAGCACTAGCAACTCAGTACTGCTTCGTTAGTTGTTCTAGTTTAGAGGAGGCCTCTTAGAGAACAGGTCTGGGGATAGTCAGGCTTAACAGCGAACGGTGAAAAGGAGAAATGCTAGACAAATGATGCCAAGAAAGGTGGGTATCATGTGACCAGTCAGAGATAAATCATTAGGACATAAGAAGTGAGAAAAACAGAATTCTGAAAACAAATTTTACCTTCTCCACAGTTTCATCTAAAATTGGCTCTGCGTGAAGTTTTATTTTTACTTCTCCCTAACCCCAACCCCCTGCTCCAACCCAGTTTTCCAAATGATATCCTGTTCTGACATTTAAGAAAAAAACTTTAGTGTTTTCCTCTCTGCGCGCAGTGGAATTTCACCAATTTCTTTGGAATGACAAGTATCAGAAAAAGTTCTGCGGCTGCTGCTGAAACCACTGCTCCATAATCTACTGAGATTCAAGGTCTCGTAGAAGGAAAATTTGCAGTCGATTAATTTAAAGTTAAAAAAAATAAAACTGGCAGTCAGGAGGTTACTTGAGTTTTATCTCAGTTTTGTGCTGATAACATAGCTAACTACTTCTTAGTTTACAAAGCATGTTCACATTTCTTAATCTCTTTGATCTTCATATCAACTCTTGTGAGGCAGCTACTTTACAAGTGAGAAAACTAAAACTCAGAGAGATTAAGTGACTTTCTCAAGTTGCTTAACTTGTAATCTGCACTCTTTCTGTGTTAGAACTCTTCCTGTGTCCTGAGGTCAGGTTCTAAACTTGTCTTTGCTTCTTGTAAGTGAACATTATAACATTTGCCAATTAACTTCATGGGGATATAGAAAAGAAAAGTGATGATAGTATGGGTGGCACAACCCGTTGGATGAAAAATGCCAATAGACATTTACCATTATTTGTATTATTATTATTATTTTTGAAATATTTGCAATCAGGTCTTTGCAGCTTATAAACCATCTTAAAAGGGTAGTATTTAGCAGGAACGGACCTGGGAACCCCCAGTTTGGCTCCCTACCATCAGGCAACCTTCTCTGTGAGTTTCCCAAGGGAAGAAATATGTACAGAGGCCAGTACTGGACGAAAGAGCACTTTTCCTATTGGCTGGAGCCTTGGCCTCCAAATGCAGGGTATCTTCCAACTGATCTTAGTTGGACTACAGTTGAATCTTCGGTTGAATCTTGGACCTTATTACTGCATTGAGGAAGAAGGCTGGTCCAAAGCCCACCAGCCAGCAAAATGAAGAGGAAGCAGAAAATAGAAATGGCCAGGTTCTCTTCTAAGTGAGTGTAGTCCCAGCTCTCCTTGCCACTCCAGCCTGGTAAAGGGAGCATCTGGCCCTAAATAGATATATTCTATGGCTCTAGGCTCTAGTGCCTAGATAATGTAGAATGGTCTCTTTGAACTTGGGCAGTCTCGAGCATGGGTTTTCTCCATGGGAGGGGAGGAGTGTTAGAGTTCTGGATTGGGAGAGTTGCTAAAAGCCCTCCTAGCTAAGGGTTCTGTATTAGTCCATTCTCACATTACTATAAAGAAATACCAGAGACTAGGTAATTTATAAAGAAAAGAGGTTTAATTGGCTCACGGTTTCACTGGCTGTACAGGAAGCATGATGCTGACATCTGCATGGCTTCTGGGGAGGTTTCAGGAAACTTACAATCCTGGTGGAAGGCAAAGGGGAAGCAACCCCATCTTACATGGCTGGAGGAGGAGGGAGACAGACAGCAGGGAGATGCCACACACTTTTAAACAAACAGATCTCGAGAGCACTCACTCACTATCACGAGAACAGCACCAAGGGGGACATCCACACCCATGATCCAATCACCTCCCACCAGGCCCCACCTCCAACATTGGGGATTACAACTGGACATGAGATTTGAGCCAGGACACAGATCCAAATTATATAGGGTTCTGAAAGTAAGAAGAATCCCACAATTTGGAAATGAGATCAGGAAGTTAAAATGCTCTAAAATTCATTCATCCCATAACATTTTGTGTGATATTATACCAGATGCTGGGATACAGAAATGAGTACTTGCTCAATTAGATCTAGATCTAGATCTAGGACCATATCTCTATCTATCTATACCTCTATCTACCTATTATCTATTTATCTATCTAATCTAACTATTTATCTGTCTGTCTATCTAATCGATCTCTCAGTCTATCTATCTAGAGTCACATATTGTAAATAGTCTACTTAAATAAAAACTTCCCAGAAATTAACTATTCAACAAAGTGATTTTGAGATTTAGAGATAGTCTTTCTAAGGAGATAGATTCCTATAAAACATCAGGAAATATTCAACTAAGCATAATACATAAACATGAGTTCCATTACTTGAAAGAAGGCAGTGTAAATGGCAGGCAAAGAGAAGGCAAGTGTTTTGGAGTTTGAGCAAAAAGAACATATGAGTAATCCTCTGGTATTATTTTAGGGAGAAGAAGTTCTTCAAGCAATGGGGCTTAGTTTTTCAGACAGAAATATCCCTAAAGAGGGGCAATTTATCAGCCACCACAGATTGCTGGAGCCATCTCTCCAGACTGGCCAGCCTCTTGGGTTCTCGGTCAGAACTTTCCCTAACACCTCTTTCTCTGTGTCCTGAGAGGGGCTGTCCACTGGAGAGAAGACTTGTTATAAATGGCCACCTGAGTTTTCCCTCTCAGAATATATTTCCCACTAGCTGGGCGCAATGGCTCACGTCTGTAATCCCAGCACTTTGGGAGGCTAAGGCGGGTGGATCACGAGGTCAGGAGTTTGAGACCAGCCTGGCTAACATGGTGAAACCCCGTCTCTACTAAAAATACAAAAATTAGCTGGATGTGGTGGCAGGCACCTGTAATCCCAGCTACTCAGGAGGCTGAGGCATGAGAATTGTTGGAACCCAGGAGGCAGAGTTTGCAGTGAGCCGAGATCGTGCCATTGCACTCCAGCCTGGGTGACAGGGCGAGACTCCATCTCAAAAAAAAAAAAAAAAAAAAGTATTTCCCACTTTAACTTAGCTAATTGGCATTCTAGTTTCTAAATCAGCCCTTAGCCATACTTAGGTGTTTGTTATTATTATGGCTACTACTTCTCTGCCTTCCAGAAGATACATGTAACAAAGTGTCCCCAAAGTCCATACAAGGGTAGTTCTGTGTGTGGTATGCCTGGCATTCCTGGGCATGTGGGAGGACTGTATCATTAGCTCCCCTTTCCAGACACCTGCACCTCTTAATTAGGGTAGCAACAAACAACCAGACTCCAGGGCTCCTGGCCTGGACCCAAATCCACACTCACCGTTCCCCAGGCACCAACTTGCATTCTCAGATTTGGTTCTGGGTTTGTGTACAAGTTGAATATAAATAATTTTGTCAAGGTACCTTCATATTTTGTTTGCATTTTTAAATTCTGGCTCAGAAAGGGAGTAGAGAAAAAGAGAAAAAAAGAGAAATATAGGTAGGGATGATATATGACTGATGATTTTATGATATAGACTTGATTTTTTAAAATTGTGTTTGCCTTGTTCACCACAATGGCATTAGGGCTTAATAGAGTAACACATAACAGGCACTCAAGAAATATTTGTCAATTATTCATTGATTAATTAGTTATTCATTAGCTATCACTCAACTATTAATTAATTAGTTGTTAATCTAGTTAGGGAAACAGGATGGATATACTTAAATACAATCAAATCAAAGAATTCAAGTCAGTAAATGATAAAGAGAAAATGAGAGTCTGACCTCACTTCTTGGATTGTAAGTTGTCCGAGAAAGGGTGTGAGCTGGGTGCTGGGATTTTAGAGGCAGCTTTCATGTGGGTCTGGAGCCAGAGTGGGCAAATGTGAAGCGGGAGAAGCACCAAGACTGAAGTCACTGAGGCAGGAGGTGCACTACGTGATGTGGGGCTGGTGCCAAGGAGGTAAGAGAGGGAGAAAGTAGAAGTTTGTGCAGGGAATTGTAGGAAAAGCAAGCAGAGGGATGATTATTGATTCCCCTAAAATGCTCAGCCAAGCCTTAACTTTATCTTATTGGTAGTAAGATGATATTGAAGGTGTCTGAGTAAGTGCATTAATTTGCAATGAAAACAAAGTTCAGGCTGGGCGCGGTGGCTCACGCCTCTGATCCCAGTATTTTGGAAGGCTGAGGTGGGTGGATCATGAGGTCAGGAGTTTGAGAGCAGCCTGGCCAACATGGTGAAACCCTGTCTCTACTAAAAATACAAAAATTAGCCGAGTGTGGTGGTGCACGCCTGTAATCCCAGTTACTCTGGAGGCTGAAGCAGGATAATTGCTTAAGCCCGGGGGCAGAGGTTGCAGTGAGCTGAGATTGTGCCACTGTACTCCAGCCTGGATGACAGAGCAAGACTCCGTCTCGGAAAAAAAAAAAAAAGAAAGAAAAGTTCAGGGTATAAATATGCATATTATTTGTTATCACAAGAGCTAATTGTTAACAACATGAGAACAAATGAGTTTTTTTTAAAACCCTAGTAAGATAGGAATGACCTCTTCCTCCTTGATTGCCTGACATAATCCCCACTGCACAGAATTTTTGTGGGACACCTGCCCCACTACTGCACTTATGCGATTCCATGTACATCTGCCAGCAAAAGGCAAACCCCTTTTATGAGAAGGGCAGGTACAGTGTCTCATACAGTTATCAATGTATTCCCAGGTGATATCGTTTGAATATTTGTCCCCACCCAAATCTCATGTTGAATTGTAATCTGCAGTATTGGAGGTGGGGCCTGGTAGGAGGTGATCGGATCATGGGGATGGATTTCTCATGAATGGTTTAGCACCATCTTCTTGGTGCTGCCCTCAAAGGTGATTGGATCGTGGTGATGGATTTCTCATGAATGGTTTAGCACCATCTTCTTGGTGCTGCCCTGAAAAGTGATTGGATCATGGGGATGGATTTCTCATGAATGATTTAGCACCATCTTCTTAGTGCTGTCCTCAGGATAGTGAGTGAGTTCTCACAATATCTGGCTGTTTAAAAGTGTATGGCACCTCTCTCTCTCTCTCTTTCTCTCTCTCTCTCTAGCTAGCTCCTGTTTTCACCATGTGAAGCACCTGCTCCTGCTTTGCCTTCCATCGTGATTGAAAGATTCCTGAGGCTTCACCAGAAGGTGGGCAGGTGCTGGTACCATGCTTCCTATAAAGCCTGCAGAACCATGAGCCCCTTAAACCTCTTTTCTTTTCTTTTTTTTTTTTTTTTTTTTTTTTTTTTGAGAGGGAGTCTCACTCTGTCACCCAGGCTGGAGTGTAGTGGCACGATCTTGGCTCACTGCAACCTCTGCCTCCTGGGTTCAACCGATTCTCCTGCCTCAGCCTCCCATGTAGCTGGGACTACAGGCCACCACACCCGGCTAATTCTTGTACTTTTAGTAGAGATGCAGTTTCACCATGTTGGCCAGGCTAGTCTCGAACTCCTGACCTCGGGTGATCCACCTGCCTCAGCCTCCCAAAGTGCTGGGATTACAGGCATGAGCCACCGCACCCGGCCTCCTCTTTTCTTTATAAATTGCCCAGTCTCAGGTGTTTTTAGCAATGCTAGAATGGCCTAATACATCAGGACTGAGAAAAGTTTTAGTACAGAGAAGCTACTTCATAAATGTTTATTGTGTGTAAGTAGATGAGCAGTTAGTTCGCAAAGCAGCTTCATATGCATTTTATTTCATTTAATTCTTACTTCTGTCCTGTGAAGTAGGTATTATTGGTTTCTAGGGGAGAGATCAAGCCTGGACCTGGGAGGATGCCCATGTTTAGGGAAAAGAAAGCACAAGAAGAAAATGTCAAGAGGCCAGAGAGATAGGACGATAGGCTAGACACTGGCGTCAGGAGCCACCAAAGACGAAGAGAGAAGCAAGAGGAGTTAGGGATCGTGGCGGGCAGACAGGGAGGGAGGAAGGGAGGCTGAAGACAAAATGGCCATGGATCAAGAGCTGAGGTCATGGACAAAGAATGGGGAGGGGCTGCTTCATAAACTAATCATTTGGAGAAATTTGACACTAAGAGGAAAGAGAAGACTGGAGCTAAAAGAAACAAGAGTCAGTCAAAGGTATTTTCACCCCAACCCTTGGACATGTTTACAGACAGAGAGGAGGGACCAACAGAGAGACGAAAGAGCAGGAAGCAGCGTGAGGTGAAATGAAGCTGAAAGGCCCAGTGAGGGTTCAGAAAGGGACCAGACCGCGAAGCTGCAAAGATATTTCAGTTCTCCCTCGTGTACACACACTCTCTCTCTCTCTGTCTCTGTGTGTGTGTGTGTGTGTGTGTGTGTGTGCGTGTGTGACATAAATCCATCAAACCTCAGCAGAGCTTGATCAGTGGTTAGACGCATCTATATCACACAGTTTGCTTAGTCCAAACAGCCATTTCTCCCCAGTTATCGCCAGACGCAGCAATCTCTTTAAAAATATTTTTCCGATCTTAAAAATAGTCTATCCCCCAAGAGAAATCTCTAGCTTCTTGCCTCTCAGATGACAGTCGGCTAGGCCAAAGCTACAGAACCTCACCCAAAATAGATCAAATATTTTAAATGTTTTCTTATTTGCGCCCCTCACAAGTATGCCTGCAATGCAAAGCCAATTATAAGATTGGCTTTTTTATTTTTATTTTTCTGAAATGAGTGAAGTGTGTGTTTTCTGGTTAGGAGGGGAGGCCAGGCCTCACCAAACAGTCTTGGTTGGATTTCAGACAGGCTTCCTTGAGCATGAACGGGAAGAGGAAACGTGCATGGCTGGGTAAGCACGTGCAGACGTGCAGAGCCAAATGGTCTCTCTCAGGACTTGCCATCCTGGAGTCCATCTCTGGTGCCTGTCAGAGCTTCCCCATTAGAACAGCAGTTCTCTAGAGGCACACACCGTGTTTCTGATTATATGAAAGTGACAGTGACAAGATTAGAACAAGGACAGAACCTAACACTAAGCCTTGCAGGTAACAGATGCTCAGATGTTGAGTGAATAAATGAATGAATAAACAAATGAATAGCTGAGAAAACTCTAGCCACAGCTTTGCATGACTCAGATACCCATTGGAGACTGGGAGAAATTTCTGGAAACTTTTTGCTTTCTCTAAGCTTAGAGCAAATCCAACAGCAATGAATATGGGTGGACTGGGAAGGGTGGAACATGGAGACATCCAGTCATCCTCTATAGCTCAGGAAATAAGGAGACAGAGACTTCCTATAGGAAGGCTGAGGGGATGGCCAGTCCTGTTCCATGGAAGTGAGAAACAGTACCATTTATCTCAGGAGCTCCTTCATCTACACTGGGTCTTCTCTGATCATGTCCTCTTTCATTTTGTCAGGTCCTCAGCCTTATTCCGGACCATCAGTGCCCTTCTTCTTCCACCTGCCGCTCCAGGAGACTGGCCCCATCAAAGTGGGTCAGTGCAGGCTCTCATTTCATCTGCACCCTACTGATAAAACAGGTGGCACCAAGTGCTGAGCAGGTGCTAAGCAGGCTGTGGCTTAAGTTATTACTCCTTAAAGAGTGACTATTGATGTTATGGTGTCAAAGCCTTTGTACAAATGTGTGACTAAGCTGAGGACCTCACAGTCAGGGCAGGTCCATTCTCCTGCTAGTTGGGCTGGCCCCAAGTGAGCTACTCTGTTGGCCTGAGGACAAAGAAGCACAGTGGCTTTTCCCGATGTCATAGGAACATCGGAGAAGTAATCTAGAGGACCAGATTGCTAGTTCTCTGGGGGGAGAATGTCTCATTTATATTGCAATTTTTTAAAAAAAACAAAACAACAAAAAGCTTAAGAATAACACAACAAACAGCTGTGTACATACTCTGCAGTGTTAACAGATGTAATTTTTTTTCATAATTGCTTAAGATCCTCTTTTATGCATTGCTGATATATTTTAAATTTCTTAATTTCAAGAGCAGTACCATTCCCCTCTCTCCCTCATGGCCAACAACTATCTTAAATTTGATGTGGTTCTAGTCCATTCTCATATGCATTCTTAAATGATTCATACAAATGGAATAATTCCAATTGCAACCTGCTTCTTTTTTCCCACTCAATATGCTTCTGAGTTTCAGGTACATCTAGGTCATTCATTTTAGCTATTATGTATAATACCCCATCCTATTCCATATATAATATGGTATTAGCTATTATATATTTTTATAATTATACATATATTTATATAATTAGATATTTAGCTATTATGTTATATATCATGGTTTCTGTAGCCTCTCCCCTGTCAATTGCTATTGCAGCATTTTTAACAATGTTTTTACTACTGCAAACAATGCTCGAATGAGCTTCCTTTGACATGTCTCTTGGCTTAAGAGTGTGAGGGCGTCCCAAGAGGATATACCTAGAAATGGGATTACAGAATATAGATGTGCATACTGAAAGTCACTAGATATTGTCAAATCACTCAACAAAGTGAATGCACCAATCTACTTTCCTATCCAAAATGTATAAGAATTTGTACATCATCAACAACGTTTAGTTTTGCGTGATTAAACTTTTTTTTTCTTTACCAATCTGGTTGTCATTGTTTTAACTTGCATTTTTCTGATGACTAATGAAATTGAACATCATTTCAAGGCTTTTGACCTTTGCAGTGTTCTCTAAGTGGACTGTTTATCCTATGCCTATTTTTTATTGGGTTTTCTCTTATACACACACTCTCTCTCTCTGTGTCAGTTGATTTGTAGGCATTCCTTGATAGTCTAGATTTTTTTTTTAAGATGGAGTCTTGCTGTGTTGCCCAGACTAGAGTGCAGAGTGCAGTGGTGTGATCTTGGCTCCCTGCAACCTCCGCCTCCCGGGTTCAAGCAATTCTCCTGCCTCAACCTCTTGAGTAGCTGGGATTACAGGCATGCGCCAACATGCCTAGCTAATTTTTGTATTTTTAGTAGAGACAGCGTTTCACCATTTTGGCCAGGCTGGTCTTGAACTCCTGACCTCAGGTGATCCTCCTGCCTCGGCCTCCCAAAGTACTGGGATTGCAGGTGGGAGCCACCATGTTCTGCCAATAGTCTAGATTCTAATTCTGTGTTTTAAACATTGAAAATGTTCTCTTGGCTTCTCTTTTCCCTTTGTAGATGGTGGCTTTTTTTGAACAGAAATTTTTATTTCTTGATGTAACCAAATTTTTTTCTTTAGTTTAACTCTCACTTAATATTTATAAATATTAATTACCTTTCTCTTTGTAAAAAGAAAAAATGCTCTCAAACCTTAGTGGCTTACAACAGCAAACATTTGTTTCTTGCTCCCGTCACATGAGGCCTGGGAAATAGTAGCTCTGCTGGTGTTGACTGGACTCACCGGCCCAGCCCCGCTCCATGTGTCTTCTTATTCTGGAAACCAAACTGCAGAGCAGCCACTATCTGGGGAGGATTCGTTTCCTGTGCTGCTATTACAAATTACCACAAACTGGGTGACTTAGAGCAATGCACATTTCTTCTCTCACAGTTCTGGAGGCCAGGAGTACAAAATCAAGGTGTCAACAGGGTCGTTGGCTTTTTCTGGGGCCCTGAGGGAGACTGCACCCCACGCCTCCCTTCCAGCTTCTAGGGGTCACTGGCAAGCCTCAGCATTCCTTGGCTTGTAGGTGTGTCGCTTCCATCCCTGCCTCTGTATTCACCCCCTCTTCTCCTCCGTGTCTTGTGTATCTCAAATCTCCCTGTCTTTTTCTTATAAGGCCACTTATGGTTGGATTTCAGGCCCACCTGGACAATCCAGTATGACTTCATATTGAGATCCTTAACTATATATACAAAGACCCTATTTCCAAATAAGGTCCTATATGTTTGGATGAACATATTGTCAGGGGGCACTGCTCAACCCACTGCATGGGGGAATGCTGTTATCATAGCAAAGGGCAGGTGTTCAAGGCAAAAGCAAACATGTGACGCCTCTTTAAGCCTCCCCCATGGACAGGCACGCCGTCACCTCTGGCCACGTTGCACTGCTCAAGGCAAACCACATGGTCAAGTCCGCCTACTTAGAGTGCTGCAAGGAATTCCATTAAAAGAGGAAGTGAATCGGGTAACAATAACCCAATCTATCACAAGCTGTATTGTTTGAAAAGTTAAATAATACTATATGACTTTTAACAAAAGCAGGAGTCCTCCACACCACCCCTTCCTTCAACTGCCTCTTCCCCTGAGCAATGGCTCTCAGCTCCTTCTCAGCCTCCTTTTCTGGGCTGTAAATATTGGGGTGTTAGCTCCCACATCTCCGCTCTTTTCTGTCTGCACTCCCTCAGGTAACTCATTCCTGGTTTTAAATCCTATCTAAAAACTGAGGATTTGCAAATGTGCATCTCAAGCCTGGATCCCTTTTCTGAACACCAGATTTGCATATGACACTCCCTCCCCTCTTAACATCTTAACATGCCTGAAATATGTCTAATATGATTTCCACCCCTCCCTGCAAATGTCCGTCCCCCTCAGGGGTGCCCGTTCTATTCAATAGCACTCCCATTCACTCCATTATTCAGACCATAACAGGAGACACTCTTGATTCCTCTCTTTTTCTCACAGTCCTCATCTAAGCCATCAGTGAATCTCCATGTCCTAGAATTAAATGCTCTCTCAGCTCCCAAGCACCGCTGCCCTAGCCCACAACAGCACCTGTCACCTGGGAGGGGGCAATCACCTCCTGTTTCTGCCTCTGGCAATCTCGCCCCTATTCTAGACAAGGTAGACACAGTGCTTTTTTTTTTCCTGCCTCAAACTCTTCCAATGACCTTCCATCTTAGAACAAGCCCCGCAGTACTTACCACGGCTAGAAGCCTCTGGATGGCGGATCTGGCCACTGGCTCTCACTCCTCCCCAAGTCCCCCTGGGCTCGTTGCTATTTATTTAATATGCACTTGCTGTCTTGCCTTCTGGAAGGCTTTTCCTTCATGTAGTCTCACTGCTTGTTCCTTGACTTTATTCATGTCTCTGTTGAAAACCTTCTTCAGAAAAGACTACCCTGTTTCTCCCTATTCCTTTACTCTTTTTTTAAATTTTTTTATAGCGCTTACCACTGCCTGACATTATATATTCATGTGTTAACTAATGTGTATATCTGCCTCCCTCCATCAAAATGTATCTTGTTCACAACATCTAGAACAGGCCCTGGCATGTGGTAGAAACTCAGTAAATATTTGTTCAGTGAGTGAATCAAAGAATAAATGAACTTTTTTTTTTTTTTTTTGAGACAGGGTCTCACTCAGTCACTCAGGCTGCAGTGCAGTGGTGCAAACATGACTCACTGTAGCTTCGACCTCCCAGGCTCAGGTGACCCTCCCACCTCACCTACTGAGTAGCTGGGACTACAGGTGTGCACCACCACACCTGGTTAATTTTTTAGACTTTTTGTAGAGATGAGGTTTCAGCATGTTTTCCAGGCTGGCCTCAAACTCCTGGGCTCAAGCGGTCTGCCTGCCTCAGCCTCCCAAAATACTGGGATTATAGGAGCAAGCCACCGTGCCCAGCCTTACTGTTCTTTTAGGCATTTATTTCCACGAGCCTAAACAACATACTAATTCTGCTATTTATTACATTTTCAATAGTAGACATTATCTATGATTTCTTGCTGAAGAAAACGAAGGTTTGGCTCTCCTCCCCAGCATCATCCTACTAACATGGTCTTGCCTGCTATCCTCTGAATCTAATTACATCATCTTTGTTTTGGTAAAAATCAATGTGCAATATTTACATTCTTACGATTGTGGTAAATTTTTCTTACAGTTGAACTATATGGTATCCAATGATTACTTTTCCTTTCTTGTACAAATTTTTTTAAATTATAATGACCTCAATCTTACATTTGCTTATTTTCTGTGTACTTATTGCAAGTGCTTTTGCCAAGAATACATTGAATAATCTGTCTACCTCACTTTTCCTTAAAACATTCCTCCTGGCATCCACTGCTGCCGTCTCTAATGGTTGTTTCTTAATGAGCCATACAGCTATTGTCCTGGGATTTTCTTTTACCATTATGGGACTCTTTCACCTCTATCCTGGGTTTGCATTCTCTGTTTCCTGATTTTTGTCCTCCTTCTTGGTTTCTAATTTTCACTCCAAAGTATTATTCCCCCTTCAGGTGAAGCATATAACCTTGGAACTTGATAATTTCAGAATGAAATATGTTTTCATTCACTGTATTGGCCCATTGGGCCCTTTGGATCTGGAAACTTGTATCCTTTAGTTTTCAAAAGTCTTCTTTTATTATTTCCTTTGATAATTTTCTTCTTACTATTTTTTTTCTGTCCTCTTTTTTATGTACACTCAGGTGTAATTATGCAGTGTTTTTATCTTTTATCTTTTCTATTCCAGCTTGCCTTCTTCTTCATTTTTCTGTAAGATTTTTCTGAACTTTTTTTTTTTTTTTCAGGACAAGATCTACCTCTGTTTCCCAAGCTGGGGTGCAGTGGCACAATCATGGCTCACTGCGGCCTCCACCTCCTGGGCTTAAGCTATCCTCCCACCTCAGCCTCCCTAGGGCTGGGACTACAGGCGTGTGCCACCATGCTCAGCTAATTTTTGTATTTTTCATAGAGACAGGGTTTCGCCCTGTTGCCCAGGCTGGTCTTGAACTCCTAGGCTCCTTCTTCTCAGCCTCCCAAAGGGCTGGGATTACAGGCATGAACCACCGTGCCCAGTTGATTTTTCTAAACCTTATCTTGCATTTCTTGAGTTGAATTTTTGTAAATTTCTGCCATCATACTTTTCATACACAAGCGTTCTTTTCTGTTCTCTGAAAGTGCCTTTTTAAAGCCTGATTTTCTTGTTCCATGGATACAATATCTTCTCTTATCTCACTGAGAACTGTAATTGTAGTTTTCTCCAAGTTTTCTTCCATTTCCTACCCAACCTCTCTTCTGTGTGTGTGTGTGTGTGTGTGTGTGTGTGTGTGTGTGTGTGTGTTTCTGTTGTTTGTTATAATCTCTCTTTCCTTAATGTGATGCTCATATTTAAGAGTGAGGTAGGCCGGGTGAGGTGGCTCACGCCTGTAATCCCAGCACTTTGGGATACCGAGGCAGGCGGATCACGAGGTCAGGACACTGAAACCAGCCTGGCCAACATGGGGAAACCCCGTCTCTACTAAAAAATACAAAAATTAGCCGGGTGTGGTGGTGGGCACCTGTAATCCCAGCTACTTGGGAGGGTGAGGCAGGAGAATTGATTGAACCCAGGAGACAGAGGTTGCAGTGAGCTGACATGGTGCCACTGCACTCCAGCCTGGGTGACAGAGTGAGATTCCATCTCAAAAAAAAAAAAAGAGTGAGGTACTAAGTAGCCAATTGGAAGTTGCTGCAAATGGGTTACTAAAGTGCACTGGACAATGTCTCTCAAATGTCTGTGAGTTTAGGTCTTTTTTTCCATGAGCATGCCAGTTTCTCTGGAATGGAATCCTTCAATTTCCTGTCTGTGGGATACAAACCTGATTGTCGGTGTCCTGGGAGCCCTGCAGGGTGAGGCGATTGGAGATGTTCAGTGTTCAACGAGTTGGCTTTCATTTAAACATTTATTTTCAGCACTCAGCCTCTTCCCTGTTCACTGCTTCACCTGGTTCCTCTGAGCCCAGCACTTCAAAGAAGAATCAGAATAAACTTCAGTTTTCCGTCTGGTTGAGAGAGAGATGCTCACCTGGTTGTGTGGGGTAGAGGACGCTATCTGGACTTCTAACTATTCCTTACCCAGACTTACAACAAATCTGTTTTCTGCTCCACCGCCTGTCCTCAGAGGTTCCCAGGGCTTCCATATTCCGAGGTTTTCCCGATTCTGAGGCTTGAATCAGCGTCCTTCTTGCTGGCATCCTAATTCACAGGACCAGATTTCAGTTTCTCAGCTCTGTTGAGTCCATTTCCAGCCATCTGTCCATTTTCCATAGTCCAAAATTTGCCTAACATCTGGACTTATGCTAATTCCTTTCAGGTACTCTTTGCTCTTTGTCTTGTAGGATTTATTTATGATTTTTTTATTGCTTTACTATCAGTCTGGAGAGGTTTGGGGAAGCAGAAATTAAATGAGTGTTCTTATGTGATCTGCCGTGTTTAACCATATCCTCAAATTTATTAGTCTTTTCATTTGTTAATTCTGTTTTTTATGTTATATACCCTATGATAAAAAAAATTCACCTTCAATTTTTTTCTAATCATTTCTGTTTGTTTTTTATATAACCTAGTTTATTATAGTGTGTAGTAGAAACTTTGAATCTAAATTTTCTGCTTCCACAAAATTGATTGTAACCCTGCCATTAATAGAGTGATCCACCCTTTTCTTCTTTATTTGTAATACTTCCTCTAAAATAATTCATATATGCTGGGGTCTATTTCTAGGCTTTCTGCTTTATTCTATTGATCTATTTGTTTAGTCTTGTGTGAATAGCACTTATCTTAATTAGAATTGTTCTATAAAAAAACCTCTTTGCCTATTTTTAGGTCTTTACTTTTAAAATATTTACTATTGTTTTGTCAAGTTCTACAAAATACGTCATTTGGAGATTTTAATTAGAATAATGAATGCGGCCGGGCACTGTGGCTCTCGCCTGGAATCCCAGCACTTTGGGAGGCCGAGGCGGGTGGATCAAGAGGTCAGGAGATCGAGACCATCCTGGCTAACATGGTGAAACCCTGTCTCTACTAAAAATACAAAAAATTAGCCGGGCGTGGTGGCGAGCACCTGTAGTCCCAGCTACTCGGGAGGCTGAGGCAGTAGAATAGCTTGAACCCGGGAAGCGGAGCTTGCAGTGAGCTGAGATCGTGCCACTGCACTCCAGTCTGGGCAACAGAGCGAGACTCCGTCTCAAAAAAAAAAAAAAGAAAAGAATAATGAATGCATGGATTACTTTGAGGAGAATATATATCTTTACAACTTTCAGGTTTTTCATTCATGAAGATGACATATTTCACCATTTAGTCAGGTTTTTCATGCCCTTAACTCAAGTTTTATAACTTTCTTGCACATATTTTGTTACATTTATTCCCAGGTAATGAACACTTTTTGTTATTATGAATAGCATCTTTTTCCACTACATTTAAAAATTAGAGATGGCTGATTACAGAAACTCTAGGTTTTTGCATCTTGAACTTAATTCCAACAATCTTGCTAAGCTCTTCTATTAGTTCCAATATATTTATAGATCCTCTCAAATTCTCTACACAGATAATTGTATAGCAAATAAAGACCTTTATTTCTCTTTCTAATCCCAGTGGCTATTTTTTCTATTTATTTGTCTTGGTTAGGTATCTAGCACATTTTTTTAGTTGTAGAAGAGATAGTAGTGGCTTTGTCTTTTCATTGATTATAATGGGAATGCTCTTAACATTTTATCATTAAGCATGACGTTTGCTATATATTTCTGGTAAATGCCTCTCATTATGTTTAAAAAGATTCTATTTCTAGTTTTCCAAGAGTTTTTTTTCCAAAGTGATTACTAAGTTTACCAAGTATCATTCACCTATTGAGACGATCTTTCTCTTTTCTTTTTTCTACTTCTCTTATTTATTTTATTTTTAAACTGCTAATGTTGTACATTATATCAGTGGATCTTCAGATCTTAAACCATCTCTGGATTGGTCTTATCTCTTTTTTCCACACTGTTGGATTCAATTACTAATTTTTTCATCTGCATTCATAAGTGCACTTAATCCAAATTCTCTATTGTGTTTGGTACTTTTGTGTCCAATTTTGATATCAAGATTCTACCAGCCTGCTTTTATTGTTTGATAAACCTGGGTGTTGGCAAAGGTTTTATCTGACTAAAAGAATCTGGCAAAGGGTGTTCTGCTGCCTTTTAAAACTTTCAAATCTTCTTTTCTATTGAATAAAGTAGGCATTTTAAGGTGGAAGGAGGTATGTTTTTCATGACTAAATGAAGTAACTAATTTTGAATTAAAAAAATGGCCTATTTTTACTTTTCCCAAGTTGACATGCAAGCAAAATATAATTTCTTGCTACTGATCTACATGATCGCAAACACTCAGTTGTAACTAAAAAAATATAAAGAATCGTCCAGATATTTCCAAATGTCTTTTTAGATTTATTATGGTTCGATTAAGTTGATCTAGCCTATGATAGACAAGGAGTCCTTTATCTAGGATGATCCAATTGGGAAATATATTTCACAGAAATTTCCTATATAAATCTCGTGTATTTTTAGGGCTGTTTACAAATGGCCTCTGGAAAAAGTAAATACTATGAAAGTAAAATTTCCCATGGCAGAGATTCAGCAACATGTATCTTTTTTTTTCCCCCTTCCTTTCTTTTTTAAATTCTTGATTGTTTAAAAAAAGTAAAAGGACAAAGAAAGAAGAATTTTTCAATATCATGGTACACACTACATGAAATTTGTTAAATTATTCTTCAACTATATAGTTCCTCCATGATAAGTGTATTTCAAATACATAAAATAGGTTGTGTGGTCACTCATCTACTATACCCTATATATGAGATATCCAGAATTTATCTATGGAAACATACTATTTTTTTTATCAAAAGACATAACCCAAAAATATTTAGCCATTTATCTTCTAAAAACCAGGCAAAATGCAGGTCCCTGCCGTGTTTCCTGTTGATAATATTTTCCCCATTTGTAGCACAACTTTTCTTTCCTCTGGAAAGCTGGTATTTATTTTATTCATAGATTGCAAAATTATACCCTGATGCTGTTCCACCAAAGGGCATTATTTATACAAGCAGGGAGAGTGTGGTTTAGGATATAAGCAGCAGCGGTAATGGAAAATAGCACTTTCAAACAGGCCTCACTGAGTTATGGAGAATACCACCTGGAGATCATGCACCCGGAACGTCTCTGGACACAGGTCATATCTTTGCACAGACATCACCAATTGCAGCTGTTTTCTGAACTCCTGATGTCTGCCCTACAATATGTTCAAGCCCAGCAGTTTACCAGACTATGTAGTATTATTCTATCTTTCCTTCCTGTCAGATATGGGATGTCCCCATCAGCAAAACTGGCCGTGTTCCGAAAATTTATTTCTAAATCATTTATCTGGGATCAGAAGACATTTTCCCACAGGAACAATTTTATAAACAGTGGTGTTCCACAAATGCCTGCTTGTGCCACAGTGTACCTGAAATGCAACATTGACTGTATGATTCCCACCAACCATTATTTATTCTTTTCTCTGGGAAAGTGCATTCCTCTTGGGATGCCTGAGGCTCATCTCTCCCTCTGCCTGGGAGCCTCAGCTATAGTTTTTTGGGCTGTGCAGCAGTAGCAGTCAGGAAGAGGGGAGGGAAGCAACCTTCCCAAAAAAGAGATGAGTGTAGAGAGTTGATATGGATGCCTCTGGGTAACTTGTTAATGCTGGAAGGCTGAAGAAGGAAACCAACAGTGCGAACTGGCTACTTCCCAACTGTTCTAAAAGAGGCACAAAGGGCAGGGACATTTTCGTAAACAGAGATCATTTCTAAGTCACATCTTCATAAACAGGGAAAGGCATATAGTAAAACCTCCCATTTTTAAAGACCAGTATCTGGACTTGTAATTAGCCAGGAAAAATATTGTGAAACTTCTTGGTCAGTGATGAAACAGTCTCAAACATATAACAATGAGACATAGATCTTGCACCTATCCCCAGGCCTGACAAATAGTAAGTGCTCCAAAAAAAGGGGATTTCAATTTTAATTAAGTACTAATTGAGTGAATTCTGTATTGAAAAGGACAAGACTATGTGTGGGCCAGTTACCTTAATTCTCATTAGCATCTACTAATTCTGACCCTCTTATAGCACACATCCTAACCATGAAGAGTTGGTCGGAGCACTTTCAAGACGTCACCTGAACATTATGTCACCTCTGCGGGATATATGCATCTGTCTACCCCAGCCCAAAGCAGGTGGTGGGTCTCTTCATACCCTCTCTGATGTGCATCAATTTCTAGGAATTTCTAGTACTATCTCCACATCACCAAATCTGAGGAAACAAAAGAGATAAGGAGAGGAAAGTGAAGCCAGTGAGGATATCCAAGCCTGTAGGACCTTAGGTTTATTCTGGCCAGTATTACCTGCTAAAAAAGACCTACGCTTTTGGTTTCCCTTTGGTCACTTATTTTTATAACACATGCAGACGTATTTTGGGGAGGTGTGCCTCTTTCAGGCTAGAATTTAGTCTGCTCAGCAGACCCGGGTCCTGTCTCCTTCAGGTTTTAGAATTGCATAACAATTTAAACTCATTTTGTATGTGCAAGTACTTTGAAAAGAAATATACTATTAAGACTCCCTCTGGTAAGAAGCCTTCCCCACCCCCACGCCCAATAAACTGATCTGTTAACTTTTTGTTTCAGAGACTGTGCTTTCTTTTTATTGCTGCATTTGTGTTCTACAAGACAGCCTCTTTCTCCAAGATTAACATTTCTTATGATTGTTCCTGACAATGGATTCACTTCCAGAGGCCCTGCTAAGGATAACCAAAAAAGGGCATGGAGCAGGCTGGTTTTGGCAGCGTGCACGCAGTTTCAGAGCTTTTTAGGTCTTGGGTTTTCTGATGAGTGATTTCCTGAGCATGCCTAGGGAATGACAGGCATCTCCACAGGCAGGCTGCATCCACCTTGGCTGGGGTGTCGTCATTGGCTGCCTATTAGAAAAACGACAGGACAATGCATACCACCGCCTCCCGACTGTAAACATAGGGGATATGTGTTCACTTAGCATGGACTTCTGGGAGGGGCCAAGGAAGGGCGGTCTGGAGTTTTATTGAATAGAGCAGTGTGTATTCGGCTGCCTGCCTGCCCGCCTGCTTGCTCTCTGGCTGTGCTCCTGCTTAAAGAAATCAGTCCTTCCTTTCCGACTTAGTCCTCGGGAAGAAGTTTCAGACTACAAGGTAAGGCACAGAAGGCTTTCTTTTTTATCTTCTAGAGAGAATCTGGGGACTTTCTCCGGCTTTCAGTCAACATTCCTGGCTAAGGTAGCTGGAGATGCAAGAATGTTCAAGGCAATAAACCATGCAAACTCCCGAGCCTGACTGGGCTTCACTGCCATACGGATATTCCCGGAAGGCAAACAGGATGAGATTTCCAGTTTTGTTTTTAGAATTGGGACAAGAAGAGTGACCATATAGAGACTTACATTTAGGGAACACTGGCAACTTTGATTAGGATAGCCTTTTGTTTAGGACAGCCATATGAGATTATACCTGATATCCAAAGGCCAGTGTTAGCAAGCCTACTGCACCAGACTGCTCACACAGTCTCTTCTGCATCTTTTATTGCCAAAGATTTGAAGAGGTTTTGCTTTAAAAACAAAATCAACAATCCTTTAGGTTGATGAGAAGCCAAAAGGGAATGATTTTTTTAACCAAAGGCTTTTGCGTTATAGTCTGCTGCCAGTATTTAAAACTAGACTTCCAGAGTTGCAAGGAAATACGGTCAGAGATGGAGAGATCACTAGCACCTAGCACTGGTTGGGTTAATGTCACTGATGGGATATTTGCTAAGACAGAAGATGCCTAGGCTGGTCTGTTTCCTATAAAACCTAATAACAAGAGAATGCATGCGCTAGTGGGTGTGTTTTTTTAGAAAGCACATTTAACGTCCTACCAAACTATTTTTTAAGAAATCTTTTTTTCTGTTTGAAAGTGTGCCTGAGTGTGTCTAGAGAATCTAAAGAGATGTCGATTGGCAATGTGTTTCAGAAAGGAAGGAGGCAGGCTTTTATATCTAGATAGACATATTTGGGTGTCTGAAACAGTAGTACAAGGCAGCTAGTTGGTAGTAGCCTGGAATTCCTTTTAGAAAGAGCTGATGGCAAGGGGTGGGGGAATTTTAGTGCTGTGGCAATACATGGTCAAAAAAAGTGGATGAGAACAAAGTGCTTGATATTTATAGATGCCTTCTATTAACAGGACTATGCAGATGGACTTGTAAACTGAAAATCCTTCTAATGTGTTTGTCAAAACCAGACATATACAGCTAGAACCTGAGTGAAGACTAGATGCTATATGGCAAGCAGGGTAAATCTGATGATTTTTTAGTAGTGCTGGCTATTAAAGACTACCAGCTGCAAATGACTGATTCAACTGGATTTTATTCCATGCAATGCGGTAGTTTGGGGTTGAGATTCATTAAATAAAGTTTTCTCTTTGTATTTAGAAGTTTGGGGATAATTTTCTTGGGAATGCCTATTTCTCCTTCTAGAAGTGATATATGAGAACAGAATTCCTTGTGAATTTCCTTCCCTGGAACAGTTCTGAGTAAGTGTGAGAGAAAAGCTGCAGGCAAAAGCTATAGTTTAATTACTGTCCTTCCCTCGAAGAGATCAAGTTCCAAACTATTTTCACAGTGTTTTTAATGTCAATCAAAATATGGAGAGCAATTTTTCTTTTAACTGTTCTCTAAACCATGAAGGGAATGCAGTTTGGAAGGAGATCTATAATCTTGGGATTTGAGGATAAATTCCATTTTGAAACCAACATCTCCGAATCCCTGAAAGTTCAAACTGTGCTATGACCACTCTCTCCAGATCCCCCATCCCCCTTCTCTTGGGCTCCCCACCCCCAACAACCATAAAAACACTCATTTTTTTCCAAGTAACACTTTAGGTGTTCTGCTGTTATAGGTAGAGATAGAGTGAGAGGATTTGAGTTTATGCTGAATTTTAGGCAGTTCTTTGTGCTACTTCCTTCCTGTTGAATGTTACCTAGAACACATTTCCCCACATAGTGAGGCCAAAGGAGCACAATGAAAACAGTAACTTTCATTTCAGAAATATAATCACAAAATTCCAGAACAAAAAGTCACTAAGAGTTGATCCTAGGACACACAAGGAATGTATGTACAATGGATTGATCCATAAGTAAAGTGCAGGGTTGTTTCAAGTATTCGAAGCAAATAGAAGGTGTAATTTAAATCATTCCAGTCAAAAGATTGCCTTAAGTAAATACACAATTCTTATATTAAAGTTAGGAGAAGGAGAACCAGGCTCAAACTGCAGTTTAAAGGATTTTAAATGAGATACATGAAAGCATTTCCTGACAGTAAGGCAACTGCCTTATTATGAGAATCATTAACAATTCTAATTGGCTCCTGTGACTGGCCTGAGAATCTCCTTGTCTTAGGTAGATAGAATAAGTTGATCTTATGGCCAGCCATGTAAAGGTCCAGAATCTAGCCCAGGTATTCTCTGTTCTGATAAATAAAATGCACCTCAGCAGGCATTTTTGTAGAAACACATGTAATTGTCTCCATTTGCCATTTTCTTGATAGCATGATTACCAGTTAGTCATTCCTTAGCAAGACGCAAAAGTGATTCAGAGATGGGCATGAAAAGAGATTTGCTAGTTCCCCATTTGCCTGTAGTCTATCACATGTCTCAGAAATGTGGTCGGGGGACAGGAAAAATGCTGATAGAGTGGTATGCAAATAGCATGGTAGGACTAAGGAGGAGGTTAGAAAGATGCTGCCAAAGAATTTTCAGACTTCAAAAGGGCGTTTTCTGCGTTAAGTTCTCTTAGGGCCTGAGAAGATACCATTAGCTCCTTACTGAAAGTCCTTCATCTGTCAGGCTAATCCAAGTTTGCTATTGGAGAGATGCCCATAAGTCCTGAGTAGATGGGTAGTTTAAAGAGAAACTTTTGGCACAGGCTTAACTTATGAGAACCACTACAACATCTCAGTTCTAGTATTGGTTCCTCTGCTTAAGTAACCCTGACCTTTTTGAGGAAATCATCAGCTTTTGACTTCATCTGTTGAGTGAAGAACGGACATTGGTAATGCTTCTCCGATGTCCCACAGTGGTTAAGACGTCCAAATGAGATGAAGCTGTTTGCTCCCTCTTCCCTGCAGATTCTATACCCTGAACTGCCTATCATTTGAGTCCTCTGGACATTATGCTCATCTTGGCTGGTATCCTCCACTTCTTACCTAGTATCCCTAATGATCTCTTCCTTTCTCGTATTTAAGGACCCTTGAGTGATATCTTCTCGCTCCTGGTTATTTCTAGAGCCCTGAGCCGTGTCCAGTGAATACTGGTCTATCCCAATGTTGTCTGAATTTTTACTTTGATGATCACAGACTAAGAGGACACAAATATAAGGAAGTGGAATAAGATGGGCCATCAGTGGTACAAGGCACCAGGAAATCCAAAGATCCACTTGAGCATAAGACCAGTGAGAAAGTGCTGACAACAGAAAGCCCTTAAGTAATTGAGGCAGCTTCTCTGCCTCCAGCCAAAAGCATGGAATGAACCCCGGAACGTCATGCCTGGGCCTTGTAGGAAGGGCAAGGAAGGCAGGAACACCTGGCTGTGGTTCCTGTTGGTATTGAAACCAGACTGCTCCACGGAGCTCGCCTCTCACCTCTTTGCTTCTGTCTTTAGTGCTCCCAGCTGTAACCGACCCTAGTTGCATCCCTAACTTCCTTACCCCCAGGCCTCCACCTGTAACCTCTTCCCCAGCTCCCCCATCCCTGTACCGGATAGGGAGCTTTCTTGATCCAACATTGACAATTTGCAGGGGCCAGCTCTAAGATGAGGCCCAGAGTACAGCAGAACACTCTAGCACAGATAGGTTCTAGCTAGGGAAAGCCACTTGCACAGACAGAGGAGATGTCAGAGCATGTTTTGTGGTAAGGACCCACTCTGCTTCTCACCCCAAACTCATAATTGGCAGGCTGTGGGTAAGGCTATGGGAGCGGGGTCGGGGGGAAACTATGACCTGGGCTGTGAGGGAGGGGTGATGAGGTTGTTCCCTGTGTTGTTCTTCCCTGTGTTGTTGCTATGGAAACCTTTGAGAATCTGATAAAAACTGTGAACCCTTAAGGTCCCTTTGTAAACCCACGCTTCATGATTGACAGGTAAGAGACCTTTGAGCTGGGGCATGTAAGATGGGGAGTGGGGTCAGATCTGGATTCCCATAGAAGACAAGGGTGGATGGGATCAGAACATGAGTGGAGGTGTCCATGATCTGGAAGGAAGAAAAGAGGGGGTAAATACACAGATATATAGGTGGAGATTGCGTCATATGACCTCCATTTCAAAGAAAAAGAGGTCATTTCCAGAAAAGAAGCAATTTTCTATGGGGAGCTCGTGGGGGCTAGAGAAATCCAGGAATGGCTGCTATTAAGTGTACGTAAAAAGAACACCCAGAAGTTAATAAAAGGCTTGCTAAGCAGCAGTAAGGGAATAGTTGAAGGAAAATACATTTTTAAAAGATTTTAGTATATCGGGCACTCATTTTAGTACATGGCTTTTCTTTGAAAATATATGTATATGTATAAATGATGTATAACTTGAAGATAAATTGCTTTTTGATGGTATCCTGAGGCTTCTGGCATTGTTTTGTGAATACTCCATGAAAGCACTTGACTAAAAGGGAATAATCTCACTTGGAGAGAAACATATTAAGCAGGAATATATAATTAGTTCCTCTGACACCCACATATAACATTCCCCCTCGCTTGTCTCAAGATACATTGCTGGGGAACCAGGCTGACTTCACCTTGTGCTGAAGACCAGAAGGACCAAGGCAAAGTGCCCAAGAGGGCCAAGGACCAGTTGGCATCAAAGATATTAGTTCCACTGGGGTCAGGAGGACCAGTCTAAGCCAGAATGGATATCAGTTACAAAAATGGGCTAAGTTGTGCATGACAGCCAGGTGAGTAAAGAAGAAACAGCAAAAATCAGAAGTCAGGCAGAGCTTAGTGAAGTAGTGTATGGATGAATAAGGTGAAGTCTGGGAGAGCACATGGCCCAGTGTTAGGAAGAAATAGACCTCTATGTGAGCAAACTTTGGTAGCTCAAGTAAAGGGCCAGGATTGTAAGACACAGATTAACGAACGGATGAAATCACAGGGATATCCAAGAGCAGAAGCCCAAATAGGACCAGGGCCCAAAGAGAGTAGAGTTAGAGTCAAGGTGGGTGAGAGGATCCCAGCCGCGGTCCATGGATATTTACTCCATCCCTTTCCACTAGTGTGACTCAGCTCAGCGCACGTGTCTGCCTCTTTCTGTTGTTCTATCAACTGGAAAATTTCTTCTGTGTTTCCAGGTCCAGTCCTGAGAGAGGAGATCTGATTGGTTCAGTCAAAGACTATTGTCTTTGGCAAATCCTTTAGTAGGAGGAGGACATCAAAGGCACAGGCGCGCCTAAGGATGAATTACTCTAATCCAGGCAGTGGTCACCCCTGGGCAAAGAAGAGCTCAATGGGTAATTTTAGTTAGAAGAGAAATTGAGCATGGAAGGCAAATTAGCTGAAATGTCCAACAGCTCTCAATGGGAATCATTTGAATTTTGAGGTGAATAAACTCCTAGAGAGGCAAACACCCAATGAATGATCACACAGTTCTTGATGATCACTGTGACCCACTGAGCCAGTGTTAAGGGAGATTAATCTAGAAGTTTGCACCACTGGTAACTGAAAGGATAAGAATCATCCATCTCAGAAAGATTTTGGGAAAAAACATTCTGGATATTATTGTTGGCAAGAAACTTCATATGAATCTTCCATGTGATATGGCTCCCTTCAAATGAAAGCAGTCTTGAAGATTTAATATGTAATCATTTAACAATTTTAATAAATAAAAACAAGCACAACTCAATGTAAACCACAGTACATAATAAGGTGAATGCATAAAAGCTGGTGTACTCTTAATCACTGGAAGTTTCAGATCTAAGCAATATTTGCTATGTAATTTTTAATCCATTGAGCACCCATCATGGTGTTTGTCAAGTGGACTAAAATATCCCCTGAGTTCTGCATAGTTCGGATCCCATTTGGGAACTTGTGCTCTGTTCTGGGCTCATTTTTCTGAAAGGCATGGATACATATGCATTCTAGGGTTAGCATCAAAGGCTGGAGGGAGTCAGGAGGCAAAACATATGCTGAACCGATAAGGGATCTAGAGCTGTTTATCCCAAAGAAAAGAAAATGAGGCCACATAAATATCTTCTAATATTTGGGGTACTTTTATATGAACATGGGAGAAGGCATTTGTGTTTCTCAAGGCAGCAGAACAGAACTGAATATATAAATTCATAGAATTTTTAAGCTGGGCAAGACCTTAGGAGCTCATTCAGCCCAAGGAGTACATATAACTTTTCATCTGTATGCCAGCTCCAACCAATTGGCATGTTAAGAAGGATTCTGAGGATGAATCTAAGCTCAGAGGGGAGGGGAAAATGTGGTCACTGATAGTGATATCTGTTGTGGAAGAGAAGGGCCATATCTACTCAAGTACCATGTTTTAGTCTTCATTAATGTGGTCTGTAGGTTTTTAACCTCTGGGTGGTGGATCCCTGGGAGGCCACAAAGTCATTGCAAGAGGTAAACAAATCTGTATATGCAGCAAGTGCTTTTGGCAAGCTACTCTGAGTAAATAATATATCTTACATCATATGTGCTACTATTTTTCTAATTCTATACATACATTATAATGATAAAATGCTAATTTATTTAAAAGAGTTATTGAATTCATAGTAGCTTTTAAGTTTGTGTTTTTGTGTTTTATTAATGAGTGGACTTAAAACATATAATTATATTATGTGTGGGAAGGTTGGGACAGGAAATTTGGGATCTTAAGTAGAAATTCTTTTTAAAATATGAACCAGTGATCTATTTTTTATTCTCCAAAGCCTAGCCACACCAAGTAAAATTATGTATGTATTTGTAGGTTTCTTCGATTAATGTCTGCCCTGTCTTATTGGTCTGTCAGATATATAAGGACAGGAACCTCTATTTTTTTTTCATTCGTATATACCCAGTGCGTGGCACACGGCAGAATCTCAATAAATATTTGTTGAATGAAATAACAAACCAAGTGACTTGACCAAAGTCATCCAGTTAATTAGTGGTAAGATAGTTCCAAAACACACAGCTCCTAAGTTCCAAGCAGTTAACCTTTTCAATATACCACATTACTTCCCCTGATAGTAAGAGAGCATGTTTTAACAGTTAGCAAATTTAGGTTATACAATGCTGCCCAATCTGCCTATATACCCATGCATCTTAACCAGTATCTTAATCAGAATCAACTGTAGAGCTTTTTGAAAATACACATCCCTGAGACCTATCCTCTAGAGATTCTGATTCGGTAGGTCTAGAAGGGGGTCCAGGCATCTGTAGTTTGTAAAAGTTCCCTGGTGACTCTGATAAAACATCCTGGCTCAGAAACAGTTCTGTGCACCTATCGTTAAAATAATTGATAGTAGATGTATGTAGTTACTTATTCCTCAGAAGCCTATTTCTTTAGTTTTGAATAATTTCTTTCTAAAAATTATAGTTGCATATGCCAAATAATCCGTTTGGCCAGAAGAGCAAAACCTTTAGTTTTGCTTTTTTTTCAGTTTAAGCACAAAGTTATCAACCCTGTAAGGTCAAATTTTTCTGATGAGATTTCCAGTGTTTGCTTTTGTAAAGGACTGGAAATGTGGCAAGAATAAAATTTCTCATGGTATTTCCCACTTCCTTTTCCAGCCATCATTACTAAGGGAAATTTAGGCTTAGGGGGAGGGGTGAATCTAGGAGAAAAAAAATTTTAAGTATTTCTGTTCTTAGGAGGTTTTGAGCAGATATTTCGCTTCCTAGGAAAAGCTGAAGATGTTTTTCTCTGTTTCCACTTTGTGGTGAGGATGCACAAATCCTGAAGAGGGGAGAAGCTTCCTCCACCTCCACCCTCACCCCTACATCTTCTCTAGGGCAGGAGTCATCACAGCCCCTGGTTTAGATGCTTCCCTGGGTGGCCCTTTTGAAAGTATGTGGACCCTAAGAGACAGGAGACTTTGAGTGCATGGATGGGGGATAATTTGCTTTTGCAGAAGGACAGAAAATTTATCTCTAGGTTCTTCCTTTATTCGGCAGTTAGGAATTACATCCTCTGTATTGCACAGAAGAATCTACCATATTCAGAGCACTGAGTACATGGATTATATTCACTAAAGATTGGAGAGCCAAAAGTTTCTCTGCAAGAGTGACCTGATCTAGTAAGAATGTCAAAATTGTTACTATATTTGTACCCATGCTCTTCGGTTTAGAGGGCAGGTGCTTCCGTGTGTACATAGAAGCAGAGCTTGTTGGAGAAGAGGAGCTAAAAAGGAATTAGATTAGAATCCACCTCTGTACAATGGCACCATCTGGACTCAGTCTCCTTCATCTCTAACACTGTCCCCACTTTCTCTGCACCCCAAACTCATACTGGCTCCCAAAAGCTCATTGTTAAACTTTCGAGAATTTTGAGAGCCAGTTGTAAAACACAGCCATTATAAAAACTAAATCATATAAACTTACAATTAAACACATTATATGAAGAGCCAAGATAATAAATACTCAAAACTCTTCCTAATTATTTTGCTATGTTTCACTATTATCTATTCTCTTGAGGTTAGTTACATCTATTGTGGCTATATGGTGGAAATACTGTATAAAATGCTGTGCAACTGAGCTTCTCCTCCCAATTCTTCATTCAGTGATGTCATATTCAGAACTTGAAATTGACCATGATGGAAGTAATTACACCACAGAAATCAGCCCATGCTACAAAGCAGACTCCCCTCCCCTCACCCAAGAACTTGTTGCTAAACATTGACTAGCACATCACTGACCCTAAGGGATGCGGTGGTAAAATTAGCCTCTGCATTGGAGAGCCAAGCGGAATACCTCTGTGGTTCAGTTACATGCATATTCATAATGTATGCTTATGATTGCATATTTGTTTGTTTGCTTGCTTATTTATTTCTCATGCTCCTAGAACATAAGCTCTATGAAAGTAGAGACTTTGTTTGGCTTTTTCAGTGCTGTGATTTGAACCTAAAAATGTGCTGTGTCCTGCACATAGTATTAATAAATGAGTTAAATGAGTGAAAGAAATAAATGTCAGGCTGGTAGTGGTAGCTCGTGCCTGTAGTCCCAGCACTTTGGGTGGCCAAGGCAGGCAGATTGCTTAAGGGCAGGAGTTTGAGACTAGCCTGAGCAAAATGGTGAAACACTGCCTCTACAAAAAATACAAAAATTAGCCGGCCATGGTGGTGTGCATCTGTAGTCCCAGCTACTTGGGAGGCTGAGGTGGGAGGATCACATGAGCTTGGGAGGTCGAAGCTGCAGTGAGCTGAGATTGTACCACTGCACTCCACCCTGGGTGACACAGTGAGACCCTGTCTCAGAAAAAAACAAAAAGTAAAAAAAAAAAAAAAAAAAAGTCTACAATTTCTACTTTAAAAATACCTGAAGCCAGTGTTCATGTTGGAGCTCATTGATTCCTCATGAATTGTATCATTGTTCAGTGTTTAGAACAGTGCCTGGCACATGCTAAGTAGCATGTAGATTTTTATTAGGTAAAAATAAAATAAGTTATCTTCATAACAGCTAATTTTACAGATGAAGAAACTGAGTTACGATTAGATTAAGTAATATAGCTAAGGTCCCACAGCTAGTAAGTAGCTGGGTCAGGATCTAAACCCGGGATAATCTGGAGGCACTGCCCACCTTCTTTACCACTGTGCTATGCTGCCTCTTGCTAGTTACTCCACGTCACTGAGACTCCTCTTTTGTATGTGGCTCTAGAAAGAATTGAGATCTATTTGAGAACAAACTTTGGAGTCAGGAGAACTTGAGTTTGAATCTCAAATTTACCACTTTTTTCACTTACAAAATGGGGATGATTTCTCCTCCACTTTGTAGTTGTCACAACTACTAGAAGTAATATCTTGAAACTGCTTTGCACGTACATGATAGACACTCAATTACAAATGGTCAGCTATTGGCTGTGATTTCCTGTGGAGGCTACCTGTTAGCGTGGGGCTTAGCCACACACTGTCCCCTGTTGCCTCCTCTAGGCCATCCTGTAGACAGATTAAAAAGGGCTCACTGCTTCTACATTTGGGGTCTCCAGGAGGTAAGACTAGGACCAATAGATACAAGTTCTAGGAAGTCCTATTTCAGATCAGCTTACAGACTTTCTAAATAGATATTTCTGTCTCTGAAGCACGAACCTCGCTGCTCTACAGAAGCAGACAACTTCCACTGTCCTTTCCAACCAGAAGGTTTACCTGCTTGCCCTTATCAACAAATCTATGCTGCCTTTAACATTTTAAATCATTTTATCTAGTATAGCTAAAGAGTTGTATTATTCCTGAGATTGGGTTGTTTTGCAGGTTTTCAGTGTTTTAGACCTGGAATGAGAGGGAGTAAGAAAAGAGGGAGGGAGAGGAAAAGAGAAAAAGAAATAAGGAGAGAGAGAGAGAGAGAGAGAGAAAGGAGAGGACAGAGAGGGAGGAAGGGAAAAGGGGGAAGAGGAGGGAGGGGAGAAGGAAATTGGAATTTATCTGGAGAAAAAGTACTGAACTTGGGAGAGAGACTGAAGAGCAATGGATTGATAGTTATCTGAAGTCCTCACAGGTTAAGGATGGTTGAGAAGATAAGCTAGCTCATTCAGCTACCTTGCTGGCATACTAGCTATGTGACAGGCACTGTTCTGGTTGAGGACTGCTCTCTCAGAGCAGTAAAGTAAATCAAATAACTTGCCCAAAGTCACACTGCTGGAAAATGCCAGAGCTGTTCAAAGCTCCTCCCTAACTCCAACCCTCTCCAATTCTCTACAGCTATCTGCTCTGTGTCTTCCCCCAAGAAAGCGATGGAAACCAGAGCAGGAGGTTTCCGTAACCAGTCATTATAATTTGTCAGGGAGCCATACTGCAGTTCAACTAGACAAGCACATTGTCATTCCCTGCCATATAAGGAAACAGAGCTAAACACCATTGCTTTCACTATTGACTGGAGAGGTTGCTCAAGTTAGAGTTAGACAAGATGAGGATCTAGACCTAGAGCAGTTAAATTAAATTAAAAAAAGAAAGAAAGAAAGCCAGAGAAGTAGTTTTGTGTTTTCTTTTCCTGGTACCAGAGATAGTTTAACAAGCAGTTTCCATCCTTCTCCCTGACTCAACGGGAGATTTTCCCTGACATTAGGCACTAAAGGATTCAACTACTCGTACAAATACTTCAAGCTGTTTTGGTGTTTGATTATGTCAAATTTTAAGAAAAGGCAGAGGATCAGTTCAGGTATTCAAAAGGCCAACATATCCAAAAGGTATTCAAAAGGCCAAGACAGAGCTGCTTCTGTGTGGGTCAGGTAGAAAGTCAAGGACTGTATTTCTCTGTCCATTGATTTACAAAAGAAATTAGTGTCCACTCACCTTCCCAGGTGAGATACTACTTATTAAGAAATAAAATCAGAAATACTACTTATTAAGAAGACTTTACATTTAAGTTTGACCTTCTTGTCCAAAGCTAAGAATATTCACGGGGTCACTCTTTGCCTTAAGACTCAGACACAATGGGCACTTTATTTGTTTGTTTGTTTTTTGAGATGAAGTTTTGTTCTGTCACCCAGGCTGGAGTGCAGTGGCACGATCTCGGCTCACTGCAACCTCTGCCTCCTGGGTTCAAGCGATTCTTTCACCTCAGCCTCCTGAGTAGCTGGGATTATAGGCACACGCCACCATGCCCAGTTAATTTTTTGTATTTTTAGTAGAGACGGGGTTTCACTATGTTGGCCAGGCTGGTCTCGAACTCCTGACCTCAAGTGATCTGCCCACTTTGGCCTCTCAAAGTGCTGGGATTACAGGGACCATGCCCGGCCACAACAGGCACTTTAGAATGCAGGCTCAGTAACCAACTTTATGAAGGGAGAAACAGAGGCATGAACAGTTGAAACTATTTCCTTAAAGACAGCCAGTTCCATCTTGCCATACAGAGTGCCCACATTTTCAGATAATCCGAAGAGGCATCACTTAGTGTCCCCAGGGAAATGAAAAACAAAAAACAAAAAACAAAAAAACCTGTAAATAGTCTGGTCATCTTCTCCTAACTATCATCTTGGACCAGATTGCATCTGGAGTACTAGTTTATTAGGCATACCCGAGACTGGGTAATTTATAAAGAAAGAGGTTTAATGGACTCACAGTTCCACATGATTGGGGAGGCCTCACAATCATGGCGGAAGGCGAATGAGGAGCAAAGTCACAAATTACATGGTGACAGGCAAGAGAGCTTGTGCAGGGGAACTCCCATTTATAAAGCCATCAGATTTCCTGAGACTTATTCACTACCACGAGAATAGTATGGGGGCAACTGCCGCCGTGATTCAGTTATCTCCACCTGGCCCTGCCCTTGACACATGGGATTATTACAATTCAAGGTGAGATTTGGGTGGGGACACAGCCAAACCATATCTGATGCCACAACAAAATGCACAAACAAATTTATTTCTGGATGGAGGTTAGAAGTCCAAGATCAAGGTGTCAGCAGGGTTGGTTCCTTCAAGGGCTGTGAGGGAAGTCTCTGTTCCAGCCCTCTCTGTTTCACTTGTAGATGGTTATCTTTGTGTTCACAAGGCATTCTTTCTGAACGTGTATCTGCATCCAAATTTCCTCTTCTTTTTTTTTTTTTTTTTTTTGAGATGGAGTTTCGCTCTTATTGCCCAGGCTGGAGAGCAGTAGTGCCATCTCGACTCACTGCAACCTCCATCTCCCAGGTTCAAGCAATTCTCCTGCCTTGGCCTCCCGAGTAGCTGGGATTACAGGTGCTCGCCACCATGCCAGGCTAATTTTTTTGTATTTTTAGTAGAGACAAGGTTTTGCCATGTTGGGCAGGCTGGTCTCGAACTCCTGCTGTCAGGTGATCTGCCTGCCTTGGCCTCCCAAAGTGCTGGGATTACAGGAGTGAGCCACTGAGCCTAGCCTCCTCTTCTTATAAAGACACCAGTTGTATTGGATTAGGGGCCAACTTAATGACCTCATTTTAACTTGATTACCTCTGTAAAGACCCTATCTCCAAATAAGGTCACATTCTGAGGTCTTAGGGGTTAGGACTGCTTCAACATATGAATACTCGGGGGAGATACAATTCAACCCATAGTATGTCCCAACTCACAATGGTGGTAGAAATCCATATGGCACATTTTCTGAAGCTCAAGTGCCAAAGACCCTACTGCTGCTGGTATTCTATCTTTCCACTGGGTCTAAGGGAATGCTTTGCTAGAAATCCCTTGGCCTTTTGAATTTGCCTTTGACATTTACTTTCTGCCTTTCTCAATATGAAATTCTGATCCCATTAAAAGTCAAAAGAGGTTTTCGAAATGACGCACTGAAGTACAGCTTCACATACTGTGGCCTATCTGTGGACAGCTATGAAACCACGGCGGCAGACCATCTGGTATGAGGCCTTTAGGAGCCAAGGACGGGGCTCAGTGGGAAGGCTTGGCCAGGGCAGCCTGCAAGCCAGGGAGGCAGGCGCTGAGAGGGGAGCAGCTTCAGGGCAGCTGGCCGGGCCAGGGAGGCAGCCACAGAGGGACCTTGTGCATGCCTGCACAGGGCCCAAAGAGGGTGGCCCTTTTCCGTCATTTTTATATATGCTGATCACAACCACAAATCCCCAGACACAAGGAAAAATATTTGAAGCCTACACATATTTGCGCTCTGAATCATTTGTCTCTTGTCTTTATTTTCCTCTCTCTCCTCTCTATCTATCCTTAAATTTTTATACTTTTTCTCTCAACAGTCCTCCTCACTTTATCTGTCTTTGCTCTAGTTGGTTTCAAGCGCCCATACATTGTGTCTTGTCTGCATTTTCCATGTTCTATTTTTAAGGTATTTTATTTTAGCCTTTTTGTCCCTTTTTTGTCCCTTTCCTAAAGCTCTTCTTGGTGCCCATTTCCCAGCTTTGGTCCTGCTCATGGCTTCTCTGTCTTAGGCCAGGGGTAGTCTATAGACAGGATGACTATACCATTTATCGTCAAACTGGGACACGTTGAAGAGGGAAAGAAGGGGCAGTTAATAATTTCCCTAAAATGCAGTCCCGAAGTGGGACTGTCCCAGTGTGGAGTGGATGCTTATTCTATCCATGGTGTGGTTTTCTGCTTTCCACAAATCTCTCTTCACCTATCAACCACTCCCTCCATTTATGTACCATTTTTTTTTTTTAAACCTTTTATGTTCTGGTCCTTCTTTTTTATTTCAACCCCAAGAAGCTTTATGTGTTCTTGTATTTCTGTCTTCTTTTATCTCCTCCTCATTCCTTCACTTTACTCTACTCTGCTCTCTATCTTGTCTCACCACTTCAATTCTTCTTCTCCCTTGATTTCCTTCTTTTGGGTACAGACTGGACTGCAGCTCACAGAGGCCATGCCTGTCTGCCATGATACATGCAGGACATAGTCCCTGCATTTCTGAAACAAATCAAGGCACAGCTGAGCACATACACACACACTTCAAAATAAGCCACCAAATGTTACAAGCTGCTTTGGGTCTCAGATGAGCCCTGAGTGGACTGTTCACCCCTTCAGCACCTCTACCCAGAGACTAGAACAATCCCTACACCACGCAAGCAGCCATGCCTGTTACTGTTACGGAGGCATGTTCTGTGTATGTGTCTAGGCTCGCACGGGATGCATTTCCTATAGGTGTACCTATGTACACTAGAGTTGAAAAATGATGAAAGCATATGACCCGAAAGACAAAAAGAAAGTGACAGGTGAGCTAACTGTGCATTGCCTTTGTTATGACTTCAGTAATCTGGATCATCTTATCCTCTAAAGAAATGTATACCAAAGGCCTAGCAATGGCTGCCATAGGTTTTTTGTTGTTGTTGTCAATTGAAACAGAGTCTCACTCTGTCGCCCGGGCTGGAGTGCAGTGGAGCAATCTCAGCTCACTACAACCTCCACTTCTCGGGTTCAAGTGATTCTCCTGCCTCAGCCTCCCAAGTAGCTGGGATTACAGGTGTGTGCCACCACGCCCAGCTAATTTTTGTATTTTTAGTAGAAGTGGGGTTTCACCATGTTGGCCAGGCTGGTCTTGAACTCCTGACCTCAAGTGATCTGCCCGCCTCTGCCTCCCAAAGTACTAGGATTATACCATGCCCAGCCTGCTATAAGTCTAACATAAGTAACAATAAACTTTTAGGCAACAAGATAGAATAAATATTTTTTTCAGTTCTTTTTAAATGTTCTCATGACACAGTCATCTGCAACTTATGGTTTATTCTGAAAAATCACTTCAATTTTCCAGATATTCCTTAGACTTAAGGTTGTGCAAGGAAGGCCTGAAACTCCTTCCCAACTTGAAAATGAGAAAGGAAGAGTATTTTCCTCTTGTAAGTCGCTGGAAGCCAGTCCACTGATACCTGAAATACTTGACAGAATGGCACTGTGTCAGCTGTCAGGAGCTGCTCTCGTCTTTTTTATTTATTTATTTACTTATTTGGGAATTTTGACCACAATTTTCTTTCTCTTTTTTTTTCAAATACTCTAAAAATTAAAGAATGAGGAAAGAAGACTGTGTCCCCACCCAAATCTTATCTTGAATTGGAGCCCCCATAATTCCCACGTGTGGTAGGAGGGATCCAGTGGGAGGTAATTGAATCATGGGGATGGGTCTCTCCCATGCTGTCCTCATGGTAGTGAATAACTCTCACGAGATCTGATGGTTTTATACAGGGGAGTTCCCCTGCACATGTTCTCTTGCCTGCCGCCATGTAAGACATGATTTTGTTCCTAATTTGCCTTCCACCATGATTGTGACACTTCCCCAGGAACTGTGAGTCAATTAAACCTCTTTCCTTTATAAATTACCCAGTCTTGGATACGTCATTATTACCAGAGTGAGAACAGACTAATACAACAGTGAAATAGATATTTTATGAACGGAAATACAGGTTTTGTTCAAGTTCTCTCCTTCCTTCCTCTCTCTTTCCCTTCCTTCCCCCTCCTCCTTTTCTTTCTTTCTCTTCCTCCTCATTCTTCACATTCTTCCAGTTTTTGTTTCTTCTCCCACTGAGATTGATATGGCTGGAAATGTGCTATTATGATTGGGCAGCCTTGTGCTTTATCCATGGTGGCCTATAGCTCTCTTGCTTATATATATCTTTTTATGAAGATCGATGGTAACAAAAAATACTTCACCCACACTCTGCTGGGAAGATGCGACGGTGGAATGGAAATATCTATCCAGAGAGCTCCCTACGACCCTAAGACTTGACAGAGTCATCCCCAGCCAGCCTGGAGCCACTGACCCACCTGTGTCTGAGTAACTGGGAAACAAGGAGTGTAGGAGTTTGAGAGTTATTTTTGTTTTTTACTTTTTTAAACTTTCATGCCTTTCCATATTTCTGCTCTTAGATATTCTGTTAAAATAAAACAACGGCTCTTTCCATGGGAGTAGTTTCTAGCTTGCTAATTCTTTTTTGAGAGAGTGTTTGCATGAGGTTTTAAGTTTTTAAAGTCTTGGCTCTTATATTTTGTAGGAGCCCTAGACTCCAGATAGTGGTCTAATAGAAAATTAGCCCTGGCTCCTGCCTCATGTCCACAGCTGATAATCTGTGTGACTTTGAATGGCCTCCTTGTGCCTCGGGCTTCTTAATTATAAACTGCCAACAGCCTTTTCCCTTCTCTATGATGCCAAGGTGGGGAGCAATGTGATCTTTAATACAAAAGGATGTTAGGCAGTAAAGTGTCTTAAAACACAGACATGGATTTCCTTTCTTCTTCCTTTGAAATATGAAGACTTTTCCTGGTTGGTTTTGGGGGAAGATAGAAATCATATATTCATAAAGGACACACCCCATATTCAGAGTTCAGAATTTGGAGTTTCCAATAATCATCTCATGCACGAGAGCTGACTCCCTCTGCTGGGGCTGCCCCACCCCCAGTTCCAGCCTTTCCTTCTTTCATTTTTATTTATTTATTTTCTTAGAGATAGATAGAGTCTCACTCTGTTGCCCAGGCTGGAGTGCAGTGGTGCAATCATAGCTCACTGCAACCTTGAACTCCTGGGCTCAAGCAATCATCCTGCCCTAGCCTCCTGAATAGCTAAAACCACAGACACAGCACCATCACGCCAGGCTAATTTTGTATTTTTTTGTAGAGAAGGGGTCTCCCTGTGTTGCCCAGGTTGGTCTTGAACTCCTGGCCCCAAGTGATCCTCTGCCTCAGTTTCCCACAGTGCTGGGATTGCAGGCATGAGCCACCACACTGGCCCCATCCTCATCTTTAAAAGCAATATTGAGAATCATCTTGTTTGGAGAAACTCTGAAACCCTACAGTGCTGAAAAGGGAGGATTGAGACAGACTGCCATTCAATTGAAGCTTTTCCTCTAATGTAGTAAGAATTTTTTTTTTCTTTTTTTCTTTTTTTTGAGAAAAAGCCTTGCTCTGTCGCCCAGGCTTGAATGCAGTGGCGCGATCACAGCTCACGGTAGCCTCAGCCTCCCAAGTAGCTGGGGCTACCACACTTGGCTAGTTTAAAAACTTTATTTTTTGTAGAGACGAGGTTTCATTATATTACTCAAACTGGTTTCGAACTCTAGGGCTCAAGTAATCCTCCCACCTTGGCCTCCCAGTGTGCTGAGATTACAGGCCTGAGCCACTGCACCCGACCCAGAAAACTTTTTTAAAAGCTTTATCTGAAACCAAAGCACATAGTGCACAATGGCAGACTCTTAGACTCTTGTTGCCCTCAGATTTTCTAAAATTGTCTTTTATCAGCATTTAAGTTTCTAACACATGAGATCACATATGTGAAAGTGCTTGTGCTTTGTAATATCTGTGATTTTACTATCTATAGCAGAATATATTAAAGTGTAAAAGTGCTCCAGGAACCTAAGAAGAGTAGAAGAAAAGCATGTTTGACCCCAGCAACTGTGCTTGCAGCCAGGCTTGAACGAGCAATCATGTGGGTGGGTTAAATTGTTTATTTTTTATTTTTGAGACGGAGTCTTGCTCTGTGGCCAGGCTGGAGTGCAGTGGCGCAATCTGGGCTCACTGCAACCTCCGCCTCCTGGGTTCAAGCAATTTTCCTGCCTCAGCCTCCCGAGTAACTGGGACTATAGGCACGCACCACCACACCGGCTAATTTTTGTATTTTTAGTAGAGACGGGGTTTCACCATATTGTCCAGGATGGTCTCGATCTCCTGACCTCAGGTGATCCACCTGACTCGGCTTCCCAAAGTGTTTGGATTACAGGCGTGAGCCACCATGGCTGGCCAAATTGTTTATTTGTATTGTTCTTTAAATAAAAGTTTATTTTAGAATACTTTTAAATTTACAGAAAAGTAGCAAGAATATTACAGAGTTCTCATATGCCCCACACCCAGTTTCCCCTATTGTTAACATTAAGGCACATTTGTCACAAATAATAAAACAATATTGATGCATTATTATTAATGAAAGTCCAACCTTTATTTGGATTGTTTTAGGTTTCTTTAAGCCCCTTAAAATAGAAAAATGTTTCATATGGGGAAAATGTAATGTTCACATTGTAGCTATATAGTTGGAACTCTAATACATGAGTGAAAATGGTTTAAGCTAACTCTTTTCTTGAACATATGCTTACTGGACTGACAATCTCTTGAGGACTTTCCACCTGTAATACCTTAGGCCTCTTCTGTTCTCTGGTTTGTTTCCCTTGAGACCGTTAGCAGATTGCTCAGCCTGACCCACCCTGGTGCCAGATGTTGGAACCCTCTTGCTGCTGCCAATCTGACTAGTCATTCCAAACAGATGGTAATATCCAGCATCACACCCCCTCCCACAATTTCACAGTTTTAGGCAGAAGCCTTAGAGTGAACACATTTACCTGGCTGTTGAATTGCTGAAACTCTGTTCTTAAAGTTGCTTCATACCACAGTGACTTGTGAGAGCTTTGACATTAATAGAAGGTCCAAAAGAAGACCTGAGTGACGTTCCCCCAAATCTTGAGATCTAAAGACTTTGGCCAGTTTAAAAACACTACAATTTATGGAAAATACCTGTTAGTAACAAATAGAGAAATTATAAAGGAGATTGCTTTTTAGAAATCACCCCAATGACCGTATTCCACATCCCGAGCTTCCAAGCTTTCTTTGAAATACGAGTTACCAGCAGACACTAGTGGAAAGAATCTTTTTAATTCAATCTCTGCCTTTGAGCAACTTGCTGACTGACATCTAGAGGCATCTCAGTCTTCTGGGGTGGCACCTTATGGTGGAAAGGCTGGACTAGATGTGGTCTCTCTTAGTTTTAAATCTGCTTGGATTGGGGCTTTATAACGTTCCCTCAGAAGTCTTGTTGGTGTCCTTTCTACCAGATTTCTTTTTCTACTGTTTCACTTTCATTAACAAATTGCTTCACAGGGGACAAAATTCTAGATGTAGTTCAAATACTAGTTACAAATTTGCTGCCTTCAAGATACCTAGTTATTTGATTGATCACAGTTGTTTTTAAAGTTCATTTTAAGTAGAGTTATGATCAAACATGTGCAACTGAATCAATAAAGTTGAAAATATATCACGATGAGGAAATGTAGGTATCTTCTTTGGTATCTTCATATCAAAAAATTAATTGAGAGGAACCCTTACTAATGAGTGAAACTAATATTCTTGACTCAGAGAACTTCCTCAAAGCCTCAAAATAACAACAATTTGAATTGGTCATCTAAGTATAAATAAAGTTGGGAAGAGACACCTTTCATGAAAGGAATGGTTGAACTAACTCTCAAATAGGAAGACATCAAAGTCAAGGAAGAAAGTAAGAGCTCACGGCTTGGGGTGGAAATGGTTACTAAGTTTAGCCATCTGCTTTGGTCTTTCCTGTTCCACATGTAGCTATATAGTTTACATAAAAGTATCTCTCCAGAGGATCAGAAAGAACAGATTTATGGAACCAGATGTGAGTTAGCATTTCTACAGGTGTGGCTCTGCAGCTGAAAGAACATGTTGTACCAGGGATGAAGTTTCTTATTATGTAATCAATATAAATTACCACTAGACTTTTACAGAGGTTGATAAAGCAAACACGTGTCATTCGGATTGGCCTTCTGGTATATAAAGAGACCCTGCTTCACAACGTGAAAAAATGTACCGTTTGACATTCATAAAAGACTTGGTAGAAAATACCATGACAATAATCAGGCAAGGTTGTTCCCCCTTGCACACAGAGGGGATAGCTGGTGGCTAGATGGAAATTGTGTTCATATGTTTTTCTTCATCAAGAAAAACAAGGAAATTTTCATAAATATTTTTAAAGTCTCTCAGAATCTGATAAGAAAGGGCCAAGAGGATGAAAATGAGAGGACTGGGGAAAAATAACAGAATGCAAGAGAAAAGATGAAAAAAGGCAGAATTAGTTAACCTATAGAGGAATATATCCTTAGGTGGTATAGAAAATCAGGGTTATAAAAAAAGATTGGTAAATTGCAGATCATTTAAACATTTGCACACAAAAAGAGAATTTTAAAATTCTAGACAATAAAAGTAAAAATGTTGCTGATAAATTAATTTGTGTCAAAGTATTTAATACAAATGTTTTGATTTTTTAAAGCTGAGTGTTTTATGCTAGATTTTACAATGAAACAAAAAGAAAAACTTCTATTTTTGGGCTTCTAATTTGCTTAAACTTTTTCAATTTAGTTTAAATGTATTGCTCAAATCTCTGATATTCTTACTAATTAAAATTTTTTTCTTAATCAATTCATTTCTCAGACAACTGTGCCAATCTCCCATAATGATTGTGGATCTATGACAGTCTTCTTATAAAATTTCTCCTTATAAAATTTGCCATAATTACTGTTCATGTTTCTAACTATGTTGCTTAATACACATAAGTTTATGATTTTTACATCTTAAAGCATATTTTGTCTGCTATTAATATTGCTACATGTTTCTTTTGTTATTTACTTATTACATAAATTTAAAACCTTTTATTTTTAATATTTCTGTCTAATTATCTTAAAGTGGGTCTCATTAATAGCATATAGATAAATTTCAAAATCTAGTCACAGAGATTTCTATCATTTAATGTATGAGATAAATCCATTATATTTGTTATTATGGATTATGTACAGGATGTCTGAAAATCTGAAAACAGGGCAAACTTAATTTAAACAATATATTAGTCACATTTTAAAAATACTTGCTTAATATGTTTTCTTCAAGTTTCAGACAACATTTCAAGTAAAGTATCTTTAAATTTAAAGCAATGTCCAATTTTTTAACCCTAAAAAGTATAATGAATACACTATTTTCTGAATTTCCAGAATTTTTAGACCCTATGTAATGTATTTATTGTACAAAACATAGGAGCATATTATTTGAAATGTATCTAACCTACAGTATAAGTGCCTACCCTATATTTTCTGATTTTTTTGGACTCAAGGTAATTTAGTCTTATTTTTAACATCATATTTTGTATTTCTTCTTTCCCATGTGTATTCTTCACGTCTTTATTTTCTCCCTTCCTAGTGTTTTATTATGTTTATTGATTCCCTTTTAGTCTTTACTGTTTTGGTTATATACATCCCTATTCTAGAGAATATTTCTATTAACATTTAATATGCATATATTACAAAGTATAAACTTTATTTTCCCTCAAAACTATCCGTGTTCATCCTATAAGCTATTATTGTTTAATAATCTGTTTCGTTTTTAAACCTTGACAAATTCATTTTTTTTTAAAACAGCCAATTGTTACAATAATCTACCAATATATTTTGTTGATTTCTTTGCTCACCCTTGCTTCTAGCATCTCACTCCCTATTTCTGGGTTCAAATTCCTATTTGCTGAACTTATTCTTTAGTAGTTCCTTTAGAGAGTGACTTTGGGTTGTAAGCTCTTAGACTTTGTAAAAATACACTTTTTGCTTTTACTTTTAATTTAGACCTCACTCTTGGATATTCGTTTAGCTGAGTATAGAATATTTTTGCTTGGTACATTGAAGAAATCACATTTTCTTCTCTCTCTCTCTCTCTCTTTTTTGAAACAGGGTCTCACTCTGTCACCCAGGCTCCAGTGCCGTAGCACAGCCACGGCTCACTGCAGCCTTGACCTCTGGGGTCAGGGGATTCTCCCACCTTAGCCTCCCGTGTAGCTGGGACTACAGGCACTCACCACTACGCCTGCTAAATTCGTGTATTTTTTTAAAAGATGCTATTTTGCCATGATGGCCAGGCTGGTCTCAAACTCCTGGGTTTAAGCCATCCTCCCATCTCAGCCTCCCAAAGTGCTGGGATTACAGGTATGAGCCACCACACCCAGTCAAGATATTATTACATTTTCTTCTCACATCTATTTAGGAGAGGTTGGCTGTCAGTCTTGCTGTCCTGTCTTCTGCCAATATAATTCATGTTTTCTCTCTGGTCACTTTTGTAACTGAAGTAAAAAAGCAAAATTTCCACACAGAGAAATATTCAGATTTTAAGTGTAATATATATGTGTATGTATGTGTGTAGTATATATATATATATGTATGTCTATATATAAGGTATAAGTTTGCCATATATATGTCAACATATATGTGTGTGTGTGTATGTCATATATATATACATCTGTCTATATATGTCAATTTCCATTACCACATTGCCTACCTTACACATCTACTGTTCTGATTTCTATCACCATAGATCACATGTGTCTATTCTTGGAATTCATATAAATGGAATCAAATAGTATATATTTTTTATCTGGTCTGTTTTGTGCAACATAATGTTTTTATGATTCATCCATGTTGTTGCATGTATAAGTAGTTCATTTTTTAAACTTAATAATATTTCATAGAATTAATATACATAACTTGTTTTCCATTGTCCTATTAATGGTCATTTGAATCGTTCCCAGTTTGGGATATTATGAATAAAGATACAAGAGATGCTTCTCAACTTATGATGGGGTTATATCCTGATAAAGCTATTGTAAGTTGAAAATATTTTAAGTTGAAAATGCATTTAATACACCTAACCTACTGAAACATCACAGCTTATCCTAGCTTACCTTAAATGTGCTCAGAGCACAGTTGGGCTAAATTATCTAACACAAAGCCTATTTTATAATAAAATGTTGAATCTTATGTACTGCATATCACTAGCCAGAGAAAAGATCAAAATCTGAAATTTGAAGTACACTGAAATTGCAACAGTTCCATACTGTTGTAAAGTCAAATCTTCGTAAGTCAAGGACCATCTGTGTAAGATTCAAGTACCTTTTTCCGTGTTTGTGTGTGTAAACACAAGTTTTTATTTCTTTTGGCTAAAACTGAGAAGTGGAATTGCTGAGTCTAATGTACATGTTTGTCTTTACAAGAAATTGCCAAACTGTTCACTGCGGTGATGCTGTTTTTAACACTTACAAGCAATAAATTAGCATTCCAGTGGCTCCCTATCTTTAACAACATTTGGAGTAGTCAGTCTTTCTAATTTAAACAATTCTAGTAGTTGTTTAGTGGTATCTCATTGTGGTCTTATTTTGCATTTGTCTAATGACAAATGATATTCGGCATATTTTTTGTTCTTATTGAACATATGTATATCTTCTATGAAGGATTTATTCACGTTTCTTGCCCAATCTTTAAATTAAACTGTTTATTATTATTTTGTAGGAGCTCATTATACTTTCTGGATACAAGTCAGATATATGTATTATATTAATACATATTTTCTCCCAGTCAGTGGCTCACCTTTTCATTTCCTTGATGCTGTATTTTGATAAACAAAAGTTTTATATTTTAATGAAATCCCATTTATCATTCTTTAAAATTTTATGGCTAGTTCTTTTTCTTTTCTCTTTAAGAAATATTTGCATACTCTATCTAGGTTGCAAGGATCTTCTATTTAAAAAAAACTTTTAGTTTTTGTTTTTATGTTTAGATCTGTGGTCCATGTAGAATGAGTATTTGTGTATGGTGTCAGATAGCAGTTGAGTTTCATTTTTCCCATTCATTTATCCAATTGTTCCAGAACAATCTGTCAAAAAACCTTGTCTTTATGAATTGTATTGACTCCTTGTTGAAAATCATTCATCTCCTGCATAGGTGTGGGTCTAATTTTTTTTTTTTTTTTTTTGAGACAGTCTCACTGTGTCACCCAGGCTGGAGTGCAGTGGCACAATCTCGGCTCGCTGCAACCTTCGCCTCCTGGGTTTAAGCGATTCTCCTGCCTCAGCCTCCTGAATAGCTGGGATTACAGGTGCAGGCCACCACACCTGGCTAATTTTTGTATTTTTAGTAGAGACAGGGTTTTGCCATGTTGACCAGGCTGGTCTCAAACTCCTGACCTCAGGTGATCCACCCGCCTCGGCCTCCCAAAGTGTTGGGATTACAGGCGTGAGCCACCACACCCAGCCAGGCATGGTTCTATTTCTATAGCTTCTTTTCTGTTCTATAGATTCATTTGTCTTTTCTTGCAAATACCAAACTGTCTTGATTACTGTGGCTTCATTAATGTTAGACATTGCTTGTTACCTTTCTACTGTTGGAGATAAGGATTTAGTACATTCATACAATCTCCCCGTTCAATACGGCATCTTCCCCATACTTTCAATATTATAATAATTGTATGAATACTTCATAGCTTACCACATAGTATACTATGATTACATTTTCTTTCTATATTACCACTTTCCTTGC
This sequence comes from Homo sapiens, assembly GCF_000001405.40. Lineage (NCBI taxonomy): Eukaryota > Metazoa > Chordata > Mammalia > Primates > Hominidae > Homo > Homo sapiens. The sequence continues at coordinate 134,804,279 of NC_000007.14, forward strand.
TACTATCCCCCATGATTTAATAATGACTTCGTTTCTTTTACCTGTTTGTTTTCTATCATTAATGCCTGCCCCAGGGTATCTGACAGGAATGTCAAACCCTTTTTAATACAGTCAAACACATCAGGTAATTTGTCAATTATTTTTCTTTAAAGAGACTTTTCTGGAAACTTCTTGGCATTTTCTAGGTTTGGTGCACAGCTTGCTGTTCTAAATCTTCACTTCACAGTCATCTGAGGCATTTCCTTCCTAGGACTGAAAGGAATTTCCTTTGTATGTGGGCTGAAATTTGAATCCTCCATTTCCTGGTTCCCATTATTCCTCCTTCTTTATACTCTTGTTTTGATGAAGAAGATTATCTAAGAGCATCTTGAACAAGCGTCCAGGGACGACAACATTTCTTAGAACTTAATTGTTTTTAGTATCTTTGATTTAAGACATACTTGATTAATTTATTGGCTGGGCATAGAATTCTAGGCTGGAAATCATTTTTCCTAAAACTTCCCCAAACATACCTGCACTGTAACCTCCCAACAGGGTCTCCTTGCCCGCTTCCTAGACAGAGCTGATTTGTCAAGATGGGGAATTGCAATAGAGAAAGAGTAATTCATTCAAAACCGGCTGTAGGGGAGATCAAAGTTTTATTACTGCTAAAATCAGTCTTTCTGATAACTCAGGATGGGAATTTTTAAGGGTAATTTGGTGGGTAGGGGGCCAGTGAGTTGGGAGTGCTGATTGGTCGGGTCGGAGATGAAATCATAGAAGTAGAAGCTGTCCTCTTGAGCTTAGTCAGCTCCTGGGTGGGGGCCACAAGCCCAGATGAGACAGTTTGTGGATTTTTATTCATTCTGAATACTATGGGCCTGTTCAATCCAGAAAAACACATCTTATAGTTAGAAATTTTCTTATATAATTTTGGTGATAATTTCCTTCTCCTCATTTCCCATGTTCTGATACACACAGTCTCCTCTGTCACTGAATTATTGAGAGCTTGAACCTCCTAAACCAACTCTCTGATTTTGTATTTTCTTAACTATATTCTACTTTTCTGTATCTTATTCTAATTTTTGAGAGTTTCCTTAACTTTGGCTATATATTGTTTTTAGCCATAGTATTTTTAATTTCTAAGGGTTCTTTGTTGTTGTTGTTGTTGAACATTTCTTTTTATAACATCCTGATCCTCTTTCATAGATACAGTAGTTCTCTATGCCCCTGGAAATATCATTTATATTTTCAGTGCCTTTCTGCCCCTGCCTTATCTGAGTTTTCTCTGTGTTCCTGTTTTCTATTATTTGTGCTAGTCTCTGTCTTTCATTCTTCCCTCAGAATCCTGGTGATCCTTGGCTGTCTGTCCATATATAGGAGCAAGGCAGTAAAAAGCTGATTAAAAGCTATGGGTTCAGGAGTGCTGGCTGGCAGAAAATGGGCCAGTTATCTTTCTTCCCATGGCAATCTCCAAATACCCATATCTCTAGATCCTTTTTCTTGAACAAGTTTATCCAAAGATTTTCTTTTTGCTCTGTTACCCAGGCTGGAGTGTGGTGGTGTGATCTCGGCTCACTGCAACCTCTGCCTCTTGGGTTCAAGTGATTCTCCTGCCTCAGCCTCCCGAGTAGCTGGGACTATAGACACGTGCCACCACACCCGGCCAATTTTTGTATTTTTAGTAGAGATAGGGTTTCCCCATGTTGGCCAGGCTGGCCTTGAACTCATGACCTCAAGTAATCCACCCTCCTTGGCCTCCCAAAGTGCTGGGATTACAGGTGTAAGCCACCACACCCGGCCCCAAAGAAGATTTTCCAAAACTCTTCCTCTGAGTTGTAAGCAAAGGGTCAACATTCTGAGAAGTCTTAGGGCATTACCTGCATTGCAGAGCCATCCCCATGGCATAGTTTCCCCATTTGCCTTTGGTAGGCCCTGTCAGTTTCACTGGTTCTAGGCCATGTTTCACATCAGTGTCTTGGCTGGAATTCCTAAGCAGATAGTTCATATTTGCTTCCCATTCCCTCCCACAAAAAGGGGTTTTTCTCCCCCCAGCCCACGGTTTAGCTTCCTCATTAGTAGGCTGTCATGGGTAGAGGGTTTCCATTTGTGTTCGTAGATGAAATGCCACCTTTCTAGCTTGTGGCTTTACACAGGCGCTCAGTTCCAGTTTTCTGCCGTGTTACCAATGAATGCTATCATACCCTTAACTCAGGCCAACTTCTCTGTCTTTGAGTTTCCTCTGTATTCTGGAACCTGGAGATGTTCTTCTCTTGCTTACAAGCTCATTTAAGTGTTGTTTGTAAATGTTTTGCTTATTTTTTCTGCAACATTTATGCATTTGAAGCAGAGTAGAAATGCTTCTTGGATCTGCTTAGTCCATATTGACCAAAAGTCTAAAGTTATTGATTCAGAATTCTGGACTCTGAGAGCAATCAGTAAATTATAGTGCCTCGGTTTGCTTGTGTGTATATTATCAATCCTTCGCCAACAATTTTTTTCTGTTAAAAAAATTCCTGTTAGAATTTTTATAATACTTATTTTTCTATATCTGTCCATTAGTGTAACATGGTGGTCAAAGGAGAATTTTTTTCTGGTAGTTTTTCCTGTCACAACATGGCTCCCAAAGAGTAGATCTAGTAAATGAAACAGATTGCCTTGGACTATCTTAATAACCATTGCCATCATTTTTCCCCCAAATTTCACCTATTTATTCATTCAGATTGCATTATTAATTGAGGAAAATTAAATTATCTAGTGGAGATTTAGCTTTGAAGGTAATTTCAGACATGACAGCTGTGGTCGGAGGAAGATTCTCAGTTTGTATGCAAGTGGAGAAGCATCATCATGGGCAGAGGACTTAGCCCCTGGTCCTAATTTCTATTTTTCCATGCTCAACCTTTTAAATAGAAATGAGTCTTGTAATGGGAAAAATGGAAATATTGCTCCTTGAGGATTTGAAGAATATGAGACCTGAAGACCTCAGATTTTATATCTATTAAAACATTGGCACAACCATGCAACATTCTTTCCATGATACCATGACTGGTTTATTGAGGAGTCTCAACTCACTGGGGGTATAAAGAAGAAATGATTTCTATTTTTCCCTATCAGTACTGTTCTGTGTCAAACTTCCTTTTATTACTAGCTACAGGGGGCCTTTAATTACATCTCCGACCAGTTTCTAAACTCAAGAAGGATAAATTGCTCCTACCCTCACCCCACTCCCCCAGGCTAGAGTCTAGTGGCTTAGAATTGTAGGGTTCTGGCTCTTAAACAGCTTATTTTCCTTCATTCCAGTGAATAACCCTGGAATATGGGGGAGCATGAAGAGGGTGGAGGAAGAAGAGGTCTGTACTAGACTTCTCATAATAACTGGTGTTATGAAATGACCTAAGCCAATCTGCCTCTTCACAGTTGTCTGGAGTGGAGCGATCTCAGCTCACTGCAACCTCCGCCTCCCTAGTTCAAGCAATTCTCCTGCCTCAGCCTCCTGAGTAGCTGGGATTACAGGTGCCCGCCACCATGCCCAGCTAATTTTTGTACTTTTATTAGAGACGGGGTTTCACCATGTTGGCCAGGCTGGTCTTGAACTCCTGACCTCAGGTGATCCACCTGCCTCGGCCTCCCAAAGTGCTGGGATTACAAGCGTAAGCCACCGTGCCCGGCCGATTATCTCCAATTTTTAGATGTAGGCACCATTTCCTCCCAGATAACCTCAATACCAGGTGATATGTTACAATGGAAACAAGTCTCAGAGACTAAATTCTGCCACACATGAAACAAATAGGCATAAAAACAATTACAAAGCCTGTTCCATACATTTGGTAAAGTCCCCATTCCATCTTTTTTTTTTTTTTTGAGACAGGGTCTTACTTTGTCGCCCAGGCTTGAGTACAGTGGTGCAATCATGTTTCACTGCAGCTCCCAACTCCTGGGCTCAAGCAATCCTCCCACCTCAGCTTCCCGAGTAGCTGGGGCCTTGGGCATGTGCTATCATGCTGGGCTAATTTTTTTTTTAATTACTTTTTGTAGAGACAACGTCTCACTATGTTGCCCAGGCTGGTCTTGAACTCCTGGGCTCAAGTGATCCTCCCAACTCGGCCTGCCAAAGTGCTGAGATTACAGGCATGAGCCACCACCTGGCCCCCATTCTATTTTTTAAAGTGCTCTGACAAGTGCTTTTGCACTTTAAGCAAAAGATCCACTCCCTGGCAAAAGTTACAATATTCTAATGGCAGAGCCAGCTCATGTTCTAGTCAGGCCAGAAAGTTTCATTAAATGGGCACAGGCCTGAATAGAATCCTAGATCTATGGCACGCCTCTGAATGCTGGGTTTGTCAGATTTCTTAATCCCTGTACACACAAGGATGGAGATGCCTGAATAAGTCTTTCTATCCAATCCAATCACATATATTGAACACCCACTCATTTGCCTGGTGAAGCATTATTTCTCTGTCCTTTATGCCAATTTGCAGACCTTCAGGATTTAGAGAATGATATTGAAAACATCAATCTTAGGCTTTCTGGAGTGTGTACTCCTGACTAGAGTCCTTCATATGCTAACAGTTCCTAGGGTGCAGATTAGAATTAATTTACATATATTGTCTGCACTGAAGTATTTTAAAACAAATTTTCAACAGTATAACATTGGTGACAATGCTGAGCCAACTCTTAGGTGATGAGGGGCTCATTGCCAAGGGATAAAAAAGTAGTTGAATATTTTAGGATGAAAATAAACTAATGTTAAGAAAATAGTACAACCAGGGGAGAGACTATCTCATAGAATATCTATATTTACTAAGGAAAGAATATGAAGGCTAGAATCCATGAGGATTTTATATTCCTCCCAGCACCCTACTTTTAAGCTGAAATTACCAGTAAAAGTTCATGAGAGACACTGTAGTACAATACCGGGGACACAGGTAGTATACGTACTACAATCCTGCTTATGGGCTCTTGCTAATGAATCATGGTTTTAAATTCTTTTAAATTTTTATGGTTTTAAAATTCTTTTTAATGTAGTATTTTGGGCAGCTGAAGCTGACGGGTCAGAACTGATGCATAAGAGAGAACTTCATTGTAATACAAAAGTCACTGGGTCTGTCCTAGCTGTGAGAACTTAGATAAAATATTGAATCCTTTGCGCTTCCATTTCCTCATCCATTAAAAGATAGGGGTGAGGGGTGGGAGTTATAAGAACTAAATGAAATAATATAAATAATTTAGCCACTGCCTGTTGAGGCTGGATAAATATCAGTTCCCTCCTCTTGTAGCCACAAAGTTTTAACTAAGCTGATATGTTTGTTACATTCTGCTCATGTCTTTTCCAGGAGAACTCCATCTAGAACAAAATGTGCATTCAGCAAGGTATAATTGTGTATGTTTTTATTGTCAGTTTTAGTCATATCTGTCATTTTTTATTTTCCAACATGAAAAGAGAGGTTTAGGGTAGTCACATTGGAAAACAAAGAAAATAAGATTAAAATTCCCTCAAATCAACTTTGGAGCCCTAAAATATTAATGCCTTGACGGCTTACTCACAATCACAAAAGGCTGTGAGCCAACATTCAGCTTTGTATTGCAGAGGTGATGAGAACATATTTTCATTGCTAGAAAAAAAATTAAGCTATACAGACAGAAATGGGACATGGGAGCCAAATTCCACAAGAACACCCTTGAGTTTAAGGGTTTTTCCCCCATCTTTTGACAATATTTAGAAAACCAAAGACTATAAACTTTTAAAAGGAATCTTGGATGACTTACAGAAATAGTAAGGTCACCAAAACACTTTGTAGATATTGAATTTTTATAAAAGTATTTAAGTTGATTAATATTATTCTCAGAGGTAGCATAAACTTAAGGATCATAAATGCTTACTAAAAGTGAACATATTGGGACTAGTTGCCAACTGCTGCCTAATCAACCCAACTGGTCCAATCCTGCATTTTCAGTGAATTGACTTAAATCCTACTCATATGAAATAAATCAGTGGTCGGAGATAGCAAATCTGCCAATAGGTTACTCTCAGCTGTCTTAATTAGTGTTTCCTACATTTTTCCAGTTTCTGGTACACCTTTGAACTGCCAGATTACACCTGGCAGATTACAGCTGATGGAGGATCTATTTGCCCTTTATTTAGTTATATCATAATTCATGTATAAGAATATGTATTATGAGCTCACTATTAGTAGGGTACATGCATGCTGTTTTTCAAAGAGTCAATATCCTCCTGCCTAGCACCCTGGGACAAGAGTGTCCCCTGTGTGATGGCTCCCTGGGGAGAGAGCTACAACAACCATTGAACTGGCCATCAGAGGATCAAACCATTGACTTTATCTTTAGGGTTTCTCCCATGATAGCTGAAGATCTTCTCTTTCTCTGCACCCACATGAGTGTGGGCCAATTTTTGAAACGGCAGCAGTTTCATAAAACCCAAAGTTTACCTGTGAGGCCTGCTCAAGCCTTCATTCTGTGCTCAGCCTTTGCATTCTCAGTCTGAGAATGCCTCCCATCCTCTTTTAGCTGACGATGCAGCAGCTAGGTGTGTGGGAGTTAGCCTCTTGGCAACTCCTGGGCCATGGAGGAATGGCCAACCACCCAAGTTGCCTACAGATTTTCCCAAGCACATGTCTATCAACATGTGCTGTCAGCCAGGCAAATTGTTTCATTGGTCTTGGATGCTTTTCCATTCACTCTGTACTGATTGAAAATTAATCCATAATTCAAGGTTCAGCTCATATACCTCCACCACTTCCTTATTGCCCCAGTGAGAATAAATGGTTCTCCTTTTGGGTTGCCACAGCACAAACCTCCGTGTATTATATCTGACCAATAGGGTTTACTACTCTCATCTCCCTACTTCATTAAAAGGCAAGAACAATTTTTATTGATCCTTGTATATCCTGCCCTCAATTCTAGTGCCGAACACAGCATCAAACACAAAGCAGAGGCTCAACAAATGCTGAATCGAACTGAATTCAATTAATTGAAGAAAGGGTTGTTTACTGACACTGTACTAACACTTCTAATATTATCCTGCCTCACTAGGGAGTCTTCACTGGGGGCAGGGGTCTGGAGTACAATCAGAATCAACTGGACAGTTTTCCAAACTATACAGGCTAATGGTAGTGGACTGTGTTAAAAAGCTATTCAGGATACTCCGAAATTATCCCTGCTCACATCTCACCAATCCTTATGCTAGTTGAGGACCTTCAAAGAACCCTCCCTGTCCAAAATACATCATTCAGAATCTTCTGTTTAGCTCTCTTCATTTTAGTGAAAGTCTCCTAAAACTAGTCCTGGATGTGTTTTCATCACACTTGAAGTTTAATTAACTGATAACTCAGGCACAATGGAAATACTTAGATAGATGCTCTTAAATTACATTTAAACAAAACTATTTACAAGCGATCTAGTAAAAATCTGTGTCTTTAATGGGCTATTTTTAATGTTTCCTAAACAAATTATTGTAGGTGGGCCAATTTTCCCTCTTTACTTGTTACTTAGAAGCCCATTTGGACATGTTCTACCCCGATCTGGTTCTCTCACCCCACTGGCTACAGAATAGTGTGTTTTTGTTTGAAAGGGTCAAAACATTAAGAATGTGACATCCAAAATATGTGCTATTTTTTTTTCCTGGAGTCAAAACCCCTAAAGTATAAATCGTTTTTAAATGAAGAAAGCAGTGCCAAAAGGAATGAAACATATTTGGTCCTTCTCCAAAACAGAGAGATAGCACTGAAACAGGAAGTGGATGATTTAAATATCCACTCGGCATCTTGGCAACATATTTATGTTTAAGGGACTTAAGGTTAAAAGGTTTTTGTCTGGCCTGGGAACACTCTATCTTCCCTAGGGTTTGGAGGTTTGGGGAAAACTTTTAACAACTTATCAAATATTTGCAATTAGCCATTTTTTGGAGAACAAATTGTTACTGAGAATGTCATAGGAAATGTTCCCTATAAGCTGCATGCTACCATTACTCTCCTGCTTCTTATGATAATCTCTTTAGCCACCTAGCTTCATGTGGTAGAAAGTTATTATTTTCTATAAAGAAAGAAGAATGTGGTTCGAGTTCTTGTAACTACTTCTCCCAAAGTTGGAACTACACAGAATGACTGAATAAGCAGAATGCAAAATTGGGGTTTAATTGATTTTGTGTGTGCTGTTTCCAAGGACCACTTAGTGGGCCCATTCTTATAGCTAGAAATCGACAATATCGGGAGTGTTTACACAAGGAAGTAGGCCTTCTCCTACTTCCCACCCTTCAGAGATGAGAGACTGCTATTATCCATTTACCAGCGCACCACTGGAAAGAATAGTTAAAAAAAAAAAAAAAATGAGCTCAAGGTTTTTGGTCTAAAAGACTGGAATAATGGTGTTTTCATTTACCAAACTTAGGAAGAACATACAAGGAGGAACTATGGGAGTGCAAGTCAGTAGTTCAGCTTTGAACATTTTATATTTGTCACAACAATTAGGCATTTGATTGGAATTGTTAAATAAGCAGTTGGATATACAAGTCTGGGGTTCAGGGAAGAGGTCCTGAATATATTTTTTTGGGAGTCAGGCATTTGCATGGTATTTAATGCCAAGAGACAAGACGAGACCAAGCCAGTGAGTTATTAGATAGAGGAGCTCAGTCCCAGGATAATTTTTAGGGTCTTCCAACATTTAAAGGTCAGAGTAAAGACCAGCAAAGGAGACTGAGAAGAGTGGCCAATGGGGCAGAAAGAGAACCAGGAGGGTGAGATGTGCTAGAAGCCAAATGAAGAAAGGACTTCCAAAAGAAGGAAGTGATCAACTGTGTCAAACGCTCATGTATTAATTAAGATGAGAATTGAGAATTGATCATTGGCTTTGGCAATGTAGAAATATTGATGATCTTGAAAAGCATCAAGGATGGTAGAGAAAAAGCCTGATTGGCATGGGTTCAACAGAAGATGGGAGGAAAAGAACTCGGAGCAGTGAATAGAGACAACATTTTCAGAATTTTTTTTGAAAGAGGGGCAGAGGATTGGAATAGGAGCTGGAGAGTTGTATGGGTTTAATGAAGATTTCTTTTTTTCTTTTAGCTTAAGACTAGATATATTTTGACATGCTTGTATGATGATGAGAATAATCTAGTAGAAAGAGATCATTGATGATGCATAAGAGAGGTGACAATTGCTAGAGCAATGTCCTTGGGTAGATAAGAGAGCATGAAACCTAGAGCTAAGTAGGGTTGACCTTCAATAGGAGCATGGACAAATCAGGCATCGTTGCAGGAGTAAAGACAAACTATCCAGATTCAGCTGTAAGTATATTGGAAAATATGATGGTAGAAGCCTGTGATGCTCTTATCTGATTGCCTCTATTTTCTCAGTTCAATAAGGAAGCAAATTCTTCAACTAAGACTAGGTTAGGGAAGCAGGAGGTTTGGAGACTTCAAGGCAACAGAGGATGTTTGGACTTGGGAAACAGCAGACTTGCCAGGTAGCACTAAGGACCCAGTTGACATTACTGGTAACAAATTTTAAGTAAAAGCACTTAGCTTAGCTGCGTGTTTTCCTCCAGCTGGATTTAGCTTCCTGTCTGCTTGCTACATGGAGAGCAGTGTTTAGAGTGATGAATCAGGGGATGTCAGCTGGTAAAGGACGGTGGGTGGCTGAGGCATGTGGGAACACAAGATCATTGGAGGACAGAAGCCCAAGGAACTAAGAGGCCAGGGTATTAGAATGATCACAGACATGAATGTTGAAATCGCTGAGAATTATGGCAGAAGTAGCATTGGAAAGAGTTAAAACCAGGAGCTAACATCTAGAAATGAAGGGAAGTAATGCAGGGATCAGGAAATGACTGCAACAAGGAGGGGTAGAGGATAATATTTTCAGGAAGGAATATAGCTGTGGAGCAAGGAGACAATTGCGTCTACTTCCAGGCTCTGTGATACAAAGGGTATGGAAGCTGTCGGAAGAGCTATAAATCACGAGAGGAAGTATAGAGCATGAAGTTGCAGGGAACATTCAAAGAAGAGTTTGAGATACAGGGTCTTGGCTAATGACTTATCTGGAGTTCCAGAGAAATCAGAAAGGGGAAAGACATTGGGTCAGAGCAGGAGATGCATAGAGCCAGTTGGCTGTGGGAGTAGGGGTTCCACAAGGAGCTGGAAGTCCTGGGGGTCTTGCAGAATGTAAGGCATCATGCAGTCAGTCCCAGTGGTCTCTCATGAAGAGTGTAGTGGTGAGACTGGGACTGCTGTGGAGGGATTTCCTTCCAAGAACACACAGAATTCTGGGGCTCCCTTTCCCTTTCTACTGAGGTTGATTGGAGGCTTGGGAAGGAGTTGGTTACTAAGAGCACACAAAGCCCTGGGGACCACCTTCATTCCTCTAACCCTACGGAAGATGCTATTTATTCCATACCTTGTTTAATGCTTCAGTGCAGCTGGTCCACAAGTGTTTGCTGTATCCAGAAGAAGGTCAGATAAAGAGTGAAGGCACACCCCTGTTGGAAAAGAAGCAACAGTCTCTCTATGATTGTTGATTCACTGTTTGCCTGTTGACTCCTGGAATTAACACTCAACAGAGTCAAGAAACCTGGGTATTGGTCTTGACTGAGTGTCCTTGGATAAATGCCTCCCCCAGTTTGAATTTGAATTTCTTCTCTGTAAAATAAGGGAGCTGGATCACGTGACATCTAGGTTCCTTTCAAGCCCTGAATCTGAGTCTTTAACTGTGGCTTCCTAGATTTTGGGATTGGCCTACATTGGCCCCTGCTTCCTACCCTTTATTCTCAGTTTTGCCGTGGTCTAGCTTTTCATTTCTTATGTCAGGAGCATGGGCCAGCCACAGTACTTTTGACTAGGTTGCTTGCTGTCCCTTAGGTGACTGTGTCCTCATCATGTCCGGACAAGTGATGCCAAGGATTGCTGCAACTCTAGCTGGCCTTTGGGGATGAAGTGGGTTAGAACCCAACACACACTAATATGGTTGGAATTTAGGCTGTGCATATTGTCTGAGAAGCAACTATCAAATTGCTTGTATGTCTGTGACACAAAGAACAAGAAGAGATGAAAGGAGAACATATACTCCATGTTGTCTCTCCGGCTGGTCCTCAAGTTGTAGAATTTCTGCCTCTTTTTTCCCCAGTGCTAGTGGGACTTCCCAGTCCCAGTGCCTCCTGGAGAAGTTTCCCGTCATTGTTCTTGGATAAGGAAAACTCTGCTTGGGGTTTTGGTACATGTCACTCTTGCTTTGTGAATATTTACTAAACATGGTTTTGGCTGTATAGCTCTGATGCACTGTAATGATATCATTCACCTATCTGAAGTCTCACTGTTTAGAGGGGTGACCCTCTAAACCATTTCTCATGTTTTTTAAGGTTGAAGGAATGTTTAGCTGAGCCTATGAGGTCCTATACCAAAATTTTACCTATCTTCTGGAAGCTAGCAAGGCCTAGGATTTTTACTAAACTGAAAAATTCAATGAATTAGTGGAACTGAGAAATTTGGTGTTTAGAGAAAATGAAAATATAGACAGAATACTTACCACCATTTACAAATATACAATATTCTCAAAAGAACCAATTATCAAATAAAACATTTTAAGATATCTATCCTTTGAAAAACAAAGCCTATTAATTTTTTAAAAACTATCCTCGAACTGGCATATATCCCCTTTGTAAAATATCAATTCCTTAAGAATCTTTCTTTCAAAATAGCAATTGTGATAACCAGGGTCATTCACTTGTGAACTTGTCTTGTCTCCTCTTAACTAGATCCAGAACATTTGTTTTGCTCAGTGCTATCCTGCTTTCACTCAGCCTATCTAAAGTTTTACTAATTTAGTTCAGTTGTATAACTTCCCTCCAGGAGTAGTCATCTCCAGCTTTAAAATTTTATTTTTCTGGAATCATGCAAGAGTTTGTTATGCACAAATATGGACTATAGGCTTTAAAAAAGCTAAATTTTATGTCAAATTGGAATTTATCTCAGTGTCTGATTATATAATGTGATGTTGCAAATCAATAGATGTGTCCCTAGCACTGCATCAAGTAAGGATGAGGAACACAGGGGCCATGTCAATCCAAGAGCTTCACAGTTTGTCCATTGGCAGCCATTTATTGAAGGAAATTGCTAGATTCTTGGATTTTCCACTTATTAATTTTCACATGCTGGAAAAGGTGCGAATTTGACTAGTTCCATTTAGTCTGCAATTTAAAAGCTACCCCAAAATATTTGAAAGAGCTTATGACATCATTCTTAGATCATGTGTACATGCTCAGAAACCAAACCTATTCCTGAATAGCCCCTTTCTCTTCAGCCAATTTAAGCAATCAGTAGACTGTTTTGTATATGCAACATTAACTCATTTGGAAGATTTATGCTTATGCTGTTGCTCTGACTGAGCTGGTCAGAGGATTTTAGAAGTTTCCAGGCGAATGGGTAAAATGTAGGGAGTAAGCACACTTTGAAGTGAACTGTGCCATCATAGGATCAATGTATTCAAATAGACACTGGAGAAGACATTTCCACTGTTTCCCATACTAGTTACATTTCATTGACAATCCCATGGCTTCAATAGGTGAGACTCTACTGTGTCAGAAGGTAGAACAATGAGCTTCAGTCTTCTTGAACTTCTCTTGTGAAACCTGTTTCCTTCCTGGCTTTATTAAAAAATTATGTCTTCTGTTTTTGGAAAAGTAGCTGTCAGAGGATTAGAGACAATTCATTGAATTGGATTACTTGTTGTCACAAATATTATAATAGTATTGTAGAGCACAGACCAACGGAGAGCTGTTCCCATTTGCTAGGATGTTGTTACTGCTTCGGTTTTATTTTTATTTAAATTTTTTATCTCTGCTATTCTCCTTTATGGTCAAAATTGTAAAGAGTGCATCTTTGGAGGAATGCAAGGTAGGCAAGCTTGCTAAGAGCTTCTACAAGACTACCTTAAAAGAAGACTTATATTTAACAAACAGAATCTCAACATATGGACATACACCCTCTTGAGCTGGTTAGAAAGGACTTTTTTCTTTATTTGCTCTTTTTGACCACTGACATTTATTTTAATTTTTTTCATTTTTAAACATTTTTATTTTGAAATAAAGTAAAAGATTAACAGGAAGTTACAAAATAGTATAGAAAGGTCCCAGGTACCCAGTTTTCCCCAGTAGTAACATCTTGCATAACTACAGTGCAATACCAAAACCCAAGAAATTGACATTCGTGTGATTCACAACGTTATTCAGGTAAGAAGGTCTTTTTAAAACAAGAAATAATTCATTACAACCACGGGGTTCCTCTAAAAACTGTCCCTTTAACTGAAGAACACCTGATTGTTTGTTGTTTATTCAGTACTTCTCCACATTTTGCAGAGGCACACAAAATCATTTTTATAAATCCCAACCTATGAAGGACAGAACAAAGTCATTGTTCTATTTTTCAAAGTATACAAAAGCTAAACGAGAAAAAAATCATCTGGGAAGGCAGAAATCCATTGGTGCAAAGTTTTTAGAAAGCTAAGTGAAGTAGTAATTATCTTACTCATTCCATTATTGAAGACCTCTTCAAAATTTTATTCATTTACAATAAAATTTCAATAAATTCAATTCCATTCTATTACAATAAAATTTCCCCATATATTTCTAAAAAGTCACAGTTTTGTGGCAACAAGATTTAGAATTTTCAAACAATACTTTTTGTCACACTTGCCGTCAGCCCATTTTGTTATAACCTCATCTGTAATAAACCCAAAAGAGTTTACTCTTTTTCTTTATTTCTTGGTTAACTGTTTTTGAGTTTTATATGCACAGATAGCATTCCTTGAAGAAAGAGGCAAGGTATACATACACACAGTTGGGTTGCTATTTTTTTTCTTACAATGTATTTATACTGTTGTCAATTTAAAGACCAAAATATTCTCAGGAAAATACAATATTTTACTTTTTAAGCTTCATATTCTATGAGTAATAAATTTAGTTTTGAGGGATAAGATAGCAAACCATAAATATGGAAGCACTCTCTTAAGGTCAACATTAAATCTGATAATATGTAGAATAGATTTAAGACTATTTCGAAGTTTCAACTAGAGTTTCACCCAGTGTGCTTTCTTCTTAGGTTTTAATGCTGGTTTACAAAAGGAAAAGTAAATTGCTTTCTGGTAACAAATTATTGCAGAAGATCTTCTACTTAAAGCATAGATGCATTTTTATTTTTCATTTACTTCTCTGTTTTTGAAGGGTTCAGTGTTTATTCGGCGGAGGTTTATGTCAATTATTTAATCAGAAGCAGGCCCCAGAGTTTGCCAGTGATATTTTGGAATGTAGGGTCTACTTCAAAGAAAGGTTCCATGTCTCTTGACCCAGATGAAGCCAATTTTTCATAGTGAAGAGCAAGGTAATTCGATTTTCTTTTTCAGAGCAAAAATTATTTTTAGACTGAATTTGATGGGTCATATTTCTCTGCTCAGTAAATCTTGCAATTATCACTCCACACTGGAAAATGTAACTCAATGACCCACCATTGCGCCAGAGCTTCTGTGGGCAGCCGAGCTCCGAGAGGCAGCTGGACATGATGTGAAGTTGGTGTCTATGACATACTGCAAGATGGAAACCAAGCAGTCAACCAGTGGCAGTAGTTCACATGCCAACATTTTTGTTTATTTGTAATGGAAAACTTTAGGAGGAAAACACAGGAGACTGGGTGCCATGGGTGTGAGGTAGAGATTTCAATCCTGTTCAGTCACAGGAAAATCCAAATTGGCCACGCTAAACCAGATCCAAAATCCCAGACTAATTTCCTCTCCTCTTTCCTCTGCGAGTGTTTCTGATTTCACACAAGGCAAGAGCAACTGAGAACAGGGAGCCTGACTAGATGAAGTAAGAACCGTCGTGAGGCCCAGGAGCAAGAAAAAAAGGCCTGGAGTTGTAGAACATGCTAGAACATGAATGACAGTCTCTGCGGAATTAAGAAGCATTCTCCACTCTATTCCATGGCCTCTTGCTGACCTAACTCCTAGTCTTCCTTCACATCTCACCTTAGGATACCACTTCCTAAGGAAAGCTTAACAGACTCAAGTTTGACTTATTACCTTTCTCTGTGCCCTGACAATTCCTGATACCCTCTCCAGAGCAGGGTTATCACACCACATTGTAATATTTAATATTGACATCCCTACTGGACTGCAAGCCTAATAGAACTTGGGCCATACCGCTCAAGTTTACAATTGCATGCTTTTTGCTTAGCACTGTGTCTAGCACACAGGAAATGCTTAATATGTATGCGTTGTTTATGTTATCCATGCCTTAATGTTTGGGATGCTCCAGATGGCTTAATAAAGTGTTTAACTATCTTTACAACCTCAACCCAGTCCAATGTATTGAAATCATCTCTACCAAGCTTTGGGAAATTCAATCAGCATCTAAGAAGCCCTTGTAAAAAACATTTTAGTACCCAATGATGACTATACGTAAACCCTCTAGCTCCTGACCCAGATGTGATGGCACGTGCCTGTGGTCCCAGCTACTTGGGAGGCTGAGGCAGGAGGAATGCTTGAGCCCAGAAGTTCAAAGCTGTAGTGAGCTATGATTGTGCCACTGCACTCCATCCTAGGCAACATAGTGACAATCCCATCTCAAAAACAAAACAAACAAACAAACAAACAAACAAAACCCTGGTTTTAAGAAAACAATGAAGATAGCCATGAAAATACACACTGGCCTATAAATGTATATGCTAAAAGAGAATGGAAACTGAAATAATGGATCTAATGAAAATCAGGCATGGTTTTGAAATTTTGTTAATGTGCTTCTTTTTTCACCCTTCTATTCACTTTAGTTGGATTTTCATGGAAATTCAGATCTAAGAGAGAATTTTGAGTTCATGTCTACACAGATGGTAACCAGAAACTTCTAAGACATATTCTCAGTGTAATTTTCAGCCCATAATGATGAGGGTGGTCTGTCTACATTGTAAGAAGATTAAACTGACAGATCTATGATCTTGTACGTATAGATGGACAATGACCTAAAAGCTATGCTTAAAATTGCCCCTGGAGACATTTTACTCCTGAATCTGTTGGTTTCCATGGTAAAATATTCAGTTGTATGTTGTCAAAAAGGTGAAAAATAAAATCTAGGAGAAATCTGTCATGGGTAGAAGTTGGTGGAACACATTTAATCCACCAGATAAAATGCTTCCGGTCTAAAAGCTGCTGAAAGATACTTGAAAGTCTAGATGTTGGGTGATCTTATCCAGACAGCATTATAAGATATACAAAATATTTGAAGTAACGTCATATTACAAGGAGAAAAATCATTTTCACTGTTCCTGGAAGAAGTCTTTCTGTCTACACTTTACCCACTACAAATGTTGAGATGTTCTGAAGGACTACCTTGCACCTTTAGTAATTAATATCATTTAAAAATTAATCTCTTTTAAAATGAGATTTTCCATAAATGCTAGATGCCCAATTTCAAAGGAAAAATCTATGTGATACTCTGACATATTGGTCAAATATTTTATTCTAGGGGACATGGTGGGTAGCAAGGGGTGGTCGTGGACTGTAGGAAGTGTTGACTTCAAAATATATATTAGCATTTCCATCATTTTAAAAGATTTTTTAAAAGACTAACAATATAACATATGGACAAAGGGATACATTCCTTAGAAAAATTTTAATGGTAACATGAAACCACAGTAAACAGTGAAGGAGAGGGGAGGAGAAAAATGATGCAAACTATTTACTTCCCCTTAGAGGCTAGAATGCAGTTGTTTTCTATTAAACTTAGATTACGTTTATGCGTAACTGACTCAATTATAAAATGAAAGCTAAGCAACTGTTGGAATTTGTGATTACACCATGTAAATGTTACATACCTTGGCAATGTAAAATAATAATATAATTTTTTAAATAGAGAAGAAAGAGACTGTAAGAAAAAAAGTAAGTGTACAAATTTCCCTATGCTTTATAGTAGGGATTCAGATAATGTCTAGTGATAATATCTGTAGTTAAAACAACAACAAGCCCAGTCTTTTAGTTTTTTTCATAATTTTAACTTTTAAAAACCCATATCTCATTGTAAAGAAACATTTATCTTTAGTTCATCAACTTCTATCATTGAAGCTGTTTCTCTTTGTTAAATTATTGTAAGTAATATTTCTAAATATTAGACTACATTTATAAAACTATTTCTACCTATCCATCTATTTTTATAATTTTAGAGATATCCAGAATTTTGTTCACCAAATGTTAACAATTTATTTCTGAGTGCTAGATATAGGTGATTTTTTTTAATGTTCTTTATACTTTTTTGGGGTTAACTTTTTAAAAGAGTCAACGACATTTTTTTTTTTTTTTTGAGACAGAGTCTCGCTCCGTCACCCAGGCTGGAGTGCAATGGCACAATCTTGGCTCACTGCAACCTCTGCCTCCCAGGTTCAAGTGATTCTCCTGCCTCAGCCTCCTGAGTAGCTGGGATTACAGGTGCGCACCACCACACCTGGCTAATTTTTGTATTTTTAGTAGAGATGGGGTTTCACCATGTTGGCCAACCTGGTCTCCGGTTCCTGAACTCGTGATCTGCCCACCTCGGCCTCCCAAAGTGCTAGGATTACAGGCGTGAGCCACTGTGCCCCGCCAAGAGTCAACAACATTTTAATAAAAGAGATAGATGTTTATAGAGAGAGATAGTTGACTCTCTCTCTCTTCATTTCTATCTATGATTTCCTTTTTTCTTTCAAAGGTTTAACAATTAATTCTTTAAAGCATTCGTTCAATTGTGGCACACCGACCTCTCTTGTTGGCCAGAAACTTATAGGGGTAAGTCTCAATAAAACTATTGAGTCTAAAATCACAAAACAGCTGACAACTTTGTGGCACATCACCCAATTCTTGGAGACAGTGCCAACCCTTGGACAGGTCTATATTATCTTGGGCACGAGACTGCTTGCTAAGTTAAGGTTATATATTGAAGAGAAATCAGACATTTTTATTTCTAGAATTTTCTGTTTCATGAGGGACTGCTGGCTATCTTTTATTTGGGCCAATGCCTAGGCCCAAAAGAGGTTTACCAGATGTGTGAGAAAATGTTATTTCTGCTTTATTTGGTGAATGATAATGAGTAAATGGGATGAAGGGAAACTTTCTAGAATTTCTAGAATCATATCTTGTCTGAACAAGATATGAATTGATCAGTTCACTTGTCAAACAAGAAAGACATTTGTATCTATCTACAAATTTTATTCTTCAGTTGAATTCAGAATATAGTGATTTTTCATAAGAAACGACAAAATTTAATAAGTTATGCATTTGTTAAAAAAATACTAACTTGTCTAACATAATCCTGGAATCTCAAACATATTCTGTAGTTGTTTTCTGAGTGAATGCTAACACTCACTGTAAATAAGGCATTGATACTTCCTTGTATAAAAATATTTTAAATTTCTAAAACCTCTCATCTTACCATCTCCTTTTCAAACTTCCTCCCCAAATCTTCAGACAACTTATTCTACTTCATTTGAAGAGAATTAAGTATGGTTTTCATTCATTGCATTTTTCTATTATATTTCTACACTCTATGTTCTATTTGGCGATATAGTTAGTTGCCTCTATCTCCCTGGCTAGATCATGTGTTCCTTGAAAGCAGAAACTATGCTTTAATTTATCCCTGCCTCTCCACTGTAACTAGTTTAGTACTTTACATGTAGAAGCTCTGTACTCAAGTCAACAATGTGGAATTGCCTTAAGATGAAATTGGTGAATAGGTCTGTAGAAAAATGACTTCTCCGTGGGTCACCCTGCCCACCCCACCTGTCCCTCCACATGCCCCCTTAAAATGCAAAATTGCTGGAAGCTTGGGGAAGATGTATGCCTCTATATGTACGTACATATCATCTCAAAAGGAAAATTTCTGTAATTTTCATCTAAAAGATGCCTATGAGAACAAAGCCAAACAAGTAGCTAAGGCCCGAAGCACTGAATGGGATGAATAAAATATCTCGATATTTACATGGTTCATTTTGACCGTACCCACAGGGCAGCAAACATCTGCGTGAAAAGTAAAGAATTCAGCCTGTTAGATGACTGGTTGTGAAGAGCCAAACATTGGGTATCATGTCATCCACATGTCTGGTTGATTGAATATGAATTGCCCCCTTTTTATCCAGATAGCTTCAGCAATAGATAAAGCATGGAGATTTTTCCACATTTTACATGGTGCTTGGTGTTGTAGAATTCAGCCTTTGTGTGTTCTTTTCCCCCCGTCTTGCTATTGCCTGGATCTCATTAGGAACCATTAGTGATGTAATACTAAACCTATGGAATCTTAAACATGCTTTTAAAATCCTGTGGAATAAAGATGTCTCCTACCAAACCAAAAATGCAGTGGGAATAGACAAAGTTACATTTCTTCAAGAAAAAATGACTCATTTCATAGTTCCCAAACTGTTTTGACTGAAGCTTCTCAAAATAAACTTTCTGGAATATGGAGCCTTTGATGTCTGACTTTGAAAAAAATATATCATTTCTCAAACATACAATTCAATCCTTTTGGGGTGTTCATGTATTTCTGCAGATTAACTTACTTTTATTTCAACAAGTGAATGACACAATATTAAATAGCCATCTGACAAAGAAAGAAAAGTATGTTTGAAGTGGTCTTAACTCCTACATAAACCAAATATAAAGAACATGCCATATGATTTTTTAAATTGCCACAAAAATAGAATTTTCAGAACATTACCAGAAGGGGGATTTGGTCCATTAAGAATAACAAAACAGTTTAGATGTCATGAAAGTAGAAGATTAGGAGTGCCATTAAGCTTACTAATGAGATTTTTGATTCATATGCTATTTCCTAGGCTAGGCAACATTTTTAATTTTTCACAGTCTTGAACTTTAATCCTTGAAGGGTAATTCAAGTTTCAGAACTTACATACTGCAATTTGTTTGGGGTGGCAATTTGCCATTGATTTGCCTCTGGGTTCTTTTGTTCTCTTTCAGCTGGGGGACTCAAAGGTGGTCATTTATTAAGTCCAGGTCTACACATGACCGCTGAAACAACTGGTTTTCAATCAAATCTTCTAAATAATCCAACCATTTTTGTGCAGTTGATCAGATTGATTTAAGATATCAATTGCTCTATTCAAACAACAGTGAATGAAATAATTGTATGACTGGACAATCTTTACTTTTCTTTCCTCCTCCTCCTTCTTCTCCTTCTTCTCCTTCTCCTTCTTCTTCTTCTTCCTCTTCTTCTTTAATAAGAGTTTCTCTTTGGAGTGGTGGAAGGATTGGTTAAGATCTGCATTCTAGCTTCAACTCTTCCACCTCTATCTGATGCTTGAAAAGTTTCTCTTAACCTTTCAAGCCTCATTTTTCTTTTCTATAAATGGAGAGAACAAACACTGACCTTGTGCTATGTTTGGGACATTAAATAGATACTGTGGCATTTGATACACAATTGGCCTACAATAAATGTAATTTTTTCCCAGTTCCCCCTCAATTGTACATACGGAGTTTTCTGCTTTTTTTCATTTTCTATTGTGATGATAACTTCTCAACAGAAGGGTTAAAAGAATATTTGACACCCATTATATTACGCTGTTAAAGAATATTAGAACTAGAGATATACGTCACTTGGTCAGATCTGAGCTCCAGGGCCTGATGTCTCTGATGATGGCAAGAAGAGACTGTTGTTGGAATTTGTGTTATTCTCTGAGACTTTAAGAATACTACCTTTCCTTCAGAGGCTTTTAAATATCTATTATGCAGTAACATCTCTAAACTACTCTTGAACCTATGCACATTTTTATCATGGTACCAGCATTGAAAGTAATAGATTCCAAGTGTTTAATACTTATAATGGAAAGAGGTTTTTCTATTATTTGACCTAAAATGATCACTTCAAAGCTTTAAGATTTAGATAAAGTGGGGAGAAAGGGGGATAGGAAAAGGAGCATGGGAAAAGGGGTAAGGTAATTAACATTTATAAGATGATGGCCAAGTTTATTAGAAAACAGATGGAGTCATACATTTGGGTAGACCTGAACTTCACTTCCAGCTCTGTCTCATTCCAGGGCAGAGTTGTTAAGAGAATGTAATGTACCCGCATTAAAATAAATTTGCTTTGTTAACTATAAATTTAAGTTTGGATTTCCTCTTTCCAAGCATTTATTTTTATAAGTGATTAGGGTAATTTAAGGTCTTTAAATTGCTATAAAATATCTAAGCATTAAAGAGGGGTGAGAAAAATTAGCATTTTAAAATTCTCTATATAAGGATAATTTTATACTCTAACTTTTGGATTTATAGATATCTTATGTATATTTTCCCAGAAAAAATGTGAAGATTTCCCTTTTGGTGAAGTCATTTAGAGTTCATTGTTGGTTGGTATAATCTGCAAAATTATATTCAATTATGCAATTAATGTAAAATATTACATCACATAATAACCCAAGGTCATTTTATACTTACAATAAAAAATTGTTTTGACCCTTCCTGTAGATTAACCTCCCAAATGATTTATTGGTCATTAATAGCTCAATTTTTAGACCCAGGGGTCAGAGCTCAGGGCATTGCAACTGAGGGTAGATCCCTGTACAGACTGACCAGAGGAGCCCTGGGTATGCCGGGGAGAAATACATGCACATTTCTCAATGTCTCAGGCTATGTTTTCCTTCAGTTTCACCAACACCATCTTAATTCAGGTTTCAAGAATCTCCAAACTTACCTACACACTCTAGTTTAGCCCTTTCAAGTATCATTCCATCCTGTAAACTGATTTTAAATCTTCCCAAACTACTGTTTATATAAAAAAAACTTAGTCTCAAAATCTCCCCAAACTACTGTTTACTTTAAAAATTTTAAATTAAAGAGGGGTGAACAAAACTAGCATTTTTAAATTCTCTATATAAGGATAATTTTATTATTCTATTGTCTGCTCCAAAGAATAAAGTACAAAACTGATATCCAAGGACCCGGTCAACATTCCTGCTTTCTCCCACCCTCCCAGGCAGGCTTTTGAATGTACTCACCCACGAGCACAGCTGCCCATGACCACAACTGATGTATTTCTGTTCTGCTGATGTTGCTCCTTCGTCATGTTTGAAATATTCTCACACCTCCTTTCTAGTTATCCAAATCTTAACTCTTTAAGTGCCAATCATCTTCCTGAAGCATCTCCTAAGTACTCCAGCCCACCTAATCAACACACACCGGAGCTTTTCTAGTCCATTCTTCAACTTTTTACAGTTTAGGAGACCCAATTTGCAGAGTTTGTGACTTGCCTGAGGTCACAAAGCAAGTTAGTAGTGTCACCATGACTTAAAATTGAGGTCTTTTACCACGAACACTGTTGCCTGAATTCCCTAAACTATCATGATAACAGACATTTTACTGATAATATTGGTTTTGTATTGTTGGTTCATTGTTCCTAAGTATGAAACCTGGATATGCCCAAATTGTTCCTGGATTATTCTTTCATTTCAGATCCAAATAAAATAATTGGGGCCTCCATCTCAATATTTCTGAGAATCCCCAAGAAAGAGATAAGGTGGTGGGATGCCTTATATTTTTGTCACCTCCTGCTCCAAATTCCAGTCACCCATTTACCTCCTCAGTCCAACCTCTACCTGCTTAACTCTGAGCATGGAAAAGTTCTTTTTTTCTTCATTCCCACAAAGCTGCTGCATTTAACAGACTTTGATGAATGGTTTATGGTGATAGAAGGGCATTAAAATGCAGCCCACACTGGATCACAGCTCAAAATTAAATATTTTAATTTGAGAAAAAAATTAACTCTTTAGCTCTTTGCCTTAATTCTCTCCCATGTGATTTTGGAGTGGACAGGGCCATTCAACTTTTACAACCACAAAGCAAGGTCAGGATATTTATGTAAACAAAATACAATAGTTATCTACCCTGGGCTTATGCCCTTAGTAACTCTAAGAAGCAATAGAAGTTTTGACATTAGTTTTTCTTTAACTTGGCCCAGGCTGAAATCTTAGGCAGATCTCCCTATCTCAGTGGACCAGGACAATGTCAGGAGCCAATGGGTATTCATTTGCTACATTCTTAGTTGGGAAAATGAATCCAGCACTATTTTCCAGAATGTAGTAAGATTAGGAAGAGAGTAAAAACAGAAAATGGGCATTTTTTGCCATTTGCTGAGCTTTTTCTCCATACCAGGTTCTATACTGTTATACACGTTACCCCATTTCCCTCTCACAACAACCATGCAAGGTAGGCATTCTCCACTTTTCAATGGAGCAAATAAACAATTTGCCAAAGTCATCCAGTAAGAAAGTGGCACAATCCAGAATTCAAACCCAGATCTGCCTGACTTTAAAAGCCTTTCTGGACTTGGCCAGATGACAACGGCAATGGCCCAGGCACAGGAAAGAGTGAGGACCATATCACATCACATGATATTCCAAATTTATCAGAGTGCTGAGAGTCAGAATAAACAGAAATGTCAGTCAAAGGTGTTATTTGGGGAAGGTGATGGAGGGTCCACGATGGACTGAGGTTCAGATAGAGATGACTTTTTTCATTCATTCTTCTGTTTAAAGCTACCGGATTTAACACAAACTCAGGACCGTCTACAGAATCTGAATTGGATATCCCCAGGTCACTTAGTTTTTATAACCCAACAAGGGCAACATATTCAATAGACTATCACCAAGAGCCTTTCTGAGCAGCTTGTATTTATTCATCTTGCCTGTGACTGGGCAAAGGGGGCAGGTGTCTGGCTTTTGTTACTGCATAGAAATACAACTTTGGTTTCGTTGATGTGAACAGATAAGCACTGCATGTGAACTGAAATCACACTATGTCTAAACAGAGGACTCTGTGGCACTTTTCTTACTAAAAAGTTGTTAAGTTTGGCAATCCTCACTCTGTTCCAGTCAAACATTTTCTTAACCATATTAGGTTATATGGAAATAAGCCAATATCGCGGCTGGTGTATGAGTAGGTCCTCTGCACCAAGGCAGTTTTCTTGAGAGCATTTTCTCACTGGTTTAAAAGCAATAGAGACAAATGTGGCTCAGAGTATATTTTTAAATGTGGCTGGAAAGAAAAATAAAAATTCACTGATCCAAAAAGAATTCGGAATCGCAGCTAGACCAAAGTCAGATTTTTAAGCTGGAAGACTTGGAGAGATTTGGGTATTTGCTTGCTTCTTATTGAAAGACTCAATCAATTTTTTAAAAGCCCAGCCAACCTTAACACAGATATAGGAGAGGAAATCAGAACAAAACTGCATCATCTGTTCCATAATTGTCCAATGTTGTTCTCGTTGCTTAATCTCGTGGGTTAGAAACCCAGCATTTGAGCTCTGGATTCACTACATTCTGAGTAATCCTAGACACTGGGCTTAATTTCATTGTTTGTCAAATGGGGGATGATATACTACCTATATCATAGGATTCTTAGGAAAATCCAATGAGATAATGCATGATTCAACTATTACCAAAAAAGCATATTATAAGCCTTCTGTTTTTCAAACTACAACACTTGGAGAAAAGTAGCAGCAGAGAAAATAGCTTTTAGGTCTGCCCCTGGTTGCTCTGATACAGTTATCTGCTTTTCATTTAGATTTATCATATTCTGCTTTGACAGCTAATAATTATTCATCTATATATTCATTCTTTTATTCAGAATATTGAGCACTTAGCAAGTGCCAAGCTCTTAATTAGGAGCTCTTATTCTCATCTTTGCAAATAGATGATAAATCTATAAAGCTCCCCCCCCATCTTATCATTAGATACTCTTTTGAAATATTTTTATTTCAAGATACATGTTGGCCATTCATTCATTCCATGTATATTTATTGAGTGACTACTAAATGGCAGGCAACTGCAAAGTGCTGAGGAATCATTAGTAAACACAATAAATACATCCTCATGGAGATTTCAGTCTAGTAGAAAAGACAGATATTAAATACATAAGTAACCAAACATAAATATCATTGCAAATTGTGATTGTACATGAAGACAAAGAGCAGAGACTTACAACAGAGAATGACGTGGAAGTAACATCTTAAAACTCTATGTCTAATGCAACAAATTTTAATTTACAATACCTTGGCAATAAATGGATAGGATACGTGAAAACGTTATCATCTGATTGTACTGTAACACAAAAATTGGTGTTTTCAGGGTGTTGCAATTATTTAGTACTATTCCAACTTTGACTTTGTGGGTTTAAGAAAGGTTAAGAATTATCCAAGTAAGAAGTATGCCTTTGTCATTAGGTAATGGTGAGGGACTCATTTCTGGTCTCTGTGGCCAGTAAGCTCTAGATCCATGCAAGAAATTGAAAGCAAGCTTGTGTGACTGGATCACAAAAGAGAGAGGCACAAGAGGAAGCTGGAGAGGCAGGCTGAGCTAGATTATACACGACATTGTAGGCCATGGGAAGAGTTGGATCTGTATTCTAGATGCACTATGAAGCTACTGAAATGTTTTAAGCATGGGAGTGACATGATTAGATTTATGTTTTTAAAAGGGTAATTGTTTGCAGATGGCTGGAAGATAGAACAGAAAGACCAGTTGGGAGGAAGAGTCCAGATGAGATGATGGTGGCTTGGATTTGAGTGACAGCAACAATAATGAAGATAAATGAACCATTTTAGGCAAATATCCTGAAGGGAGAATCACCTGGATTTAGTAATTTACTGTAGAGGGAGTAACGGTAGATGAGGAAGGAGGAAGTGTATGAAATGATTCCCAAGTCCGGAGCTTAAGCAACCAGGTAAATATTGGTGTCATTTGCTAAGATGGGAAAAACTTGGGAAACAAGGACTGTGTTCAATTCTGTCCTGTTTGCTGAGGAAAAAAAAAAGGGGCCAGGGAGTAGTGGTGGAACTTTTTGTGAGTTATAGAGAGGAAACAAAAGTATAAAGCTTAACACCCATCTTCAGAATGCTTGCACCCTAAGCATTAAATCCACTGTTGATATTTCCTTAACAGGCTTTCTCAAACCACCAGAGGCTCTACTATGATGTGTGTTATCTCACTCGTAGAATTTATTCTTTCTTCACCCTTCCTCTGTGTGTGTCCAAATATAATGCAGTTGATTTTAATAATTTAATTTGCTACACCTTTGAATTATCTCATTTATCAAGGCATCAGTCAATCTTAAAAATTAGATCTTTATTTTTTTTTTAATTTTTAAGCTCAGGGCTACATGTGCAGGATGTGCAGGTTTGTTACACAGGTAAATGTGTGTCACGGGGGTTTGTTATACAGATTATTTCATCACCCAGGTATTAAGCCTAGTACCCATTAGTTATTTTTCCTAATCCTCTCTCCCCTCCCACCCTCAACCCTCCAATAGGCCCCAGTGTGTGTTGTTCCCCTCTATGTGTCCATGTGTTCTCATCATTTAACTCCCACTTATAAGTGAGAACAAGCAGTATTTAGTTTTCTGTTCCTGCGTTAGTTTGCTAAGGATAATGGCCACCAACTCCATCCATGTCCCTGAGAAGGATATGATCTCAAACCAGATTTTTAAAGGCAATATATTTTTTTTGGTGCTTCTATAATCTTGGCAGTGAATAATGACAATAGAAGTCTTTACCATTTTGTCTTCCTGTTATTTACTGTAACTCAACTACAAATATTCCAACTTCTCCAGTGGTGTATGTGGAAACAAGAAGAGTTCACAGAAAGAAAATTATGATCAGTTTGATTCCCCTGAGAGCCGCTGATAGAGTACTAAGCTCTACATTACTTAGCAATGCAAAAACAAAGTGGTAGAGATTTAGTGATCAAGATTTATGTACAAGAATGTCCATCACAGCACTACTTATAATAGCCCAAACCTGAAATACTCTCAGTGTCCAGTGATAAGGGAATGATTACATATAACTGTAAAGTTATCATGTTTTAAAAATTGTGTAAAAAATATGTATAATATAATAAGTGAAAAAATTGAGTGCATAACATCACATTTGTTTTTAAAATAGAATCTTACCTTTGTTGAAAAAAAAGACTGGAAGGAAATATATTGAAACTTTAAAGTAATCTCAGGGTGGGAAGGATGAAAAGAGACTTTAGAATTATTTTCTGCATAATTTCTTTCTTTTTTTTTGAGACGGAGTCTTCCTCTGTTGCCCGGGTTGGAGTGCAGTGGCGCGATCTCGGCTCACTGCAACCTCCGCCTCCTAGGTTCAAGAAATTCTCTGCCTCAGCCTCCCGAGTAGCTGGGATTACAGGTGCCCACCACAACGCCTGGCTAATTTTTTTGTATTTTTAGTAGAGATGGGGTTTCACCATCTTGGCCAGGCTGGTCTTGAACTCCTGACCTCGTGATCTGCCCACCTCGGCCTCCCAAAGTGTTGGGATTACAGGCATGAGCCACCGCACCCGGTCTCTGCATAATTTCTGTATTTTCTATAATAAAATGCATATTTGTATACTTTCTATAATAAAATGTATATCTATATAGCACTCAGAGATGGCATAACTTCTAGAGATTTGATGATTTTTGTTAGTGGAAGAGATCCGAGTTATCTGCGAGTTACCGGCGGCGAATCTGTAGGGGTCCACAGCAACTTCAGTCCTTGCCTCCTCAGAAGAAAGAATTCAACTGAGGGGCGTGTAAAGCAGAAAAAGAGATAGAGGCAAGTTTCAGAGCAAGAGTGGAAGTTTATTTTAAAAGGCTTTAGAACAGGAAAGAAAGGCGCGCTTGGAAGACATCCAAGCAGGCACGTGAGTGTTAAAGAGAGAAGGTCGAGTGTCCCGTATAACCGTGATCCTAGGACTTTTATAAGCCCGTCTTTTCCCCATGCGTCTTCCGTAGGGTGGGCATGCGCACAGCCCTTCTTACGCTTGAGAAATGCGCACGCGCAGTGTATTTAGGGAGTTATACACATGCCCATCTGAGGCTTTCTTCCTTCTTCCAGCAGAGAGTACCCAGGAGATCTTACTTCGTCATTTTTGTCTCTTAATATGCATTTCCAGAAAGCTGTTTCTCTCTGGGGTCTGCACTCAGTTAACACTTTTAAATGTTAACAGGTATGGACCATCAGGAGATTGTCTCTTTCTGGCTGCTGTGAATTATCATTTTTAGAGAGGCAAAGGGATAATTGCCAAACCATCACCTGACATTTCTAGTGGGTGGTGGGAGAGCCCTCTCCTGCTCCCTGCTCATGACTGACTACCTGTAACAATTTGGGACCTTTTTCAGTAGAGTGAAATAGAAATAAAAGCAGTCTGGAAAACCAGCAATGAATAATTGTCAAGTGCTGCCTGAGATACTGTGGGGTATAAAGTTGTGTGAAAATGTGATTGCTTATTCATGGATCTTATGATCAAGTTCCCACACTCCTGGATTTCCCTTGTTTGGGTTCAAACAGCCTAAGAACATAATAAGGGCAGTTTTGATTTTCATATCTGAGTTTTTCTTTTAAGCCACATCGGGAAATGAAGGAACACAGACAGACAGCGGGAGAAATACACTCGCAAAACAACCTAAGTATCTGTGCAGCCTCAATATCATTTAAATTCTGGCTAAGTTTAAGGTTTTTCCTTTTTTTGGTTTCTTCCTTCACTCTTCAAGTGTATTCCACATAATGTAGTTGTAGCTCTGCTCAAGGTTCTGGAGTAGCATTTCTATGCAAGCTTAGTTATTTTAAGTTATTCACAGTTATTTGTTTTTTAACCCTTTAAAAGTAATTTGTCACAATCACATCTTTATGTGCCAGATATATAAGAATTATTGTCTTGTCTCTGGACAGTATGTTTTAGAACTTTTCCTTATGAAGCTGCAAGACGTGTTTTACACTTATCAGCTCTATTTAGCCTATAACTGTGTCTGCATAATGCCAGAATTGCCATTTCAACAGAGACCAAGAATTCCCCAACAGTTATTTGGTGGCAACTGCCAAAAATTTTTATTGAATTAATTTATCTTTTTCACTTAATTCAATCCACTTAGCTATGAATGTTGAACCCAGTGAAACTTCTGGTTTTGGGGGGATTTTTTTGGCATATGAATGGAAGCATTGCTGTGTTTAAAAATACTATCCTTTGGAGATAAACATTATGGGATGTTCAATATGAAATATCTTATTAATGTGGAAATGGGTTTCATTAACCCATCTGTATCTGCACGTTATCCTTCATCTGGTTAAAATTCCACATTTTAAAAAAGATAGCAGCTTGGGTTTAAGTTTGTGGCCACGTAAGACTGAAGTTTGATACTGTCCACGTTACCATCAACCAGCTAATGTATTACCAATAAAAACAGCAGTACTATTCTTCAGTGAGATTCTCATTGTCCACCTTGTGTCAGTTTTCAGTGTAGCCCTGGGAAGAAGGGCACTGGAGAATGATGTTTCCATCAAGATTTAGAAGTGGAAAAAATTGAGCTTCTGGAGACCTCACTTATTTATTCACTTAACACACATTTATTGAGAAACTGCTATGTGATCAGAGCTATGCTAGACACTGGGGATACAGAAGTGAATATGACATAAATAATTTAATATTTATTTGCCCACTAGAGTGTTAGCCCTCTGAGAGCAGTGACCTTGTCTTTCTCCATCTCTGCTGTCTCCTTAGCAACTCCCATTTAATAACTGGAAATAGAATCCCAAGCGGGGCCTAACTTTTTGTCTCATGAGATAGGAATAGTAGAAGAGCAAATCTCAAACTTTTCCCCCATATGAGGAATGACATTCACAGAAAAGACCCACTTAGAGGAAGACAAATAGGCCTTTTTCTTCCACGGAAGAAAGATGCCTAGAATCCAGTTGAATGAATATCAAGTTTATATGGATAGCTTTGAATCCTTCCTAATATTTTAAAAAGTAAATCACATGAAACCTCACATTTCTGATGATACGTCAGAGTAGCAACAATACTGTGATCAGAACTCCACATAGAAAGCTGCTGTGGTGGGCCACCATACCTGATGGAAGATCTATTTTGATGTTCAAATGCTTTGAGATTAGGACGGTTGCTTGAAGTATTTATCGCTTGTTACACTTTCTCTGCTGTGTGATTACTGCAAAGACAGGCCAGATTGCAAGGGCCACAAAGGATCAGTTCTTGAGATAATTATATGAAAACTGTTTAGCCCATGATGGCAGTTAGAAATCGAGCAGTGGATTCTTCCAATATCCAAAAACAGATGTAGTGATTGATTTGTCCTAAAATAAAAAATAACCAGCTCCTGCTAAATGGACTTAGTTGTTAACTAATCAAACACAGGCAGAATGGTGTTCTACAAAAAGAACAGATTTGGAGACCCAGCTCCTCCCATCACTAGCTGAGAAGCCTTGGGTAAACCATTTAACCTCTCTAGGCCTTTCTAGGTCTTATTTATAAAATGTTGCCAATAATACTTGTCTTACTGACCTCCAGGGTTTCTATGAAAATCATTTAAGAATAGAGATATGCAAGCCCTGTTTACTGTAAAAGGGCCATGTATTTGTATTCTTAACCCATTTGTGATGTCACTAGGCACTTGGAAATCAGCCCACAAATGGCTGATCTGATTGATGATAGAAGCATAATTGCCCTGTGACCAACCCACTTCATCCCTACCAAACATTCCAGACATTTCAGTGCAGGAACAAGGTCTATGGGAAAAAGTCAAAAGGAGACTGATCAGAGGAATTCCACTGGCCCTTCCCAGGGCCCTGTGCACAAAATGGTCCCCTGTGCATTGTTATTTTGCTGTGTTTGCCGATGTCCACAGCTTCCTAGACATTAACAGATGGATATCTGGGTGATGATGAACAGACAGAGTGAGTGTGATATTTTACCAGTTTTCTAGTGCAAAGGCCTCTGTATCTAATCTATGGGCTTGCAGCCTTCACTAGTTACTCTTTCAGCTGAATGTGCAAAGAGATAAAGTACTGCCTGCCTTTCTTTAAAATGCTGAGGAATGACATCTAGTGAATTTTTTCAAGGCTACACATACTGATGGTTTTGCTTTTGGTTGCAAGGGTAGGACAAGGTGATTCTAGATCCTGACCTGAGCCCTGTGTCCTGCTGCTGCCCAGATTCTCTCTGTCAGTGTTTCATGCTTGGCACCGACTGAGCTCAAGGCTCTGGATTAGGTCTTACTGCACAGCTCTGTGGCAGAGAGGAGAGGTGGGCAATGCCAGTTGGTTGGAACGTGGGAAAGAGGAACAGGATAATTCCACTTAGGGTGTTATTTTGCTTTGTTTTTTGCTTGCTTTAAGCAACTGGCCATAAAGGAAATATATGGCCCTGTCCTTAGGTAGTTAAATTTCAATCAGTAGTCAAAACTAACATTAGAAAAAGTTTTAAGCATACTTTAAACAAACAAGAACATATTATAAATAGGAACATGAAATGAATTTATTACATCAATAAAGTGTGCCTAAATTTTTCAGAGTTGACTTAATTGCACAATAGATAATCCGATCGTGATGACGTGTAGCCTGAACTAGAATTTATTGACTTGAGACACTCTTTCTTTGTGAATATCGAAAATTTCTAAGTACAACCTTTATTGATGAGATTGTCAAAAATTGAGAGTCTAATAGCATTAAAGAGGTTCAATTTGGCCAAACTGGACATTATTAAGTTTATCCTATATGCTGGAGGCTGTGCTAAATTCTACAGATAAAAGATAAATGAGGCTAGGCGAGGTGGCTCACACCTGTAATCCCAGAAATTTGGGAGGCCGAGTCAGGCGGATCACCTGAGTTAGGAGTTCGAGACCAGCCTGGCCAACATGGTGAAACCCCGTCTCTACTAAAAATACAAACATTAGCTAGGTGTGGCGGTGGGTGCCTGTAATCCCAGCTACTCAGGAAGCTGAAGCAGGAGAATCACTTGAACCTGGGAGGCAGAGGTTGCAGTGAGCTGAGATCGCGTCACTGCACTCCGGCCTGGTGACAGAGTGAGACTTCATCTCAAAAAAAAAAAAAAAAAAAAAAAGATAAATGATATGACTCTTACCCTTGCTCAGATGTCCATCCTGTTTCCTCAGCTTTGCCTCCTCAACCATGAGGGTTCTAATCTTCATAGTTGCTTCTGTTTGATAAGTTCTATTTATTTAGGAAGCCATACACAGGAACACAGGCAGAAGAGAACCAGAAGACTGCATCCATTGGAAAATTTAATATACATAAAAATTAAGTGCACCATTTCTTATCACTTGCTGAAACTTAGGTAACTTAACATCATGCCTTACAAACAACAGTCAGTGCTCGTTGATAATGATGACAGTGGTAGTGGCAGTGGTGATGATTACGATGATGAAGGCAAGAGAAACAACTGCCACTACCTTTTCACAAACTTTGGACTTTTTATTATCTACACTAGGTCTTTCGTGATGAGTGGTAGTTATACCCAGCTCAAACTTCAGGTACACTATGACTCTGTGAAGAGAAAGATACATTTTTCTCAGTGTCTCTCATGCCTGTAGCCACGGGAAACTTATCAAACACTGACGTCAGCTACTTTCCCATGAGAAGTTCAGAAATTTCATAAGACCGCAAACGACTTTCTCTTTCCTATTTGCTTCAGACAAGTACAGAACTTTTCATGAAGCTTAAAAATAAACATCTGACCTTCATGGATACATTCTCATTGCTTCTCCAATCAGAAATCATCTTGCCTGTGAAAATCCACCCTCATTCTTCTATTAACAATTGAAACATCTTGGATGATGCAAATAGCATCGCAGATTACTCTTCATTCAATGATTGTCCAAGAGAAAGGAGAAAAGGCTGCAATGATTAGGCACCATTTTAAGATACCAAAGCCCATCTTTTGTACTATCATAGAACAGGATAAGATCTGTTTTTTTTTTTCATAATTTTACCATATGGGCTTCTCTGAGAACATACATGTAAGCTATATCCTTTGCACTCCATAAAATTTTAAGAACTCAGCAAAATTTCCCTGGGTAGCTTGCTAGTCTTGGGACCTGATGGCTTAGAAATAAACTAAGAATTGAGCCATTCTACTTTCTAGATGCAGAATAACAAAGAAGGCAGAGAAAGAAGCTGATAATATTAAACGAGGGTCAATGGCATGCTAAGTTCAATACTAGGTACTTTATATGTTATCTCAATCATCACTCAACAACAGACTTTTTTCTTTCGTTCTCCTTTTTTTTTTTTTCCTGAGATGGAATCTTGCACTGTCGCCCAAGCTGGAGTGCAATGGCATGATCTCGGCTCACTGCAACCTCCATCTCCTGGGTTCATGCGATTCTCCTGCCTCAGCCTCCTGAGTAGCTGGCATCACAGGCGCACACCACCACACTGGCTAATTTTTTTAATTTTTATTTTTAGTAGAGATGAGGTTTCACTGTGCTGGCCAGACTGGTCTCAAATTCCCGACCTTGTGATCTGCCTGCCTCGGCCTCCCAAAGTGCTGGGATTACAGGCGTGAGCCAATGCACCCGGCCAACAACAGACTTTTATGAAGCATATGATATATGCCAGAGAACATGCTAAATGCTTGGTATGGAGTGATTGATAAGACCATGCCCTTACCATTGGGAAGCCCATACTCATGCAATGCTACCATAGAGGCATTAACCAAGTACAATGGAAGAAGAAAAAAACCCTTCAGCGTAGTAATTACTATCCTCATTTTAAAATTGAAGTAGCTGATACCTGTTAGTTATCTTTGTTAAAGAGCTTCTCTTAGGTTATTAAGTGTAGAGTTCTATGTGACCCATAGTCAGTCTTACAATTCCATGCTGTTTTAATGGGAAAGATCTATGTTCAATCCAACTGAATGATTTAAAGCTTTGTCTGCTATCCAATAAATCTGTTTGCTACAGAATGCCACAAAAATTCTGACTTTCACTGAATAATTGACTTTTTCTTTAATTATAAGAAAAATTTCCTTAATTTCCCACTTTAGCCTGTTTGGTAGCTAAATTCCTAACATATTATCATATTAATACATCTTGTCCCTCTTATCTACTCATTTATACAAATATCTGTATACATTTCCATATGCATAATAATTCCTTAATAACACAGAAAACATATCCCATAAAAATCAAGAGATTCTCATACAGACATAAACCTATACACTAAACTACAAGCATACTATAGATGAATTTGTTCAAGATACATAGGGAAAATCTGAAATGGAAACATACAATTTTAAAAAATAAAGAGGAAACATTGTTCAAGGACTTGATGCACAAAAGAGCTACAAGAAATAATTTGGGGAAGGTGGGTGGTTAAAAGTGAGGACAAGAAACAGTGGATACTAAGCAAAGGGCTGGATGGATGGTGAAATTGCATGGCATTCTTAAGATGATAAGTAGTCCCTGTATTTGGATTGCCTTGGTATGGACCACTTGCAAAAACATTCAATATTTCACTTCTAAGATATGGTAAGCCAAAATACATATATGGAAAGTTCACTAAGTCATTGGCAAATAATCCAGTGTTGACTTTTAATTTAGAAATAACTGGCCAAATTGATCCCAGCCTTCCCAACTACAATTCTCCCCCTGCAGAGTACATTGATTTGTATTATCTTATTGTTTTCTCTCACTGTTTGTCTTTCTTTTTATTATTTTATTTTCCTACTGGTACAATGTATGACAAGAGATAGTGAACTTTCCTGATTTTATATATTTTGAGCTCATAAATTCCCTGGAGTTGTCATCTTTCCAGACTAAAGTTTCATCTTTTTCTATTCACATGTTCTAAAAATAATCTTTTTAATGATGTGTAACATATAGAGAAGTGCACAATTTATAATTGTACAGAGTGATGGACTTTCACAGAATGAACGCAACTGAGTAGTCAGCATCCAGATCACAAAACAGAATACTACTTGCATTCAGAAGCACCCTAAATGTCCCTTCAGAGTCATGCCTTCCCCCACCCAGCCACTGCCTCATGATAACCATTATTCTGATTTCTAACATGAAGTATTAATTTTGTCTGGGCTTCGGTTTTTATATTAATGAAATCATATAGTAATTTTTGTTGTGTTGTTTACATTATGATTCTGAGATTGATTGCCTGAGCAAAACTTAGATCATTCTAATTGCTATATAGGGTTTCATTGTTTGCCTCCCACAATTTATCCATTTTGCTGTTGATAGACATTGAGGTTATTTCCTTTTCATGGCTATTATTAATAGTACTGCTATGAACATTCAAGTTCATGTCTTCTGGTGAATATATGCATGGACTTTTGTTGTATATATGCCTGTAAGTAAGATTTCTGGGTCACAGGGTATACAAATATTCAGCTTTAGCACATGCTGCCAAATCTTTTTCCCAAGTGATTTTGCCAATTTATATTCCCATAGCAGTGCATGAGCATTTCAGTTGCTCACCACCATTTTGATTTATGTCTTTTAAATTTTAGCTATTCTAGTGGTATGTAGTTTTAGTTCATCATAAGTTTCAATTTGAATTTTTCTAATGATTAATGAGATTGAGCACTTTTTCATACACTTGTTGATCTTTTTGTCTTTTTGTTTTTGTTTTGAGACAAGGTCTCTCTCTGTCCCCAGGCTGGAGTGCAGTGTCACGATCATGGCTTACTGTGGCCTTGACTTCCCTGGCTCAAGAGATCCTCCCACCTTAGCCCCCCATGTAGCTGAGACTACAGGCATGCACCACCACACCTGGCTGATTTATTTTTTAGTTGTTGGCAATTTTAAATATCCTCTTTTGTGAAATGCCTGTTGAAATCATTACTCATTTCTCTATTAGATCATCCATCTTTTTCTTTTTGATGTGTGGAAATTTTTATATATTCTGGATACAAGTTCTTTGTCATCCATATTGCTAATATTTTCTCAATCTATGGCTAGCATCTCCACTCTTTTTATGGTTTTTAGTTTTAATGCAACACAAGTTTTTTTATTTTTATGTCCCATTTACAAAATCTTTGCCTATCCCAAAATCATGGAGATTTTCTTTTTCCTGAAAGCGCAAATGTGTAAGTTTTCACATTTAGATCCACAATCAATCTGAAAGAATTTGGGGGAATGATGCTAAATAGAGGTCAAGTTTTGATTTTCCTTTTTCCATATAGATATTCATTTAGGTGCGGGATGATGTTACTTTTCTACAGACAGGGGTTGTCTTACCTTCTGGTTGTTTTGATAGAGTTGGGAAAGTTCTCTTCAGTTAAATGGGGCTGAGCTGATCTACAACTCATCTTCCATTTTGCAAGACTCCTTCAACCTCTGGTTTGCTCCTTCTCCGTGGCTGAACTCTCCAAGTGTCCTAATGCCTCCAAATTAATTTTGGTTTTGTGGAATATTATCCAGAGTTTCTAGTTATTCTCAATGAAAGCACTGGACTGCCACAAGCTATTCCATTTAGGCAGATACCTACGTCAGTCTAGCTACATTCCACAAACTCATCAACAATCTCCTCCAAAACATTTAAAGAAAAATGTTGTGTAGAACTCAAAAAGGTAAAAGAAAATGTCAGTGTTGGCAGCTATGGCTGCTCCATGTATCCTGTCATGGAAGGAGCTTTGGAATAAAACAAACCTGGGTTTTAATTCTAACTTGTCATTTATTAACTGTGTGACAATGAATCTTACTTCCAAGTGGGGATAATAAAAAACAACTAGTTTCACAGTTTTCTTGTGAAGATTAAATGAAAGAACAGATATCAAATACCTCGCAAATAGTAGGTATTCAATAAATAATAGATATTATTATGTAATATATTATAATTTCTCTTAGAGTTATAAAATGCACTCATCTCTTAGAAATAATAGAGAAGGAGTCGGGATAGGTGGACTTGAAAAGCAACACTCTTCTCTGAGCACCCTGTTAGATGCTGAAAAGGGGGAACTTGGTTGAACTTGTTTTATTCAAAATGATATCAAGGTCATTCACATACACAATACATTTTTTTCGTGGAAAGATGGTAGAAATAAATCATCTGAATTGAGTACTGTGGCAAATCTATTCCAAATGCTTCATTTTATAGATGAAGAAATTGAGTGGTTAAATGACTCGTACAAGGTCAATTCACTTGTTAGTATTTATTTAAATGACCCAAATTCCCTAAGATCATATATTTCTTTTCTTCTAACATACTCCTAGCTCCCATGTTTAACTATAAATGTAAAGCAGAGACAATTAATAATGTGTTATTATTACTAGCTCATTCTAACTAAAACCCATCGATCTATTTTTAAATATTTTATTTTAATTTCCATCCCCACAAATTATGTGACTTCCTGCCAACTATGATTGAAATAGGTACTTGCCATTCCTTTCCCATTTTAAGGATTATGTCCTGTAGCTTTTCATTTTTCTGTCTGTTATTAAGAAATGATCTGCCTTATCCTCTAATGTATGAAAGGAGCTCGTGCAAGCCTGTAGAACACAGCTCTCTTGAAGTCTACCTAGCAAAAAAGGGAGTGGGGAACCTCCATCCCTCTGGGCACTGGATACAAAGGTGATCATGTGCTTCTTTGGCACTTTCATCTCTGGGCAGGGACAGATCCTCATGCTTTCCAGCAAAGGCAGCCCTGTGGGGATCGTTTTTTGGTAAGACCCTGTGTCCAGCACATCTTTCAGCATTGTGTACTCT
This sequence comes from Homo sapiens, assembly GCF_000001405.40. Classification (NCBI taxonomy): domain Eukaryota; kingdom Metazoa; phylum Chordata; class Mammalia; order Primates; family Hominidae; genus Homo; species Homo sapiens. The sequence goes on from NC_000007.14 coordinate 134,841,785, forward strand.
ACGAACAGACATATGAGCCTGAATCCCACATGGACTGAGTAACTTGGAAGTTTCATGATCCCAGAGCACACAGCCATCTCATAAAAGCCTCACACCAGGCTTCTCAAGGGCTCTGCCTGGAACATGCTTCCTTCAGATCTTTACATGGGGGGGCTTCTTCCTAGAAATGTGTTTTTAGCCTAGATGTCTCCTTTTCAGAGAGACTATCCCTCACCATCCAACCTCCAGGGACCCTCAGTGGACCTCTTTACATCCTGCTGTTTTTTATTTGCTCACTCACTATCAGAAATGTATGGTGTCTGAACTCCAGCAGAGTATAAGCTCCATGGAAGCAGAGCCCTTGTACATCACCTTGTGCTGTGTCCTGAAGCAGAGGACTCACTCAGTGAACAAGCAAGTGGGCTCCTGTATCCACCAAATACACCCAGCATGGTGGGTCAGGCCCTGGCTTTGAATACTGGCCTCACCACTAGCTGGGTGAATTCAGGCAAATGACTTCAGCCAAGAAACTTCTCAGTGCTTATCCTAAGATAAGAATATGTATTTTACAAGGTTGTTACAGTCATCAAATGAAATAATGTGTGCAATGTGCTTAGCACAGGGCCTACCACTGAAAAATACTTAACAAACAATAGTTATTATTATTATTTCCATAATGAAAGCAAATCATATTATGAAAAAGTCACAGAGGAATTGTTTTATAAAAATGGTAATGTTGAAATCAGAGACCCTAATTCAACCATGTAAGATAAAATTTTAAATTAATGAAAATCTGGGTCTTCTTGTTAGTTATTTACAATTATTTATTTTTGTAAAGGATCCCTAATTTAACCTTTGCAATGATTCTCTGTTGAAATAAGTTATCATCTCACCCTCTGCTCTTAGTATCCATTTGGAAAATGCCATCTTTCTGAGAATACTTGCAGTAGAAATTTTAAATTAGGATATTAACCATCTCCTGTAAATATATGCTAGCAATGTTTTTCTATTTGTTTAATCTAGAAAGGTGCTAGTTACAGTTTTTCATGCTACTGAATGACTTTAGCTAGAGGTTTCCTGGGGGTTCTAAGAAAATCACTATTCTTAGGGGACTAGAAATCTGATCAAGAGGGAAGAAATTACTTCTTTCTTTTTATTACACCTTGGTTCTCCTATAGTAAATGTTTTCATATAAAACTCATTTCTCCCCATGCCCGAGGAGATGGTTAAATCAAAGGAGCAATAACTAGTGCCTGGCTGTTTGCCACTGGCTGCAATGGGGACTCGGGGAGGAAGACAGGCTCATTTGCCTAACAGGGCCCAGCTCCCTTCCCGTCTTCCTTCATCTTGGGCCTTTTCCTTCCTTACTACCTCCGGTCTAGACTCAGCTTTCCCTGCAGAGACCTTTGGCAACTGCTTCTGAGCCAGGGCAGCCAGCATCTGTGTGTCGGGCACTGCATTAAAAGCTATGGCTTAAAGGGCTCAAGGGAGGAATGGTTCACCCGGGCGTCTATTTGAAGTTGCGAGGTAACTGATGGGAGAGAAAGATCTTAAACAGGGAGTAAGAGCTTTAGCAACTCTCTGGCCCTTAGACCCTAAATCTGAAAATAGAAAGGAAAGAGATTATCTGAAGACAAACTCCACTGTTAGTGACTCTGCCATTCATTTTATGTTTTCTCTTGAAAGCCTTTCTGTCTTTGTCTCACTAACAAGGTAGTTCATGGACATACATAGACACTACAGACCAAAAAAGTTTTCCACTTATAACATTTTCTTCCTTCAGTTTCCCTTTATTCATTCTCAAATTTTGAAATAAAATTACTGAGGGGATTGGGAGCAGTGAAAAAGAAACTTGGCAATTAGATACTATCCCTGGGTTTGTCTTAACTATACCTCCTTCTCCAGAATAATTTATTCAGAATAAATGGATGGACTTTGCGATAACTGTATTTTCCTTAAAATGCAAATGCACAATAGCTATTTCTACCCCTGCCTTACTTCTCCCTTTAGATTCTAACTAACAACAGTACTTGAGGAAGAAATGATATTTGAAAATATATAGTCTGTATTAGCTAAAATTCATTCAACTGAATTATGTTTCCATCCTCCTTTTATTCCAGGTATCATTGGAACATTTCAAGATCATCAAATCAAATTCCACAGGGATTGGTGACCAACCAGAAGGCTCAGACATCTGATTGCTGACCTGTGAGTAAAGTTTATGTTTTATTAATACTTTGGGCTCTGCTCTTAGGAATTACACAGCCTCTGTGCCTGATATTCTAAATTCTTACATCTGAAGATGCACTGTGAGAAACCAGTTTTTCTGCTGTGGCCCTCCTACTTTACTTGCCAGTTAATTAATCAGTTAGAATCTATCAAGTTTTGAAGGATCTATCAAGTCTTTTATCCTGTTTTGTAATCTGATTTTTTTTTTTTGCTTTATTTTTAAATGTTTCCTGCAATGTAATATCTTTCACAAAACAGTCCTGGATCAATCATGAAGTCTTCACTTCCTGTGAAAAATGCTAGTGACTTGAATCAATAAAGACAACATGAGTCAGCCTTCCAAGGTGAATAAGCTCACCTTTGTGCAAACACTGGTGATCTCAGGAGTGCTAAGTACCCCTCACTTTCAACAAATCTCTCTCACCTGGGAGGAAAACTTCTACCAGAACAAGGACCACCTAGGGAGGTGAAAGAGGGGATTTCCACTTTAGAGGATGGAGAAACCAAAGGGCATTTCACTCATTCACAGTTTTGCTGAGCTTGGCTCCAGTAGGTAGAAAAGTTCTTCAGGAGTTCAGCACACCACTCAGGCAATTGTTGTTTCAAAATTCTATCTGTTGCCCCCATGCAAGTTTTCTCAGGCTACCATAGTGAAAATCCACAGACTGGGTGGCTTAAACAACAGAGATTTCTTTTCTCACCATTCTGGAGGGTAGAAGTCTGAGATCAAAGTGTTGGCATGGTGGATTTCTCGAGGCCCTCCTTGCAGATGGCCACCTTCTCCCTGTGTCTTCACGTGGTCCTCTCTCCGGGCACACACCTGTCTGGTGTCTTTCTCTCTGTGCCCAAATTTCCTCTTCTTGTAAAAACACCAGTCATATTGGATTAGGCCCACCCTAAAGACCTCATTTTAACTTAATCACTCTTTGAAGAACTCATCTCCAAATGCGGTTACATTCTGAGATCCTGAAAGTTAGGATTTCAACGTATGAATTTGGGGGAAATACCATTCAGCCCATAATGCTGCCACCATCATTTTCCCTCTCTAATATGCTGACTTTTTGTTTATTGCACGTGGGCTTCCCTCTGTTTCTCCCCTCCTGAACTCTTTTAGCGATTACATTACTCTCAGAGCATCTGCAGTTCTTAGAGTGTATTATAATCATTTGGGTACAGCTCTCATTTCCCTATGACATTCTATAAATTCTGAAATCAGAGAGTGTGCCTTTTACATCTCTCATAGCACTAGAGGAGGTTTTGTATACAGTAGACATTTTGTAATATTTATTAAATGAATGAATGAATGAATGGAAAGAGGATTAGATGCAGCCTCTGAACCTGCAATTTATTTGCTTTAAGACTGTCTCCAAATGATGAGTATTAAAGATGCTTTCTCCTCACTTCCTGCCCCCCAAGACAGGTAGAAATAAGTTAAGGCTGAGGAGAAAAATTGAAAGAAAGGTGTGATTGACTAATAGCAGGAGAGTTACCTTTCTCCCAGAGGTAGGAAATAGTAAATAGCACAAGCATGCCCCAGTTAAGGTGGCCTTTCCACAAGAAAACTGTTCGGGGATCCAAGAGGGACTTACTGAGTTTGAAGCCTGTGGGACATGCAAGGGCATGTGTCTAGAAAACAATGCATATGCAGGTCTGAAGGTCAGGTGAGAACCAGAGATGTTCACAGTCACCACCTACAGGCAGGAAGCAGCAGTGTGTCAATGAATGAGGCCACCAAGGAAGACTGTGTAGAGGGAGAGGAGCAGTGGCTTAAAGATTCCATCAGAAATTGTGTATGGAAATTTTTCCTGCTAGATAACAGGAGAAGGACCCGTCCAAGAGGAAGAACACTGCACGATACTTCTAATGAAGCTGTGTGAGAACATGTAGATGAGCTAATGTGTGTGTCTATTTTTTCTCCCCTAGTGTTTTTGGACCTATTTTGTTCCTTCTCTGTCCTGTCTTTTGGGGGCTATGCCCCAAACCATTCCTGTGAGCCTTCTCCTACCCACCTTTGCTCCCTTCTAGCTAACTCCACCTATGGTCATTGTCCAACTCCCCTGCTGCCTGCTCAGGGAATCTTAGACAAACTTCCTTTGGGCCCATTTTCTTCATCAGCCAATCAGAGCTGATCAGAATGGACAGGAGGGGAGGCCAGGATGAGAATCCTTAATGACCAAAGAGACAGAGGCAGGTCGTTTTCAGGGTCAGGTGGCTGTGACGCTATGGTCACAGAGCATCATCTTGTTTAGTCAGTAAAGGCCCCAGATAGGGGTGGAGGGCTGTGCCTCTTTTGCCCTGAACTCCCTCCTTTGTCCATTGTCCCCTGCTGATTGTCCCACTCCACCTGTTCCCCAGAATAAGCTTTGGCAGTATTTTAGGGTTTCCCTGCCAGACCAGAGAGTGGAGGGGCCAGGCCATGGCCCCTGACAGTCATTACCAGCCTCCCCTCTCTAGGCCTCACCATCAAATGTCATTTCTCACGGAGCCATATTTACCCCTGGGCTGAATTTCCCTAATTTGCCCTGCTAGCATGATGCAAATAAAAGGGGTAAAGGTATTTATTCATCTCTCTTTTATTTTCCAAAGTGTTATTTCTTTTCCTTTAAGTTCTCTCCTTGCTTTATGTTTCTTCTCTCTCCCTTAGTTCTCCTTCCTTAGTAGAAACCCTTGAGCTTCAGGGTGATTTTCTGATTATGAGCAGAAGAGGCTATCAGAGATCTGGAAGCCACCTCCTGCATTTCTTTATTCCCCCTCCTCACCCAATTGTTTTAAATGTACATTGAGATACCAGCTTTCTTCAAGAACCCACTTCCACACTTTCCTCTTTGTGTTCTTGGAGTAGCCAGGAAAAAGATGCCCATTTTCTCGAAGGTACCCAAAATGTCAGTGACACTTGGGTCAGTGATTTTATGCAAATTACTAATTATATCAAATGAGAAATGTTGAAAGCAAGAGGAAACCCTTTGCAATCCATGAATGGTCTAGTTGGGGTGTTCCAATGAATGATGGCCAGTGGCCAACATAGGTGCCTCCCGACTGTGTTTCATTAATTTCAGTCAGCTCGTGGGCTTGGAGAGAAAGATCATTTTCCTATGAGCACGTAAAAGAAGTGCTTTGAGTTGTAAGCACTTCGAAGGCTTTGCCCTTGTTTTCGAATGGGAGATTTTATAACCACTGTGGGCCAGTATTTTTGAAGTCAGTCGAAGCTCCAGATGGAGTGGAAAGAGAAGCTTGGGTTTTTATTTTCTTCTTCTTTTCTTGAGTTTTGCAGAATGAGCCTCCCTGGAAACCTTGACAAAGTCCTTAGTCTCCTTTGGTTCAGGTGGGCCCAAGCTTTTTATAGTAGGATCTGAAGGGATCTTTCTTAAACTAAGATTCCTTCCTGTGGGTTTTTAGTAGTGGCTGTAGAACTAGGCTTATATGGGAGAAGGTCTGGAATCCACTCCCTTCCCTGGGAGTCTCCTCTCAAGGAGACCACTCTCAGGGTCCTTGTCATGAGATATGAGAAGAAAAGTCCACAATGAGCCTGGGCATAGTCCAGATTTGGTTAAGGATTGAGGGGACACGAGGTCACAGGTCCCATGGGACTCCCAGCGTTCTGGAAACCTCCATAGTAAAGAGGGTAGAGGACATTCCAACACCACCACGTGCAGCTTTAGTAACCTTGCCCAAATAAACGTGTTTCCCCGGCCAGGGAATTGCACCTGGTCTTAAGAGGCACCTCCATGAAAACACACCTTTCTGCCTGGCATGACCATTGACAGAGAAAGACTGTGCTGAGAAGGGGGATACAGCAGGGAGAAAAACACACAACGGTGCCAGGAGCTCTTGTCTAGAACTCCTTTCCAGGCTTTTTTTCCCCATAAGCGCAAGTGAGTACACAAGTAAAGAGAAAAGAATGATTGTGCTATTTAGCTTTGAACCAAAAACTATCAAGCCTTTCCTAAGGTTCCAACTGGAATAGCATTTGTACAGTTACAGGACACAGACTCAATTGCTTCTGAACTCTGCTTTAGGATGCCTAACAGGATTAAGTTGTGAACATCTCATACCACGCCGTGCAACAGTACTCAAATAGGACTTAAGCAGAACAAACAGTCTGGGGAAAAAAAAAAAGCCCTAAGACATTTTCCTTCCTACTATTCTCTGTATCCCAGGCTCAACTTAATGCCAAATTAAATCTGGATTTTTTTTTAATAGACGTTTCCTAGAGGAAAAGGCAGAGCTGCATTCCCTGAAACATATTTTAGCCCAAACTTATAACTTGGATTTTTTCTTTCCTCCTCCCTTTCGCTAATTCAAAACAAAATGTCCATCACGCACTCTAACACCAGCCTCTAAGAGCTAGAGACAAATGAAGTCTGAATATTCACGCCAATGTGGTACAAATGAGCTGTGATTTCAGGATGCTGGCTGTTTTACTGACAGGGGAAAAGGGCAGTTGACTAGTTTAATATATTTGGCTGAAAACACTTTGCTAAAGAGCAGTGAAGAAGGCCAATGTTAATAATGAATCCTGTTCTTTAATGACCAAATATGATATATCATGGAATGGGGCATCCTGAGTTTGGGGGAAAGCATTTCACCATATCCACAGGATGCAGACGAGAATGAATGCAAACATACTGCATTCATGTTGGGCCCTAATGAAGAAGCTCTTCTAGGAGTATTTTCTCCAAGTTCCTCAAAGAATTCCTCCCATAAGTATATGATACCATGATTTTGAATCTGATTTCACACAGAATTACAAAATTATAAATATAAAGACATTTGTTATTATGAGAGACTCCGGGAATCTAGCTAACTGTCTCCCATTATTGGCTAATGGTTTATAAATTTTAAAATGCAATTATAAGTTGGGGTTGATGAGGGAAGCCTGTGACCACCATTAGCACCTTCCTTAAATATGCATATTCAGTCAGTCGTTAATTCATTCATTCTACAGATATCACTGGATTGGACCTTCTCCATCTCACGTGCCATATTAGTTCTGTGTTACATTTGCAATTCTAGTATTCCTTACCATAAAATGGGCTTTTTTTTAATTAAATGCAATGGAAAATTTTGTGAATCCAATGACGTGTTCAGTGACGTAAATTGTGATTTCTAATACTGTATTTATTTTTCATTGGCTTCGTCTTGGCAAAGGGTCATAATATTTTAAATTTCTCTGCCCTCTCATCCACCTATCACACTTTATTATGCGGTTTATAGGCAAAACACAGGCATGCACTGGCTATATCTGTAAATCTACTTTTCTGCAAATCACTTGAAGGGTAATGCATAATTGCCCCCTACATTATTGTTTCCTAGATTCTAACTTTTGTATAGAATGTTGTTAAAAGCAGATTATAATGTAGTTCCAAGTATGCTGCTTCCTCTGTATCCATAGGGGATTGGTTTCAGGACTCCCGAGGATACCAAAATATACTGATGCTCAGTTCCCTGATATACAATGGCACAGTATTTGCACATAATCTATGCATATCCTATCGTATACTTTAAATCATCTCTACCTCTAACACCTAATAAAATGTAAATGCTATGTAAATCACTGTTATACTGTATTTCCTATTATATTTTTTATTGTTGTATGGTTTTTTTAATTGCGTTGGTTTTTTTTAAAAATATATTTTTCTATCCCTGGTTGATTGAATCTATGGATGCAGAACCCATGGATATGGAGAGCTGATAGTAATTGAATTTAAAAGCAAAATAAGGGTGCTGTGATATTTTTATGAAATGCTCATGAGAATCAAAGATGAGAGACCAGAAGCCAATTTACCGTGAAGTCAGTAGAGTTTAAGCCGCAGGGCCTCTCATGGGGAGAGGTCCCTGCCTCAACACCCCCATGCCTAACTTTTTACATTTACTATTGTATTCTGGTTTTCCAAGAAGGCCTCTCAAATAATCTTCAGGTCCCACAAAACCTGGATCTGCCCTGAAACTGACACAGATATACTGAGATGATTTAGCATCGTGTCTAAAGCTAATTAAGTAAGCAAAGCAAAGAAATGGTCAAAGTGTGAAATGTGATCATTTATTTTTTTAAGGCTTTAAGACAAATTCAGCTTATTTTCTAAAGTGAACCCCACTTAAGTGAAATAATAAATCAGTTTGCCAAGGCACAAGTGAACATAAACAGAAGATTCATTTTTACTTCATTAATAAACATCAAATATGAACGGAACCTAACATCAAGCAGGCCAAGGCCTCCTGCTGACAGGAAACAGCTCCTAGTAAGAGCATTTGTAGAAGAACATAAATCCTTCCAGGCAATCACGTGATCATTTCATCATTGAGGTCCTTGCTACAGTCTACTATGTATTATCCATTTACAGGTCTTGTGAGATGTAACAGAGTGTTGTGATTAAAAGCACACAATCTGGGGCTGAGTTGCCTGGATGTAGACCCCAGCTCTACCACTTACTAGCTATGTGACCTTGGGCCAATGACTCACCTTCTCTGGGCCTCTGTCTTTTCATCTGTAAAATGGAAATAATAAGGATTGTCACAAGGATTTAAACTGATATTATCACAGTTCTTAGAACTGTGCTTGGTACATAGTAAGTGCTACATAACTGTTGTCGAAAGAAATCAACTTATCCATCTAGAATGAAAGCTATATGGGATTGCTTGTGGGTTCACTCTTGCAACTCCTCACAGTGCCTAACATGGCACATGGTCAGCCATCAGTGAAAGACAGCAACCCAGGGCCCATGCTGCCCTGCAAATGTGCTTCCCTTGTCCACCCTTGATGTGGTTTGGCTTTGTGTACCCACTCAAATCTCACCTTGAGTTGTAATATTCCTCATGTGTCATGGGAGGGACCAGGTGGGAAGTAATTGAATCTTGGGAGTGGGTTTTTCCCTGTGTTGTTCTCATGATAGTGAATAAGTCTCACAAGATCTGATGGTTTTATAAAGGGGATTTCCCCCACACATGCTCTCTCTAGCCTGCTGCCATGTAAGACGTCCCTTTGCTCCTCATTCACCTTCCACCATGATTGTGAGGCCTCCCCAGCCACGTGGAACTGTGATTCAATTAAACATCTTTCCTTTATAAATTACCCAGTCTCAGGTATGTCTTTACTAGCAGTGTGAGAATAGACTAATACAAGCATTTTTTTCAAATTTTGAGTCTGAATGCTCATAGGGATGCAGGGATGCATATGTTCTCCATTTTCCCATAAGCTACCACTCCCCAAATAGTTACCTCTTTGGTCCTTTAAGCTATTTGAGTTTGTCATGCCTGATATAAATGAATGATCCCATAATACACGAACACTGCAACAGTTAGTGGCAGTTTTATGGCTCACTGGAGTAAAGAGATGGGCCCATAAGGAAGTGAAATATGAGTCACTTCCACTCCCTGATGCTCTACCTGCAAACAGTGTTCCGGTTAACCTACCTATCCCTGTTTCTAAACTAGAGGTCTCAGAAGGGAAATAGGAAATCAGGAATCTGAGCAAGCACTTGCTTAGAAACAGAGACGAGTACAACCTAATGTCAGAGCTGGCCAAGACTCTATCAGTCATGACAAGCTAGGTTATGCTGGTGTCAGAAACAGCCAAAATCTCAGCAACGTCAAAATGAACGTGTGTTTATCACTCATGCTTTGTCACTAACCCTGGATAGGCAAGGGTTTCTAGTCCACATCACTGTCATCCATGCTTAGCCACCCCTACTGACAATGACTGTCTGGAAATCTTACCAACCATGATGGAGAGAAAAGAGCTCTTTGGAGGGTCTCCTATTGGCAAGTCTACCCCAGAAGTGACATGATACTTCTGCTCAAAACTCATTGGCCAGAATTAGCCACTTGGCCCCAGATGACCACAAGGGGCAAGCACAATACTATAATGTGCCCAGAAGAAGTAAAACAAGAATATGGGGCAAACAGCACAAAGGATCACAGCTGTGACATTATTTGGAACTTGGAGTCTCAGGCCAGAATTCTTAAGCTTTTCAATGAGTTCAACTCAGCAAATATTTCCATTCATAAATAACTGCACAGCAAAGTACTCAGCACTGTGAGGGGATGTCAGAGGAGATGTAGGCCTTGACACTGAGCAGCTTCAGACTTGGTCAAGAGAAAGTGATGGTACAAAACATTTGAACAGCAAGGCCATATAGTATTGATCACCAAGAACAAGGCCAATAATTGCTGTAGAAGCTGAAAGGGAGGGTGGTTCTGGGATAAAGATAGGACTTGAGCTGGACTCTAGAAAAATATAGGGGATTTGCAGGAGTGGAGGGCACTTCAGGTTATGGGCAGCAAGAAGCCAGAGACAAAGGCCCAGAGGCAGAAATGAGGGTGAAATTATTGCAGGATTCAGGAGTTTGGCTTGGCTGTAAGTTGTGTTTGCATGGGAGGGTAGGGTGGGGAGAGGAATCATGTGATGGATAGAGTGGAGCCATTTCACAGTGAGTTTCTGGGTTCTGCAGAGAAACAAGATGGTGGTATGTGGGAGGAAGATCATTTTTCCTGAATAACTCCATTCAAAACCAAGGAATTTGCACCTCCCAATCACCAGCCTTTCCCAGCACATTTATTCCCCAAAACAAGAGTCCTGAATACCCAACAGCTTCCCAGACCTTCTAGGCAGTCATTGAATGGAGACAGTAGTAAACCCTGGGCTGCTCCTGCCTCCAGTTTAAAGCATCTTTGATCACTTCTGCTGACAAAGAATATCCAAGTTCAAGTGAAATAGCCTCTTATTGCTGGGGTCAGTGTAGCCTTTTTGCTATGTAACATCTGTTTTTAAGATTCGGCTGAGAGCTGAGACCTTGACTTAAATCTGTTTAACTTAAAAAGCAGCAAGAGAACATCTTGTTTTCATGAATGTCCAGGGGCTGTGTGTCAACAAATAAAAGGTCTGCTTGTGGTACTCAAAGTGGAAAAGCTGGTTGTGAGATGTTCTGCCACTGGGATAAATTTATTATGGACTGTTTGTCTCTTGGAATCATGCACCAGCATTTGAAAATAAATCAGCATATTTCTGCTTGATGGCGTGTTAGAACCATGCTTTTATTGTCGGAAGTTCACAGAGCTGGATGGGTCTAGAAAGATGCCCTCTTTCATGCCTCCCACCTTAGCTGCATGAAGTTAATGTCTTAACGTGGATTCCCCGGGTCTGCATGAATTCTGGCAACAGTTTCTGATGGATCATTATTTTTATGTGACTTATGTAGGACCTGAAGTGGGAAAGAAGTGGGTGAGACTAGTTCACCATCCCTCAAATCTGACTAGTTGCTTTTCTCCTCACCCACCTATTTAGGAGAGAGAAGTGGAAAGGAATTTTATTTATCTGCACCTAGGGGAGCAAATGTCTGGCATGTACTCGATGTCAATTTAATTTGTTGAATGAATACAAACTCCAGTCTTATAAATTTATGTTCCCCGTATGAATTCATGTCTCTATATATATTAATGTCATTCCTTTTGGAAAAGGTGATTACCACCCAGATCTTATTCTAACACATAGGAAACCATTAGATCGTTCCTGTAGTTCTCTCTCATAGTAGCTTCTTTTTTTCTTCTTTTTAGGTTTCTTCCTAACATTAACCTAATTTGTATTTTATTTGTTGATTGCCCATCTCCACCATCAGACTACAAGCAACTTGAAGGCAGAATAGCTGCATTCACATCTTATATGCTACACTAAGCAAGGTAGCTAGTACATGAATATTTCATAAACATTTATTGAATTTTTTATTTATTTATTTTTATTATACTTTAAGTTCTGGGGTACATGTGCAGAACGTGCAGCTTGTTACATAGGTATACACATGCCATGGTGGTTTGCTGCACCCATCAACCCATCACCTACATTAGGTATTTCTCCTAATGCCATCCCTCCCGTAGCCCCCCACCCCCACCCCGACAGGTCCCAGTGTGTGATGTTCCCCTCCCTGTGCCCATGTGTTCTCATTGTTCAACTTCCAATTATGAGTGAGAACATGCGGTGTTTGGTTTTCTGTTCTTGTGTTAGTTTGCTGAGAATGATGGTTTCCAGCTTCATCAATGTCCCTGCAGAGGACATGAACTCATCCTTTTTATGGTTGCATAGTATTCCATGGTTTATATGTGCTACATTTTTTTTAATCCAGTCTATCATTGATGGACATTTGGGTTGGTTCCAAGTCTTTGCTATTGTGAATAGTGCTGCAATAAACATACGTGTGCATGTGTCTTTATAGTAGAATGATTTATAATCCTTTGGGTATATACCCAGTAATGGGATTGCTGGGTCAAATGGTATTTCTAGTTCTAGATCCTTGAGGAATTGCCACACTGTCTTCCACAATGGTTGAACTAACTTACACTCCCACCAACAGTGTAAAAGCATTCCTGTTTCTCCACATCCTCACCAGCATCTGTTGTTTCCTGACTTTTTAATGATCTGCATTGAATATTTTTATTAAAGTTCTCATTGGGATGATGGTTGTAGAGTCTCAGCCACTCTTGATTGTATCTGAATTTAAATATAATGCAGAAGACGACAGGACTTATAATGCAGCTGAATATGTAGGGGCCTTTTGTTTAATGACACACTCACATTCATTTGGCCATACACGCTACTGAAGGTCACGGCGGGATGGGCTAAACTAACCATCTCTATTTTCTCAATTTAAGGTGGTCAGCTACATCTGTCATATAGCTGGCCCGGATTAATGTCATAGCACAGGGCCATAGCTTAGGATTTTTTTCCCCTCAAATGAGTAACTCATTCCTGGTGGGATAAATCTGTGACTTTAGCCTTATTAGCAAGAAATTCTGGCCCACGAAGCTATCTGGTAAAGGCAGTGTGATATGGTTTGGATTTGTGTCCCTGCCAAATCTCATGTCGAATTGTGATCCCCATTGTTGGAGGAGGGGCCTGGTGGGAGGTGATTGGATCATGGGGAAGGATTTCCCCCTTGCTGTTCTCGTGATACTGAGTGAGTTCTCACAAGTTATGGCTGTTTAAAAGTGTGCAGCACCTCCCCCACTCTTTCTTCCTCCTACTCCCGCCATGTCAGGCATGCCTGCTTCCTGTTTGCCTTCCACTATGATTGAAAGTCTCCTGAGGCCTCCCCAGCCATGTTACTCATACAGCCTGCAGAATCATGATCCAATTAAAGTCTTTTCTTTATAAATTACACAGTCTCAGATGGTTCTTTATAGCAGTGCAAGAGCAGACTAATGCACAGTGCAAGGATCTAGGGTCAGAAAGGTGTTTTGGTGCTCAACAGACCTATGGCTTAATGTCCACGTTCACTTGTCCAGTGGTCAATGCAGATCTTTCTGGTGATCAAGCACAATATGAATACTCTCACTTGAGGGGTACGAAGGTGGATTCATTTGCTCCATTTTTCTTTGGCTTCCTGTGTAGATGGAATTGAAATGGGAATGATATGTGCATTCCAAAGGATCTCAAGAGAAATGCTCATTCGTTTACAAGAGGTGCAATCCCACAATAGTTTCTTGCTTTGTATACTTGAAAACATTCCCAAAGAAACAAAGTTGGATGCAGAAAAGATATTGGGAGAAAAGAAAAATAATACTCCAAATTCTGAACAATTCTACTTTAACATGTTGATCTGTCTGCCAGCTGGCCACAGGGTTGACTACTTGTAATATATACTTTTGGTAGGCCACATGTAGTTCTTGGAACTGTTTATATTCGGCTGCAGAAACTTAATTATTCTAAAATTGGCAGAGTGATCTTTGGTTACTTAATACAAAATTGCTTAGTCATCTTTAAACATAGTGTGGACAGCTTTTGTTTAAGTGTGAAAAATTAGGAATTGCAAATGTACTCCAAAGAGATTTTAGGTCAGGGAGAAAAACAAGAAAGTATCATTCTTTCAAGATATTTAGCCCGGTGGTTGCCACATGTTTTAATTTGACAAGCTAGGTAACTGTCGAGTTGAAGTCCTTGATTACAAGTATTTTTCCATTTTCTTTGTAGATATTGTCAGAAGTAGAAAGCTGTTGCTGCTGCTTCTTAGATGGTATTCTAATCCTACACTCTGCAAAGTATAGGTTTTTCAGCAAGAGTGTGAGGAACTCTAACATCAGCTGCTGGAACAGCTTTCTTGTTCTACGAAGCGAACAAGGATGCCATTTCAAGCTGGTTGTCACAAAGATCCTCCTTTTGCCTCTTTTGGTTTGAATCCTCGAACTGTTGCCTTCCACGTATAGTACAGAGCTATAGTGCTTTAGCGAGGAAACAGGCAGGCAGAGTGAGCTTCTGCATTTTTTAAAGTCTAAAGTGGCACCGGAAGTTTCTAGTTTTTCCAGGAATGCCCATGGCAACCTCACACTTTTCCTGTGATCTGGGCTGGGGCTCCTAAGAGAGATGGTGAGAAAAGATAAAAGTCCTGTAGCCAATGGGTAGCCACGCGAGGCCTGGGAAGGGTAGGTTCCCAAGCAAACCTCCAGAACGGTGCCTTATGTTTCTAATTACTGAGCATGGTTAGAGAGCAAAATCAGGCAACAGTTTTTTTAGACTGATGGAAACATTTAATTGGCTCTGAATGTCAGTGTTTTCTAATTATGATAGAGGGGTAGCAAGAAGTTTCCAAAGGCTGCGGAAATTTGAAGTGTATCAGCTGAATTCTGATTCTCTTCTTTTCTTATTCATCCTGTCTTCTTTTTCTTTCAACATCCAAGAACAAACCTATTCCCTCAGTTAAATGCCTAATACTCCTCTTCCTGAAATCGAAATGTCTCTCTAAGACCAAGTTCTTTTCCACTAGAGAAAAACAACCACAACTACAAATCAGAATATAAAATAGAGTTCCATAGTAAACCACCACCATTCCCAAGGTTACTAAGAGCTCAGCCAGAGAAACAGCCTTTTGATAACGTCTTAGCCAAGTTCATTTGTTTAACAACTAAGTTCAACAAATAAACACTGCCCTGGCATCTGTTCCAACTCAACAAGTGTGAGCCTAATGCGGAGTATAAGAAAAACAGTCAGTTAAGAACTTTGAGGGATCACGAAAGACAGTAATCATTTCTAAGAGATAACAACCTTTTACAGAAGACAAATATGTACTTGGTAATTAAAATACAAGCTATAGACTAAGTGCTCCAATAGAAATACAACATGGGTATCAGTACAAACTCAGGCTATTGAGTCAGTTGTTCAAAGATCCTATGGTTTTGCGCTATTCTTTTTTTTTTTTTTTTTTTTTTTTTTTGGAGACAGAGTCTCGCTCTGTCACCCAGGCTGGAGTGCAGTGGCGCGATCTCGGCTCACTGCAAGCTCCGCCTCCCGGGTTCACGCCATTCTCCTGCCTCAGCCTCTCCGAGTAGCTGGGACTACAGATGCCCGCCACCACGCCCGGCTAATTTTTTGTATTTTTAGTAGAGACGGGGTTTCACCGTGGTCTTGATCTCCCGGCCTCGTGATCCGCCCGCCTCGGCCTCCCAAAGTGCTGGGATTACAAGCGTGAGCCACCGCGCCCGGCCAGTTTTGTGCTATTCTTAAGCAGGCCCCAACTGTGAGCCATTCCCTACCTGAGGAAAAGTCCAGGTATCCCCAAACTAATAAATGAGTGAAACTGCTATCTAAATGACTCATTACTATCTAAATTACTATCTAAATATAAAGAAAGAGGAAGCAATCTAAGTACTTTTCAACTTATTATTTATCTGTAAATATATATGCTTAAATTATATGTCTGTTACATCCAAGGGACATAGCAGATAACATCCTTTAGTTGGGTTTCAAACCTTTCCACCTTGGATTATAAACTTCTAGAAGGTAGTTTTTAACCTGCTTTGCAGTTCCAGAATACAGTAAACACACTTGATGATCATGATGAATAGAAGTCAAATAATTCACTAGAGAATAATTAGTCCCTGATCAGTAACAGCTTGTCCTTCACATACAAAAATACTGCTATTAACAAAGCACCTCTAGAACACACCTTTGAATTGTTTTCAGCACTATAAATGGATTTGCATCCTGCCATCTAAGCTATCCTACTTTATATTAGCAAGATAGCTGGCCAAGGCTCTGTATCACTAAACTGGAAGTGTTAGTTGAACAAACCAGTCACAAAAAGCAGGCACATGAGTTGCTGACTTTTTTTTTTTTTTAGCTGAGTAGTTCAGCAAGTCCAGAAGGCCATGCACAAGTTAAACTACTTTTATGTAAAATATGGTGATCTCTGCAGCATGTTTACAACTGGGAAAGGCCCATGGCTTCTGAACTTTCATTCCATGTGAACCACTCTTGGGCCTTGTTACTTAACTTGAAGTGTGATCTTTCTTCAGCCAGTGTCTCAGCTTCTTTTGTATTTGCCAAGCATTTCACTTTCTCAGTTGCAAGTGCCCAGTCACAGCTAGATTGCCCCCATCCAAAAAGCCTCCATAGGAAAATGGAGAGAGTACCAATGAGGGAATTATGAGAGCACAGCCATGCTTTGAGATGCTGACCCATACAACACCCCACAACTTACCACATCTTTTCTATGAGATTGTAAGGTCTTTGAAGACAGAAACCATATCTAACATACCTTCATGTCTCTGAAGTGCATAGCATTACTTCACTCAGTACAATCATTTCATATTAGGAGTTGAAAGATCTCTTTTTTTTTTGAGACAGTCTTGTTATGTCACCAGGCTGGAGTGCGGTGGCATGATCTCGGCTCACTGCAACCTCCACCTCCCAGGTTCAAGCGATTCTCCTGCCTCAGCCCCTTGAGTAGCTGGGACTACAGGTGTGCGCCACCACACCCAGCTAATTTTTGTAATTTTAGTAGAGACAGGGTTTCACCATGTTGGCCAGGATGGTCTCAATCCCCTGACCTTGTGATCCACCTGCCTCGGCCTCCCAAAGTGCTGGGATCACAGGTGTGAGCCACCACGCCCAGCCAGGAGTTGGAAGATCTTATAGTAGAGCTGTCCAGTAGAACTTTCTGCAGTGATGAAAACATTCTCTGCACCGTCTTATATGGGGGCCACTAAACACATAATGGCTACTGAGCTCTTGAAATGGGACTGGTGAAGCTGAGGAACTGAATTTTAAATTTTATTTATTTTCAATTTAAATGACCTCGTGGCTGGTGGCTACCATATTGGACAGCATAGCCTTAGAATCTTAAAAAATATATTTTCGCCATAACCCTAAATAGATGGCCACTTCTTCTCCCTGGCTTTTTCAGGGATAGGGGTCTACCCTTTCCATGCACCCCCATTTTTGGGTAGTTGCGCTGGAGCCAGCCCTCCCTGTATCTGAATTATGTGTGATAATATTGTGAATGCCTCTGTTAGTCAGGCATACATTTAGAAAGCATCTTTACATATTTGTTGCAAGTCTACGCATTTTTTCTCACATGGACACAAGGTAGTGGAGAATTTCCACCTTGCCTTAGGGTTTACGCTTGTGTCATTTGTTCTTCTCTAGTGGCCAATAGAGCAGCATGCCTATTCTGATTTAGCATTAAACTCTGTCTTTCAGCCTAATTCTCCTTGAGTTCATCAAGGAAAAGTATTTAAATGCTTGAAAAGAAAACAGAAGAAGTCGTGTCCCAAATTTTCACTTCTCTTCATTCTTCTAAGAAACTTTCAAGTTGGTTTAGAAATTAGTCTAAATGCCAATCCTGGTTTTCCACTGATTTGTAGTGGTTAAGGAGCTAATGTCAAAGCTTTATATGTCTCAGTCTCCTTTCTTCAAATGGGGTTG
Source organism: Homo sapiens (assembly GCF_000001405.40). Classification (NCBI taxonomy): domain Eukaryota; kingdom Metazoa; phylum Chordata; class Mammalia; order Primates; family Hominidae; genus Homo; species Homo sapiens. The sequence goes on from NC_000007.14 coordinate 134,859,678, forward strand.
AATTGATTCTTCTTACTTGGGAGGATCAAATAATGATAACCATAAAGTTTTGAAAAATATAAAGTGCTCCAAATTAAGGTGGTGATATTTGTGATAACACTTGAAGATGCAACCTAAAGTCCCTAAACATGGTGTCTTCCTAAGTGTTGAAGTTAGTATATACAAAAACCATCATTTCACAAATCTAAACTACTCAAACTGTCTGCTACTCAGAAGGTGAAAGAAAGGGCATAAAGACATTGGCTTTAATAATGTTAAATCTGCCAGGTCTTCTGTTTGCTAGTGGAGAAGTACAAATAGAGAAATGGTAATGCTAAGAGATTGTGCGGGGAAGGCAAGGGAAAAACAGGTCATAACCTGTTAACCTGCCCTTAGTATGTTGGATTCCATTGATTAGAGAAAAGAAACACCTTGAGAAGACAAAGTGCCTCAGGTTGATTGTATTCACTCTTATTTCTATGCTGCTGTTCTTGACAGACCTGCCTTGGTAAATGCATGTATTTTTTTAAAGTAGCACAGATTTTTGGAACAAGATGGTGAAGGTTGAGCTAAAGTTAAGTGCAAACTGTACATTATAATCCATTTGTTTATTTGGTTTTTCAATCCCAAATGAACCATTGAGCTCAGAAAAGAGCAAAGTGGGTTGACAAATTGATTTTTTTTGAAAAGAACAAAAGTTCATTTGGTACAGTCGGAAAGAAAGTGCTGCCAGATTTACTGTGTAACTACTGCAAATGTGGGTTTATATAATTTTTGAGATTCATACATAGTCAATTACCAAGGTCTTTGATTCACTTTGTAAACACTGATCAGTCAATAAAGTACAGAGAGATGAATTGGCTTGAGTTACATTTTCCATACTCAGAATGGTAAAATCTAGAATAGAAATCCAGTGGCTCAAATTGGCTACAATTTCTGAGTGCCTACTCTGTCTCAATTGTGGAAAAATTTTTTTAAAGACTATATCTTTTCATAAGTGGCCTTAAGAACAAAAGCATATGGAAAGTAAAATACTAATACAAATATTTAAAGACTAGCTAAAGAGAACAATTGATGAGCTGTAGCTGACAGTGTGTTATTGATTATCAACATGAATTATAGATATTCAAGGAGGGAATTGTCGCTTTTAAGCTAGGGTTCTCAGGAAAGGGTATCATGAGGGAAGTAAAATTTGAGCATGAAATTCATGATTGAATAAAAATATGGATAGTGAAGATGTAGATTAAAAAGAATGAGTAAAAATGTAGAGGTAGAAAGTTGTAAGACATATTTGAGAGGTGATAAAATATTTTTATGTAGGATGCTGTGGTATGATCAGCTTGAAAGGAAGGTTAATGGTTTCTAGATCAAAAAATTAAATGAGAACAGACTTAGATACTCAACACATTTATGTCTGGGAAGGAGGAAGAAGCATGGATATGTCATGTGTGATACCTCCAGCTTTGCTGGCTCAAGCAGGTATACAGCCATAGTATTATTATGTGGCGTAAGATGAAACTTTGAATATTATCTCTCCAACCAGCTCACTTTATAGAGAAACAAAGCTCATAGAGCTTCAGTCTCAGTCTCCTAGGTCTCATTCCAGGTCACTATTTGCCAAGGGTTTGTGAAGGAAAACAGTTAAAGGGTCAAGGTAAGCGATGATCATTGCAGATCAGAGGTAGGAAATCTGCTGGAGTATGTTGTACCCAGAAATCACCCAATACCTGTAGGATGAAGAGAAACATCACTGAGTTGCAGCGATGGCCCAACTGAAATGAATGCAAATCTTTAGGATATACACGACATGCTCCCTTTCTCCCACAAAGCACTGAATCTCAAGAACACAAAACAGAAAGCAGGTGATAGGTGTGATTCAAGGTTGAAGATGGGTGTGACAAGCCTGGTGGAACTTTAAAGAAGCAAGAAAGTCTAAACTATCAATTCCAGGAAGGCAAAGACCTTTTCTGTCTTGTTCACTGTTATACCCCAGTGTCGAGAACAGTACCTGGCACATAGTAGCTGTGCGGTAAATATTTATTGTATATTGATTGTATAAATGTTTTTGTGAGGCCTCACTGAAGTAGCTGAATCATGAAATTTACAGTGGGTGCAAAATGATGGCTAGTCAGAGAGGACCTGTCTAATAATGGTTTTGAGTGTTCCAAGACTAGAGTTCCTTGCGAGAGCAGAGAAATGATGATGTTGTGAATGAGGATACAGTGGGTTAGAGGAGGAAGATGTGTAATGAAGAAGGTACAATATAAGAGAAGAAACTAAGATATTGAAGAAAAGTATGCAATGATGCTGTCGAGGATACAGCCATCCTGAGTTACGAATTTTACAAAGCACTAACAATAAATTAACAGAGATGAAATAAGCATTTGGAAGGCTAATTCAATTGAGATCTTTTGTGACTTGATAATTCTATGATTTAAACCAAACAGGTTGTAAACCGAAGGCATAGGTAATTTTTAGGATTATTTCTTACCTAAGGTTATATGATCCAATGAATCAATGTGGCAATCACTGATAATAGTCCTCTCAGAACTTCTTTGGGGCACTCTTGTTTGTTCCCTGAAATGGGAAACAAATCCTAGAGAGAAATAGTGGATTAGTCCTATTATAGTGGTTAAGTGTATGCACTTTGAAATTCCATAAAATGGGGATTATACTAGCTACCTCACAGATCTGTTACCCAGATAAAGTAAAATTACTTATATTTTAATGGCCCAGCAGAGCTATCAGCCATGAAAAGACTTGAAGGAAACTTAAATGTGTGTTGTTAAGTGGAATAAGCCAATCAGAAAAGGCTACAGACATACTGTATGATTCCAACTATATGATATTCTGGAAAACTCAAAGCTGTAGAGACATAAAAACATCAGTGATTGCCAGGGTTTTGGAGTAAGGAGAGGGAAGGGATAAATGAGTGGAGCAGGTGGGGTTTTTAGGGCAGTGAAGCTATTCTGTATGATGCTACTATGGTGAATACATGACATTCGGTATTTGGTGAAACCTATGAAACTGTGCAACAAAGAGTGAACCTTAATGTAAACTATGAACTTTAGTTAATCATAATGCATGAATACTGGTTTGTCAATTGGAACAAATGTACCACACTACTGCAAGATGTTCCTAAGTTTCCTAGGGCTGCCATAACAAAGTACCACACACTAGTTGGTCTATAATAACAGTAATTTCTTGTCCCACTGTTACGGAGAGTTGAAGTTTGAAATGGAGGTGTCAGCATGGCCAGGCTCCCTCTGAAGGCACTGGGGAAGGGTTTGTCCCATTTCTCTTTCTCAGCTTTCTGGTGGCCTTAGGTCTTCCTTGTCTCCATTTTCTCATGGCATCTCACCATGTCTTCACATTATCTCCCCTCTGTGTTTGTCTGTCTCTGTGCCAAATTTCCCCTTTTCATAAGGACACCATCATATTGGATAAGGGACCACCCTAATCACCTCATCTTGACTACATCTGCAAAGACTCTATCTCCAAATGCAGGAGAAAATGTGGGCAGGAGTTGGGGAGGGGGGAATATATGGAAACTCTGTACTCTCTATTCGCTTTTTTTCTGCTCTAAGAAATAAGTCTATTCATTAAAAATGTTAAAGGCTTAAAAAACAGCCTGCCACATAGTACATATTCAATAAATGTTAGTTCCTTTTGGATGCTGCATTAACTTATTCAGTGCCCCTGACACAACAGATTTTATTCTTCTTGCATTCCAAGATCAATACTGGCACTGCCCAAAAAGTAGATAAGACTTAGCTTCTTCCACATGGCCTTGTCCCTAAGTGTTGAGTGCTGGGTTAGCCACCTGCTCACAAACATCTCCTGCCTTGACTGCATTTACACACGTGCTCATGCACAGGTGACACAGGTGAGCATACCCACACACACCTAAAATGGCTTATCTGCCACCAACACTGACCCAAACAAAAGCAGAAACTTACTAGTTCCCCTTATAAAGGCATCACAGGAAATATCTATAGTGAGGGCTACATGCCCATAGAGGGAAAAAGAAAAACAGCAAAAAAGAATATAAAACATAATACATTTCTTGGTTGAAAGATGCACATCAGCTATTGAACTAAATTTTTAAAGGAAACGAGCCATAAATTGATTTTAATAAATATAAATATACTTTCATTTCCGACACAGGGTGGGAGACAGAGAAGAAAAAAAAGTCACAAAGAAAGAGAAAATTTTTTTTAATGTCAGAAGAAATACCACTCAATATTCTGCCTTTGAAAAGAGGCAGAGAAAAAAAAGCAAGGAGGAAGGAAAGGAAAGAGAGGAAAGTCCCGGAAGCCCTGGCGTGGTGGTAAGATGCAGGACACGCCTCTCGTCACATCATGCCAATCCCCTGGGCCGCAGGCTCGTGGCTTTGTTCAAAAAGAAGGGCAGGCTGGGTGCGGTGGCTCATGCCTGTAATCCCAGCACTTTGGGAGGCCGAGGGGAGGATCACCTGAGGTCAGGAGTTAGAGACCAGCCTGGCCAACACGGTGAAACCCCGTCTCTACTAAAAATAAAAATTAGCCGGGTGTGGCGGTATACACCTGTAATCCCAGGTACTCAGGAGGCTGAAGCAGGAGAATTTCTCGAACCTGGGAGGCAAAGGCTGCAGTGAGCCGAGATCGCGCCATTGCACTCCAGCCTGGGTGACAAGAGTGAAACTCCATCTCAAAAAAAAAAAAAAGGAAGGGCAGTGTGTTTGGTGATTTGAAATCTTTTTTCTTTCCTTTTTTTTTTTTGAGATGGAGTCTCGCTCTGTCGCTCAGACTGGAGTGAAGCGGCTCAATCTCAGCTCACTGCAACCTCCACCTCACGAGTTCAAGTGATTCTCCTGCCTCAGCCTCCTGAGTAGCTAGGATTATAGGCACCTGCCATCACACCCAGCTAATTTTTTGTGTGTTTAGTAAAGATGGGGTTTCACCGTGTTGGCCAGGCTGGTCTCGAACTCCTGACCTCAAGTGATCCACCCACCTTGGCCTCCCAAAGTGCTGGGATTACAGGCATGAGCCACTGCATCTGGCCTGAAACCTTTAACACTGACTTATTTCTTAATCATGGCAGTTTAGGCATGCCCTGTTTTAAAAGAAAATCCTATCTATGAGAATCCATATTGAAAACACAGACATATCCATAGGTAATGACATCTGCCTCTGTTAAGGTTTTTGTTTTTCCCCTCTTTACAAAAGAAGTCACCTCAGTAAATTTTTCAATAGCATGACCACAGTCCCTCCTCCAGCACAAAAATTTAGATTTTCATAAAACTCTCCGAGAACGCATCATCTGTCACTAACATCAATACTTAGCTCTTTCACACTACTCTATTTGTGACACCCAGAGCCTCACGACTGATGGAATCACCCTGTCTTGACTTTTCATCCCTTCATTGGTTGAGAGTTTGTTTCCTAACCAATGTTGCTGAAAAGAATTCAGCACTGAGTAGGGGTAGGGCAGGAAATGAGGGATTACTGCCTGGGGACTGGGGACGTAGAAGAGAAAAAGAAAATCACTTACCATTCTACCTAGACATGTCTCCTCTTACAAAGGAAAGATGCTAGAGAAGGGCTGAAAAGCTCTGTGATATAAGGGTGCAGGGATGAAGGAGGATCTCCAGCCCCATCCTGGGTTGATACCGAGAGCCATTTTCATAAACACATACAGCTTCTCTCCCCCACACAAGACACACACACCACCGAGAGTCATACCACATGGTACACAGATGTGGTTTTGTGCTTTCCTCTAAGCTACACCCACTCGTGTGCACAAAGCCTCACCTAGAAAAGCACTGGTCTGTAGGAAATGGCACACGCTCTCTCTCTCCCTCTGGGTGCCCCCACATGTATACTCAGCAGCATTCAAATGGCAGGTAGTTTTTCTATGGCTGGGAAAGAAAAAGTGCTCAAGTAAGCAAGAGAAGGTGAGGAGTGGGAGAAGAGAATGGGTAGGAGAAAAAGAATTTGCGTGGGTTAAGAGCCAGTGAGGATGGTCAGCCAAACTGACCTCACGATGTTAGTTTCACTTCCCTTTTAAGTATTCCAAGACACTGCCCGGCTCTGCAGACCATGTGCATCTCCAGCCTGCTTGGAGATATTCATTTCACTGCTCATTAGCACCTCTACCAGAGGTATAGGCTGAGAACCACTGTTGCTGACAAACAGCCAGAATGACTACTTAAATTTGATGAGGTAGGAGCAAAAACCAGACAGAGGCTTAGAGGATGCTCTTCAAGCTACTTGGATAAATTTTAAAAGGTAAAATTGTTTGCTTATAGACGGACCTCTTTTTCCCATGTCTGTTTGCTATTGCTATAGTTATTCAAGAGGCACTTTATATGCAACAAAAGACCACATGGAAGGAAGAGAAGAGTCTACCCTCCCACTGCACCTGGCATTCGAGTCCAGGAGTTTAGACCCTACTGCCCACAGGGCTGTCCTCACACACTCCTGCCCTGTGGTCAGAACAGGAGCCTACCCCAGGGAGAAGGGCCCTGGGATGCCCTCTTAGGGAACTCTCAAATCACTTTTTCTTTTTCCATTCAGATAATTACAGACTAGATTGGAAAGTGTAGAAAAATTTCTTTATGGTCGATGAAATAATAAGAAGGAAAATGGGTTGTTTCCTTCATAACTAGCAAAGCCTAGGGAAGTACTCTTGGTAAGAGTAAGATAGATAAACATCAAAAATTTAAAACCCCAAATAAACACCAAGATTTGAATTTCTAAAGATTTATAAGCAGCATTAATAATACCCTAGAGGATAAAAAAGGGGAAAAATTCAAACATTGTATAGTTTTGCTTTTGTTGGCTGAACTTTTATTTTTGTTTTTGTGGGGTTTTTTTAGAGGGGAAAAAACCTTTGAAAATAAAATAATTGGACAATTTATTTAAGAAGGTTTCTGAACTTGGCTTCAAAATCTAAGTTTTGTTTTTTGCTCCTTCAAACAAAGATGCCTTCAGGTGTGATGGCTTTAGGTTTTGTACAGCTCCTTATTTTTTCACACAGGGCAAATGGCTCGTCTCATGTGCACATAAAGGGCTGGAAAATATTTCTGTGATTCGAGCGCAGCAGAGAGTCTAGGATTCCAGAGGAAGTGGAGGCCTCCCATTCCGCACAGGAAACAATCTTCAAGCAGGCCTTAAATGCCAGATTCCAGGCTGAGTTTAACTAACCACTGACAGCTCTGTAAACAAAGCAAGGACAAAAAGAGCCCGCTTCCCCCTTTCTGGTAGTCATTTTGGGTTTGGGGGCTGCAGGGGAATTCTGGAATACTTGACTCCATGGCACAGAAACGCAGGGGAAACGGGCTCCTCATTTAAAGAGCTGGAAGGGGAAGGTCTTTCCGGAATTAAAACCATCACAGAGGAGGTAGGAAAGGGTAAAATGGTTGGGTTACATCTGTAGAAAAGCAGTGATTTTAGAGCTTGGAAAACAGCTTGATCACCACTTAACTGCTTTTAAAAATGTTGCTTCATGATGTTTATTCATGATGTTACTGCTGCAGTCTTTATTAAAATCCTGATGCTTCTTTGAGAATATGCACATTATATGCCTAGACACTGTATTATTTTATTTCTCGCTTTCACTTTTCTCCTAGTTCCTACAAATACCTCTTCTTGCCACTTTTCTTTTCTGTTTGTCATTCCTGTTTTCCTCCTCCTTTGTTCACTTTTTCATAACTTTGGTCTGGGGTTCAGAAAGTTACAAAGAGCAAAATCATTCATTAGAATTTCAAGTGATTCTACCAATATTTCAAGTCTTCAAAACCTCTCTGTCTCCGGAGGTCTTTTTTAAAGAATAAATAATCTTGGGATCTTACTTATTTGTCTCTAGGAGATTCATGAATGAGACTGAATTTAACTCGGCTCAGGAGTCAGAAATTGATCACTGGCTACCTTATCAGCTTTCTAAGAGTAAAGAAAAATCAGGAGAATGACAAATGGGAAAGAGGGCCCATAGTAACTCAGGAGAAGTAACACACTGAGTTATCAATGATATTGACTCTACCTCCTCTCTTTCAGGTCCAGACATCATCTGGTCTCCCTGAACCTGAAATCACACCATGGATGATTTTGAGCGTCGCAGAGAACTTAGAAGGCAAAAGAGGGAGGAGATGCGACTCGAAGCAGAAAGGTAAGGATCTAGGGTGAAAAATACTTGTATTCCCTTATTAACAACCTTGGTTTCAGGCCTCAAAGACCATCCTTTTGAGAGGCCAAATGTGGTCATATCGCACACCAAACTGTTCGCAAAAGTAGTTATGGAAAATTTTTCTGCTAAGACTCTAAATTAAGCATTTAAAAAAGGAAAACAAACAAGAATCAAGAAAAAGAGAGATTTGAGAGGAATCAATTGATAACTGCATATTGATAATTGCATTTAATCAATACCTTTCACATTGGAATGTTTTAAATGACAAAAGTAATGTGTGAATGAAGGTTTAAAAAGCTTATATAATAAGAAATGACAAAAAAATGTCAAGTATTGAATATTGGAACCACTTAGGACATGAGAGTCTTCAATCTAAAAAATATAAAGGCAAAAAGCCCTGGATGAATCTTGTGAAAAATTTTCATTCTTATTAGAAAAGTATCCAACTCTAGGGATCTGCATAGTACAGGTTAATAACGGGCTATGTTACCGAGGAGATTCTGGGTGTAACTGGAAGCTGTTAATGTCGTGTGAGGCCTCTACAGTGGTGGCTATGAGGTCAAATTGGGGAGATAAAGCATTGGCATATAAAACCTGGGGCATAAATACATATTTTAACATTTTAGGCCTCAGAACAAAGGACAGTGTGGTATTTGATGCGACTTAAATCAGATGTTCTTTTGAGAAAGCAGGTTAGGCATTCACAGAGAGAAAAATGTTAAACAATGACCTTAAAATCAAATCGATTTTTTTCCCAGTAACTCCAATGCTCAGATGAAAAATGACACTTTAACGATACCACAGCACAAAACTGGAAACTTACACCTATAATGAAAAGTATTGTTCTTATGTTCTACTTATTTGCATGGAGAATGCAAAAGCAAAAGATAAAATAACTGCCTATGATGAACTGGGCCAGAGTCAGCTGGCATTCATGAACTGACTAAACATGTCCACAAGGCACTATGGATGGTACCTGCATTCTGTTGGTTCAAATCCTAGCTCTGCCATTTGCAAGCTGTGTGGCCCTGAGCAAATGATTTCTCTTTAAGCCATAGTTGCCTTATATATAAAACAGGCATAATATCTACATAGCCTGTGTGATTGTTGGGAAGATTATTGAGCTTCATAAATAGCCTAGTCAGGTACCTAGCACATAGTAGTTTTTCATAAATGATAGTTTTTCATAAATGATAGCTATTATTATTATTAACCATTATCACTAGCCAAACAAGAAATAGCATAGCAGCATAGCCAGAGCTAAACAATCATGCCAAGAGAAGGAAAGGTAGTCATTATCCTGCAATGGAACTAGTCAGAGAAAGTTTCTTGGTGGAGGTGAGCCATGGAGGAGGTAATGATGGCAATGAAGAGGGAAACGGAGCCTGTCTAGGTGAAGGAATGACACCGGCAAAAGTGCAGAAGTGGAAATAAGAATCCTGGTGCAAGAAACCTGTTGAGTGTTTAAGGGAAAATGGATTGGACTGGTATATCTTGGCTGTTCCTATTTGCCATACAAGGAATAGACAGAGACTTAACAAGGGAGTTATGTGCGATGACACTATGCTGGAGAAACTTATCTACAGTGGACTAGAATATGGGGATACCAGCACTGGAAGAGATAGTATGGTAATGAGGGCCTGAATCAGGTCAGTGAGTATGGAAATGAAGAAAGATCAAATATGAGAGTCTTTACAGAGGGAGAATTAGCAAACCTTTTAGGAGAGCAAAGAACTTATAGACGGTTCCAAAGAATATACATCTGAGGAGCTGGAAGGAAAGTCTCTGCTTTGTCCTAAATGGAGGATTTCCTTCTTGAATCGTCAGAGAGGAGCAGTGTTTAATTTCAGGTAGAAACCACATCCAAAAGGGGATTTCCTGCAGGCATGTGGAGATAGGAAATTTCACTCTTTGTTCAAAAAGGGAGAGAAATTATTATTAGAGTAATAAATTTGGGCAGACACAGTATGGTGGTGCTAGTACAAAAGCTGAGGGGATATTCCCAAAAAAGCAAGTGTAGAAAAAGTGAGCGGTCATCAAGGTATAATGGAAGCCATCAAAGAAGACAACGTACCAGGGAGATGGGGGAGAACCAGGGAGAGTATGAGGCCCAATGTTGAGTGGACATGGTGGACATGGAAGTCTTGCGGGCAGTGGCCGGGCTCAGTGAACCACACCTCTTATTCCTTCCAATGCTGTGTTATTTCACCTCAGGTTCTCATGATAGTCTACAAAATATCTTCATCCAACAACTATTTATTAAGCACTAACCAGGTTTAAGTGTGCCAGGATGGGAAAAATAATGGTGGTAAAGAAGTAGACATGGTTCTTGCCTTTATATACCTCACAGCATGCTAGGAAACCAAAGTGTAACAGAATCAGGAAGCAGACAGGCCAGGGTGTAGGGGCAGACCTGATAGAGTTGTGGCTAGAGAGGCTCAGGACTGAGGATGTAGACACTGGGCATCAGGCTAGATTGCCATTGTCAGCTTCTTTCCTTTCCACGTGAACAGGGGGTCAGGGAATCATTGACAGAGGTGTGACAGAACTAAAGTGCTGTGGTTAGAGCCATACTGTCATTAGAGTGAATAAACCCAGTTTCTTCAGGTTCAGGACTTTGCTTAAGAATTGACCGCACGGCTACGTGGTTCGTTCCTTTGACTTTTTTGTTTTGTGTGGAAGAATTTCTCTTCTTTTAATGTCAGATGTAAAAGGAATGTACACAGTAAGTCTTAGTTATGTACCCTGAATAACCTAAAATAAACTTACACAAATTAATCCTAACCTTGTTTAATTTATATTTCTGTCTGTATTACTTCTTTTGGGATATTATATTGTTTTCTTTTCTGTTTTTTATTTCTTCTTTCCTTCCTTTCTTTCTTGCTTCCATTCATTTCCTTCCTTCCTCTCTCTCTCTCTCTCTCGCTCTTTCTTTCTTCTTAAGAGTAGTACTTACATAATTCCTTATACTTGTACTAAGTTTACCTTTCCATGTTTCAAGGTGAGCCTTCTAGTTCTGCTATTCTGAGATTTGGTAAGCCCATGACCACCCTTCAGGATTTTGTAAAATCTGATCATTTATGGGAATAGTGAAAGTCAGGCTTCATGGTTCAGCCAGCTCTGGTGGGAAAGTGCAGGGTGTGTGCAGGAAACAGGTGGCCAGAAGCTGAAATCAAGGCCATCTAAAATCATGGTTTTGATCTGAAGACAAAGAGCACATGAGACCCTGAGCAAGTCCCTCTTCCTTTAGCTCCAGACCTTGGCTTCCTCCTCTAAAATAAGACTAGCCATTTTCTCTGGGGTATTGGTGGTCACTTTAATTTTTTTCTCGCTTTTGGTATTATTGATTTTTCTTTACTACGATCATATGTTACTTTATTTAAAGCCAAATAAAAATGAAGGCAATTTTCTGTTTTGAAAAAAAATAATTCTATGGCCCTATGCAGTATACCTGAGCCCAGATGGGAGAAGACTTAACTTCTCTTTGAATTTAGGGAACTAAAAGAAAGATTTCATCCCTGATCTGGAGGGCAGTTACCAACTACTGGAAATAGAGTGGCTCCAAGGCTCAGAGCTGCAGATTCATTTACTTACTCTCAACACATTTTTACTGGGCATCTATTCCACTACAAGCTCTATTTTGGGTACTGAGAATAGACCCACAGAGTAACAGTGTTGGGAAGTGTGTGCTTAGTGCTTTACAACCTATCTAAAATGAAAAAAAGATCAAGAAATTATACTTTTGTATCCTCAAACATAACATGTACCCCGTATGGGTTCATACTTATTAGAGATGACCCACAGCCTTTGTACACCTGACCCCTGCAGACAGTGTGGGGGATGGGGTATACTACAGAGAAGAGAAAGTCCATTGACTTTCCTTACCCATAAAAGCTTTTCAAATAAAAATACCCTGTTATTTTTATTTAATTAGTATTGAGTCTGATTGCCAGATGCAGTTTTACTTTGAAATGATAAATAATTTAAAACTTGTACTTTTACCCGGTGTTATAACCACAGATTAAAATAAAGCGAATTTTTACACATTTTATTCTTCAGAAACAGACCTTTTCAAAGACTATTTTGCAAGCTAATTGAAGGCTTTGTGCCATGCTGGCTTGCATGTGCTTAGGACTGGCATTTATTCACTGCATCCGAGCTGTCCTGAGACTCTGTCGTCCACATATCTCCTTCTAAGGGTTTTAGCCCAGTTCATTTCAAATAACCTCGACTGCAAACGTAGTGCATCAAAAACGTTCTTCCAGCTGGGCGCAGTGGCTCACGCCTGTAATCCCAGCACTCTGGGAGGCTGAGGTGGGTGGTCAGGAGTTCGAGACCACCCTGGCCAACATGGAGAAACCCCGTCTGTACTAAAAATACAAAAAGTAGCTAGGCATGGTGGTGGGTGCCTGTAATCCCAGCTACTCTGGAGGCTGAGGTAAGGAGAATCGCTTGAACCTGGGAGGCAGAGGGTGCAGTGAGCCGAGATTACGCCACTGCACCCCAGCCTAAGTGACGGAGTGAGACTCGGTCTCAAAAAAAAAAAAAAAAAAAAAAAAACTTCCTTCTTTGTCTTGCCCCTTAGCCTGTGCAACTTTTATGCCATTACCTCGTCCTTCCTTGTCTTCCATTTGGCTTTCTCACTCTGAGTTCTTGAGATAAGGTCTTTAGATTTGGCAAAAAGGAAGGAAGTACTTCATTTTGTCATAAAAAGAAATACAGATGCTGAATACCTACAAAATGCAAGATACTATACCGAACCATAGGAATCAGTGGTCACCAGTAGGGACAGTATCCCAGTAGTCACTAAGCTCCTATTCTAAGGGTATTAGTAACTTTAGAGCAATCGTGACCAAAAGAGGGAGAAAAAAAATTCAGTAGGCAGAATGGAATGAGCAGTAATCAGTGAAAATCCTTAATGCATTGTTTCTAAGCAAAAGGCACTATTTGCTCACATCTCAAATTAAACTGTATTTTAAAAGCAATTACTCATTTGAACAAACAGATAAAAATTTAGTTTTGCTGTTTATTATTCTCCACCAATCTCAGGGGAGTAAAAAGTTAAATAGATACATTCTGGCCGGATGCAATGGCTCACTCCCGTAATCCCAGCATTTTGGGAGGCCAAGGCAGGCAGATCACTTGAGGCCAGGAGTTCGAAACCAGCCTGGCCAACATGGTGAAACCCTGTCTCTACTAAAAATACAAAAAAAAATTCGCTGGGCATAGTGGCTGGTGCCTGTAATCCCAGCTACTCGGGAAGCTGAGGCAGGAGAATCACTTGAACCTGGGAGGCAGAGGTTGCAGTGAGCCACGATCATGCCACTGCACTACAAGCTGGGCGACAGAGCAAAAACAAACAAACAAACAAACAAACAAAACAAAAAAAACCCAAAAAACAAAAAAAAACACTATATTCTGCTTCCCTTTCTGTTTCTTTTATTTCAATCCCTCTCCTCTGCCTTCATCTCTGTTTTCCTTGGTGCACCTTCATGTGCCTCTTCCCCGGTCCACGTGCATCTTCATCAACACTTGATTTGTTTGTTTCTGTGTCTCTTCCCATCTGCACTCCTAATCTGTCTGCTCTGAATTATGTGTGGATGTGCTGTTGCATCACCAGGAAATACATACTTCTGGCCAGGAAAGAGGGAGAGAGAAACCCAGTTCTCTTCCTGTTCAGCAAGTATAAAAAAGTGCTAGACATTTTATGTGTGTCTAGTAAAGACGGACCGCCGCCGGCCCCAGAATTAGCTATGTCTGAATGGAACATTTTTGCTCTATATGAATGAGGCAACCCCAAGACACATAATGATGGCAGGCAGTACAGTTGGCAGTTAAGGGCATGAGCTTTAGCACTGGGCAGCTATAGTGTCAAATCCCAGCTCTGCCACTTACTAACTATGGGATCTACCAAATTATTCAATCTTTCAAATATTTTGTATCCTCCCTTACAAAATGGGGGTAGTAAAAGTATCCACCTCACTGGGTTTTTGTGGGGATGTAAAAAGGTAAGACATGAAAGTATTAACACAGTGTTATTCATCTAATAAACATTCAATAAACTCATTATTAATTATTATTATTTAATTTGATTCTCTACAACATGGAAATAAAAAAATAAAAATATGAAAGGCTTGTGGATTGTTTTGCACATCATAGATGGTACAAGAACCATAGGCAAGATGAAAGGCAGGAATGCGTGACTGACTGAAGAGCTTTGAGTGACTGTGATCGGTAACAGTTTTTGAGGAAGGACTGTGTTGTCTCAGCTGGAAGAATTAGCACCAGTTTAAGTTATTTTTAAAAATTTGGCCGAAAGAATGTTGAGCTGTGGTGTATTTTCTTTTTTTCTTTTTTTCTTTTTTTTTGTTTTCATTTTTGTTTTTTTGAGAAGGAGTCTCACTTTGTCGGCCAGGCTGGAGTGCAGTGGTACCATCTCGGCTCACTGCAATCTCTGCCTCCCAGGTTCAAGCGATTCTCCTGCCTCAGCCTCTCGAGTAGGCACACGCCACCACACCCAGCTAGTTTTTGTATTAATTAGAGAGGAGGTTTCACCATGTTGGCCAGGCTGGTCTCAAACTCCTGGCCTCAAGTGCTCCACCGGCCTCAGCCTCCCAAAGTACTGGGATTACAGGCATGAGGAGCTGTGATGTATTTTCTGAGAAACCAGCAGTGATGCTTTTATCCATGAGAAAATCTCCAGCAGACATACTTGGCCGACACCGGGCTTGGTTCCCCAACAAATGGCTCTCTCACTTTCCAAGATGTGCTCATTACGTTCACAGCATCTGCTTTCTGCACCCAACATGAGTTCCTCTCACTGATCAGAAGAAAGGCCCCTATTGTAGAGTTACGTTATCAGATTCAGAAGCTTACAGACATAAATAAAGGGAATGAAAACACTTGCTGTTGTCATCATTCATACATTTTTATGGGCTTCTGAAATGGCTTGATGATTAGACATTTGAAAGTAAATATTTTTACTACACTATAAAAAGAAGCAATTTTTTAAAATCCATGGGGTCTCTAAAGTCCCCTCTCAGAACTGTATCACTGAGACTTTTTTACATGATTTAATAGAAACAGCCAATGAATGATTATACAACACACAACCCCTCACACACGCAAACCCAACACTTATTCAAAATGCTTAGCATCAGGACCTTGACATTTTTAAATAAAATCTTTTAAAATGAAATTACTGTTATTTTATCATCAGAACATTATTTTCCATTAAGAAGTTAAATACGATATTCCTTTGAAACTATCTAAATTATCAAAGTAGCTAGATTTGCTCAAAATTTCCCTTCAGTTCTCTCAGAAAACTGATCACTCCAGGGGACAAAAGAAAGTTAGAATCTGCCATCTAGTTTTCTACTTTTATTTTTTATTTTTTGTAGAGATGTGGTCTCGCCATGTTGCGCAGTCCAGTCTCAAACTCCTGGACTCAAGCAATCCTCCCACCTGGGCCTCCCAAAGTTCTGAGGTTATAGGCGTGAGTCACCACATACTTTCAAATTAAAAGATCTGTCACTGGGCGCGGTGGCTCACGCCTGTAATCCCAACACTTTGCGAGGCTGAGCCAGGTGGATCACCTGAGGTCAGGAGTTCGAGACCAGCCTGGCCAACATGGTGAAACCCCATCTCTACTAAAAATTCAAAAAATAAGCTGGGCGTGGCAGTGGGCGCCTGCAATCCCAGCTACTCAGGAAGCTGAGACAGGAGAATTGCTTGAACCCGGGAGGTGGAGGTTGCAGTGAGCCGAGATCACGCCATTGCACTCCAGCCTGGGCAACAAGAGCGAATGCTTTGCTCACCCCTTAAACCATCTGTGAGCCCAGATTTTCGTCACCGTGGGACAGACAAGAACCCTGTCTTTAGCTGAACTAAGGAAAGTCCTGCAACAGCAATAGACTAAACAAAGACTATTGTGCCTAGTTGAACTATTTTTTATGCTTCTTCAGGTAAATTGCTTATATGTGTAGGCAAAGTCATTGTTTTGTTTGCCCTCAGAAAATCTCCTGTGTTATTCCCATTTAGCAGAAAAATAGAAACAGAGAAGATCGAGTTTCCCTGCTTAAGGCAAAGAAGGCTGTTGATATGACTATTCTTGACTTTTCACTGGACTTTTTTCAACAAGACTGTACATCATTAGGACAGGGACTTAGTCACATCATCACTCTTAAAAACTTAAGGCTGTCTCTGACCTTATGAATCATCTTCCGCAGGGGAACATTATGTATTCAGTTTTGGACCACACACTATTTTTGAGGCACTGATGAAAGCTCTGGACCCTCCTCCAAGAAAAATGCACATATGCACCCACCAAACTTGGCACTTACATTCAGTGGCATCATGAACCTCCGTCCGCAGACCTCCTGGGGGCCGATGCCTTCTGGCCAAGAATCCCTGATCTAATGAATTTTAAAACTGCCTGTTAAATATTAAGAAACTCAAGCCTAGGAGACATATCCCCTTAAGATCACCCAGTTAAGCTGTTTGCATAGTGTGGGCCCCTGGACAAACAAAGCCATCCTGATCTTGCTATATGTAAAAAAGTCTATGGCTATTGATTAGGAAAATAAAGCATATTTTGGAAAAGAGTGTATTCTACAATGTACTGCATGTAGAGTGCTTTCTAAAACTTAAAAACCGTTTATGGATAATGTTTCTAAATAAAGGAGATTCGGTCAGATTACAGTGAATAAAGTGAAAAATAAAGAAAGATGAGTGGATAGGCAGAATGATACCAGTTAATAGTCAGGAACTGGGAATCAAAGTTTGGCGTCTTTGTCAACAAGGACAAAAAAACTTTGGTGATTTACTACAATCCCATTTTCTATCAATTTTGGAAGTCTTTTATTTGGTATATGTTGTGTTAGCATGATTCCTTCAAACAAAGCTTAATTTTGAAACTAAGTTATGTAGGATTTCTCCATTCTTACCAGTTTTTAGAAAATTCATCAAATGACTTTTCTCTCTAAATATGAAAAAGATAAGAACTGATTTGATTCCTAACAGAGAAACTTATATTTTACATTTATCACTACTATCTTTGGGGAGGATGGGACAGATTTGGAGTGGGACAGGTGCCTTTCAGAGAGTAGGATCTAGAGTCATGAAGACTTAGATTCAAATCCCAGAATCCCAGCTGGATTCAAAATGGTTGTTCTACTCCGCCTCTCTCAGCCCATTTCATCAAGTGGAAAATGGCCATCGAAACAGTTCTTCCTTATAAGGTTTAATGCAGATTATAAAGCACTTAGTAGTCCCTAAAACATGACTAGTGCTCATTCTGTTACCTCTTGTTGCTGTTTTTCTGCTGGCTGAAGGACATGGTAAGAAAGGCGCTCTCAGAAAAGCCCTCTCTGGGGTCACCTCAGAAACTCAGCCTTTTGGCAGCTACCATCTGGGGTATCACTGAACAAGGTACAACTCCATGTGTCAGATGGCTCAGTGTCTAATCTTTTCTCTGTTTCAGATCTGTTTTAGCAGCTACCTTGAAAGTGATGGGAGAATTATGGATATAAATGTCTCCCTGTAAAAAGAAAATTACCTTTTTATTATTAAGAGTTCTTTTCCATTTTCCCTACTTGTTTGAAATCAAGACAAAAGCATGCAATAGTCTGGTACATATCAAGGTCTTTGTCACAATGATATATACATATGTGTATGTATGTATATAATTTAATTAATCATGTATGGTCAGCTCTCCATACCTGAGGATTCAACCAACCCAGATCAAAAATGTAGTTAGGCCTACAATGGTTGCATCTGTGCTAAACATGTACATACTTTTTTCCTTGTCATCATTTCTGAACAATACAGTATAACAACTATGTACATAGCATTTATATTCCCCTGCTGATACTGAGGGATGACTATATTTAAAATACTCTTTTTGCCTTGTGAAATTATCATTTCTCTTTTCATATTGCATAATCTATGGTTTCATTACCATTAAAGCATCAACCAGAAGCTTCTCAATGCCAACATTATATATAAATATTGTAATAATAACATAAGGAAAATCATATGCCTAATTGTTACAAAATGATTTTGAAAAAATGTATCCCAAATTACTAATTTATTCATTTTAATTATGAAAAAACTGATGCATACAAAGTAATCCTATGTAATATATATGGAAGTTCTAACTCATCCTAATGCGTATCCTATAAACTCACCATACAGCCTAAGACCTAGAACATTTCCAATGCCCCAGGCCCCTCTCCAATCCCTTCCCTTCACCTCCCCACCCACAGAGGTAACCAGTGTCCTGAATAATTCATTTATTTTAAAATAAAATTTGAAATGAGATCATACGAATTTAGGTACTAGCTTCTCCAGGGCCCTGGGATCCAGGCATTCCAAAGATTCTCTCCAGACTCTCAGGTAAAGGTGTCAGTGAGAGCCCACTTCCCTGAGAGGGCAAGAAGTTTGTCTTTCTAAACACACAGGACAGGCTGGGCATGGTGGCTCCTGCGTGTAATGTCAGCACTTTGGGAGGCTGAGGCGGGCAAATCACTTGAAGTCAGGAGTTTTAGACTAGCTTGGCCAACATGGTGAAACCTCTTCTCTACTAAAAATACAAAAATTAGCCGGGCATAGTAGTGGGCGCCTGTAATTCCAGCTACTGGAGAGGCTGAGGCAGGAGAATCACTTGAAACCAGGAGGCAGAGGTTGCAGTGAGCCGAGATCGCACCACTGCATTCCAGCCTGGGTGATAGAGCGAGACCCTGCCTCAAGAAAAAATAAAAATAAACACACAAGATAAACGTTCTTATGCTGTCTAAAGCTGCAAGAAGTATACAGTGTGAACAAAGAATTCTCATCAAAATAAAATAAAAATACAGACCAGGTGCAGTGGCTCACTCCTTTGGGATCCCAACACTTTGGGAGGCTGAGGTGGGAGAATCACTTGAGCCCAGAAGTTTGAGACCAGCCTGAGCAACATAGGAAGACCTCATCTCTACAAATAATAATAATAAAAAAAATAGCTGGATGTGGTAGTGTGTGCCTGTAGTACCAGCTACTCTGGAGGCTGAGGTGGGAGGATTACTTGAGCCTGGGAGTTCAAGGCTGCAGTCAGCTGTGAGCCATGATTGCACTACTGCACTCCAGCCTGGACAACAGAGGGAGACCTTGTCTCAAAAAAAAAAAGATGTAATGAAAGCTATCCAATACTTATATTGAACCTCTCTCTTTTGCCCTATGGTTTTCTCATTGGCCAGCAGGAGTGACAGATCTGCATTTGCAGCTGTCATTTGGTCAGGTGGAACTGGCAGACAGAAATGATGACTTCAGTTGCTTTCAAGTCTTCCAAGGAAGTTCTTGACCTTTATTATCCCAAAGGTCCCTAAATGGTGCTGCAAGAAAGTACCACAGGGCATGAAACATGAGCATGTTGGACCAATGTGGTGGCTGTGTAAGTGGGCTGTGTAAGTGGATTCTCATTCATCTGTGAATCAGGTTAAAGAGGAATCATGTGCATATTTTGTGAATAAAATCAGTTCTTTCCACTAGTTTGCTATCTAATGAGCACTATTCATCAGCAGTGGAAAATCAGTTTTTAGCCTATCCTAAACCTGCATTAACGCAGACTGTTTTTGAATTTTTAATCATTTATTCAGGAACATTAGTAAAGTACAACTTTGAATTATTTATAAATAAAGTCTTTGGTTAACATGTTAAATATGTAAGCTACATTCCATGGCTTAGTTTTTAAGTACTGGAGAGTACAACTTTTTTTTAAACCTTTTAAATAACTTTAAAAACATTCACTGACATTGAACAGCTTAATTTGTTAATTATAAATCATTTGTATGTATTCACCATTT
Source organism: Homo sapiens (assembly GCF_000001405.40). NCBI lineage: Eukaryota > Metazoa > Chordata > Mammalia > Primates > Hominidae > Homo > Homo sapiens. The sequence continues at coordinate 134,879,663 of NC_000007.14, forward strand.
GAATAAGCTTCTAATGTTTTGCCAGCATGATGGAAGTTACCAGGTAGGTAGACTTAAACATTTTTCAAAATTAAATTTCTTTTAAGGTATTTTATAATTTTTACTGGGCTTACTTCTAGTTGATCTATTTTAGTGAGACCTGACATTGCATTTGAGATGTGTACCAATGACTAGGTTAGAATGTGAGGGCTTATTTTCCATTTTAATAACTCCCTACATCACATACAGTTCCTTTGTTGGGATAAAAATCTCAGTAAAGTACACATCGGTCACTATAAATAGCAGCTACAAGCCTGTACATTCAGGAGAGTCTCCAGAGTGTATTTTAAACCCCACATTGTTTAGAATAGGAAATTCTTCCAATGTTCATATTTTCCATTGTGGGTGACATGGACTACTATCCCATGTCACATCTTCACTGGCTTCTGTTTTCCTGTACCATTTAGGAACTCAACTGACGGTTTCCAGCAGATTGTTCAATATGTGCTTTTTATTTTTCTAAGGGTAGCCTGGGTCTTTTTGTCCAGTGGGAATTTTGCATGCTTCATGGGGCTCTCCAAATAAAAGCTAGATAACTCAGAGCCGGCACCAGCACTAGGTAATGAAAGAGTCCTTTATTTCTGGAGCTAGTAGCACTACTGTGCCCGCTTAGAATAACAGCAGTCAACCCATTTTTTATTCCCACAGAAAACTTTACACTGTTGGAAGGTTTTCTGGAGGTGGGGGGAGACTCAAGAGACTAATATGAAAAATAACTGAGCAAGAAGTGAGCAAATAAACAAGCAGGATGAGATGATGGGTTATCAGGCTGATTCAAAGACAAGAAGCATCATCAGGTCTAATCACACTGCATCTTTCCCAAGGCACAATTGGCAGCTACAGTACATGTATATCTCTGCCCACTTCTTCCTTGAACAATTCTTCTGTTTCTCTCATCAAAACTGTTGTGTAGATCTTGATCTTTTTTTAGTGGAGTTTCATTTGGGGGATCTAACATTCCCTCACTATTTGTCCTTTGATGAAGAAGATGAGAAAGGACCTATTATTAAGGGGCCTCGCGCAAAAGTTGTGATGTAGAAAGAACTGATATCTGACACCTGTCTTTCCTGCTACTACCTTTTAAGATCCTTTAACTCTTCCTATCTAAGCAGGAGAGTGTATTTTCCCTGAGCCAGCATCTTCATAGCATATCCTGGCTACCTAGGGATTATCATTGCTACAGATGCTCAGCGGCTTTTGAACTGAACAGAATGAAGTTTTTTTTAAACTCTAGGTTGAGGCTGGAGAGAAATTCCCAAATCCTTTAGTCCCTAAGTGCCTCATGTCATATAAATGATGTCTCATTGTGGCATTGTCAGAGCTATGGTAGAGCTGAAATCAGAGACATATGCGCTTCAGAAAGGTGTCAGTTTTCCATGAGAACTCTGCCTGAAGTGCAGAATTACTTCTAGAAGACAGATTCTGGTGTCCAGTTGGGTTATGTCATCAGAAATTAACATACACTCTCTTTCCTACGTTCTCTGAAAGGGGGTTGGAAGCCCAAATCATTGGACCCAGGCTTGTAGAGCAACATGTCCAAGAGCACACAGTCAGTGGCAGGGTCAAATCTGGAAACCTTGTCATTTTCTCCAACTCTGGCACTTTTTTTCTTTGCATCGTGTGAGGCCCCACTCTCAATTTATTATCACATTAGAGCTAAATGTCCTCTAACTCCTGCTGAAGAGACTGGCTTTTAAATCAAGGATAAAAGAAAAGACACTGGATAAAAGTTCAGCAGATCAGGGCTTCCTTATCTATAAGAGAGAACTAACACTTCTCAGGGTGGCTGAGAAAATTAAGCAAGATACAGAAAAAATGTCATCGAAAGTATAAAGGGTAATGCGCATGACGTACGTTTATCATGTTGAAGTGCCTGGGTGATTACACTGGATTCACTTCTATATTAACTATATGTAGAGTTGCAGGTTTCATGCTGGTCATGTGCTGTGTTTCAAAGGAATTTTCACACTTCTAACCCTGCTGCCTTATGCTAGCTGACTGGCTGTCAGGTATTCTAGTCTTTCAGAAATCAGATGCTGAGAAAACACAATGAAATAAAATGTCACCTGTCACCCTCCCTAGAGCCCGTCACCTCTGGAGAGGGCTTAGGACCTCAATTGCAGATTAGAAGAACCAAAGCCATTTTATTTTCCCTTTTCCTCTAGTTGTGAATTGAGGAGAAAATGCAGACGATTTAAAATCCTGGCTTTATCCCAATCAGAAGGAAACTGTGCTGTGCTTACGAGGAGAACCCTACTCCCACCTTGGGTCTTACGTCGCACTTTTTACATATGTTAATTATTATCCTCTATTTTATGTTTATTTGTTCTCGTATCTGTTTTCTCCACCAAATTGAAAGCAACCGTAGATCAGAAACTACATCTTACTCACTTTTATTTCCCCAAGACCAGCATACAATGTTGAATGAACACTAACACTTGTGTATCAAGGCACAACTGTGACAAATGTGCTAAGCTACTTGTGAGGGAGGCAGAAATGTTAGTGACACTCGTTGTGTCTTCTAAACACTGACACCATCAATGCCTCTCCTGGGGTTTCATCACTTCTCTGCTGAGCCTTCAAGCCATTGCAATTTCAACTCCATATCTTTTCTCCAGAGAAATGAAGAGATTTATCTCATGTATTTTTTTGATTATTAAGGATAATTGGACCTTTACAACATAGAATTTTGACCACTTATGCTTATTTAGTTGCATTGTGGAGGCAAATGATATTAATATGGTAAGAGTCCATTTCCTTTTGTTGGCCTATTTACTCCGGTACTCAAGCCCTTGGTATATTTGCAATTAGTATCTGCATTATAAATCAGATAATCATCAAATTACAGGGTTTATGCCAAACGTACAGGAGTCCAACAGTGAACAAACTGTATAATCAAAAATTTCTCTAATGAAGGATCAAGCTTGTGGTCAGGAGGAGTAAAGTATCCAGTTAATCCCAGAAGAATGGGCAGAAGTAGGATAAGGGTAGGGCCAATCTCTGGCATGTATTTATCAACATTCTTTCTGATAATAGAATGTTTAGCATACAATAGAATGGAGTGTTTAACATACAAGTTGAGTTCAAAGTTTAGATTTCAAATGGTAAATGGTTTTCCAATATTGGGATGTAATGATGGACCAAAAAAGAAAAAGAAGAAAGTAATACATTAGAGCCCAATACTTTTTAATCAAGATATGAGGACTTAATTATTTTTTTCCAGTAAAGTCGAGCATTTTTATAAATGGTTTATGCTCCTTGAGTGGTACTATTTGGAAGAAGGAGGAGGAGTATTTATAAATGGATTTTCTTCATCATAAAATATACCCTTTGGTTAATTTGTTAACATAAAATTTGTAATTAAAATAAAGTTAGTGAACTGGAACACTCAAAGTACGTAAACCCAGAAGCACAATCGAATAGCCTCAGAACTGTATTTCTTAGGTAAGAAATTTTAATTTTTGATTCTTAGATCTACTGGGAAAGAGTCAGAAGGAAAGGTAATTTGAAGTTATCCTAGAAAGACTCTGAATTCTAAAATACTTAGGAGAATCTCAGATTACTTCAGCCCTCTCTACTTTGCAACATATTTTAGAAAGCTGGATTCATATTTCACATCATTGGCTTTCAAATTTGAAGTGACTGTCGGCTATTTTTTTTAAGTATCATCTATTTTATCTTTTGTTGTTGTTGTCTTCATAATGTGTTAACATTAAAAAGCTTTCCAGATGGCTTCTGGCTTTTAAATGAGAAAATTGGATATTTTTACTAAATATTTTCCCTTAAAAACCTGCCAGGCTGGTGGTTATTCTATAAATTAGTGAGATTAAAAAAAAGGCCCCATTTGCTTTTCCTGTTTTAATCTTAATAAGAGCTTGATTTCACTACTCAATAATGTCAAAGTAAAATAGCATCTTAAAATGGAAAAGCTTTCTTCTCCTACTCTATTTCTAATCTCCTGCCTTAGGCTACCATCATAAAGATACCTAAGATTCTACAGAAGAGCATTTCTGATAAATACAATTCATAAGGGTCAAACTGCATTAGGTCTCCCAGATTTGAACAAGTGGAGTCCAACTGTAATCCACGATATTAGTGAGTGTAAAGAAAGAATGGCCAGTAGAAGCTGGCCGCGGTGGCTCACGCCTGTAATCCCAGCACTTTGGGAGGCCGAGGCGGGTGGATCACCTGAGGTCAGGAGTTTGAGACCAGCCTGACCAACACGGTGAGGTCTCTAATAAAAATACAAAATTAGCCGGGCATGGTGGCACATGCCTGTAATCCCAGCTACCTGGGAGGCTGAGGCAGGAGAATTGCTTGAACCTAGGAAGCGGAGGTTGCAGTGAGCCAAGATCACACCATTGCACTCCAGCCTGGGCAACAAGAGTGAAACTCTGTCTCAAAAAAGAAAAAAAAAAAGGAATGGCCAGTAGAAGAAGCCTGCATGTCTGCCAAGTTCAAGACCTGGTTTGGCCCTGGGGATCTAGGAATATCCAAATGAGACAGACCTTGAATCTCAGGGTTGGTTGAGTTTCAGGGTGGTGACATGAGATTTATGGCTTGAATCTCACAGAGTTGTGACATGAAAAGTATTCTCTCCACTTGGAGAAGTGTTTCCTCATGTCTCCCACTGGCTTGGGTAAAATATTACCTGTGATGATTTCACCCCGCTTTGCTCTGACTTCACACTCATGAAGAAGTCGCTATTGACTACGCAGCTTCCTAACATCCTGGCTTGGGGAATGGGAGGTGCCCTGGTTGGGAATGAGAGTTCTCCAGGCACTGAAGATGGAGAGCATTTATTCTATCTTAATTGGCACTAGAGAAGGCATCAGTCTCTTGTGCATCTGTGAGTTCATCAATCTTCCTGATACCTGTCGATTCTGGACCTCCCAAGATCCAATTTCTGGTGCAGAACTGTTATGAATACTCCAAAAAAAAAAAAAGGCCAATCTTTAGAAACCTTTGGAAAAACAAGCCAACTGACCTTGGTGCAGCGTCTCTACTCCATCGTTGTCCCTCTTCACTCCAGAGAAAAAATGACAAGTACTTATTGGCCATCTGCTATATAACTAACACCCTCCTAGGCTGTATCAGGTGCAAAAGTGGTGGTAGGAAATACCCCTTCCAGCAAAAATGTTACACTGTAACTTATTTGGTAAAAACAAGTATATACACAGGAACAATGAACAAATAAGACTGTGTATTTGTATTTATCCATATTTTCTTTCTTTCTTTTATTTATTTATTTTTTTGAGACAGAGTCTCATTCTGTCACCCAGGCTAGAGTACACTGGTGTGATCTCGGCTCACTGCAGCCTCCACCTCCCAGGTTCAAGCGATTCTCATGCCTCAGCCTCTGGAGGGGTTACAGGCGCACACCACCATGCCAGGCTAACTTTTGTACTTTTAACAGAGACGGGGTTTCACTATGTTGGCCAGTCTGGTCTGTAACTCCTGACCTCAGGTGATCCTCCTGCCTCTGCCTCCCAAAGTGCTGGGATTACAGGTGTGAGCCCCGACACCCGGCACCATACGTTTATTTCTATCTGTAGATCATAATCAAGTGCTGATCCCAGTCAGAGGTTATTACAAAATATAACAGAACCTAATAAAGTGTTATTATATAATGTAAATAATAAGCACAACACCTAAAGTATCTGAAACACATAATGGATTATTTCTCTAGCAATAGGAGCAATATGCTTTCATCCAGGTCTGACCACCCCCCAAAAAGAAGGAAATCAATATTTTTTAAGACTTTATATGGTATCACTGGAAAAAAATCTGGATTTCATTCCAGCTATAAAAGCCATGTGTAAATTTAATATCCAGATGCAAAAGGTGGACACCCACAAATAAATTTATGATTGTGGAAATATTTAGACACTTTGAACAAGAGTGGTACACACTGAGAATTCTGTGGCTTAGGAACTAATATGCTTCCTTTGAAGATTTGACCTTTTCTTCTGCACTAGAATTATCTCCTGAGTCCTTATAATAATTTCCTTCACAACCTGTACCTATGAACAACAAATCTACATTCTAAAATATATCACTATGGCCTAGATTCAGTTTCTTATGGGTAGAAATCACATTCTTCATGTACACACTTCTTTCCTAGAATTATATAAAGCAGGTATTATTATTATCGTTTTCACCGAGACCAGAACCAGAATTTTGTAGATGTGCACCAGCCACCATTCATTCAAGAAATTGTTAGAGCCCTGCTATTTCCAAGCACCGTTTATTGTTTTAAAGATATGTTTCAAGTTGGAGGGCAGAAAGGAGTTAGAGGCATGATCCTTTTCAGATAGAAACTTTTCAGGAAAAGAAAATAGTCCAGTTGTTTAAAAAACCCTGGATTTTAAAAAGAGCTTAGAGAGTCGGCCTAAGTAATTGGTGCAAGACAGTTTAAACAGAAACAGGGAGTCTCACAGCAAGTTGGCTGGAGGAGCTGACTCATACATTGCAACATAATTATTTCCCAAATAACATGCAAACAAGAGTGGGCTCAAGCTTTCTGGTCTCTCTCTCCCTAACAAGATAAATTAGAAAGAAATAAAGTCAAATCCAGGAAGACTTCATAGAGGTAAGGCCTGGAACTGGTTCTTAAAGAACCACTAGAATTCAGAGAAGCAAAAGGAGTAAGAGTGGGCATAGGACTTACAAAGCAATTCATTTGGAGAAGAAAAAAGAAAAAGCAAAAACCCTGGATATAGCACAAAACTGAATGAATGATCTCTCTAAGAGATGCTATTATCAATGTGAAAATGATGTTAGGATGTGTTAACAGGAACGTGGCAGGAAGCACTGGGACTTCAGCCAGGCCTTGGTCAGCTTTTATTATGTCCAATTTTGGTTTCCCGTTTGAAGAGTTGTTATAGTCAGGCTGATATTAAAAGGATGGAAAATAGGCATTGGCGTCTAGCCTAGAAAAGACGAGACTAAAGGATGACTTAATACCTGTGGCCCTCCTAGAGATAAGTAGGTTTCTATTTCAGCAACAGGAAATCTAGTTCGATAACAGGATAAATTGAGCGTGAGAGTGATTAAACACTGGGACCTTGATCACAGGATGTCACCTACTGAAGTATAGTTCTTTAGCTCTACTGCTTTCAGAGTACTGTTCACTTTCTGTCTTATAATAGAATTTTTGTATACATGTCTTATCTCCCTTTAGGACTGCCCTTCTTATCTTTGCATCCCCCACAGCACTTAGTGCAATGACTTGCTTGTAGTAAACATTCCAATAGTGCTACGCGAAGCAAAGCAAAAAGGAATGTGCTGGGACAAAATAAAACTACATGCTCACCATTATAAGGGCAATAAGACAGTGTCACAACCCAAGCCCCTATTACAGGCCTAGAGACAGATGAGGCAAAGAATAATTAAGAAACGTGTATCAGCACAGGCCATGAAGACGCTGGTGAAGAACCACTGGAAGACTAGGATGAGGAGTAAACTGTGATTTTTCCACAGCAGCTCCTGCATTCAAGATCACAGGACATGACAGAGCAATATAGTTTAAGTGAACACGTTCAACGCCATGGCAGGGGCAGGGGATGGGAGATGCCGTCGTCTATGAGGGGAAAACTATGAGAGGCCAACAGAAAGGAGGAAAGAGATGCTGCCTTTGAATATGTAAACTCCTTTACCTACATTCCTGTTCACCTTGGGGTGGGGGAACAGCTGTCTAGGCAAGATTTTTTGCCTAGTTCTAAGAGTACAGAGCCTATGAATTTCTTCATAAGAAAATTTATCTCCAACAGCCTTTTCAAACGTCCCCTTTGTACTACTCGAACTGTTGCCTCCCTAGTGGTAGATTTCCCTTAGGTTTATGTGTTTCCATAGTAAGTGAATGGCTCTGTGCATGTTATGTGTGTGCATGTGTGCGTATGCATGCATGCGTGTATATGTGTGTGCCTGTGTGTACATGCATGTCTGTATGTGTGTGCATGTGTGCGTATGCATGCATGTGTGTGTATGTGTATGTGCATGTGTGCATATGCATGCATGCGTATATGTGTTTGCCTGTGTGTGCATGTGTGTCTCTATGTGCCTGCGTGTGTATGTGTGTGCATGTGTATGTGTGCGCATGTGTATGTGTGTGCATGTGTGCATATGCATGCATTCGTGTATGTGTGTGTGCCTGTGTGTGCATGTGTGTCTGTATGTGTGTGTATGTGTGTGCATGTGTGTCATAAGCGCATTAGGGCATATGCACAGCACTTCCCACATACCTCTCTTCCCTAGGGAATTGTTTCAAGGTAGAAGCTGTTCTTAAACAACTGCTGCAGACTCTAAAGTCTGGAACAGATCTTGTGGTCCGGTCTCCCACCTCCATGAAGTAAAGTTATTTTTAAAAAATCATATTTTCTTAATAAAGGACCACCCTGTGGTGGGAGCTGTTCCTTTCTATTACAGTCTGACCTCCCTCAAACCTTCCCAGCCCAGAATCTCTTTGATGAAAAATTAAACAATAAAGTGTCCAGAAACAAAGGATACTATGAGTAATCTCAGAATGGCCCAGACTTTCATTTTTCCTAGTAAGAGTCCTGAAGCATCATCAAATTCATGATACCTATTATCTTGCTGAAGGATGACTGGCCCACTTGTTCATGGTGCCAATGAATAGTCATTAGTTCACTTCTCAGAGACACCAGTTCTGGCAGCTGGACACTGGGTACCATTCTCTGCTATGCAGTGAAAGCACACAGGCCTGTAGGTCTCTGCAGGACCAGAACACTGTGCACAAATAACCTTTAGATTGTTATTTCTCAATCCTCTTACCTTGCCTCTCCAGCCCCAGGCACCAGGTCTCAGAGGACTCTTGGAAGCACTTGCCTAGCCCAGCCCTGCTCTCAGCTCATGATTCACTTGTTATCTCTATGCGTCTTCCCGCGTTGCCTGTCTTTCATTGGCCTTTGTGTTCTTCCTCTTCCCAGAGAGTGTCTGAACCAGGTCCAAGACTCACTTCTCTCTTCACTCTTCCCATGTCAGTACCCTACCAGGTAGCATGAGCTATAACACCACTGGGTTTTACTATCACAAACTGAAGACAGACAGCTGCTTCCCAAATGCATGCCCCTAATAACAAAGGAGGGTGCGCGCTGTTTCCCTTTCCCTCTTTTGGCAATTAGGGAAATAGCCTGGTGGACATCCTGTGTACAGCTGGCAATTAGCACACTTTCTGTACATGGATTCTGCACATGAGTGGAAGACTACTAAATTCTTGCTCTCCTCCATGGAGAATACTGGCCAGAAAGAACCACAATTTTTTTTTCTAGGTTTTTCCATTTTATGAACCTATTCTGAATATGCCAAAACCATACCTGTCACCTCAGAATTGGCGTGGGGGGCTGGGGAGGAGGGAATCAGGAGGTGATAGCTTTCTCGCATGGCTGCGACAAATAACTAGAAACTTGGTGGCTTTAAACGACACAACTTATTCTGTACAGTTCTATAGGTTAGATGTCTGGCACAGGTCTCACTGGGCTAACATCAAGGTGTCAGCAGGGCTGTATTCCTTCCTGGAGGCTCCAGGGGAGAATCCATTTCCTTGCCTTTTCCAGCTTCTAGAGGAAGTCACATTCCCAGGCTCTTGGACCCCCTCTCCATCTTCAAAGCCATCACCAGTCTGTCTGCCCACCCTGACAGATAAGCTCCTCTAACCACAGCTGGAAAGGGGTCTCTGATTTTAAAGAGCCATGTGATTCATTCCAGCACACCTGGATAATCCAGGATGCTCTCCCCATCTCTATGCCTTTAATTTCATCATATCGACAAGGTCCCTTTTGCCACGCAAATTAACATGTTCTCAGGTTCTGGAGATTTGCGGGAAACGTTATTCCACCTACCATAGAAAACCACCGACTTTTGTAAGTAATTGAAGGGAAAAAATTAATTGGGCAAAATTCGGTAGAAAGAGAAGCAGCAGAATGCCTCGATACATGTTTCTGTCTCAGTTCTAGAGCGAGAAACTCAGGACAAGTCAGTGTATATTTAAGTCCTCTTGTGTGAAGGCAGATGTATCTCTACTTTTATGGGTGTCTTATGTGCTACTTTCATCAATATATGTTCGGTGATCATATGTGTAATCAGAGATATTTAAATGCATATATACATAATGATATATAGAGATAATTAACTTTAAGTTTATTAAACTGTATTTACTCTATAAACTATGACTTCATTTTTTGTTTTGTTTTGTTTTTTGTTTTTTGAGATGGAGTCTCACTCTGTCGCTCAGGTTGGAGTGCAGTGGCGCCATCTCAGCTCACTGCAACCTCCGCCTCCTGGGTTCAAGCAATTCTCCTGCCGCAGCCTCCCAAGTAGCTGGGACTACAGGCACCTGCCACCAAGCCCGGGTAATTTTTGTATTTTTAGTAGAGACGGGGTTTCACCATGTTGGCCAGGCTGGTCTCAAACTCCTGACCTTGATCCACCTGCCTCAGCCTCCCCGAGTGCTGGGATTACAGGCATGAGCCACCTCGCCTGGCCTATAAACTACGACTCTGATGACCGCATAGTATTTAAGCAAGAAAACAACCAAAATGTTCTAGCTAAAGTGGAGACCACTTAACCTAACCCAATTAAACTTTAAGTTGAACACAAGAGTAGTAGATGCAGTTCAGCTCCATGACATTGGGTGAGTTGTCTAAATGCTCTGTGCTTTGGTGTCCTTGTCTGCGTGTGACATGAAGCCGCAGATCTCAAAGATCTCTTTCATTCCGTGAAAGCGCTCTCAATGTGTGAAGTTGACTGCTTCTCCTGCTGTTTACCAAGAGAATAATCTTAACTCTACATTGTGGAGATCGGATTTGTTCTCACTTGACAGAAAGCCAGTCCCACGAGCAGCTTGGTACCCAAATACCAGTCTGTTTAGTGCTCATTAGAGATGAAGAACCATATTCATAAGTCAAGCTGAGACGGAGTGTCATCTCCAGACAGAATCAACACCACCCCCTCCTCAGGAACTGGGATTTGGCTGCTTTCCAAGCCGCTGCTGACCAGGTTCCATTGCCCAGCTTGGCTGATGAGATCACTGGCAGAGTACCATGGGTGCAGACGGGGCCTGCTGTTTCAACATGTTCTCAGGAGGGCTCTTGCCCACATTTCTTGGAGAGGTGTGAGCACCAAACATGCTGAACCATCCAGCCCATCACTGAGCAGGGCCATCTCTCTTCATCCCTTTTCATTTGGTTTGCATTTTTATGTCATGCTCCTTCCCTGGATAAAAGGGATAAGAGGAGTTTCTCAGATTTGATTTCTCAGTGGGAACTGTTTGCTTTGGAAGCCACCTACACCAATGCTAATTGAGAACAGAGCTCAGAATGGGAGCCTGAGAACTGCACCCGGATGAACTTTTTGGTGGGCTGATTTCTGTTGATCTTGTCAGAATTAGGTTGTATATGCATGTAATACCATGATCAACTATTTTCCAAAAGGCTGAGCAAATGCATCAGTGTCTTTTTCCTTTGACCAGTTACTTACCTTGGAAAAATTATTTGTAGTTAAGCATATAAAGTCTTCATCAGGAAAACTACTGGAGATCCTGGCCCTGACTACCCAGCAATAACATTTCTGGAACTCCCGAAGCAATCAGTGCTCTCTGATCGCTAAACATGATGGGCTTCTATTAGAGAGATTACAGTAAAAAATAACAATCAGCTCTCTGATGATCCTGTGAGGAGGGAACGGGTTGGGAGGAGTAGATTTGGCTGAGGACAAGCCCAGACTTTCGTCACAGGGACAGACCAACGTGTTAACACAAAGGGAGAACACGGGAGCATCCTGCACCGTGCATTTCAGCCACAGATCACATGGCCCCTCCGCGGGCCCAGCCCACGCCCTGACCGCCCGGCCTGGCCAGGTCTCCGTATCTCTCTGCCCCGCCGCCCCTTCCCAACTGCGGACATGCTGGGTGGATCCGGATCGCATGGAAGACGCAGCCTGGCCGCGCTCTCCCAGTGAGTCCTCATTTCGTCTCTTTGGTTTTTTCCTTTCTTTTTTTTTTTTATAAAAAACAAACGAATTGTTGTAAAAAAAAAAAAAAAAAAAAAAATGTGGGAGTGGGAGGGGAGAGGAGGAGACACCAGGCAGGAAAGGAATGCAGTGAGTGTGTGAGTTTCAGACCTGTCTGAAACTTTCTGGTTTCCACTTCATGGTTGCTCTGATTCGCTGGCTTTTCTCGTTTCCATTTTAATGGTGGTTTGTGGACCATTTGCCAGGAGTTTATACCTAGGCACGGGTTTCTCCGTTTCAAATACCAATCCATAAAGCATTGTGTTTCTAAAGGTCTGCTGTTAATTTAGACCTTAGCCCTCCGTTCAGAATGATCCATTTGCAGGGCTCAGAGATTTTGGCTAAAGCACACATTGCCCAATCCTTAGAGTAAACAGCCAAAGCCCTCAATATACTGACCATCTGACTAAGACAGAACAAGACCCAGAGCATATGCTATTGATCAGGGAATTGTTCAGATAACGGACTCCAAGGGTTTAGGATCATGAAATCCTGGAATGTTAAAGCCAGAAGGGAGGCCTTTAGACTCTTTGGTGCAATGCTGTCTTTCAATAGGCAGGGAAACAGAAACCAGAGGGGCAACTCAACTTACCCCAAAGCAGACAACAGTCGGTAGCAAAGCCATGTCTTTGTACTCTCATGCAAAGGGCCGTTTTCACACTGGTGTTTATGAGGTTTGAAAAACTTACTGGGTCTTGGGAAAAGGTACCGCACAAGAATTAGAACACCAAATGGCCTTTCAGTAAATCTTTTCCATTTTTGAGAGTTTTGGCACCGATTCAGCATGACAATTGTTGTTCCAGTTGTTCCAGCGTTTGTGCAACAGTTAATCAAATAAACAGAGAAACTCATCAGGGTCCTAAAAACAAGACCCATGTCCATTACATTAGCAGATCTCTTGGAGAGCTAGTTTCCGTAAGTGTGGTTGGTTATTCACGTGGGAGAGCTCAAAGGGACTTTAGACGTTATCTGTATAGTCCAGTGCTTATCAAACTTTTTAAAAAATCAAATTTAATCTTAAGGGGAACGCTATTGTATAAAGGAGATGTTCTGGTTAAAGAAAAGGTTTGGGATCTAGAGCTCCTCATCCTCGCTCTACTCTGCAGTCATAGCCCACTGCACAATTCTACCCCTCTCCTCATCCCTCTTCTACCCCACCTCCCCACCCTCTTCATCAAAACTTCCTTGGAATCCTAGGTCTCCATGGAATAGTTCAGAAACCACTGATCTCATTGAAAGCCTTCATTTCAGATGAGGAAACTGAGGCACAGGAAGGGCTTGCCCAGGGTCACACAGCTGATCAGCAATAGAGCGTGGGATGCTAGGAAAAGAGCCCAGTCTGGCTGGCTGTCTCTCTCTCAACTCATGGTCCTGAGGCTTGTTTCCACTCCTTCATGCCTATGATTCTATCAGTCTCCTTTCTCTGTGTCTCTCTTCTCTGTTTACTCTGCCATTTCCTGGATTTCAACAGCTATTACCTCTCACCGGGATGGTTGTCATTGCCTGCCATCTGGTCCTCGGCCTCTGTCTCTCTCCCCTTTCTGATCCAGCCCCCTACAGCCCCCACCTATGAAGATAAAGTCCATTCTCCTTACTACAGCATTCAAATTTCTCCACAACATGCCTTCACTATTTCTTCCCATTCTGACTTCCGCCAGGGAGAATGTTAAAAACATTGTGGGGAAATAAATAAATGATGGGCATAATTTTACCAGATTCTGCAGAAATGACAAAAGAAATGCACACAGGGATGTCGAGATTTGTAAAAACTATAGGAGTACCTGATCCGGTGAAATAAGATCACTCACAGCTCCCCAAACTCAGCATATACAAGCCACCACTGTTTCTTGACTCATTCTATTCCCTACACAGGGAATACCCTCACCCTCCTGTTTCTGACCTCCTTTCTGTTCTGCAAGGCCCTGATCAAATGCTCCCTTCCTCTGTAAACCTTCCTCATTCCTCACTTCTCTCACTCTAATAACCTTTGCCCATCCTTCTATTACTAGCTTTGTACCGTCAATCGAGGAAAATGACGAGGCAAGTCTCAATCATTTTAGGAGGTTTACTTGCCAAAGTTAAGGATGTGCCTGGGAGATAGGTCTATGCCTTTATCTGAAGATGATTTTGAGGGCTCCAGATTTAAAGGGGAAAGGGTGGGGATATTGAGAAGTACACAATTTTCATCTAAGTGAATCTGTGTTTTGTACATAAGATCACATAAACAAAGGGGGCAGAGGAAAAATGCGGGGAATCTGCATTTTACGTATGATAACAGACAAAATGGGGTAGGGCGACACTCAGATATGCATTTGTGTCTGGTGGGCCAGGGTGACTGCACCTATAAAGATAAGCTGTCCATTTGCATTGCCATGGTGAAGTTTTAACAGCTCTCTAGGAATGTCCTTGTGGACAAAATATGGGGGAGGCTTGTGTAGCTTTTCACCTTGTAGCCATCTTATTTAGGAACTAAAAGGGGAAGGCTTTGAGTGACCCAGTTCCCGGCTTGACTTTTCCGTTTGTCTAAATGCGTTCGGGGTACCAAAATTTAATTTCCTTTCAATAAAGTTATTGTTGAACATAGCTATCTTCCCTCCCAATAAATGGCAATTCACTTGAGGGCAGGAATGATTTTGAATCTTTGAAGCTTCAGCATCCAGAACAGTGCTGATGCTCCAGAAATATTCTTTAAGTTTCCTATTATTGAGTAAATCAAACTCAATTCCCCTTAGTTTACCTTTTTCATTTGAACCGTTTGAACACACAAAGCCTTCACTCCTTTTGCTTTGCTAGACGTACTAGGTTAAATGCTAAAACAGGTGCTCAACAAAATGAATTCTAAGTTCCTTTGCATTTCCATCAGATAATTTATCTCTGTTTCATCACCTGTAGAGCAAGATTGGCTGTGATTTTTTAATGAGACATGTTAAAATTCCTGAATGCCAAGACCTACACAAGGGCCATGTTATTTTCAGGAGCAGTCGTGAATGGTTGTTCAGTTATTTAGATTTCAAGGCATGTTTAATTTGTTCCTACCAAGATCACTGAGAGATTCTGTCACTTGCGGTTTAATATTTTCACTGGTACTTTTATCATTTTCCCAAAGCCTAAGGAAGTTTACTTGCAACAAGATTTGGGGTTTCCTGTAAATATTTGTTTTAGTCCATAAAGGGTTATTTTTCTTATAGAGAAGTGTGCTTTTATATATCTTGCAGCTGAAAGTTAAAAGTTTTTTGTGTGTGTTACATTTTGTAACAAACATGGAAGGGTATGTAAATTGTAAAATCATGGAGTCAAGGAAACGTAGGAAATTATTTAGTTCATCCCACTGTTTTCTGAGGGAACTGAATCCAAAACAGTGCTGGGAAATAAATAAATAAATAAATAAATAAATAAATAAATAAATAAATAATTGGCACAATTTTTAAAGATTCTGCAGAAATGACAAAGGAAATAAACATAAGAATATTGAGATTTGTCAAAAGTTTAGGAATGCCTGGCTTATTCAATGTTATCAGGAAATGTAGCATTATAATTATCCAGGATGCTAAATTTGGTTTTATATATGTATGTGTGTGTGTGTGTGTGTGTGTGTGTGTGTGTGTGTGTGTGTGTATGTATTTAGTGGAAACTCTTTGCCTTCATTAAAGCAGATATTACAACACATTTAAAACATTTTCAAATTGCTAGGAGCTGTCCTTATGAACATAGTTTTTTAATCATGCTGTAAAACAGTGATACCTCAGGGGATAAGACTCCCATCCAAAAATGGGTCCAGTTATTATGTGATGTCTTCCATCACATAATATTGATGCTTTTAAATCTCTTCTAATACCTATTAATGCATCTGCCTGTCATGGTCCCGCTCCCTGTTCTGCTGTAGCCAAGAGTAACAGGACACCCATTTGTTAGAATTACGTTCAAAGTAAAAATCAACAATCTGGTGAGAGAGGCCTTCTCTCCTACAAAGTAATGGGCACTTACATTTTGTGACTATTGGTTTGTAGGCCAAAGTGTTAAATATAGTGAACTTCCAGTTTCTCTTCAAAGAATCAGTATGTCAGTATGTTCAGCTTTCTTATTTTTTAATTCTTGATTTCAAAGTTTAACTTCCTGGTTCTCTCTGCCCACTTGCTTCTAGTTTCAGTAAACAACTTTCCCACCAGTCCTATTCAGTAGGTTCACATCTGTTCCCCTGGTCACCTGCTCTGTCCTGTCTCATCCTGGTCACGTGCTTTGACCTGAATCACCCCTGGTCACCTGCTCTGACCTAAGTCACCTTTGGTTACCTGTTTCTAACCATCCTTCCCGCCAAACTACTCACCCTGCCACTCTGGCTCATATCCCTGCCCTCTTTAAAATAGCCAGTCGGAACTGGCTTAGACTGTGTGGTCCAACCCTAGCCAATAGGGAACAACACAGCAGTAGGGGCCGCCTGCATCAGGAATAAGAACTCCTGCCCCTCCCCTGTCCAGGTGTGCTCTCGCCATTGTTCCATCTTCGAGGGGCACCCTTTCTGCAGAAAGTAAATTTTGCCTTTCTGAGAAAATTGCATTTATGTTCCAGTGCTATTTCTTTGTGGCACTGGGAAACAAGCATTTTGCATTTCTAACACTGACCAATTTGTCTACTTTTTGGTTCAAAGAAAGGTTTCAAATGATCTGGACCCTTTATCTGGTTATGGATAAAATTGCTACTGCTGTTTATAGATTAAAAATAAAAAAGAATGGCAGAGAAATAGGTCACTGTGCTTTGCATGTATTGGGTACTCTTCTATACAAGATATTGCAGCACTGCACGAGCAGTGGTGATTATGGAGGTGGTCTTGACCTTCTGTATATGTGTCTTCTCTACAAATGGCCAGCCCACCCACACTCACACTGGTTCAATACCTGGTGGCCACAAGCCTTTCAAACCTATTGAACAGCAATTTGCATTGCTGTCTGCGTTTTTCCCTCTCCTTACCTTTGATCTATTGATCCTTGAAATGAGCCCTGCCTATGCTGCTTCTCACATTCCTCTCAGCCCATCAAAATCACTTTATAGAGACAGGCCTAACAGTGGCAAGAGGAATGAGAAATGGGGAAGAGGTCCTCTGTCCTCTGGAGGCGAACTTACCCCTGGCATTTTTAATCAGACTAGTGAGGATCCGTTTCCCTATAGAAACACAGCTTCGTTTCTCCATACCAGCTTCAGACACACCTTGGGTTTAAAAAGGTGGTTGTAGGCTGGTCTGAGAGCCCGACTACCATGTGTCATGCTGTTGAAAGTTTCAAAAGCCAATTTACAATGAAGGTCTTGGAAACAACCTCTTCATAAATGTAGTGCTGCCTGGATCTATTTCCAAGCCTAATTGAATTTTTAAGAGGAGTCCTTAGAAAATCTGTAAACCTCATTCATTTCCAGTCATTCATTCAGCAAATACTCATTGAGGGTTTCGCATTCTAGTGAATACTGCTGTACTGACTGAGCATTAAGAACATCAAAAAGGACAAAGCTCAGGCTCTGGCCTCAAGGGTTCTGTTGTCTTCTGACCTCCCACCCAGCTTAGCATTATCTACATCAGTGTTCTCAGTTTTCATTTTTTTTTTCCTGTGACCTTCTGAAATAAATGCATTTTATTTTGTAACCCCAGTACCTATATACAATATATATATATAAATATATATATATATATTTGAAGCAAATATTTCACAAAACGGTGCTCACACTTGCTGTGTACAAAGTCATCTGATATTTTCTATACGATTCTATTTCATTTTAAAACGCTGGTCATCCACTAAATAGATTTCAGAAGCTGCAGATGGGTCACAAACCGAAGTTTGAAAACCACTGAACATATCACATGACCTTGGTATCTCTGGTCCCTGCCTTCAGGGCAGCTTAGGAAGCTATGTTGGCTGGTGACAACCCAGGCTGCCAGCTACAAGGGTCAGCATGGAGGTTTTTTGTTTTGTTTTGTTTTTTGTTTTTTTTAATCTAACTAATTTTGTTTTTTCAAGGGAAGGTCTCTGGTCACTCAGTCTGGAGTGCAGTGGCACAACCTTGGCTCACTGCAGCCTCAACCTCCTGGGCTTAAGCGATCCTCCTGCCTCAGCCTCCCAAGTAGCTGGGGCTACAGATGTGTGCCACCATGCCCTGATAAGTTTTTGTATTTTTTTGTAGAGATGGGGTCTCGCTGTATTGCCCATGCTGGTCTCAAACTCCTGGGCTCAAGCAGTCCTCCCACCTCGGCCTCCCAAAAGTGATAAGCCTCCACTATCTCGGCTCACTGCAACCTCTGCCTCCCAGGTTCAAGCAATTATTCTGCCTCATCCTCCCGAGAAGCTGGGATTACAGGCGCCCGCCACCATGCCTGGCTAGCCTGGGGGTTTAAGAAAAGTTTTTTTGGATGGGAGTCAGAGGGTCTGGATTCTGGTCTAACTCCTTCAGTAATCAGTACTGTGATCTGCAGCAAGTCGCTTCAACTTGCTGCGACACAGCTATGAAGTGGAGATGCTGATGCCTGTTCTGTGTAATTCACAGGGTGAGCAAGAACATCCAGTATAATAATGTGCATTAAAGTGTGCAGAAAAATATTAAGTACAGAGCAAATCCAAGTTATTATTAAACAGTCTTACTTTTACAATTAAAATTTAATATCAGAGGAACAACTTGGAGGGACCATTTGTTCTTTGTAGATCTGGGAAAGGATTCTTGAACAAGGCTATAATATGATGCAACTTCATAAATGGAAATCTCAGGGTAACTTTTTTTGTGATATTTTAAGTAGATTTGAATTGAAGAAACTCAGCCAAGTTATCCTGGTCCCTCTTCCCTTAAATACTTTTTTTTTTGGTTTTATTTTTTATTTTTATTTTTTTGAGATGGAGCCTCACTCTATTGCCCAGGCTGGAGTGCAGTGGCATGGTCTCGGCTCACTGCAACCTCCACCTCCTGGGTTCAAGCACTTCTCCAGCCTCAGCCTCCCGAGTAGCTGGGATTGCAGGCGTGATTTTTGTATTTTTGTAGAGATGGAGTTTTGCCATGTTGGCCAGGCTGGTCTCGAACTCCTGAACTCAGGTGATCCGCCAACCTCAGCCTCCCAAAGTGCCGGCATTATAGGCGTGAGCCACTGCGCCTGGCCATTTTTCTGGTTTTAAAATCAAGGAAGCAACTAGGTGGTTGTTGGGTTTTTAAGTCATGAACCTATTTGTAAAGGAGCGTGCTTTGCCTGATATTATCTACTCTAACCCAGTAGATTTATAAACACTAATTTCTACTGTTTTAAGACCACTTTTTATTAAAAGCAACTAACAGTAAATAAAACCAACCACTAAAAGAGATAATTTTATCAAGAAGGGTTTAAAACAATAAACTTTTAGATCAAATATAGTACTTTCCTCATTTATCTTTCACTTTTCCTTTTGTAACTATCCTAGACCTCATTTCACACATCTCACACAGACATTGGTTAGAACAAATGCTTCTTTCTTTTTCTTTTTTTTTTTTTTTTGAGATAGAGTTTCACTCTTGTTGAGGCTGGAGTGCAATGGCACGATCTCGGCTCACTACAACCTCTGCCTCTCAGGTTCAAGCGATTCTCCTGCCTCAGCCTCCTGAGTAGCTGGGATTACAGGCGCCCACCACCACACCTGGCTAATTTTCCATTTTTAGTAGAGACGGGGTTTCACCATGTTGGCCACGCTGGTGTTGAACTCCTGACCTCAGGTGATCCGCCCGCCTGGCCCTCACAGAGTGCTGGGATTTCAGGTATGAGTCACCGCGCCCAGCCAGAATGCTTCATTCAAGGCCTGCTGAATTCCTATTCGGAGCCTAACCCACCCTAGAGCTGTGCCTTACAGGCTAGCTCTGCCTGCTGCATTAGCTCCCTGTGTCTTTCCATGTCTGTTTATTGATCTTTCTTTTTTGTTTTTGTTTTTGTTTTTGTTTTGAGACAGGGTCTTGCTCTGTCTCCCAGGCTAGAGTGCAGTGGCACTATCTCAGCTCACTGCAGCCTCAACCTCCTGGGCTCAAGCAATCTTCCCACCTCAGCTTCCTGAGTAGCTAGGACTACAGATGCTTGCCACCACTCCTAGTTAATTTAAAAATTTTTTTTTGTAGAGACGAGGTCTCACTATGCTGCCCAGGCTGCTCTCAAACTCCTGGACTCAAGAGATCCTCCTGCCTCGGGATCCCAAAGTGTAGAGATTACAGACATGAGTCACCACACCCAGTCTGTTTGCTGATCTGTTTTAAAGGAATGTCTACATTCACCTTTTCTAGGAGTCAGTTCTCCAAATCACTCTACCTTTCACTTTGTAAGTAACGGTGGGGAAGAATAAAATAACAATAAAATAAAATAAAAACAAAACTATATTCACTCCAAAGAGAAGAAAATAATTCCCTTTTGTCCTTTAAAGAGTGAAAATATTCATTACACAAATCAGCAATGTCCACCAAAGGCCACTGCTCATCAGCACTTAGTGTAGTTTCCAGAGAAAACATCTAAAATGCATAAAAGTTAAGCAGTTTTTGTATACCTAGCTTTTAGCTGATTTCATGACTGCTGTATAGCTTCTTTGTAGATAGTTTCTGCAGCTGTTTCATGAATGTTATGGTATGCCTGCGAATTGAATTGAAAAAGACTGAGTTCACACGGCTTTTGAATCAGTAAGCTGAAGCCCAGAGGGGTTAGGTACATTGGACTGGAAGCAGAAGGGATGGTTTTAAAGAGCAGCTGGTTGTTCATCTTCACTAACTGGCAGGCAGCCTTTCTGGGGTGTAGCTGCGCTGCAGGTTGCACAAAAGAGTCTCAACGCCCCTCCTGCTACCCAGGCCTAGCCCTCGCAGCACTAAATGGGTACATTCTTGACAAATAAGAAACTGGGGCCCGATATGCTGATTCCCACATCTGTATTTAGATCCCACTCATGACACAGTGTATGACCACAAGCAGGTCACTTAATTTCACTGGCCTAAGTTTCTCCATCTGTTAAAGACATCTGTTGTCTGTCTTATAGGTGAAAATGAAAGGAACTAGCTATGCAAAGTATATAAACCACAGTGGGTGCCTGATCAGTGTGACATTTCCATCTTTTCCCTTTCCCTCTGAACATTCCCCTCCCCAAAGACCCCCGAAGAGAAATGGCATGATATCTTCTGCCAACAAACTGATAGACGCCAGGGTGAAATCAGCGGAATTCAACTTGTGATTGGCATGCATTTATTAAAACATCCTTCTGCTTTCAGGAAAATCAGAGCTCTTTATTTCAGATGGAGTTATCTCGTTGGCTTACTATTTAAAATAAGAATTTGTACCACTATACGTTGGCTAACTCTGATGTTAAAGGAAACTTGCTGAAAACTGATTTTTGTTTTGGCAAAATATAGAATTACTACTTTTCCTGGTGGGCCTAAGCCAGATTCAGTGCCAAGAGGGAGGTAGGGAGAAGTAGGGTTTTTTTTTTTTTTGCCAGCAGATGCCATCAATCTTGAAGTATTCTGGACAAGTGAGGAGAGCATAAATTAAGACTATTGACGTCAAAATCCAGATAAACTTGAATCCAAATCCTAGTCTCATCATTTTATCAACTATGTGCCCTTGAGCGAATTACTGAATCTCTCTGAGTTTCTCAGCTGATTGATCTACAAAAAGAGGAATATACATGTAAAGTGGCTAGCACAGTGCCTGGTGCTTACTCAGTGCTCAAGGGGTGGGAATGGGGGAACGTAGGTGTTTCACAATAATTATTGCCATGAACTGGGTATGTAGGAGATGAATCTGGGGGAGCTTCTGGGTAATCACAAAAGCATGAGTGACTGTGATGAGTTGTATTAGCTTCTGAGGGCTGCTTTGCTTGTAAAGTACAAAGTACTATGAGCCGGGTGTCTTAGAACAACAGACACTTATTGTCTCACAGTTGTGGAGGCTAGAAGTCTAGAATCAGGGTGTCAGCAGGGCCATGCTCCCTCTGAAACCTGTAGGGGAGGATCCTTCCTTGCCTCCTGTAGCTTCTGGTAGCCCCAGATATTCCTTGGCTTAGGCCATCGTAACTCCAGTGCTTCCATAATTTCATACGGCATTCTCCCTATGTCTCTTCACAGAGGCTTCCCTCTGTGTGTGTCTGTGTTTGTGTCCAAAGGGCACCAGCCACACTGGATTAGGGCTCATCCTAATGACCTCATCTTGATTACATCTGCAAATATTCTGTTTCCAAATCAGGTCACATCCTGAGGTACTGGGGGTTAAGACTTTAACATATATTTGGAGGTGGAGTATACAATTTGACCCATCATCTGAGTATACATACTTCTAGATTAAATGCAACGAGCCTGGGCATTACCTCCACATTCTAAAATTGGGCACAATCTCCACACATTGGGCACATTTCTTGCAACCTAGAGAGGCCTATTGTGAAAAATGATATTGTGATATTGGTTAGCTTTCTAAGTGAATATTTTCTCGTCACAAAAGAGCAAAAGTTCCCTAGACTCAAGCGTAGGCAGGGACTTTCTTTTTAACCCCACTGAGTGAAAGGCAACCAGGAAGTGTGTGCATGTCCATTCACCCCAAAGGAAACAGCCTTGCATCATAGACAGAGCCATCCCAGGTCTACATAAGTTCATACCATGGAGAATATTTTTCCTACTTGCTTTCCCTTTCCTGTATATATGTTCAAATGTCTGACATTAATGAAACATTCAGTGTGATCCAGGGAAGTATCATGAGTCTGTTTTTCCTGAATCTGAAGGTTTTGGGGCTGGGAGGGAGATCATGTAAACCACCCCCTACTCCCAGGAAATGGAGTGGCTCTGTGATCCAGCTACCCCTGGGAGCCTAGGAAGGCTTAGGTTTCATGAGCCCACCTCGGAGCTACAGGGAAATCTCCATCCAAGATCCCCAGATACCAGAGGACAAAAGGAACACAGCAAAGGGAAAAACTGAACATCCAAGAGAATAAATTTACAACCTACAACAGAAGGCATCTGAAAAAGTCAGGTGGACTGCCGCTTCAGTGTAATGAACCACTCACCTGAATAAACAGTACAAGGTGCTGGAAATTGTGGAAACATGATTATTAACAAAGTAGAATCCTTCAATCCTTAAACTGACTACTGTATTACTTTCCTAGGGCTACCTTAACAAAGTATCATGTACTCTGTGGCTTAAAATAACAGGTTGTCCTTCAATAGGTGAATGGATAAATGACTTCAGTGGATGAGTGGATAAATAAACTGTGGTGCACCCAGACAATAGAATATTACTCAGAACCAAAAACAAATGAGCTCTTAAGCCATGAAAAGACATGCAGGAAACGTAAGTGCATATTACTAAGTGAAAGAAGCCAGTCTGAAAAGGCTGCATACTGTAGGATTCCAACTATGTGACATTCTGAAATAGGCAACACTATGGAGACAGTAAAAAGATGAGTGGTTTCTAGGCACTAGGGCAAGAAGAGAGGGATGAATAGGCAGAGCACAGGGGATTTTTAGGGCAGTGAAAATAGTTGGTATGACACTACATTTGTCCAAGCCCATTGAATGTACAATGGCAAGAGTGAACCCTAATGTAAACTATGGACTTTGGGTGATACTGATGTGTCACTGCAGGTTCATCAGTTGTAACAAATGTACTACACTTGTGAGGGATGTTTATAATGGGAGAGGTTATGTGTGTGTGAGACGGAATATATGGGACATTTCTGTATCTTCCTCTCAATTTTGCCATGAATGTAAAACTCCTCTACAAAAATAAAATCTTTAAAAATAAATAAATCACAAGCAGGGTTGGTTCCTTCTGAGAACCGTGAGGAAGAATCTGTTCCATGCCTCTGTCCTCACTTCTGGTGGTTTGGCAGCAAGCTTTGGCATTTCTTGGCTTGTAGATGCGTCACTCCAATCTCTGCCTTCACATGGCCAAGATTGTCTCCCTGTGTCTCTTCTTAGCGTCTGCCCTCTGTGCAGGTCTGTCTGTGTCTGAAGCCAAATGTCCCCTTTTGATAAGGACATCAGTCATATTGGATTAGAACCCACCCTGATAACTTCATCTTCACTCAGTTAGCTCGGTCAAGTCCCTGTTTCCAAATAAGGCCACATTCTAGGGTACTGGGAGTTAGGTCGTCCACATATCATTTTTTGGAGGACACAACTGAACACATGACAAATACTGAAAGATTTAAAAATTGTAATGTGCAGTTTCATAATTTAATCCATAAGCAATAAGTGGGATAGGCTAGGCATGGGGCCTCACACCTGTAATCCTAGCACTTTGGGAGTCTGAGGCAGGCGGATCACCTGAGATCAGGAGTTTGAGACCAGCCTGGTCAACATGGCGAAACCCCGTCTCTACTAAAAATACAAAAATTAACCAGATGTGGTGGTGCATGCCTGTAATCCCAGCTACTCGGGAGGCTGAGGCAAGAGAATCACTTTAACCCAGGAGGCAGAGGTTGCAGTGAGCCAAGATCATGTCATCGCACTCCAGCCTGGGGTACAGAGCAAGACACCGTCTCAAAATAAGTAAATAAATAAATAAATAAATAAAAGCAATAAGTGGGATAATTATTGAATACATTTAAAATGCCAGCTGGCCATGCATGGTGGCTCACACCTGTAATCCCAACACTTTGAGAGGTCGAGGTGGGAGGATTGCTTGATCCCAGGAGTTTGAGACTAGCCTGGGCAACATGGTGAAATCTCGTCTCTACGAAAACTAAAAAAATTAGCTGGGCATGGTGGCACACACCTGCAGTCCCAGCTACTCAAGAGGCTGCGGTGGGAGGATTGCTTGAGCTGGGAGGTCGTTGTTCTCACCACTGCACTCTGGCCTGGGTGACACAGTGAGATGGTGTCTTAAAATAAAAATAATAAAAATCAATAAATGAAATGCCAGCTGGCTGAAGTTTGTTGGGGCAGGGAGGACAGCTGGGTCCTTCCCTCACAGGTAAAAAACCTGTATAAAACCATTGGGTCTAGGGAGCTTTTGCCTCTTTGTGATCAGGAAGTATTCGCTTCTTAGAAAGCTAACTAATCTCCCTGCATCGAGCTCTGATCCATCAATTCTCCGTGAAGTCTGGGTATTAAACCAGCCCCAAAGAAGAACAGAAAAGGGGATTATCCTCTTCCACTAGGACACATGCCTTTTCTGGCATGGGAAGATAAAGCTCTCTGATGATAAATTTCCAAGTACATTTTAATGAGAAATGACATGGATTAAGAAAGAGATAGAGAAAATAAGAGATGAAAGGCATTCTATTTGTTGGACATTTTTAGCCACAGTTCTCCTTGTACACCCCTCAAAAAAGAAAGAGAAAAGTAATCAACAGGGAGGAACAAGGGAACACAAAGAGGAGATAAGAATTTTCTTCTACATGTATTCTGCGTTTCTCAGCCTTCTGTGGTGTTACTATCATCAATGAAAAGGCATTTAAGATCCTTAAGTTAGAAAAATCTTTTCTGCCCAATTCCCCACTTCTTGTTTGGAAACAAGAACATGCTCTGCAAGACCTGTAAGCACAGATTTAATTTCCATCATGATGATGATGATAAAATTTTAAAAATGGTGAACATTCATATAGTACTAACTATATGCCAAGCACTGTTCTAAGTACCGTGCAACTATTAGTTCATTTAATCCTTACAACTCCACTATGACTTCCGTGGTTAGCTAATAATGTGTTACCTCCATTTGCAGATGAGGAAAATGAGGCCAGAGGGGTTCACTCACTTGCCCACTTCCTCCCTGCTTGGACGTGTGTAAGACTGGTGCCTGGTTTTTGGCTCCAGGCTGGCTCCTGGTGGCTCCCCTGCTCTCTCCAGCTTAGCATTTATGAAAGTTATTCCCTGTGTTTTCAGAGTTCTAACCGCTAGTCTTTGAGTGGGTGAATCTGGCAGCAGCTGTGTTATTACATCAGATCCTGCTTGATGAGCAAACTTCTCCTCCTGGAGGAGCAGGGCTGGAGGGCTGGAGAGGAAGGATCTAGCAAGAGACTTTGAGTTCTATAACTCTTTCCCTTAAATATCTAGCCCAGGGGTCTAAATACTGCTTTACAGGCCCTAAAAAGAAGTCATGAGTGTACCTCTTTCCCCAGCAGGAGACATGGACTTCCGTATAACTAGCCAATCCTCTAACTCCATTGTTATTAATCTCACATGACTTTGTATGCCAATTCAAGGAAAAGAAACTCGGCATAATTTTGGACCTCTCTATATCTTTTTTTTTTTTTTTTTTTTTTTTGAGACAGAGTTTTGCTCTTGTCTCCCATTCTGGAGTGCAGTGGTGCGATCTTGGCTCACTGCAACCTCCTTTTCCTGGGTTCAAGTGATTCTCCTGCCTCAACCTCCCAAGTAGCTGGGATTACAGGCACCCACCACCATGCCTGGCTAATTTTTGTATTGTTAGTAGAGACAGGGTTTCACAATGTTGGCCAGGCTGGTCTCTAACTCCTGACCTCAGGTGATCCACCCACCTGAGACTCCCAAAGTGCTGGGATTACAGGCATGAGCCACCATGCCTGGCCGGACTTCTCTATATCTTAAGTTCTAACCCCTGTCCTGTCAAAGCCAGAGAACTGAGACCTGGAAAGAAATGAATGGGCTTTGCTGTCGTGTAAAGAGCCCCCACTTTGGGGTTGGCCGGGTGATGGCTAAAATGCTGTGTGTATAATCCTGGGCAAGTGATTTGACTTCTCTGTGCCAGGTTTGCACATCTAGATTGTAAAATAGAGCAATCATGTCTATTCAATGTTGTTCTAAGGATGAGATGAGATGCATCTGCCTGGCACCTTGTAAGTCCTGCACAAATGCAAATTATCACTGTTAAGTAAGCTTCACCATCCTGTAAAACAATCTGTTTGACTCACTTATTCCAAGTAAGATTGGCTGGACCTGTACATTCTTCTTTATTTAAAACTATCAATGTTACTGTTCATTTTTAAATAGACAGTGGCTATGATTTTTAGTTTTTTTAGCCTTACAAATGAGAAACCTAGAACTTCAACAAGCAGTAAAATTGAGCAGGTTAGGTATTCCTCACTAGCAGCATAAACCCAGCAGGGTGAGGTGATTCCTAGGGCCTCCTATAGTCTCCTAGCAGCCCTGATACCCTTTGTTTACGGGTCCCTGGGGGAAGTTGAGGACTTAAAGTCTCTCTAGTAGGCTTCAGAGCTCCTTATTTGAGCAGAACTGTGACATCTTGGAGAAAGAAGAGAACACCACCAGTCAGAAAAGCCCACAATTGTAGTGGTGTCCCGGTTCTGAATACAAGTTACCTAACGCCTCTGAGCCAATTTCCTCAACTATGAAATAGAAATAATAGTGCCCGTCTCACAGATACTATAACTACGAAGATCAAATTAGATCGCATATACATGATGAAAGTGTTCTGTAAAAAGTTGCCATCTGTCTTTGCTTGGATGGACCTGAGTTCCTGAGTTGGCTCTGAAAACAGCTTACCACGAAACAGGATAGGATTAGTGGGACAGCCTTGCTGACACAGATCATAACAGGGAGATGTCTCATTTTGACTTGGAAGTTGCACTGATATCATAGAAAATAAAAAAACCAGGTTTAACTGTTGGTTGGTACCTTGTGAGAAGAGGAAGAAGGTGATAAGAACTAAGATCAGAGCATAGTAGAGAAAGTAGCCCTGTAAACAGAGGAGAAGCAGAAAGAGAGAAGGGAGGACAGAGCTTTTATTTTGCTCCAGGTTAAAAAGAAAAAAAAAAAGCACATTACAACTCTATGTTCAGGTGTCTGTCCCAGGTCCTAGAACTGGAATAGACCAACCAAGCCCAACCCTTCTTAAAAGTAAGACTAGGTGCTTCCTGATTATATATTCAACTGCCTGGAAGCATGCAAGTAAAATTTCCTTGATGGCATTTCTAAGTTTCAAACATATTCTTCCTAAAAATGCATTTACAAAAAATATTAGGATTGTGTTTTTTTGGTTTGGACTTTAAAAAAAAATTGTTTTCAAAACCATAATTGTGGCCTACCCCAAATGGATTCTCCTCCCTACAGTGAGGATTTCATTTTTCCAGTCCCCCCCCGCCTTTTCATTTTTGATGAACTGCACATGTTGTGGGAGCCACTCGTGGGCCCTCAGACACGAGCAATCCTTCTGGCCGCTGCCAGTGTCCTAATAAGGGAATGAACAAGCGCCTATTGGTGAGGGAAGGGGAGTCAGGCGGTGGATGATATTTTTGCTGATTAAAGAGGATAAGGTGTGGTTTGGCAGGTATCTCATTGGTTTGGCTGGCTCCAGACCTAGGTTTTTTCTCTTTTTTCAGTTTGAATTCTGTAGAACAGACTGCTAAGAATTGTTTTTTCACAGATCTCTAACTGAGCTTTAGGAATATCATGCTGACACAGTTTATCTATGTTGAAAAAAGATAGGAATTTGGGGTTACATGATGTTTTCATTAAAAGAGGTTGAGGATATAGGTTAAAATCTTCTCGGTCACCAGGCGATGAAGGTGATACTGGACTTGATCAAATTTAGTCATGGAGAGAACAAGGGATATACCATTGGATATATTTAACACATGTTTAAAAAGTTTTAAACATTTATCTATGCAACAATATTAAGTAACACCTACTTTTGCTTGTAAATATTTATATTCTCCAATTTTAAAATAATAAAAGAAACAAAAAGAGCCTGGCACTTAGGATCATAGTGATGAGTTGCTCATCTATTTCCTGTCTGATCACTAAATACCTGCCAGTGACTCCTCTCTCCACTCTATTTTCTGAATGACTCGACACTGCCTTTTAACTTAACTGCATCTGGTCCACAGTGTTCTTAAGTCACTCATTATACGTCAGTGTTTCTCACATGAGCTGCAGGCTGGAATCATTTGGGGAGCTTTCAAAAGTTCTAATGTCTAGATCAGACCTCGAGCAGGATTCTGGTTTAATTGATTTGGGGCATGGCCTGGGCATCAGGATTCTTAGGCACTTCTCCAGGCAATTCTAATGTGCAGCTGAGGTTGAGGACCTCGAGAAGCAACTGCTACTCTGAAATGCATCCTCTATTGGATCATCTGGCCCCGTAAAGGGCCAGGCAGTTTTTCTTCCTGACATTTTGAAACCTCTCAAGAAAATACTATATATATATATATATGAAACAAGTTAGACAGGTTTCCTCCCAAGTTGGTAGATTCAGTTCGGTTGTTTAAAACTCAACAGTAGAGAATTGTGCTTTCAACCAAAATCAACTTCTAGACACATGGGTATTGTTTAAACTTTATTTTCCATGCATATAAGGAGTGAAGTACTCTGCCAGGTAGTTGAAAACAGTATCCATTTCAAAGTCATAAGTAATGAGATGAGATTTTTTATATTTTCTCTGTGTCCCTGCAAGTTATTCATCCCTTGATATTTAATTTAGTTAATACATGCCTCTTATTTTACTTTTTCTTATAATATTAAGCCAACTTCACATCCTGGAATTGTGAAATTGCTGTAGCAAGGATAGGATGATATGATCGAGAAGTTTAAAAAAAATTTTCAGATTATCAATTTTTAAAAGTAAGAGGATATGGAAGTGCAGTGCCTGCATGGAGAGAAGTTTTGAATTTTGAAAGAATTTTGGATTAATCAGGTGTCTAGAATTACTCATTACTCTCAGCTTCCTTACTGGATATTTCATTACCAAGGAAGAAGGCCATTTAGAAATTCAGGAGTGCAAAGGCTGGGCGTGGTGGCTCACGCCTGTAATCCTAGCATTTTGGGAGGCCAAGGTGGATGGATCACCTGAGGTCAGGAGTTCGAGACCAGCCTGGCCAACACAGTGAAACCCTGTCTCTACTAAAAATACAAAAATTAGCTGGGCATGGTGGCAGGCACCTGTAATCCCACCTACTTGGGAGGCTGAGGCAGGAGAATTGCCTGAACCGGTGAGGTGGAAATTGCAGTGAGCCAAGATCACGCCATTGCACTCCAGCCTGGGAGCCTGGGTGACAAGAGCAAAACGCAGTCTCAAAAAAAAAGGAACTTCGTTTGGAAGTGCAGACTGAGCTGGGAATATAAATTAGAGAATCCTCACCTTAAAACTGACAGACAAGTTATAAACATAGATGATATTATCCAAGGAGCATATGTTGGATAGGAGAAGAAAGGAGTTGAGGAAGAAACCCAATAAAAGGTACAAAAGAAACTACAAAATAAATTTAAAAACAGAGAATCTCAAAAAGGGAGATGTGGTCAACAGTGTCAGAGCTCTCTGTGGGATCAAGTAAGATTGAGAGCACAAAGGGACATTGGACAATTTGTCTCAAAGGACAGCTTAGAAAGCACAAGCCCATAACACAATGTCATTTTGGAGTTAGGGCTACTAATACCTGGATCAAAAATATTGAATATAGTCAATATAGTGTTCCGATATATTTAATAATGAAACTGAACTGTTCTTTTGATATTTTGATCAACTGGTCAAGTGATTAAGATGTCTGGAACTAAAAATCACTAGCCCCGTAGAGATCCATCTCAAGATGATTTTAGGTCAACTACCAAGTAGGTTAAACTAACTGATAAACCTAACTCCAAAATTGAATGTAAACTGACAAGACAGCCCGTGATAGGGTGGATTTAACTATTTTGGGCTATTAATGACTTATCCATTGAATTTCAGAACCAGTTTTGGCTACAGCACATGAAAATATTTCCAAAGGACTGCTAAATCAAACATGCTCAGTTTACCTAGTTGTACTGAGTTCTTTTTGCTTCCCACAGACATTGCAAAAGGCCAAAACTAACACTAGGCTTGATAGTGAAAAGAGAAAGAATATAAGAAATTTGCAAGGGAAGATGGTGCAGGAGGAGTTATGGAGGTAAAAAGGCATGTGCTGGAGTTGCAGGAAAATATAGAACTGCTCTATTCATGAGCCAAGCCAAGGCCAATCACATGACAATAAAAAAGACTGATGGCACATGCACACACGTACACACACACACACACACGCTCTTGAAGCAGGCCAAAGTCCACAGTCTCACTGGAAAACACCAGTTGACTCCGTTTGACTTTAGCACCTGATCATTGACTAGGTTCAAAAGTCAAATACTTTTCCTGTCCATAATCACTTGGTCTTCTTAGTAAGTAAAATATCCATTTTCCAGCTCTGAACTCAAGGGGATTTTCTGCATATAGTTGCAACATAATGCCATCTCCAGAGAAAGTAACATGGGAATGAGAAGCAAAGAAATGCATTAAAACATTTGCATTCTGGACCAATGAGCAAAATGCACCAAGAACCTACCTAAGCAAACACTGGCAAGAAAGTTTGTGGCTAGTAATTGCTTCTGACTATTGGCAGGAAGGAATTGAAAGAAGTGCAAAGTGTTGGGGGTTCCATCTCCTGTATTTTTTTCTAAAAATTCTTCTGTCTCCAAGCCTAGCTTTTAGTAGGCTGCCGCCGCCACTCCTCGGTTGGTTTAATATGGTTTTGTCATGATGATGAAACTGAAACCTGAGAGGTCATTTCCTTTTTCTTTTTTTTTTTTTTTTTTTTGGTGAATGATCAGGCTTCACCTTCTGGAACTGATGGTCAGAAAGCGAGCCCTGCAGCCCATAGCAACATGGCAGCAGGTGTAGCCAGGTATTCCTGGTTCATATCCATGAGCCAGTATGAAGTGTCTGCTTTTAAAGCCACTCACAAAACTTCCAACAGAGTGTATGTGTGCTCTGTGTGTGTGCACATGCTTTGGTTTTGGGGATGACCTTCTCCCGCCTCTGTTACTGAGAGAAGATAAAGCTGTAATAACTTTAAACACCATTTTTGCAGTAAATACTCATAAGCCTAGCATAGAATTGTCAGCCTTTCCCTACACATGGACTGGAGTCATATTTCATTGATCTGCCTTTTAAGGAAGCACTGTTGTTCTGTATATGACACTAAAACTTTTAAGTCTTGGAGTATTTGGCCTTTCCATGTTCTGATTTAGATGAATCCACATGAGCTTAGGCAGTTCACCTCTTATTCAGGTATAGGTTAGCCTCATGATGGCTATTGCTTTGTGTTTTAATGCCATATGCCTTTCTTGACTGCAGTTAACTAAAAATACTTATTAAATCCCTGCTTTATGCAAGGCACTTTGAGAAGGGTGCTAAAAATGTATAAAACTTGACTTGCTTTCAAGAAACACATGCCATAATATGGGAGATAATACACAAATAACAGCAATAGAGCAATATGTGATAAATAACTGGAACAACCACAGAGATTTCAGAGGCATTAAAGAGCTCCTTCTAGTTGACTTCCATGATGGAAGAATGTAGCATTTGAGCTGACATTGATGGACAGATAAGCGGGGTCTCGGTAAAAATGGAGAGAAGGAAAGAACCACTTAAGTGTAATCAAAGAGAGCAAGAGAGTATAAAATGAAGTTGAAAGAAAAAGAAAGAAAGCTTTACTGATGTTCGTTATGCTTTCTGGCACGAGCACCTCCCCTCAATTTCCGACCCCATGTGACTGGTCCTGAGAGCATCACACAAAAATAGTGCCCTGGAAAAATGGAACATGAGTCCCCTGCACCCCCAGAGGGGAGAACAGTGGGGCCTTCGCTTGGCCCTGTCTTTTCAGCATTCTGTGACTCAAGGCAGTTTACTTGACTGGGTAAATGGATTTACCAGTGGTAAACCTTATCTAGTTTAAACTTCATGAAATAGACCTGTACTGAGAAGGATTTCTGCAGAAGCTTCAAGCAGAGGTAACACTAATAATGCAAACCCAAGGCAACGCTGACACTTACACACGGAGAGGACACTAATGCTTGTGAACGCAGACCAGTGCGTCCTCAGCTCACACTTTACCTGTTCCTTTCAGCAAGGTGAGTTTACAGCAGAGAGGGGGAATCTCACTGCTTTTCAGAAGTAACTCATGAGAGAACAGATCTTTTGGAAAATGGCAGCATTTTTTTGTGATTTTGCTGGTGAAAAAGATGTAAACATGTAACCTATCAAGACTATCATATCTTCATACTCCACCTTGGAAACATTTTCTAATGTATTTAAAAATCTCCCCAGTGAAGAATTTCAGTAGGTTTTGAAACTATTTATTTAAAATGTAAAATTGAAACACCTTGGGATTACTTTGAACTGGAACAACTGATTGACATCAGGACAGACAATTTTTGATACAATTTTCTAGGCAAATTGTATCAAAAAATTGTGCATGGTTAGTGGGGCAGATTTAAGATATTAGTACTGTGCTTCCACCTGTCAAGCCAATTATGTGTTTCTTTGTATATCTTTGGGGATTAAAAAAATTAAGCGGGGCTGAGCGTGGTGGCTCACATCTGTAATCCCAGCACTTTGGGAGGCTGAGGCGGGTGGATCACCTGAGGTTGGGAGTTCAAGACCAGCCTGACCAACATGGAGAAACCCCGTCTCTACTAAAAAAATACAAAATTAGCTGGGTGTGGTGGCACATGCCTGTAATCCCAGCTACTTGGGAGGCTAAGGCAGGAGAATTGCTTGAACCAGGGACGTGGAGGTTGCAGTGAGCCGAGATTATGCCATTGCACTCCAGCCTAGGCAACAAGAGTGAATCTCCATCTCAAAAAAGAAAAAAAAAATTAGGCTATGACTGTCATTTAAAACTAAATGCCTAAATAAACTGAACTTAGAACCAGACCTTCACATTATCGATTACAATGCATTCAGCCAAGATGTTTCAAAAATAATTAAAGTTTTATGAACATTAATAGATTAAATTTAACATTACTTTAAATGTATCTTTGTTTTATTGTCATTCTGTCCTTTTAAATTTCTGTTCATTGTGTTTTGTAATGTCTACAAACATTTAAATAACACTACATGTAATTTATAAATGACTATACATATACGTATAAATGTATATGCATACATAAATGTATATATCAGTGTTATTGGTGCATGCTTAATTTTTAAAATTGATTGTAGTATAGTATGAAAAGTCATTTAGAAACCATTGGCTTAGATCATGGATCACCAAACTTTTTTGTAAATGGTCAGATAGTATATATTTTCAAATTTGTGAGCCATACAGTTTCTGTCATAATAATTGAGCTCTGGCACTGAAGTGCAAAACAGCCATAGATGATAGAGGTGTGGTTGTATTCCTATAAAACTTTATTTGCAAAAACAGAGTGGGCTGGCTTTGGCCTGCAGGTCATAGTTTGCCAATCCCTGGCTCAGATGACTGAAGCTCTTTGTTAGTCTCCAGGGCACCCTAAGAAAGCTTCCTATTGTAGAAAGAAAACAGGTATAGGAACTTGAAGACCTGGGTCAATCCTGATTTTGTAATTACTTTTATGAGTCATTTCACCTCTTAGATCCCAGGTTACCAAGTATAAAATATAAAGCTTGAATTCGAAATAATGTCAAAATTCCTTCTAGTTTCATTAATCTATCATCTTAGATGCTCACTACCTTGCCACAAGCAGTGGATTTCAGCTGGGCTCTGAATGGAAGCAGAATAAGTGAAAATCCAATTTAATACGAGGTGGGCAAAGTGAGTTCAAAACAGTGGAGAAGGTGACAAGAATA
This sequence comes from Homo sapiens, assembly GCF_000001405.40. Taxonomy (NCBI): domain Eukaryota; kingdom Metazoa; phylum Chordata; class Mammalia; order Primates; family Hominidae; genus Homo; species Homo sapiens. Next base: position 134,914,236 of record NC_000007.14, read on the forward strand.
AAAAAGGACAGAAATTCCATTCTGAAAAATGTAAAGTCACAGCTTATGGCTCTTGAGGGGTCCTCCATGGTGCTGCTGTTCTAAATGATTGTAGGACTTGCTCAACTGAAGTCTCCTCTTGCAGCTAAGATGGATGGGATCCTTGATATGGGGTAGCTGGCCCTAATTTCTTTTATTTCTTGGGGAAAGCTGCAGAGTGAAATGAAACACCTGGAGTGGAGATTGAAACTAGAAAATGTGTGCTGCCCTTCCGGGACTCCCTTCCACAGGGCCATAGCCTTTGGAAAGAGCCTTATACTTCGTTAAATGATTGGTCTGCTCTTCTCAGTTCTTCGAAGCCATCTTTCTGTATGTACCAAGCACGATTGGCGCCTCACTAATGCCCTTCATGCCTTCCAAGCCCTAGCCAGATGGAATTGTGTGCTTTTCCATAACCATATTTCCCGATTCTGCAACCTTGCTATTTGAGCTTTCTGTACATGGAAAGGTCCTCTTTCATTCCCCCAGCTCCCAATGCTAGCCATCCCAAAAGAGCCAGCTTGAATACCACTTTCTTTATGAAGCCTCCTCTGATCCCTTAGCTGGAATTGCCTTCTTCCTCCTCTAAACTTTAAATCACTTTAAGTCTTCTGTAATATTTACCACATTCTACCTATTATCACATCCTTAACAGGTCTTAACTTCCCTACAGATTATGAACTCCTTTCAGGGGTTGAATTTATCTTGGTTTCTGCCCTCACTGGCTTGAATGGAGTAAATGTTCAATAAATATCTGTTGAATGGATGTGCTAATTCCAGCCACCTGTGTGTCCATTTCCAGGTTATAGCAGCAAGCATTACCTACCAGCATCCCACAACCGCAAGTTCAGACTCCACCTTGGTATCTGGCAGATGGTTCTGAACAATGGTTTGCCACCTCCTCCTCAGAACCTAGGCCCCCATGCCTCCTCCTCGGAACCTAGGCCTTCATGCAGCCCCCTTGCTGCCCAGAGCTCACCACTCTGATGACAGTTCTGAATTGAACTGTCCTTGCCTCCAAGTCTAGGTTCCACGTGGATCAGTCAGGGAGAGGAATGTATACCAGATTAGCAACCCATAAGTCAGTGCCAGTGCTGTCACTTTGTAATTCAGAAATATGAACTTTTTTTTTAAGTCAAGTCAGTGATCTTCACCACTGAAGCAGTTCCTCCTGTATTAGGTAACAAGTTTAAGGAATTAATGATTACATTGGTGATCTAGTCAGAAGACAGCATAAGCCTTATTGGTTAGTAAACTAATCTAACCAATGAATTAGGATGGAATTGCCTTGTTGGGATAGAAATCTGTTCCAGGAGAGACAGGAACCCTCAAGTCATTTAAGTGCTGTAGAATGTCTCTAATGCTCATGCTCCCTCTCTCAGAGTCCTGATTCCCTGAGTCTTAAGCTGTTGGTGATTCTAACTCAATTTGCACACACAAATGTGGGTGCTTAGTTATTTAATATTATTCTATCTGTTAAAACATTCACATTTTTATAGGGGTCTTCTATTAACTCAAAGGGAGTCTTTAAGCATAGAAGATTCTACTTGGTTTGGTTTGGTCAGGCTGGCTTTTTACCAAATCACAACAAATGGGTGTTTGCTTTTCTCCCTCCACATTGAGCAGGCCCTGTGTTAAGCAAGGTTTCCACTGATTTAGGAAGATGATCTATCAAGAGCAGAGAAGACTCCTTGACTTCTTTTCTCAACAGTAGGGAGATGGGACCCATGAGCAGTGGTTGACTGCCAAGTCCCCTGCAAGAATAAATATTCTCTTCAATGGGCAAAGCATCCATGATTTGGCCCTTCATTTCCCATTTCCTGTCTCCACTCAAGGTTTGTCTTTTTACTTTCTGCCACTTGTACACAAAGCTCTCCAATGCTAGCACATGGAGTGGGGGTATGAGCCAACTGGATGTTAGATAGGTGTGTGCAGGACCTCTGGAGTCAGGCAGGTAGGGTTCACCCCATTCTTGTTAGAATGGCAGTGACTTCTTCCCTAGCAGAGCTAGCAACAATGCCCCAGTGTCAGATCTATCATATATTACAGTTTCCTGTCTGAAGAAGAGATGAGGGGTACAAGAGGGAGGAACAAGATGGGAGGCAATGCCACTCGAGTGGAAAGGAGCCCTGGGAAGGAGGAAATGAATAGTAAATCTTTTTCCAATTAAGAAAAATGAGAGTGGAAGCAGAAAAGCTCCAGAGGGCACTTTTAGGGGAGGGAAAGATCATAAAAGGCCTGTTATGAAAATCTATTACCCATAAATTTCCCCACATTAAGCAGAGCCTGTCTAGAGAGGATGCTGAGAATTCACTCAGCTGACACAAGATATGTGACTTGATTTAGTGGCATCCACATGCTGTGTACCGTTTCCATTGGCATGTCTGCAATACCACTTTCCCTTGCAGGGATCCCCTTTAATTACTCGCAGGCTTATAATCTCCATTTAAGGACATCTTGCTTCCATTTTCCAATCGCTTTATGTCTTTTGTCAGATGTTTACCGATGTGATAGTGGTACCATAATTTGAAGCTCAACCACATGAGATTATGGACTTTAGTATTGCATCACATGAACATTTCAGATTTAGGGATGAGTCGAACTTCTAGATCACTCTAAATATAAGACTTATCTAAAAGGAGTTCATATTTTTTACATTTGAAGACGACAGTGGAAATTTCTCTTTCTAGGTGATTGTCTTCAGATACGAAAATAATGTGCTTGTTTATATACCTGTGGTCAAATGTCATTGCATCCAACTTAGCCAGTAGAAATGTGAGAATATCCCTACATCCTGCTCTGGAGCAGGTGTGATTCAGTTGCATATCCAGATCTAGACCTCTATGCAAGAGAAAGAGCTGGAAAAATATAGTGCTGCCAGCCATCGACACCTGGGTCTGAACTGTTTCCTAATGTTTTACTTTTTTTAAACGACTAAGCCCAAGGTTTATTGTCCACATCTACGATGCACATTAAAGCAAAATTGTCCTTTAATAGATAATAGCAGTCAAAGAACAGCTCCAACTCAGATTTTACTTTTGATTGACAACATTTTTTAAAAGCCTAAGTTCACTGAGGATCATATTTATTTAAAAAAAATTTTTATTTTTTTGAGACGGAGTTTTGTTCTTGTTGCCCAGGCCGGAGTGCAATGGCGTGGTCTCAGCTTACTACAACCTCCATTTCCTGGGTTCAAGAGATTCTCCTGCCTCAGCCACTTGAGTACCTGGGATTACAGGTGCGCACCACCACGCCCAGCTAACTTTTTGTATTTTTAGTAGAGACGGAGTTTCACCATGTTGGCCAGGCTGGTCTCGAACTCCTGACCTCAGATGATCCACCCACCTTGGCATCCCAAAGTGCTGGGATTACAGGCATGAGCCAGCACACCAGGCCTATTTAAAATTCTTACTCATTATTTAAGACTGTTATAAACAAAGAATTCTAGGTTGGGGATGAAGAAAAGGTAAAGTTCATGAAAACCCAGGTAGTAACTGGGCTTATCTTTTTTAGCCACATTTATACCAGTTGAATCTTAAATAATGATGGAAAGAGAGGAAGGAGTTTGGTTATTTTATTTTAATTATCTTCCTGGCCACTTAAGCATTCATAACTCCTTTTCATTCATTTCAGCTAAAGTTTAATTCAAGTAACTAAGTCAGGAGCAATAGATATCTTCTCCACCATCAACCCTGTCTTTCCTTACATATTCTTTGTAAACATTTATAAATTAAAAAGTGAATGTTTGTATCTGAGCAAGCTTATTGATTTAATAGGGTGGGGTAGATGGGGTGGTGCAAATTCTGTCCCTGTTTGTGGCAAGATGAATAGATTTTAGTTTATCTTAGGAAACTGTCATGGACTTATCCTTCCAAAATCCATATTTACTGGGGTTGGCAGATGCACTATTTCTTTTAAAAATAAATGTGAGAAAAATAGCAACTCAATAAAAGATAAATCCAGTTTCTATTCATTTTATTTGTACTGAATATCACAAACCATTTCTGGATGTTTTAAAAGAAAATGGCACCAATTGAAAAAGAAGTTAAACATCTATCCCATACAAATTATAATCTCAAGAAATGTTTGGAAAAGCTTGTGCCTCATCTGTTGTTATAAACTACAGCTATTGATATAAACATAGATGAATCTCAAAAACATCATGTCAAATAAAAGAATCACAGAATGCATGCAGTATTGTTATGCATAGTTTATTTAAGGCAACACTGAAAAATATGCTGTTTAGGGATGCATACCATGCTGGTAATACTACAAAGAAAAGCAAGAGAATAATTCAGAGATCTTAAAATTCAGGCTGGTGCTTATTTGGAGGCATATAAAAAGAGATAGGGATGCGATTGAAGAGGAGCACATAAGGATCCCTAACAACTGGTGCTGTTTACATTGGGTAGTAGGCACATGGTTGTGTGTCTGATTGTTCTTTAAAGTAGTCATGTACATGGCTAGGCGTAGTGGCTCACGCCTGTAACCCAGAACTTTGGGAGGCCAAGGCAGGCAGATTGCTTGAGCTCAGGAGTTTGAGACCAGCCTGGGCAACATGGGGAGACCCTGTCTCTGCAAAAAATACAAAAATTAGCCAGATGTGGTGGTGCACACCTGTAGTCCCAGCTACTCAGGGGGCTGAGGTGGGTGGATCACATGAATGAACCCAGGAGGTCGAGGCTGCAGTGAGCCAAGATTGTATGAGTGCACACCAGCTGGGTTACAGAGGAGAACTTGTCTCAATAAGTAAATAAATTAATAATAGTAATAAAACAAAGTAGTCATGTACCATACATTCATTTGTAGGTACAATATAAGTCATGATAAAAGTCTTTTTAGCTTGAAATAATAAACCCAAACAATTAGAATCCATCATTTTAAAATGTCCTGTGAATATGTGCATGGATTCAGAAATGAGCCTGTACGCTTGGGGATCCGCCTGCCCTGGAGCAGGATCATTCTAAAAACTGTCCTTTTATAACTCAGAGTCAGAATCAGAACTCTCAGTACTCCCTGGGTGCCTTCTAACCATACAGGACCCACCAGACCTGATCTATTTGTTGGACAGGATGTTCCAGTCATAATGATGCTAAGAACCAGACTGCTATGGTATGTGTAGACACAAGAAGAGGATTTTATGTCACCATGTACTCTGTTCTGCAGCATATTTCCCCTGTTAGGGTCTGTAATTATAGAAACTCATCCAATTATGGGATGTCACCATTGTATAAAGCAAATGTTGGGCTGGTGGTGACAACTTGTGAGTACATACATAAGAACACTAAAGCTTCCAAGTACACAGTGTTTTATTATTGAGAGCCCAAGTATGGTTGGTATGCAAACTTTAGTGACTCTCAAATATGTCTATGTATGGGGAGATGGGGTGGGAGAATGGGGAATAAATGAAGTGGGAAATGCTTTGCTTCCTTAGTAACTTTCTTCCAAGTAATATATCCCCTTGCATGCTCTCACCCCAGGAAAAGGCACAACACTGATACAGCAATGAACCCCACAATGAAATAATACAGCACTTTTCCATGAAAATTTTTTTTCTTCTAAACCAAGAGGGCTTTCTTTCACTCTATCCTGTATTAATAACAGACCAATTCACTACAGACTACTTACTAATAAATGTCTAAACATATTCTGATATGAAAAATATTTTTATTTTCTTGATTTTTTTTCCTCCATAATTTTTAATGCTTGCCTTTTAAGGAATCCAAGGAAAAAAATTCAGAGTTGGATTTTATGTGAATTAAATGAAACCACAACATTTTGCAGACACCACATATAAACAAAATCATATTTAAGAGCCTGGAATGTTTCTATAAACTTCTTTTAACTTTCAAACATACAGTAAATCTGCAAGGCAAATATGACTCATTTCAGTAGCTCAGGATTTTCCCTCCTGATCACAGTATGGTCTGAGATTTTGCTAAGAATGTTTGAGCAATTTATAGAGCTATTTGGATATGTTTGGAGAATGTGCTTGTATTTCATGCTATGAAATAAAATCCCTGGGGGTTTTGGTACATGAAAAAGAATAATGAAAGTATGTGTGAGTCATTTTGCCTCCAAATAGTTGATAAGCATGTTTCTAACCTACATGAGGTTTTTAACTTTTTAAGTTGGATCCCAAATTAAGACCCAGGTTCAGACAATGCCATTAGCAGAACCAATAATGATGGGAATCAAATAAAAGTAATTGACTAAGAAGTCATCCTTTTTTGAGGCTGTGAGCCCCAGGCATTCTTCTTTGGGGTGTGGCCTTCATGGGGAGTGTATTGCTGCAGAAAGCTGGGGACAGAATAGTGTTCTGGATTGAGTATCTCAGTTACCAGCCTGAAATCTCCATCGACCAACACTGCCTTCTCTCAAATGACTTCTTATATGAAAGTGGACAGACAGTGGAATGCAGAAATTTTAGAGCTGATCTTGGGGACCGGTCAACTGTCTACTGGCCAGTAAGTTACTATGAATTCAAAAATGGTGAACTTCAATAGCATTCATTCTGTCAGATAGTGAGTTTATTTGATCTGTTGGAATTTTAGGTGCAGAGTTCTTTTTCAAAATATAGGAATGTGCAGAAACAATTAAGGAAAACAGACTTGGAAACTTTGATCTGAATGGAGTCCTCTTTAAGTCTTTTATAACTGGGCTTCACTACAATACCTTGAGCCTTTTGTTTTCTCTGAGGCTTTTTCTCACTTAACCTGTGTGTCTGCATCTGTGTCTGCATTTGTGTGTGTGCTTATCAAGCACAGGGAATATTGAAGAACACAAAAAAGTTTGAAGGTGACAATTCAAAGTCTATCCACTGGCAATCTTGTAATCTCTTTCAATACAGCAATTGTTCTCTAGCGGTGAAGATTTTGAAAGAGATTCCCAAATTCATGTCCACACCAAGTATTTTCTGTAGTCTGATGAACAGTTGTCTCATGTATGAAAGACTGTTTTTCAAATAAGCTTATATGCACTGGTTTATAATATACAGATTCCTTTTTATGCACTATTGAATTTATAGATATTTTATAAAACACTTTATCAACAAATAACAAAAGTATAAGCAATTGTCATGAGATCTTAATTTTTTCATAATGTTTTAAAAGGATCCTCATTCTTAAGATGTTAGAAACCATTGCAATACAAGATCTAGAAGATTACATCTTTTCTCTAATCTTACCAGTTAGCAGTGGCTATCTTAGTGTGTGTTGATCCAACTTGGCTATTTGAAATGACAAAGCATGGGAATGTAAATTAAAACAACTGCTGTGGTCCGGCATGGTGGTTTACGCCTGTAATCCCAGCACTTTGGGAGGCCGAGGCGGGCGGATCACCTGAGGTCAGGAGTTCGAGACCAGTCTGGCCAACATGGTGAAACTCTCTCTTTACTAAAAATACAAAAATTAATTGGGCGTGGTGGCAGGAGCCTGTAATCCCAGCTACTCGGGAGGCTGAGACACAAGAATTACTTGAACCAGGAGGTGGAGGTTGCAGTGAGCCGAGATTGGGCCACTGCACTCCAGTGAGATTCTGTCTCAAAAAACAAAACAAAACAAAACAAAACAAAACTGATCTTTTAAATTTTAAATTTAAGTGAACACATACTATTTCACTTCTCAATATCTACCCTAAAGAAATACTTGCATCGTGCAATAGGGGAAAAAATGAAAGAACCCAAAATGTCTTTCTATAGAATGGTTAAACTGTGCTATCCTATTACATAAATGATGAAAATAAAGGTATGCCCTAGTGAACTGATTTTGGCAAGTCCTCAAACACATTATTAAATTTTTTACATGGCAAAATAACTATATTATATATCCCATGTATGTAAAAAATACAGCATTGCAAGATGCAAATCCAAACTTGATTAACTATTTGGTTATCTAGGTAATTACTCAGAGTAATACTGTGATTATCAACATAAAATAAGTAAATATTTGTACTCTCTATAGACTTAAACTGTTCTTTTTCATTCTCTCTGAGTCTTTAATGCTCCTAAACATGTAATAAAATCAGCACCCTCCCCATAAAAATGTCTATTATTTTTCCCTGATTTAATTTTTAAACATGGCTTCCTCATAAGAGATCTTGTCTTGTTAATAAAATACTATTGCCACAATTTTACTTGAACCTTTAAGGATGATGTCCTATAGTCTCAAACCAGAAGATACCAAAATGGAGAAAAGACAAAATGAAGGGAATAAGAGCAACATTCTTTAAACTACGGGGAACACGGAGTAAAAAAATCAAACAAGACGACCTATACTATAGTTGAGATGAAAATAAGAATTTTGCCAGTGTTGCAGAAGTTTTGAGAAATATTTGCTAGGGAAGCTGGGGTCGGGGGACACTGGGGCAAGAGGAAAACTCGTTCCTTGCTCCAGTGTCTTGCTACGGAAGCTTCTGCAAGTTCTTCTGGCTCTCGTCTGGCATATATTTAGACCCTGGCCCTTCCAAATGTAATAACATCTCATTGGTCTCCTCATTTGCCATGTCTGCAAGACTTTAATTCATTTGAACTTTCTATCTGAAAGGCACAAACTAAAACATGGTTATCTTGTTACTTAAATACACTGAGGCAGCAAGGCCTGGTGTTAAAGACCTAAAATATCTTCAGTGTAAAAGCCACAGCATTAGAAGAGAGCTTTCCCATTGCATATATATTTTTTTCTTATCTTGTAACACCAGGGCCCTTAAGCAATGGTTCCAGGAATGGAAGAAAAGCCAATCCTCTCTACTTTTTCATGCTACTCGTACAATCAAATAACATCATGTGGTTATTATGGACTTTTAAAATTCGTTGCATTTATTCGTCAGTGTGAACACACACACACAAGATTATTTCTCTTTCTCCAAAATATCCAATGAGCCATGTTGCTGTCAGCTGACCTTTGCTGCAGAAAGGTACCTTTCTCCAAGTGTTTGTGCCAACAGATGAGCTAAAAGCAGTTACCAAGTAACAAAGTGGAATACTCCACAATAAACCCTCTTCCAACCAGCATAGGTGGGAAGTTCATGGATTCTGGTCAAACAAACATTTTATTTCATAGAGAAGTACTTTATAGATCATTTGTGGATTGCCAGTTTTTTTAAAAAATAGATCCACAATAAAATGCATTTGATTTAAACTCTATTAAACAAAATTCAATAATTCTCAGATGATTCAGATAAACTTCAGGATCCCACACTCCTTCTGAATCATCTGGGAACATCACTTGGCTTTGTTCTGTAGCATATGGCAAACAGGTTAATACTGGCATCTGCTGAATTTTCACAGAAGGAACAAATGGATTATTATGCTTTTATTACAATCCAGTGGTTGGTTAGGTATGATTTTTACTAGTCAGCAGCATTTCAAATACATTTAAATCTGGCGTGTGGAAAATCAGAAATGTCAACATTTTGTCTTTCACTGAAGCATGAAGCAGACCCTGTGCTATCGTTTGATATAATAAGGATCCTGTGTACTTGTCTTTTTGGACAAATTCTGCTTTGTGGTGAAATTAGCTTTCATGCATTACTGGTATTAAATTGACAATTTGTCGATGATTATCAAAAGCCTTTAAAATGAGCATACTCTTAAACTCGGAAATTAAACTCAGAAATTCTAACTTCTGAGAAGTTTTCCTAAGTAAATAATTGAACAAGTGATTAAAGTGAGTCTGTAATAATGTCCTTAGCAGCATTGTTTATAAGAAGATATAAAGTTGAAAACAATCTTAAATGTGCCTCAGTAGAAAATTGGTTAGTCATAATAGATCCATGTAATCATTATGTATGTGTATACCTAAGTGGTAATACTGTGTTGCTATTGAAATTATATATTGCTAACATGTTAAAAATAGTCATAAACAAGGTAAATTAAAGAAATGGTTTGTGAAATGATATGTATGACATAACCCTATTTTATTAAAAACAAAAATGTCTGTGCATGCACAGGAAAATGGTAGAATATATCACATACTCATCATGTTCAAATCTGGGTTTGCATGATTCTCGGGAGTGGCTTTTACTTTCTCCTTTATATATTTTGAATTGTTTGGTTTTAAAAAAAATTTATGTGTGCGTTGCTTTTAAAATCCAAAAGAATGAACAATTCAGGGTACTTTTTTTTCAATTTCGGAAGAAAAAATAATAAACCTGTGGTGTTAGTAGGATGGGAAGCTCACCATGAGGGAGAGGCCTAAAAGCTAAGAAATGACTGTTTGCTTTGCTTGCCTAACGCTAATGTAGGGAGCCTCAGAGTTGAAGAATTTTCACCCCTATCAAGTCATTTGGCATGGACACAATTTTACCTATAAAGTCAACTGATATGTTCTTGAACCAGCAACTGGACATGTTATGATTGAAAATGCCATGAAACCATTTTAGCTCTTTTTTTGTTCTTAACTTTGTAAATAATTTTAATATGTTTCTTTATTAGTAGTCATAAAAAGATCCATAGATATTTTGCCCCGTGATATCGTTAGGCTTTGTGTCCCTACCCAAATCTCATCTTGAATTGTACTCCCCGTAATCTCCATGTGTCAAGAGAGAGACCAGGTGGAGGTAACTGAATCATGGGTGCAGTTTCCCCCGTGCTATTCTCATGACAGTGAGTTCTCACGAGATCTGATGGTTTTATAAGGGGGGGCTCTTCCTCCTTCACTTGGCGCTTCTTCCTGCCACCTAGTGAAGAAGGTGCCTTGCTTCCCCTTCACCTTCTGCCATAATTGTAAGTTTCCTGAGGCCTCACCAGCCATGCTGAACTGTGAATCAATTAAACCTCTTTCCTTTATAAGTTACCCAGTCTCGGGCAGTTCTTTATAGCAGTGTGAAACGGACTAATACACTCTAGTAGCTGTGTATCCTAGAAAATGGGCTCCCAATGGAGAATGATTGCCTATAAACTTTAAGCTGTACCAAGCAAGAAGAGGTAGAAGAGATAGTGGAGATGATCGGTTGTTCAGGTTGCTCCACTGAGAAATCAAAGATGAAGAGAGGTTACATGTGATGTGGCCTACGTGGCAAATCTAGTTCATGTCAGAGCTAACAGCCAGCAATATCCAGCCATGAAGCCCAGTGGGTAGGTGAAAAGAGAAAGATGGTAAGTTCTGAAAATAGTGGGAAATTAAGGACTTAAGGTTATATTCCATTAAGGGGACGGAGGAGTTTTGCTTTTAGGATAGGTGTATAAGTTCGTTCTTGCACTGCCGTAAAGAACTGCCCAAGATGGGTAATTTATAAAGAAAAGAGGTTTAACTGACTCACTCATAGCTGGGGAGGCCTCAGGAAACTTACAATCATGGAGGAAGGGGAAGCAGGCACCTTCTTTACAAAGCAGCAGAAGAGAGAAGAGTGAGCGAAGGAGGAACTTGCCAAACACTTATAAAAACCTTGAGAGAATTCACTCACTGTCACGAGCACAGCATGAGGGAACCACCCCCATGATCCAGTCAGCTCCCACCACATTCCTTCCTCAACACCTGACACGGGGGATTACAATGCAAGATGAGATTTGGGTGGGGACACAAAGCCTAACCCTATCAATAGGGATGTCCCATACGGAGTTTTATGCCTCTTGCTTGTCTTGGAAGAAGAAGGCCCCAAGTAACAGTCATGACCTCATGGCTGATCCAGAGATGTAGAAAAGCAAATTGAGACTTCCTGTTTGATTAGTTTAGGAAGCAGTTATTAAGGATTGATTCTCCCTGTTGCGGTTAAAGCTGTCTACCAAGAAATAAGCCAAAGGAACATTAGGCCAAGAATCTGAAGGGTGAAGCCAAACCACTGGGAAGGGCTTTCTACTTCAACTACAATGTGATTGAATTAGAAAGGAACATTCGAATCCTGTCATGTCACCTCAAATTCAACAAGTCTAAAATTGAACTCATTTTTCCTCACGAAGCGGCTCCTTAACTGAACTTTCCTAATAACAGGAAGACACTGCAGTGTAGAATGCTTTGCCACAACATATCTATCTATTATTTCATTTGATTGTCACACACAAGAAAATTTAACTCTAAAATTTAACTTTAAATTTAACTTTAAAAGGTTAATCAAAGGGCTGCAAATTAGTAAGAGACCAATTCTAAAACCCAAGTTTTCTGAATCCTAATCTAGTCATCCATTATCAACTATATCACATTGCCCCCCCATATTTGTGAAATAAACCAGCCCATTTTATAGAATTACTAAGTGACATTTTATTTGTATTGGCTTTTGAGGATTGCACATGAGCAGATTTTAGTAAATATGAAGTCAGATTTTCTCAAGTAGCAAAGAAGAAACCAACCAACCTTCGGAATCATTAATCCTGTTTTTTATGAGATACCTCAGTGAAAAAACATTCATAGCATTCTTATTATTGAAGTCAAAAGATGACACAGATGAAATAAAGTACTGACTCTAAGCCTAAAAATGCCTAACTTACAACTCTAACATGAGCAAACCATCATCAGTTATATTAGGTTAATATATGGTATAAGTAGTATGGTTCTACTGTTTTGTTTTAATTTGCAAATTATTTTGGCTTTGCAATGATATAAGAATTATAAGCCTGTTCTAGAGAAGTACCATGCAACATTGTACCTATAGTTAACAATATGGTTAACAATTTTAACAATTTAAAGTGTATTGTACACTTTAAAATATGCCAACAGGGTGGATTTCATGTTAAGTGTTCTTACCACAGTTTTAAAAAGAATTATTAGCATGAAATGTTTACATATCTGGGTTTCTATTTTGTAGATATGTAAGTAACATTGTAATAAAAACACTGTAACTCTCCAATACAAAAAGCAGCTTCCTACACAATGCAGCCCCATACCCATACCCAACCCATTGACCCATCAAGCCAGCACCCATCCTTTCTTGGCACTCTGTATCTCAGTACACATTCTACCTTCAAAAACAGCTAAGTCAAACGTGTCAAAATAGCTATTTCCTCTTGAGTTTGAGCATCTGCAGTTGCCCAGCCCCAATTCTTTATTTGGAAATAAGTATTAGGAGAAACATATCTAGCATAGTGATATTGATTTGTAATTTCCTCAAATAGACATTCACTTTAGATGACTACAAAAGCTAAATAGAGCTCAGGAGCTCGAGACCATCCTGGGCAACATAATGAAACACCATCTCTTAAAAAAAAAAATACAAAAGTTAGCTGGGTGTGGTGGTGTGCACCCATAGTCCCAGCTACTCAGGAGGCTGAGGTGGGACAATTGCTTGAGCCTGGGAGGTCAAGGCTGCAGTGAGCTGTGATCACACCACTGCATTCTGGCCTGGGTGACAGAGTTAGACTGTGTCTCAAAAAAAAAAAAAAAAAAAAAAAAAGCTAAATAATATATACACATGTGAAGTCCTCTGTGTCTCTTCTGCCTTCTTCAGCTCATAGACATCTATCTAAATACACACCTGTGGGCCATTGTGATGTGCCCAGCATGTGGGTGGTATGATACTAAGGCACATTTTAGAGCAAAAGAGGGGGGCCTTAAAGGGAGCTGCCACCCCTTCAAAATGCACTGACTCTGAAGCATCCTACCAATTGTCAGTAACACCTTCTCTCGCCAGGGAAAAGGAACTGGAGGGAAAAACAAAATCCAAGCAAAGAAGATATCCTACTCCCAATTTTAATAATATTTATTATTTAATATAATATTTAATTTTAATAATATGTATTATTTAATAATATTTATTATAATATAATATTTATTATAATTATTAAATAATTTTAATAATTTTGGCTTATTAGCACCAAAGTCCCGGTTGGTAGTGTAACTTGATTCTTTTCTGATCTTCGTGACAGTGTCTACACAAATAACTCATGCAACATGCTGTATCTTTTGAAGTAAGCATTTTGTTTATTTTTGGTTCAATACTTTGGGTCCCTTCTTCTAAATCTTACAAGGCCAGGCCCGGTGGCTCACGCCTGTAATCCCAGCACTTTGGGAGGCCGAGGCGGGCGGATCATGAGGTCAGGAGTTGGAGACCAGCCTGGCCAGCTTGGCAAAACCCCATCTCTACTAAAATACAAAAATTAGCTGGGCATGGTGGCATGTGCCTGTAATCCCAGCTGCTCGGGAGGCTGAGGTAGGAGAATCACTTGATCCCAGGAGGTGGAGGTGGCAGTGAGCCGAGATTGTGCTGCTGCACTCCAGCCCGGGTGACAGTGCAAGACTGGGTCTCAAAAAAAAAAAAAAAAAAAAAAAAAAAACTAACCCACAGTTTCCAAAGGCAACTTGCTTTTGTGCAGAATGTTTTAGTTTAAGTTGTTATTTGGTCATTGTAAATTATCTTCTGTAGCTATTGGATTCATGTTTTTCAAATAGTTAAAAGTTTGAAAGCTAGCTGACTAGGTCGCTAAACTTAAGGAACTGAACCATCCTTTTAGACGTATGTGGTTCATTAAGCAGTGAAGTTCAGAAAAGGGCTCAGGGCTGTTCCTGCCAAGAGGTTGGTGAAGACACGTGGCAAGTGGCACGCTCAAGAGGTTGTCTTTGTAATGTTGCAGAATCGCCTACCAGAGGAATGACGATGATGAAGAGGAGGCAGCCCGGGAACGGCGCCGCCGAGCCCGACAGGAACGGCTGCGGCAGAAGCAGGAGGAAGAATCCTTGGGACAGGTGACCGACCAGGTGGAGGTGAATGCCCAGAACAGGTACTGTCCTCTTTGGGACGGGGAGTTTCTAACTTGCGTCTTAGCCTGTCCGTTGAATGGAATTTGTTGAGCAGAGCATTCCTTTCTCAGCCCAACTCAACCCTTTTTCAATCTAACTGGTTTAATTATTTTGCAGTCATTTTAGGCAACTAATCTGATTAGACAGGCAATCTGATTTAGACACTAGGACACACTATTCTATTTCTCTCCACCCCGTTCCCATCTCATAAACATACCCCAGTTGAAGGCTTTTATTTCATTTCACAATCTAGCATTTGTTTAATTTAATAAGTATGGTGTGCTATATCTTAAAAATAAGTATGGTCTATTTTTTCTGTTTAATTCTTTCTTTAAATTTCAATAGTTTTGGGGGAACAGGTGGGGTTTTGGTTACACAGATAAGTTCTTTAATGGTGATTTCTGATATTTTGGTGCACTCGTCACCCGAGCAGTACACACCACGCCCAATGCGCAGTATTTTCCCCCTCACACCCTCCTACCTTTCTCCCCGAGTCCCCAGTGTCCATTATATCACTTTTCTACCTTTGCATCCTCATAGCTTAGCTCCCACTTGTAAGTGAGAACATTTGATATTTGGTTTTCCATTCCTGAGTTACTTCACTTCAAATAATGGTCTCCAACTCCATCCAGGTTGCGGTGAATTCCATTATTGTGTTCCTTTTTATGGCTGAATAGTATTCCATGGTGTGTGTATATATACGTGTGTGTGTGTGTGTGTGTGTGTGTATATATATATATATATATATATACACCACATTTTCTTTACCCACTGCTTGGTTGATGGGCATTTAAGCTGCTTCCATATTTTTGCAATTGCAAATTGTGCTTCTATAAACATGCGTGTACCAGTATATTTTGCATATAATGACTTCTTTTCCCCTGGGTAGATACCCAGTAGTGGGACTGCTGGATCAAATGTTAGTTCTACTTTTAGTTCTTTAAGGAATCTATACTGTTTTCTGGTAGGTTATATCTTTAAATAAGGAAAAGTATTTACATTTATTCTGTAGGGTGTTGCTATCTGTTTTGAACTGAAGATATGTTAGTTTAGTAGAGTCCTCCATGGCTACCATTAATAGGTAACACGTGAATTTTTAAAGTGGGCATGAATTGCAGATGTCTTCTTTTTTCTAATATACAGCCTGAATCAATAGTCTCTGATCATTATAATATTCAACAAGATACAGAATTCCGCTTAATTTAATGTGATTATTCAAACACACTTAATGAGTTTGCTATTACGTATTTTCTCACTCGGGCCCTGGTTGAAATCAGGGAACTTGAGAATGCCTAATAGGTTCAACTTCTTCAAAGAGGGCTTTTGCAGCAGAAATAAGGTCACATGGTTCATTATGCTAATGGTTAGTATATGTCATTTATATTGTCATTTATGTGCCCCAAGGTCTAAAAAAGATGAGGATATTTGAGGAGGAAAATGGAGAAAATAATTTTAATTTAAAACCATGGACTGATTATAATGGTTACACTATATAAGATCTCACATGTGGTTTTGGTTTTAGTTTGTTTTGTTTAATTCAGTCTATTTAGAAAATTCTAAAGGGAATGGGTCCTGGCCTCCTTAACCCAAGTTTGAGAGGCTGTATTAGAAGGTTTCAGAAAGCAGTCTTGAAAATGTTGGCCGGTAGCACAATATTGTTTACCCTTTCCCTCAATAAGTAGCTTCTAATTGGGGAGTAGGTATAGCAAAGGGGAAATAGGTATAATTTCTAGGGTTCACTAATTGACTTTGACTCCCAATTTGACCTTTCACTAACTGTATTTCTTCAGTTAAATGGAAATAAAAATTATACCTTTCTCCAAAAAATGCTGCTAAACTTAAACTATGTAACAATACATGTAAAATGCAGTGTCTTACACATAGTAAGCACTCAATAAATTTTCACTGTTACCAGATTCTTAACACGGGAGGGCAACGTAGTCATTCACTGCCTTTTCCATTTTCAAGCTGAGAGAGAAATAATAGAAAGAGTTTTAAAAATGGCATTTTGATGCCTTTCCTGAATCTTGTTATTAATGAGTGGTCAACAGGAGCTTTAAAAATTACTGGTGATCTGTAGTTTTCTTGCTTTTAAAATCTTGCTTTTCCTTGTGCTTCTCTTCGGATATTTGGCTGTTATTCATTATTTCATGCTATTAATTGAAATCAAATTCTTTTTTTTTTTAGAAAATCATATTGAGGTCTGAGAATGTGTGATTTATCTCTGACATATTAGTTAGCCACAAGAAGAATAAGTCTTCTTGGGGCTAAACAACTCTAACTGGCATTTGATATCTACTGATAATTGTGGTCATGATTTATAAATAGGCAAAGAAATGTTCAATACAGTTTGTTGGTTTCTTAGCATAAGAGTACTTTAATCTGGCTAGCACTTTGGAATTTTGGTGCCTTTTAAAAATTATTAGAATTCAATTGATCCAAATGGCCCCTCTATAGACTTCCCCTTAAATTATAAATTTTTTGCATTTGTAGGGACATTTAATCCTTATATGTCTAATTTCATGGAGGCAATATCCTGAAGCAAAAGTAAAGGCCAAGAAAGTTTTAAAGCTAGTTTTTACTCTGCCATTTTCATTGTTAAATATGAAATGTGTTTTTTCCAAAATTAAGTGAATTTGAACGTTGAAAGGGCCAAGTTTGGTCTGAACTATGAAATTTGATGGAGTTTCTAAACATTGCAAGACAAATTCTTCCAACTCTGGTCACAGTTCTGGTATCACATGACTGGTTGTTTCCTGCAAATAGAAACCAACACCCTGGCTTGGACAGTGTCCAGCATCCTGCAGTAGTGAGGGAGGTGATGGACAACAGTTTAACTTTTGGAGATTTTCTTTCCTTTTTAAAATAAATGTCAAATTTAACTGCCCTTTTTCCACTGTAGAAAAGATGGACAAGAAACCCTTTATTCATGGAAATCTTGACAAAGAAGGTAGATTGTGTATACATTAGTTAGGGTAACGCTGGCTGCTATAACGATTAGTGCCCCCAAATTTTAAGTTTAGTGCAGTAACACTTACCATTATGCATATTTCTGTCTAGTTGGTAGAACCAGCCACCTGTCTTCTTTTCTCTTGTGACTCTCAATCCCTAGGGCTTGGTGCTCCCTGATCTACCAACAGACAGAGATAGAGAAGACAGGGAGTGCACCTCTGTTTGTTCATTGCCTTGGTTGGACACTTCTGTTTACATTTCATTGGCAGTTATTGGTCACATGGCCCGCCTAGGTGCAAAGAAGGGAGAGGGTGCAAATTTAATCCTTGAGTGGTGATCACTCCCCCCAACTATGGAAGGAGGAGCAGGAATTGTAAGGGACACTTAGATGTCTCTTCCATTGGGGTCACTGGCGTGAGTGTGGAATCTCAACACTGTAATGTACATTTTCTTCCTCTCAAAGTACCTTGGGAGCCTCCAATCCAGATCAGGAATTCTAGATGACTTGATGACATGGGAGAATACTACATGACATGGAAGGAATTCACTTATTATTTCAGTTTGATCCTTAAGTTTGAATTCCCCAAGAAGCAAGTCCAGAAACAACGATTTGACTGCAAGTCGTTTATTTGTAAGGTGATGCTAGGAAACACTGGTGGAGGTGTGGGAAGGTAAGACAGAAAAGGGAAGGCCACCAAATAAACGTTGCATGACCAAGCACATCACCACTGTGGGTATCTGGAGCTTCACTCCACTGGGAAACTCTGAGATCCAGTGTGGAATACACACCTCGGAGTTATCCCACTCAAAAAGTGAGGGGTGCTGAGGTATCTAAACACTCAGGCTATCAATTTTTGTTTGAAAACTGCTCCCAGGGGACATTAATACCGAAAGCACTTCTGGCATGTTGAGTAGACTCCAGTCCCCAGAGAAAGGCTTGCAAATGCTGTCAGCTGAAAGCCAGGCAGGCGTGTACTAAAATGGTAACGTACTGGGGATATGGGCAAGCTTGGCACTACTGGCATCTGCTGTAGTCCTGGGTAGCACAGGCTGTATGAATGCTGCTGACTGATGAATGAGCAAGCTGTCTTTGGTGTTGTTCTTTCTGTTGTACAGTGTGCCTGACGAGGAGGCCAAGACAACCACCACAAACACTCAAGTGGAAGGGGATGATGAGGCCGCATTCCTGGAGCGCCTGGCTCGGCGTGAGGAAAGACGCCAAAAACGCCTTCAGGAGGCTCTGGAGCGGCAGAAGGAGTTCGACCCAACAATAACAGATGCAAGTCTGTCGCTCCCAAGCAGAAGAATGCAAAATGACACAGCAGAAAATGAAACTACCGAGAAGGAAGAAAAAAGTGAAAGTCGCCAAGAAAGATACGAGATAGAGGAAACAGAAACAGTCACCAAGTCCTACCAGAAGAATGATTGGAGGGATGCTGAAGAAAACAAGAAAGAAGACAAGGAAAAGGAGGAGGAGGAAGAGGAGAAGCCAAAGCGAGGGAGCATTGGAGAAAATCAGGTAGAGGTGATGGTGGAAGAGAAAACAACTGAAAGCCAGGAGGAAACAGTGGTAATGTCATTAAAAAATGGGCAGATCAGTTCAGAAGAGCCTAAACAAGAGGAGGAGAGGGAACAAGGTTCAGATGAGATTTCCCATCATGAAAAGATGGAAGAGGAAGACAAGGAAAGAGCTGAGGCAGAGAGGGCAAGGTTGGAAGCAGAAGAAAGAGAAAGAATTAAAGCCGAGCAAGACAAAAAGATAGCAGATGAACGAGCAAGAATTGAAGCAGAAGAAAAAGCAGCTGCCCAAGAAAGAGAAAGGAGAGAGGCAGAAGAGAGGGAAAGGATGAGGGAGGAAGAGAAAAGGGCAGCAGAGGAGAGGCAGAGGATAAAGGAGGAAGAGAAAAGGGCAGCAGAGGAGAGGCAGAGGATAAAGGAGGAAGAGAAAAGGGCAGCAGAGGAGAGGCAGAGGATAAAAGAGGAAGAGAAAAGGGCAGCAGAGGAGAGGCAAAGGGCCAGGGCAGAGGAGGAAGAGAAGGCTAAGGTAGAAGAGCAGAAACGTAACAAGCAGCTAGAAGAGAAAAAACATGCCATGCAAGAGACAAAGATAAAAGGGGAAAAGGTAGAACAGAAAATAGAAGGGAAATGGGTAAATGAAAAGAAAGCACAAGAAGATAAACTTCAGACAGCTGTCCTAAAGAAACAGGTACAGTAAACATTTTGCACCAAATGTGTGATGCCTGTGACTTGTGAGAAATGTAATGCACATCTGATTTGGGACTGAGGCCACATGCATATAGCTCACATGCTTGATCATTTGGCAAGCTGTTCATTTTTTCAGGCCATAGCGATACACAAGCATGCAGCAATTGATTGATGGCTGAATATTCAATCAACCAAATTTACTGGGACAGCCAGTAAATTTGGCTGTCCAGAAGACAGAGAGAAATTAATTGCTCTGTGCTTGATTGTTATGAATACCCAAAAAAAGAATTAATCCAAAGATGATAAATGTGGTGGTGGTGTGTTGGCTTCTGATTCTGTGCTTGCATCTAAACTCGTTCTTTTAATTATCTTTCCTCTATCCATAGGTCTGCATGAGGCAAGAGGCCCATAACTCCTTACCTCACTCATGGGTTTGACGTTGAATTAAAAAAATGATAAAAGCTGGGGTGGGAAAGAGACATGAAGAATAATGGTCAGACATTTCATCTTAAGAAGGCAAAAACAGGCTGGGTACAGTGGCTCACACCTGTAATCCCAGCACTTTGGGAGGCTGAGGTGGGTGGATCACAAGGTCAGGAGATCGAGACCATCCTGGCCAACATGGTGAAACCCCATCTCTACTAAAAATACAAAATTAGCTGGGTGTACCGGCACATGTCTGTAATCCCAGCTACTCAGGAGGCTGAGGCAGGAGAATCACTTGAACCTGGGAGGCAGAGGTTGCAATGAGCTGAGATTGTGCCACTGCACTCCACTGGGCAACAGGGAGAGACTCCATCTCAACAACAAAAACAACAACAACAACAAAAAGGCAAAAACAAACCCCTGGAAATTAACTGGTAATAAAGAGGGGGAAAGGAACTGGTTGGAAACTTTCCTTAAAAAAAAAAGTCAAAACCCTGATTTGCCAACATGTAGACCTCAGCTTAATGTAGACTTGCAGAAAGCCATTAATTTAGGGTAGTATTGATTTATATTTGACTGGTAATTAAGAGCATACATGCTGCTTCTTTATTATCTGGGTGACACAAATTCATGTGGCCTGAGGAAGGGTGGAAATAGTAGGGGGGAAATGTTTGTAAGCTTTGAGAAAGATTTTTTTTCTGTCTGCAAGACTGCATTGAAAGCACTGTACCTAATCACCACCACACCACCACCACCACTCCTAAAAAAAGAAAAAAAGAGATGCTTTCACATTCACCTTTCCAGAGCAAATTCTCTGTCACTAAGCCTGCATTGCACTGAAGGTATCTTTAACTCCTGCTTCTGTACAAGAGGCTCATGAACACAGCTAAAATTGAGACCATGAGCAAAGTGCACCAAACCACACACGAGGTTTGTAAACACACGAGGAGTGCCACATCATGCTAGATTTCAGTGAGCGCAATGGCAGGCACACGAGAAGATGTTGGGGTGGGAAGAAAATATCCCACCTTGCTGTTTAGAACCACTGTGCTGTGAGCGCTGAGACGGCAGAAGAGAAGCCATCCCACGCAGCACTTGCAAGGCGATCCGAGCACCCTGTCACTCTTGTAAACTAGAAAGGGCTTCTTTTACTTGTGTGACCTTACCATTCTTGAAAATAAAAAGGGAGAAGAGAAGGGAACTAAAGTGCAAGCTAAAAGAGAAAAGCTCCAAGAAGACAAGCCTACCTTCAAAAAAGAAGAGGTAAATATGATTGAAAAGTAATGATCGTAAAGCAACAGAAAAAGCAGTCAGTGTTCCAAGATATCTCAGGTCTGATGATCTCAAAATTGTAACCTCATATCCAGTGTATTTCAAGCCATGACTCACAGTCCACTGAATAGTGAGATCAGCTTAGAGTGTCTCAAAATTAATTAAATGTATCAGTCAGCATTTTTTAAAAAATGAAATGGATAGAAGCCATCAGAGGGCATTGTAGGTAGTAAGTATTGCATTGTCAGGTAAATTGTCTTTTTTTCTGTGGGACGTCATCAAAAAGGCTTGAAAAACACTGCTGGAATCAATTTATCCTGTTTTCTATTCTTCTGAATGCTAATTTTTTTTCCTTGAGCCATTCTACTTTCATTTCAATCATGAAATATTTCCAACTGGCCTTGATTAATGCTTTAACTTTTCAAAGGAAAAACACCCACACACATCTCAGTAGAAAATATGGTGAACTGAAGATGATATTTGGTTTTCAAAAGAAAAGTTTGGCCAAATGTTCTGCATTGCATTTCTGAGGCACACACAGGAGCGGGTGCCAGGGTATTTGACTGTAGGTAAGTGAACAAGGAGCTATACAGATAGAATGGCACGGGGTTTGACAGTAATCAGAACACCACATCAGAACACTTGATTGCACTTCAACTCTCATGCTGTGTTTGCCCCAAATAATCTTAAAAATTGTGACTATATCGAATAAGTTCACAATACTTATTAGGATGTGGTGAAACTGAATTATTTGAAGTAGGAAGACCCGAAGTTCTTCGCCTATGAGACTGGTGAAGTGATTTGTAGCCAACATGCTCCAACCCATCTATTAAGAAAACTATGGCATCTATTAAGAAAATTCAAAATCTTAAACAGAGAAATCCATATTTAGAAAACATGGCCAGATTAAATAGGGGGTGGGTTATTTTCTTAAATACGTTTTGTCAATTTCACGTGAAAAATGAAAACCCCTAGTTCATGTTACATATTACATTTCTGTTAAGATGTATGTTCCTCTGTTTCTAATAGAAGTTGTGGTGGTTTGGAAGTGAAAATTGAATGTGAGCACAGGCCATGTAAAGGAAGGAGAAAGTGTAAATGTTAATAACAGGAAAACTGAATTTAGCTCTCATGAGGCAGTCAAGGAAATCATTCATTGAACATGTTGGGAAATACTTTTCATTTGGTGACCAAATACCTACAAATTCATTTACAAAAAAGAAAAATGAAAGTTACCTCAGAACTAAACTCAGAAATATGTCCCACATGGGTTCTTGTAATGTTTCTTGGTGAATGTCTTTATAGAAAGAAGTGGGCATGAAATGATGACTCAGTAATTAAACACATGGGGGAAGGGAGGCTGTAGAAAACACTGGATTCTATATTTAAAATTTCATTCAGTTCACTAATTTGTTTTTACTGACCAAAGCTTTCTATACCTATGTAGAGTGTCTGAGAACTAGAAGGGCCCATCAGTTGCCACTCGGATGATCCTTTTGTCTCTTTTCAGATAAGGCCCCAGTTCAACAGCGTCCTCTGTGTCAATCAGATACTCCCAGGAATGAGTGAGCCCTGCCGTTTTCCCAAGTTGCCCCTCAGCACATTCCAGCCAGTTCCAAAACTTTTGGCTTGTTTTTGACACAAGGCCAGATAAGCTACTCAAACTGGTTTTTTTAAAAAAAGAAAACAACCCCAATCTATATTCCTTTTTTAATACTGTGTACATAACCTGCTGCTCGAAAGACTAGGTTTTCCCCTTTCCAGCTAGTTGTGTTGTTTCTTTATGTAGACAGCTTTAAATCATGTTTACATGATTCAGCCATTTTAAACAACCTCTTCCTATTTTTTTTTCCTTTTTGTACAAAAAAAAAAAAAAGAAGAAGAAAGAAAGCAACTAACTAAAACCTTTCCTTTCAAGGATTTATGCAGCATAGGATAGGGCAACCACAAGTAAACACAAACATCACGTGAGCCTTCTTAAAGAAAACATTTCCAGAAATCACTCCAATGTCTTAAAAAACACACAAAATAAAACCTTTCTCCACTGCAGTTTAACTGTGGCAATGAGTTGCAGACGATCACCAACACTGAAACTTAATTTAGCTTTTTTCTCTCCTCTCCAATCATAAAAAGTCTCTTTTTGGTTCTTCATGCAGGAGCTATTTTCTTTCTTTTCTGGCCTCTAACAGGAAAACAGAGTTTCTAGCCGAGCTGCTCCTGAGGTATTAAAAGTGATGTTCGTGTCATGCGGATCAATCCTGCCCAAACATTAGTGTGCATGCAAATCACCTGGCAGTCTTATTAAATGCAGAATCTGATTCCATGAGGTCCATGTTGTCCGTGGACCAAACTTGCAGTAGTAGCGAGGAGTCTAGAAGACGTCCATGTTATAGAAATTGAACCCAGGAAAGGATTTGGGGCTTATGAAGCTAACAAAAGCACGTAAAACCCAGCCTGAGAAACAGTAGCTACACCCAGCTCTTGTTGCTATTCTGGAACCAAATAATGCAAAATATGCTCGAGACACATCTCAGTTCTTGCTTGCTTGACTTTCTGAGTGTCTCTCTGGCACAAGGGCCTGTCATTTGAATTCCCATCCCCCACCTCATCCCCATGTATTATTCCACTGGATATCCCAAATATCTAGAGTTTCAAAACCCAAATGATCCCATTTGGCCAGAGCCTTTTTTATGAGTATGCTAATGTTATCTGTGTATGAAGCACACAAACTTTTTCAGGATACCCGGCTATCTATTAATCCTTCAGCACGGACGTTCTCCATGGTAACAGTCTGACCTATAAGATCTAATGCCTTTCCCAGGGGGCTCAGAATCCCATGAGTTTGGGTTAAATCTGCCATAACATCTAAAAAAAAATGTAAAGGCTCTACGGAATTACTTTATTTATTCATTTCCCAGAAAGAGAAAATAATTTTCAGTTGAACTCAAATCGTCATTATTACATTGACAAGGTTTCTAAGGTTTTCCAAAAAGAATATAAGCCTGCCATCCACTATAGCCTTTGCCAATAAAGGCAGAGCTTGAAAAAAGGGGGGATTTTTTTTCTGTTAGACATGTATCATCTTACAAATCTATTTTAAACACTTTTGGGACCAGTAAATCAGATATAATACATTTGGGGAGAATGGAAATTTTTCTGACTGCAACATAGGATAAATGAGTTAAAGGGAATGTCTCCATGCGTAGTGCTCCACAGACCGTGAGCTCCTACTCGGAATTTATTTCATGGTTATCCCTAAAATGGGTTTCCCTCACATTTGGAGCCACAGATGCTTCTTAACTAGAACATAAACTCCAGTCCATGGTTTCTGGGGCTAAGTCTAACAACAATAGGCCAAAATGAGAATATATTTTGTTTCCTCCTTCCTGTCCAGTGAATACTGATATATTCTTGGGCAAGGACAGCCATCAGGGAGCCACAGTGAAGCTGTCATTCAGGCTATGAGCTTGCTCCTTTTTTCTGTAGCCTCTCATGACCCATGAGGACCCAAGAGGGAAATGACAGGATGAAAAATTCGGAAGGAATCATCTGGTCCAACCGCATTTTTTCACGTACTTGGGACCAGCATCCCAGAGCAGTCAAGTGATTTGTCCAAGTAACACAACTAGTTTGTTGTCAGCACTGGAGCCAAAAGTCAGGTTTCCTGATTTACAGACAAAGCTCTTGCAGAGAATGGCAAAGTACAGCCCCCATTTTCAGTGTGTCCGAGGGACATCCTAGGTATATACCCCATGGTGAAAGATTGAAGTCTTAACTAATTAGGGCAGCATAGAAGTGAATCCCTAGTAATTAATCAGATAATACCCAAAGAAGACAATCAAATGACTTAAAACTTATCAATAAAGAGCAAAAAACTGTGCTCTGCTTTGTAAAACATGCACTTTAGGCCAGGTGCAGTGGCTCACACCTGTAATCCCAGCACTTTGGGAGGCCGAGGTGGGCAGATCACTTGAGGTCAGGAGTTTGAGACCAGCCTGGCCAACAAGGTGAAACCCATTCTCTACTAAAAAATACAAAAATTATCTGGGTGTGGTGTTGCATGCCTGTAATCCCAGCTACTCAGGATGCTAAGGCGGGAGAATCCCTTGAACCCGGGAGGTGGAAGCTGCAGTGAGCTGAGATCGCACCACTGCACTCCAGCCTGGGCAACAGAGCAAGACTCTGTCTCTTAAAAAAAAAAATGCACTTTAGGAGTAAATCTTCACAGAGTATCTGAAGAATAGGTGAGAAGAGGTGAGTGATCAGGTCAGGATAGAACCTCCTAGGCCACAACACCTAAAGTCCTGAGTTCTTATGGCCTACCTTTCCTCTGGATTTCTTTAGAATGCTCATGGTTTGTAACTGTCTTGAAAAGAACCATCGTGAATGCACCTCACCTGTTTTCACACTCATCTTTTAAGAATGGATGAGATGATATAAGTGAAGTGATTTGAATTCCTTTACCCCCTCCCCCACAAAAAGCTATGTAAATTCAGTATACTTTTAAATAATCTGTCTCACTTACTGAAAGAAACACAAAACGCACAAAATATGAAAGCTAACACCTGCCCTCCATATATCATCTTCCTATGTCTCCCACCACAACCACAAAACTACTTCCAGAGAACTAAATTTTTATTGACAATGGAAATCAAGGTAAACCCTGGAATTTTTCCTATTCCATTCTAACTTTAATGGTTTAGATGACTACAGACATGTTCTCACAGACCCCACATATCTTTGGATCCTCCTACTAAAGGTAGGGTTAGTAAATGTCCCATCCTTGGGACATAATTTACTCAGTTGATTAAAATACTGGTCTTCGCCAGAGTTGGTTTGGCAGATCTAGCTAAACTGATAGGTTTCCTTTTCTTTCTTTCCCATTTGTGTCTCTCTCACAGATTCTCTCACCATCCAGGAAGAAACCTGTCTAAGCAACGTGGTCATTCTTCCATCAAAGCCATCCTAATAATTGCTCTTCCCAGTGGGAACTGCAAACAGCTACTTTTACATGAAGTTCCCAGAACTTAGTGGTTTCCAAACAATAGTACTACCACTGCTCTTGAAAATAAAAACCTCAGTGAGATCAGGGATGATCTTACCTTCTTAAAATTGTGGTAAAGGTGTTTGTTCACAGGCTAAAGGACCATAGCTCATTCTCTAAGAATTTCACCTGATTCCAACTCTACCACATCTGAGTGGTTTCTTTCTGAGTTTTCTGCCTTCCTAACAATTTTGGGTCTTACTTGATGATACCAACCAAAACCTAATAAGATTTTTCTTGTTCTGTTTCTTCCTGATATGTACTGTTGGTTAGATCAAAGATGAAAAGATTAAAAAGGACAAAGAACCCAAAGAAGAAGTTAAGAGCTTCATGGATCGAAAGAAGGGATTTACAGAAGTTAAGTCGCAGAATGGAGAATTCATGACCCACAAACTTAAACATACTGAGAATACTTTCAGGTAAGAAGTAGCAACTAGTTAATAGAAACTGTGTTCACATGCAAAGAAAAAAAAAAAAAAGTCAGTCTTCCCATCCTGTGCTTCCAGACAGAAACGTGCTAAGCAGGCAGCATGCTTTTGTTGTGAGGTCATTAGCCATTGTCTTAGAGATACTCAGTCAGCAGGTCCAGTTCTTATATCACTAACAGAAGACCAGCAGTCATCGCTCAGACAGGGCTTAGTCTGCTTTTCCCATTATTTTGAAAGGCAGATCATGCTTGGCATCCATGTTTTTGTTCACTGACCTTTTGTGAGATTAGTGTATTAGAAAACATTATAACTGGGATTCATGTCATTCAATGATTCTCTATATGGTCTGACCACCTTCCTAAGAGACCTTTCTCAGTACCATTTTCAAGAATGCATTTTCTAAAGGTTGTAAATAAATATTGCATAAGACTAAGATTGTTTTGTGGCGAAATACTTGGGAAACACTGGATTAAGCTAAATTCCTCAGATTTCTTTACCACATGACTTTGAGAGCCCTTCATGTTCATTTTCATTGGAAGTCTCTAAGAGGGAGTGAGAGGTATGGACCTACTGCTCTATTTTATACAGTTTGGAAAAACTCTCTTGTATAGCTTGAGCTTTCCCCTCAACATAATCCCTTACCCCATCAAACTGAAAATCTGGGCAACTGATTATCAGACAGACGAGACCAGTATATTCAGGTAAATCCTCATTTCTAAATACAGTCGAATCCTGAGAGCTCTCTACCAATTTTGTAGAAGAACTTGAGGTGCAGACACTGGGCTGGCTACGTGATTCCTGTGCTCCTTCCCCACAAAACACTCTCTCCAACCACTGGGGCCAAATTCCAACCTCTGTTTTGTCACTGGTTGCTGTGCCAGATGTGCCGGAGAGGAGTCTTGGGTCCCTGCAATGTGGATTTCCCCGGGCTTGTTCCTTGGCTGCAGGCTTGCCTAGTGACCCTGTTTTTCTGAACACTTCAAATAAGAAAGTCATCAAGCAGGTTTGAGGGAGAAATCTGACATGCTCCTCACACCAAAGCCTTTGTAATATTCAAAAGCAGGCGGAGCTACTAGGGATGGATATTTCAGTCTCATCCAAGAGGCTAAGATGGATAAATACGGTTGCCCCAAAACAATTTTTTTGTACGTAAATTTAAGCAGAAACCTATTCATATTTATCCAAAGGAGAACCTAAAGCTCACAGAAGAAAAGGTGTACATAAAAGATCTAAATAAAATGATGAAGGTGTAAGAAAGGTAGAATCTATAGATATTACTTGGGATTGCCAAGAGAATAGATGTGAAAATTAAGTTTATTGAACATTCATAGAAAATCTACAAAGCGAGTTGATTCAGGTTGGTAAGTTGAGTCTAAAACTTGCTGAAGTGTCTGTAGTTTAATGTTTTAAAGCCCTAGAATAGTGTTAGGTTCATGAAAAGTGTTCAATGAATATTACCTAATATTACTATTTTTTAATAGTTTAAAAGATGTCTTGTAAACATAAGGTTCTTTTAAGGTATAAGTTTTTTGTTAAGAGAAATAACGTTTAAGAAAATCTGTCAGTAGAAAAAAGTCTGTTTAACAATTAGCAAACTTGCCAACAAGCTTCAAAGCTCAAATTAATAATTAACATGCCTATTGTGTAGAAATCCAAAAAGCTGGGTAATTCGAAGAAAGGAATAGTCACAAGAGATGGTGACAAGTTAAGTGCTAAGAACACTTACGTGTGACTCTGGCCTTAATTTTTCTATTTTGGGCAGGAAAAAAAAATACAGGAACAAGCTGCTACCATATTATTTATTTTTGTTTAGCCACCAACGTATGTGAGTTTTAGTTTCAATTAGAAGTTCACGCTGATTGAAGTAGAGAAGTATAGTTTTGCTCCATATACATATAAAATGAGGAGAGAGGAAGAGAGTATCCGCCTAGCCTCTATTTAGGTAAGTTTAGTACCTACCAGCTTCACTGAAAACAAGCTGTGTTCTTAATGGTCAAAGGCCTGATACTCATCTTGACTTACACCTAAGGAAGCCAAGGACGGGGGTAGGGTGGTGGGGGTGGGGTGCGGGGAGAAAGAACTTTATGGAACGATTTCCACATTAAGTGGCACCCTAATGCTGAGGTCATGCACATAGGCAGAGGTGGTGTGAACAAAACTTTTGCTCCTGTTTTGAGCATAGCTGCTTATGTGTGATTTAATTACTGTTCCCTTTGATATCTGCATTTTCTTGTAACTCGTTTTCTCTAAAACATGACATAAAAATCTCAATTCAATGAGCAAGATATAGCGATGCAAATTATACCAAGGGTTTTATAGAAAGTGCAAAATGGTTTTTTGATTTTTTATTTTTGAAGGTAGAAATTAAAAGATTTTTTCCGATTATAGAAAAAAATACTCATTATAAAAACGCTCAGAAAATAGAAGAATAAAAATAAGCACCCACCACCCAAAGATAACTAGCAGTAACACTTTTTCCAGATATTTATCTATGTATATAATATTCAAGATAAATGCACACACGTGTGTATATTTATATGTAGTATATACGTGTGTGAGTATACTTATAATTTTACATTGATTCTTGCACTGTGCATAAGAATGTGTCATAGCTTGCTTTCTATGCCAATAAATATAAGCCTATAATTAATGATATTAGATTCTACTGGATGGATGTATTAGGACTTATTTAGCCAGTCCCTAATGACGGACATTTTGATTGTCCAAAATGAAGACTGAGTGACACCTAGTGGAATCCATAGATGTTTCTATAGGCATGTGTTTTGCCGGTCCAGTTCCTGTACAGTAATATGATGAACACAAAGAGAGAGCAAACTCATTTTTGGAAGGAAAGACCCTAAATTGACTGAGAGAGGAGTCACAGGCCTGTGAACCTAGAAGACCCTGAAAGAGCCTTTGACAGCAAGGTTTTGAGGGACCCTTTAACCTTGTTTGAGTTCAAAATAAAAGTTTACCTGTAACTGGCATGAGCCTAGACCAATAGTTCTAAATTTTTTAACCTAAGCCCTTAGTAAGAAATAAATTTTACATAATGACCCAGTACACACCTGTATATATTTTTATAACTGAAACAAGTGTGTCAAGAAATGGTACTTTGTTTTGCTCTATGCAGTGCACTCTGATATTTTCTGTTTTTTTTTTTTTTAAATGTTGATTACAATCTACTAAATTGATTTTCTGGTCTGCAGCTTGAAAATTATTGTTCTGGAGGACACAGGATATTCAGAACTACTTCAGTGTTTAAAAAGCATGATATATAATATACATATATATATTATAAAATCAATATTGCACAGTGTATTTCTTGAGCCCATTTCTTGTTTTATTCTTCCTCTTGTTTCACAGCTAGAAACACTGTACCATTCTTTACATGTAGTA
The DNA here is from genome assembly GCF_000001405.40 of Homo sapiens. Classification (NCBI taxonomy): domain Eukaryota; kingdom Metazoa; phylum Chordata; class Mammalia; order Primates; family Hominidae; genus Homo; species Homo sapiens. The sequence continues at coordinate 134,944,646 of NC_000007.14, forward strand.
AATGATGTTAGGGTGTGATAATTCCTTTGTTCCTTAGACAAAAGTGTCAGGAATAGGATATCTACGTTGACATCTAGTTAAGAATGACCTTACTACTTGCTAATAAGTATTTAAATGGCAAAGCTGTATCTCTGTCTCTTAAAGACTACTTATAACAAGGGCTTCAAGCCTAAATTAAGCCACTAAATTCTGCTTAGTGAAGTCCCAGGCAAATCCAACTTAGGTGAACTCTGTGTTAGTGAAAACTCTGCATTCTACTGAAGTTCTACTTTGAGTATCGACATGTTTTAAAATTATCAGTGTTCTAACTGTATCATACAGTAAATTTATTAAAGAAACTCAGGGGTCACAGTAGGTGCTAATGATATGTCTTCATCTTTTTATAGTTGTGTAAAATACTAAAAATACCAGTTCCAAAATAAAATTTTACCATAAGGACTCTTGGGATAGCATTCTGTCTGAAGTCTTAATATGTTCCCAATTCTGCAATGAAATCCCTGTGTATCCTCCTTAATCACAAAAGAAAATTCAACATAATTTCAATTTTAGTTCTTACTTACATAAAAACGTACCCATTTCTTCCTGTTTTATAAGCTGTTCTACCTGATGAAGCTTCTGCTTCATCTCAGGCACGGAAGGTAGCTAGACCTAGACTGTAGAAACTCTAGAGACAGAGGTAGGAAACGCTTCTCTCAGACTCTATCCTGAAGGTTTGAGGTAAGAGGTGGAGAGATGGAATAACATGTTCTATTTCAGTTTATTCATTGTTTCATAACAAAACGTATTTAATTTCAGGTATAATTATAGTTACAAGAAGAGTACAACTAATAGATAAGCATTAGAATCTGATCATGGCTCGACTGCTTTCTAGCTTCCAAAAGTTTGAGTATATTATTCTCTGTCTTACCTGTGGTTTCCTTGTTTGTAAGATGGGGATAATAAACCTAACCTGACATCTTCCCAGTTATTGTGACTGTTAAATGAAGTAGTGGATATGAAAAGGGTTTAGAGAGCATAAAGAATGACATGTAAGTAATAACCTTAACCACATCATACCAAGCTAATTTCATAATTTTAAGTCTGTATAAGGAGTATTCCAGTTGTATTGGGGTCAAAGAGCATAGAAAATTCACAAATTGAAGCCATAGGTTAATGCAGTCATTAAGGACTTTCCTGGAGCAGCTCTGTAAGAATAGACATAAATCACTGTGTTTAGCTCTTAATCAAGAGGCAATGGGTAATTTCGTCTGCCAGAGATCAGCTGCTAGAGTCAAGCTCAAGGCACAGTTGTGGACAGATGGATTTACTTCAATGCCTACCCTTAGTTACAGCCACTTTTTCCCATTCCCAGCGCCTGAACCTTTCTGTCTTCCCTCCTGATCCATTACTCCAGGCAGACCCAAGTTAACCAGTAACTTACGGGAAAGGACTAGTAAGGCCACTACAAGACTTTTGAACTCATTCACAAGTAACCTTTTGGACTACATGCCTCCCTTTCTAATAACAACTAATATTTATACTGTAGATGATATAGAAATTATAGTATATCAGTATGATATCAGTATGATATCATACTGATATAATACATAAGCCCATGCAACCCACTGAGGTAAATAGAATAAATAGTATTTACCCATTTTTCCATGTTGTAGCATGTATCTTCTTAAAAATTGTGGTAAAAACAAACATCACCTAAAATTTACCATCTTAAGCATTTTTAAAAGTACAGTTAAGTAGTGTGAGGCATATTCATATTGTTGTGCAACAGATCTCCAAAACTCTTTTCATCTTGCAAGACTGAAAGACTACACCCATTAAACAGCAACTCTTTATTTCCTGCTACCGCCCACCCTCTGCCTCTGGTAACTACAGTTCTATTTCTGTCTCTATGAATTTGACTACTTTAGATCCCTCATATAAGTGGAATCACACAATATTTGTATGATTTCCGTGATTGGCTTATTTCACTTAGCATAGTATCTTCAAGGTTTATCCATGTTGTAACAGGTAACAAGATCTCCTTCCTTTTTTTTTTTTTTCTCTTTTTTTCTTACAGACAGAGTCTCGCTTTGTTGCCCAGGCTGGAGTGCAGTGGCACAATCTCGGCTCACTGCAACCCCTGCCTCCTGGGCTCAAGCAATTCTCCTGCCTCAGCCTCCAGAGTAGCTGGGACCACAGGCACACGCCGCCACGCCCGGCTAATTTTTTTTTTTTTGTATTTTAGTAGAGACAGGGTTTCACTGTGTTGCCCAGGCTGTCTTAAACTCCTGAGCTCAGGCAATCCGCCCGCCTCGGCCTCCCAAAGTGCTAGGATTACAGGCGTGAGCCACTGCACCCGGCCTCTCCTTCCTTTTTAAGGCTGAATAATATTCCATGGTATGGCTAGACCACCTTTTATTTATCCATTCCTGCTATGATGGACACTTGGGTTGCGTCCATCTCTTGGTCCTTGTAAATAATGCTGCTATGAACACGGGTATACAAATGTCTCTTCAAGACCTTGCTTTCCATTCTTTTAGAAGTGTATCAGAAGTGGGATTGCTGGATCACGTGGTAGTTCTCTTGTTGATTTTTTGAGGAACCTCCATACTGTTTCCATAGCAGCTGCACAACTTTACAATCCCATTTTACAGTGCATATTTGTCCCATTTTACAGCTGAGGAAACGAAGCACAAGTGGAAGAGCAGAGGCTCCTGGACTCTGTGATTCCGGGCAGACCCCTTCCCCAGCCTACCCCCTGGGCTAATGAGAGGCAGTGGGTATTTAGTCGGGGATGCAGAAGCCGCAGACCGACCTCCCCTTCCTCCAGGGAGACTACAGGCAAAAGCATGTAAACCCCTTTCCATTGCCCCCCAACCACAGCCGCCCTGGAGGGAGGGCCAGCGTGGACACCAAGGAGGCTGAGGGCGCCCCCCAGGTGGAAGCCGGCAAAAGGCTGGAGGAGCTTCGTCGTCGTCGCGGGGAGACCGAGAGCGAAGAGTTCGAGAAGCTCAAACAGAAGCAGCAGGAGGCGGCTTTGGAGCTGGAGGAACTCAAGAAAAAGAGGGAGGAGAGAAGGAAGGTCCTGGAGGAGGAAGAGCAGAGGAGGAAGCAGGAGGAAGCCGATCGAAAACTCAGAGAGGAGGTAAGGCGGGCGCTAGCCCACTGAGAACGTTGCCCGGGAAAATTCCCTAGTGCCGTGCGGCTGTTCTTTTGAGCATGGGCTCTCAAAAATATTTTTTTAAGAATAATAAACTTACCATGTGCTAGGTACTGTTTTATAACTTGTAGATGTATTAATTTGTCCACTGCTTCTAAGAACTCGCTGACCTAGGTACTAATCCCCATTTTACAGATGAGAAAACTGAGGCACAGAGAGGTTTTGTTTTTGTTTTTGTTTTTGTTTGTAACTTTCCCAAGGTCTCCCTTGAGTCTGCCTGACATGCAGGAGGAGCCCCATCATTAAAACCCTTTACTGCCTCTCAAAAAGGAAAAGTTAGAAAGCTGAAAAGGATGAAAGGTCTGCAAATTAGTTACCAGAATGAAGTTATGGTTTTCTAATAGTTGGAGAGTTTTTATAGAGAAGATTTTTTTAAATCTTTTTTTTTTTTTAATGAGCAAGTAAGTACATTAGAATATAAAGAGGCAGGGACAGTATCTGCGTTGTTCATTACTGTATACCCAGGACCCCATACCGTGCCTGACATGCAGGAAGAGCCCCATCATTATAAACAGATGGATTTGTTTCATCTTTTAAGACAGAGCTAAAAACAGCAGATAGAGTTACAAGGAGGAACATTTTGGCTCAGCATATGAAATAATGTTTAACCAACTACAACTTACAGTACTACAGTTTACAAAGTGCATTCTTTCATTTCATCCTGAGGTACATCGTTCTCATTTTATGGGCAAAGAAACCAGGAATCAAATAGTTTGAGTGACTTATTTGAAGATTCTTGACTAATAAATGGTAGAATCAGTAAGGAGACCCCGCTTTTCCAACTCAGAGCCCAGAGCTTTTGAGATAGCGATCTCCCATCATTCAAAATATGAAGAAAAAAAAAGACTTTCAATGGCATTTTGACAAGGATCCTATGCAAAATTTTCCTGAACTGTATGGAAAATTTGGATACATTATTTTGAGGTCTCTTTTAACTCCAACTTTCAATGAGCCAATGACCTTTGGTTGGGAAGTATGGGAAGTAATCAGGATGATAGAGTTTGGGGGTTAAACACACCCCAGGCTTTTTTTTTTTTATTGTTTTTTTAGACATAGTCTTGCTCTGTCACCCAGGCTGGAGTGCAGGAATGCAGTGGTGCAATCTCGGAACACACCCAGTCTTCTATCCTAACTCTGTCACTAACAAGCTGGGGCCTTGGGAAAACTGGACTACTCTGTGTCTTCTTTTCCTTATCTGTGAAATAATATCTACTTTGCAGGATTCTTCCAATAATTTAATAGATCATTGTGCTCCCAGTGCCTGGCACATTCTAGGCACTCAAAAATTAGTAGGTATCATTATTGCCATCATTGTTATTATGATTATTATTCAGAGGAGGAGAGTATCAGGAAAGGCTGAAGAGAAATCACGAAGTCTTAGAACTGGATTGGACCTAGGAGATTATTTGGGCTAAACTACCAAACACAGGATCCTTCTGTGACATCCTCTGACAGATGAACATCTAGTCTCTGCTTGAGAACATGCAGTGATAATGATCTCACAGCTTAAGAACTACCAAAGACTGCATTAAATCTCTCAGAAAATCAAGTTGTGCAACTTGATCAGAGCCCTGATAGAGAAGACAGAGTATTCTAGACTAGGAATGAAGACACAGAGGGGTTAATGAGACAGTCTGTAAACATTTGCAATTGCACTACCATGGTTCAACGTCTAGAGCATTTCAGGTTTGTCAAACCATCTAAAATTATATATTCACTTGAAGCGGGGAGCAACCATAAAATCACCTCTTGTACCATCTGGCAAATATAGTACCACAGATTTAGATAGCTTTTCACATAAGTTATTCATTTGTCTTCACAACTCTCCTAGGATGTAGGTAGAAGGAATATTCATATCCCTTTTACATATACAGAAGTGTGAGGTCATTGTTAATGACCCACAGGATGGTGGTGATTATGTATCATCCTATGGGAAATCATCATAATGAGTGTTAGTCTAAGCCAGGGGTGTCCAATCTTTTGGCTTCCCTGGGTCACATTGGAAGAAGAATTGCCTTGGGCCACACATAAAATACACTAACACTAATGATCGCTGATGAGCCAAAAAAAAAAAAAATCACAAAAAGGTCTCATAATGTTTTAAGAAAGTTTACGAATTTGTGTTAGGCTACATTCAAAGCCATCCTGGGCATGATGTGGCCCCTGGGCCATGGGTTGGACAAGTTTGGTGTAAGCATTTTACATGTGCTATCTCACTGAGCCCTCACGAAAGCCCTAAAAAATGAGTACTATTGTTATCCCTGTTTTACAGATGAAGAAACTGAGCCACAGAGCAGATAAATAACATGGCCAAGGTCAGGCAGTTGGAAAGTAGCAGCACCAGAATGCAAATGCAGGCAGCTCGACTCCAGCTCTCAGGCTAAACCTCTGGTGACCACCTAGAAGGGGAGTGTCCAGCCTGCGGCCTGAGTCTGCTGCCTCTCCAACTGTGCTCTCTCTCCTACAGCACTCTTCCCTTTGGCTGTGAAGCTGGTACTGATGCCTCGTTATTTGTTCTTTCTCTCTTAGGAAGAGAAGAGGAGGCTAAAGGAAGAGATTGAAAGGCGAAGAGCAGAAGCTGCTGAGAAACGCCAGAAGATGCCAGAAGATGGCTTGTCAGATGACAAGAAACCATTCAAGTGTTTCACTCCTAAAGGTTCATCTCTCAAGGTATTTTTTTCCCCAGAAAACTTCTATTAGAATATGATAGAGACTGGATTTTAGCCCCTTGTTTAGTTATTGATTATACAGGGCCTTTGTTCATTTATCTTTTTGCTATCCTTCCAAGTTAATCTGTTCAGGCTGCTATAACAAAATACTTTAGACTGGGGCCAGGCACGGTGGCTCATGCCTGTAATCCCAGCACTTTGGGAGGCAGATGTGGGCAGATCACCTGAGGTCAGGAGTTCGAGACCAGCCTGGCCACCGTGGTGAAACCCCATCTCTACCAAAAATTCAAAAACTAGCCGGACGTGGTGGCACACACCTGTAATAATCTCAGCTACTTGGGAGGCTTAGGCAGGAGAATCACTTGAACCCAGGAGGCAGAGGTTGCAGTGAGCTAAGATAATGCCACTGCACTCTAGCCTGGGCAACAGAGCAAGATTCCATCTCAAAATTTATCACTCACAGTTTTGGAGGCTGGAAAGTCAAAGATCAAGGTGCCAGCAGATGTGGTGTCTAGTGAGGGCCTATTCCTCATAGGTGGCACCTTCTCCCTGTGTCCTTACATGGTGGAAGGAGAAAGGGAGAAAACAGGCTTCCTTAGGCCTCTTTTATAAGGGCACTAGTCCCATTCACAAGGGCCTCACCCTCATCACCTAGTTACCACCCAAAGGTCTCACCTCTTAATACCAACACATCAAGGACTCAGTTTCAACATATAAATGTTGGACCATAGCACCTCCTTTCAGCTGTTTCACAGCTTCTCTTTGTTTACAACATATGGAAAGGAGGGACAGTAGTGAAATTTTTATCTGTTGTTTATTAGATGCTTTGGCATACATTAAAATGACATTCGGTGATTATCTCTCAATTTTACTGATCCACATTCTCCATGTGCCTCATTCCTTTGAGCAACTGAGAATAGAGACATCTAAAATTTATAAAATAGGAAAGTATATTTTAAAAGTTTAAGCTGCTTTTCATGCTAGCTGTTCATTTTTTCTTTGTCATGATTAAAAGCCAGCTGGAAATGGTACAGGTGCAAATTTTAAAGCAATTATTATGGGAGGAGGTGAAATGTGACTTGGAAAGGGTCCTTTTCCAGGATGGCTTTGGTCCTATGACAGCCTTCATGGAGCACAGCTCCTATTTGATGTAAAACAGAGTGCTGCCAAGAGAACAGAAAAGGAGCAGGAATCAGCTGAGTCAGGGAGATGATAGAATAGTTGAGATGTAGGGAAAACACAGTGGACTCAAGAAAGTAGCATCCTTGATTTATAATCAGTCCACCATTATTGCCAGTGGCAGTTTCTTTGAGAATTAACATCATTGAGCATCTAGCACAGTGCCTTACATCATATTGAAGATACTTAATAAAAATTTGTTAAATGATGAATAAAGGAATGAATCTTCAGAGATTGGGACTTTTAACATTTCATTTTCCATCAACCTAGCTAGGTTATAAAGCATCAACAATGGACAAAGCCATGAGAGAATTATACCCAGGTCTGGCCGGGCACAGTGGCTCACACCTGTGATCCCAGCATTTTGGGAGGCCGAGGTGGATGGATCACCTGAGGTCAGGAGTTCTAGACCTTCCTGGCCAATCTGGTGAAACCCCATCCCTACTAAAAATACAAAAATTAGCCAGGTGTGATGGCGCACACCTGTAATCCCAGGTATTTGGGAGGCTGAGGCAGGAGAACCACTTGAACTTGGGAGGCAGAGGTTACAGTGAGCCGAGATCGTGCCACTGCACTCCAGCCTGTGTGACAGAATGAGACCCTATCCCAAAAAAAAGAAAAAAAGAATCATAGCGAGGTCTGGATGGTTAATTATGTACATATGTGTACGGTTATATCAAGTGGCACACCAAAATGACCAAAAACTGCTTACATTTTACAGTTATTACTTGTTCCACATGAAAATCAGAATTTTTTAATCCCCAAATAACTTCCCTTAGTCTTTTTTTTTTTTTTTGAGATAGAGTCTCGCTGTGTTGCCCAGGCTGGAGTGCAGTGGCACCATCTTGGCTCACTGCAACTTCCGCCTCCCAGGTTCAAGCGATTCTTCTGCCTCAGCCTCTCGAGTAGCTGGGACTACAGGTGCACGCCACCATGCCCAGCTAATTTTTGTATTTTTAGTAGAGACAGGGTTTCACCATATTGGCCAGGCTGGTCTCGAACTCCTCACCTCATGATCCGCCCACCTTGGTCTCCCAAAGTGCTGGGATTACACGCATGAGCCACCATGCCCGGCTCACTTAGTCTTTATGATGGTCTAGGTCCCAGTCATATTTCTGATACCTCCCAAATAAATTATTTGTACTTGAACCCTTGTCTCAAGGTCTGCTTCAGGGAAAATTTAAACTAAGCCACAGAGGGATTATACATTTAATATCTGATTATTTATGAAATACTTAATGCATGCTATGTCCTATGAGGGAAAGAACAAAGCAAGGTGGCTGCCCTGATGGCTCTAATGACTGCCTCAAAGAAACAATTCAAGAATTACAAAAGTGAGCAGAGCAAAATGAGTAGAGAAAGGCCTTGTGGAGTAGGCAAGCTTTATTTATAAACTCTGAAATTTGAATTTTATGTAATTTTATTGTGCTTTTCTAATGTCATGAAATATTATTCTTCTTTTGATTTTTTTTTAACCGTTTAACAGTGTGAAAACCATTCTCAAGGCCAGGTGCGGTGGCTCACACCTGTAATGCCAGCACGTTGGGAGGCTGAGGCAGGTGTATCACCTGAGGTCAGGAGTTTGAAACCAACCTGGCCAACATGGTGAAACCTCGTCTCTACTAAAAATACAAAAATTAGCCAGGCAAAGTGGCAGGTGCCTGTAATCCCTACTCAGGAGCCTGAGACAGGAGAATCACTTGAACCTGGGAGGCAGAGGTTAGCTGGGCGCAGTGGCGCATGCCTGTAATCCCAGCTACTTGAGAGGCTGAGGCAGAAGAACTGCTTGAACCTGGGAGGCAGCAACAAAAGCAAAACTCCGTCTCAAAAAAAAAAAAAGAAAAGAAAAAGAAAACCATGTTCTCTCTTTCTACCTTCTTTAAAATCCCACCCAAGCCTTCCTTGAACAGTCTTGGTAACATGAAGAAAATAGTAGTCATCTAGACTTCCAAATTCTACTGTGGTTTTTTTTTTTTGTTTTTTTTTTTCAGGAGAAACTACAACCTACCCTACCCTCCTCTAATTATTTCTTCTCTACCAAATTTCTCAACGTACCTATTTCTCTGGTCTTTCCCTCAGCCAGATGCTGGCTTCCCATTTCATCTAGTACCCCCAGGAAGCCATTTATCTACTCCCTCTGATGGAGAGGCATTTGTCTGCAATTGATTAAAGTAGATGTATAAAAAAGGTCTAGGTTATTTTAAATTTCTATGTAAGAGAGACACATATTCAGGGGCAGACAGTCTATGCTTCCCTCCATGTATGTGCCTTGAAGAACTTGCTGTGACTCTGATTTTCAAGCTCAATTTCATATTCTACAATGTAATTGGGATAGCTATTGATACCCTTGGCCCTGCAACTTTTATAAGTGGTCACAAGTTAGCATTGTAGAATACCAATGGGAGGAAAAATATTTGCTATTTGACATCAAAATACTACCAACTACTGTATTTTTAAAAAATATCTCATGATTTCTATTCCTTGTTTGGGAAAGTCTGTACCTAGTTTTTCATCATTAAATTATGTTAGCAGTGACTGATTTTCATATGCAATAAAGAATAGATTTTAAGTAAATTAAATTCAAAGATTTTTTAATTTCTATTGCCTTTATTGGTTGGGGCAGGGTGTGGAGTAACGAGAGCACCAATTTTCTAAAACGAATGGTGTGCTTTTATTCCAAGTTTTATCGAGACAATACTGCCACCTCTTGGTCTTCAGAAGAACCAATTTCCCTTGTTAAATTCCTTAAACAGAACATTTAATATACAAATTCAGTACAAATTGTTTAGAGCCACTAAGTTAGGATATTTTCTAGCAGGAGTGCATCAGTAAACGGACAGTGCATCCTGACAAAATGTGCGAAATGCAATGATGAAGTCAGGCTATGTTAGCTATGATAGAAGCAAAAGGAGGAGTAGGAATCTGAGAATCTCGGTGATTTGAATAAATGCCATGGCCAAGGTTAGAAAGATGATCCCTGAGTCATAAAGATGCTGCAGGTGGGACAAAGAACAGTTCTCACCTCCGCTATCCCCTTCTGCAGTGCCTCTATCCTCCCACCACACTGAATTTTTCTTTATCCCCAGTCTCACCACGCTGCGTGCCTTGTGGCTCTCCAAATCTTTGTACATGTGCTTGCTTTGCCAGAAATGCCCTTTCCTGGCTAAGCCATGCACTTCCTTCCTCACTTTCATAAACTCATTTCTGAAACCATGTAAACCAGAAACTACTAATCTCAGCTCAAATATCAACACTACTGAAAAGCCTTCTCCACCTCCCCCAGATAGTTACTTCTTATACACACAGCATTTTTTTCTTTAATATTGTACCTACTGTTAATTTTTAAATATTTTATTTTATATACTTTACTAGTCTTCCCTACTAAATTCTGTGTTCCTTAAAGAATAAGACCTTGTCAGTCAGGCACAGTGGTTCACACCTGTAATCCCAGCACTTTGGGAGTCCAAGGTGGGCGAATCATGAGGTCAAGAGATCGAGGCCATCCTGGCCAACATGGTGAAATCCCATCTCTACTGAAAATACAAAAATTAGCTGGGCATGGTGGCGCGCATCTGTAGTCCCAGCTACTCGACGCTGAGGCAGAAGAATCACTTGAACCCGGGAGGTGGAGATTGCAGTGAGCCGAGATTCCACCACTGCACTCCATCCTGGCAACAGAGTGAGACTCTGTCTCAAAAAAGAAAAAGAAAAAGACCTTGTCTATCTTAGCTTGCTTAGGTTGCCATAACAAAATACCATAGACTGGATGGATTAAACAATAGAAATGTATTTCTCACAGTCCTGGAGGCTGGAAGTCCAAAATCAAGGTGCAAGCAGATTCAGTTTCTGGTGAGAGCCCTCTTCATGGCTTGCAGATGGCTGCCTTCTTACTGTGTCTTCACATGGAGGAAAGAGAGCAAGTGAGCTCTCTAGTGTGTCTTCCTGTAGGGATAACAATCCTGTAGGATCAGGGTTCCACCGCTCTGATCTCATTTAACCTTAATTACTTCCTTAGAGGCCCCATTTCCAAGTACAATCACATTGGGGGTTAGGGCCTCAACACATGCATTTTAGGGGGACACAGTTCGATCAATAGCACTATTTTATTTATTAGTATTCAATTTTATATAGAAGGTACTGAGTATATTATTTATTGGCTAATTGTTTGGCTGACAGGCTGGCAGGGATAAAAATAGGATAGATGGATGGATAGATGGATGGATGGATGGACGGACGGACGGATGGGTAATATTTATTAAAAGTGCCAGTGCATTGCATAGTTCTAAACTGTTTCACCTTACTCACCTGGGAATTTTTTCTACAGAAATATACTTCTAAGTTTATAATTAAAATCAGAAAAATAAGAGTTACTTTACAGATGTTTTATATATCCCATAAAGTCAGCACTACTTATAGTACTTTTTTGCATAGTTTTTTAAGTAAGAGTTTGCTTTTGTCTTTGTAGGAAATCATCAGAAAGAATGAAATGCTCTTACTAGTATCTATAAAACTGTTATTCAACTGATATTAGAGAGGAAGCATGTTTTCAAAAAAAAAAAACTCTGTGGTATTTATTAATTGCTCATGAATCCCAGACCAGTCTGGGTCAGAAAGAACCCCTCACATCTTGGAGAATTGTGTGTATCCCCTCAAAATTCATATGTTGAAATCCTAATCTGCAATATGATGGTATTAGGAGGTGGGATCTTTGGAAGACAATTAGGTCATGAGGGTGGAGGCCCCCTTAATGGGATTAGTGCCCTTGTAAGAAGAGACACAGAACCTTATTTGCTCCCTCTCTATTCTGCACTATATGAGGACACAGCAGGAAGGTGGCCATCTGCAAACCATGAAGAGAGGTCTCACCAGACCCCAACCATGCTGGCAACCTAATCTTAGACTTCCCAGTCTCCGGAACTGTGAGAAATGTTTGTTGTTTTAAGGCACCCAGTCTATGGTAATTTCTCACATTAACCAAGACTCACTGAGACAAGGGGCCACTCAAACATACTAGCCTAGGGCAACTAAAATCCAGTAGATTTCTTGACTGTCCTGAACAGGGAAGAAAATGGAACTTTTCAGCGTGCATGTGCTTTGGCACATGCAGTCATAAGCAAAGAAGGTATTTGCTCATGGTATTGATAGGTGATGGGTGGTAGAGGATATTTCTAGCCTGGAGTTGGGTGTGGCATGGATTCAACAAATATTTGCTTATTGCTAACATCTAAATTTAAGTGTTACAGTTTCAGTAAAATATAATGTTTGATTTAGCAGCTTCAGTTGTAGCAAAAAAGTTCCTAGCTTTAAAAAAAAAAGAACTCATCAAAGACTACTAACTGCTGATTTTTTCTATGTCCAACCCTGTTTCTCTGGGCTCATTTCCTCATTTCACACTTGGGCTAAGAGGGGCTTCATGGGAAGCCTCAGCCATTACAGATGAGCTGTGCCCCATCCTCATTCTACCTGTATCCCGCCTTTTACGTTCCAAGGCTAATTAAGTTCAGCAATAGGCTTGATCATTGACCCTTGTCAAGTTAGGAAATCAGGTTAAGCAATAAGGGACTAGTTCACATTTCCTAGTTATTCAATCCTGTTACATACCAAATACATAGTTAAAACATTATGGGAAAATTTTGTTACTCGAATAGCATGGTATGTCTCTAGTAAATACATCCTAAAGGGTAACAGTGTGTGTTTTTGAAAAAATTATTTGTTTGTTGTTGTTGCATTTTGTTTGTTTGTTTTGAGACAGATGCTCACTCTGTCACCCAGGCTGGAGTGCAGTGGCACAATCTTGGCTCACTGCAATCTCTCCCTCCCAGGTTCAAGCAATTCTCCCACCTCAGCCTTCCAAGTAGCTGGGGCTACAGGCGCGTGTCACCACACCCAGCTACTTTTTGTATTTTTTAGTAGAGATAGGGTTTCACCATGTTGGCCAGGCTGGTCTTGAACTCCTGACCTCAAGTGATTTGCCTGCCTCGGCCTCTCAAAGTGCTAGGATTATAGGTGTGAGCCTCAGCGCTCAGCCAATTATGTTAGTCTTAAACTTTAATTATTTTGCCACTGATTTATATTGTTTTAGAGGCATTTTTATTCCATTTCTGTCTGGTCTTTATTTTGCCTTGAAAACTTGATTTTTTTTTTTTTACACGTTTTCTCTATCCTGTATCAATCCTACCTTCATTCCCCCAAATCTCACTATCAAATACCTTATATGTAGTTTTGCTTTCTAGCAGAGCTACGCACAGTAACTCAAATACCCTTATATGCTCTTCGGTGTGTTTAACAGGTTCAGGGATGATATTGGCCTGGGCTGAGAAACACTGTTTATAAGCTTGAAATATTAATTGGGTTTATTTTCTTTTGTAATTCCTAGATAGAAGAGCGAGCAGAATTTTTGAATAAGTCTGTGCAGAAAAGGTAAATATGCTTGATGGTTCAATTGAGCTAATCAGCTAGCATATGTATGAGAAGATTCTCTCTCATATTTTTATATGTATGTGTTTACTTTTTTAGCAGTGGTGTCAAATCGACCCATCAAGCAGCAATAGTCTCCAAGATTGACAGCAGACTGGAGCAGTATACCAGTGCAATTGAGGTGAGAATTGTCCTCAGCGTTATGGTCCTGCTGAACAGAAATAGATTCTGACTACATAGAAGAGCATAAAAACACTTAGGACAATAATCAAGTCCAATAGCCCCAGGAGTGTTAGAATTTTTTTTTTTTTTTTTTTTTGAGACGGAGTCTCACTCTGTTGCCCAGGCTGGAGTGCAATGGCAATCTCAGCTCACTGCAACGTCTGCCTCCTGGGGTCAAGCAATTCTGCCTCAACCTCCCGAGTAGCTGGGATTACAGGGGCCCACCACCACACTTGGCTAATTTTTGTATTTTTAGTAGAGACGGAGTTTCACCCTGTTGGCCAGGCAGGTCTCGAATTCCTGACCTCAAGTGATCCACCCGCCTTGGCCTCCCAAAGCCGAATGTGAGCCACCACACCTGGCCCCCAATAGTGTCAGAATATTAATGATGCTTTATTACACTTTGAAATTCTAAGTTCTAAGAAATACAATAATAAAGATAAATTTTAGGAGAGTTTTAAATAAATTATTTTCTACTTTCAGCGTGAATATTGTTTAATGAAAAGGTTTTTTTGTAACGAATGGGTTTACTGGTATTTAAATATATATATATATATATATATATATATATATATATATTTAACTATATATATATTTAAGTCTTCTTTCAAGTATTCTGTCAAATCTGGGTTTAAATGTCACTTCCTCAGAGTAGCCTTCTTTGCACCCCCAAACTAAGTACTGCCCCCCAATTGTGTGCCATGCTTTATGGCACATCATTATTTTTCATAGCACTTAGCACAATGTGAAATAAATACTTGTATAACTAGTTACTATCTTTCCTTTCTATTAAAATATAAGCCCACTGCAGCTGACTGTCTTGTTTTTTGTTTGTTTTTTTGTTTTTTATTTTTATTTTTATTTTTGAGATGGAGTTTCGCTCTTGTTGCCCAAGCTAGAGTGCAATGGTGCAATCTCGGCTCACTGCAACCTCTGCATTCCAGGTTCAAGCGATTCTCCTGCCTCAGCCTCCCAACCGTCTTGTTTTGAGCACGACTGTATCCCCAGAGCCTAGCAAAGTGCCCTTCATACAGTAGGCATTTAAGAAGTATTGTTGAGGCCAAGTGTGGTGACTCATGCCTGTCGTCACAGCACTTCAGGAGGCCGAGGCAGGAGGATCCCTTGAGCCCAGGAATTTGAAACCAGCCTGGGCAACATAGGGACTATGCCTGGCTAATTTTTTCATTTTTTTCTCTACAAAATAGAGAGAGGCCTATGGTTCCAGCTACTCGGGAAGCTGAAGTGGGAGGATCACTTGAGCCCTGGAGGTCGTGGCTGTAGTGAGCCTTGATTGTGCCACTGCACTCCAGCCTGGGTGACAGAGCAAGACCCTGTCTCAAAAAAAAACAAAAAAGTATCTGTTGAAGAAACGAAGTAGAATATCAATTTCACAACAAATGGTGTCCCAACAAAAAGCATATTTCATTTTTGAAAGATCCTCTGATCTAGCTGTGATGGTTTATTTTGAGGGACATATGTCATCAGCATACAGTTTTACAACAGAAATTATCACTCTCATTTTTGGTGGAGGTGTTTACACAATGAATTTTTAAGATGATAATGTTGAGGAAGACAAACTCACTATAATTTTATGAGAACAAACTTCCCAGCACCAATCCTAAAAATAACTCACAAATTTCAGGGAACAAAAAGCGCAAAACCTACAAAGCCGGCAGCCTCGGATCTTCCTGTTCCTGCTGAAGGTGTACGCAACATCAAGAGTATGTGGGAGAAAGGGAATGTGTTTTCATCCCCCACTGCAGCAGGCACACCAAATAAGGTGAGCATCTGATTTTTGTCTCTTAAGTGTAGAGGGGCATATTTTTTTGCATGTCGATTTTGATTTAGGAATCACACTAGTAAATAATAAAAGCAGTGAAGAAGGTGCAATTTGTACTTTGTTTTGCAATGACCACAAAAGCAAGCTCAGAGAGAATGTGTTTGTGAGGTTGCATGAGGTACTAAGCCCGGGCCATCTTACTCCAAATAAAGTGCCTGGGCTGAAATGTCCACCCTTGGAGTTGGAGTGGGGTGAGTTACCAGGGAAAGAAAACCAGATAACATATTCTGTAAATATCAAGTGTTAAGGTTTATGGTTATGTGAAATCATACTTAATGATATTTTGAATTTGCTTTGAAAATTCCTTCCCAGGTAAAGTTTACTTCATTCTTTAATATTTTGGATGATTGCCCCTTTGTAGGAAACTGCTGGCTTGAAGGTAGGGGTTTCTAGCCGCATCAATGAATGGCTAACTAAAACCCCAGATGGAAACAAGTCACCTGCTCCCAAACCTTCTGTAAGTACCTTTAGGTTTTTCTGAGTTTCTTTGATCTCCCAGCTTCTACCAGCAGAAGAAAACAAGCAGTTGGTCTGTTTACCTAGGAATGGCAGTGCCCCTGTTCTTTGCTTTCCCTGATGAATAGCAAACAGGAAAGTGTTCAGATTTACAACAGTTCTAAGAAGCTGCATCTCAGTTACTCAGAGGGTAAAATGGAACCAAATAATCACCTCTACACCCTAACTGAGAGGAGGAATCAGCTAGAATACTGAGGCAGTTCAAATTTAGATCCTTTACTCGTCTATTTGTTTAGCTTCTATTCTATAAATTCTGGATAGAAATTTGAAAATGAAAGGTCACATCATTTTGGCTACTTCTTTGTCAAGAGCACCCCTAAACTTATTCCCAAAAGAATATGTATGTTGCCTATTGGGAACCCATATGTTCCAATTTGCCTCATTTTTATAACTTGGCACAAAAATGCAGTTATTGGGTAGCTGTTGAAATAATTGGTCTAATTGTGTTGTCAGCACCTCCTGAGGAAAGTCATAAAACTGGAAACTAGAAAAACTGGTTATGAATGATGTTTTTGAGAATCTAAAATTTTCTTAATTTATTAAGTGCAGCTATCTTACTAAAAAGTACATTTCTTTTCACCTTTTTGTTGAATGTATACGACAATTGCTTGCATTTGTCATTATAATAAGAAAACGTATCAAGCTCCCCACTGTATATTGCTGAGCTTTCCCTGTTAAGTTTGCTTTTATAGCTTTGTTGGTGCCCAAGGGAGCTGAGAGTCCACTGTCATAATCCTACATTCTAGAGGAAGAAGAAAAAGTTTCCAATCCTAGGCCTCTGTGCATTTAATTGCATCCATTGGCTCCATGCCATTTAATTGCATTTGTTGGCTCCATATATAATCTCCAAAGTCATTAAATTTTGTCACTTTCCAATTTAAAAAGGAAGAAATGGAAATGTTCACAAATCCTTCTTGGGCACAACTCCTTGAACCGTTTAATTAATCTACACCCCGAGATTCTTTGCATAAAGGCTCACAGGAGGTATACACTAATGTCAACCCAATTTACAATTGGAAAATCTTTATACATTGAAAAAAGCAACTTTTCCTCCCCCTCTCAATAGGTACAAGAATGCGGGTTTATAAAAGGACACAGTTGAGGCAAGAGACCGGACCCAAAAGTTATGTGCTCTTTAGTGCCTCAAGTTTTCCAAGCATCTCTGGTAACATAAGGAGTAGAAATTATTTTCAAAAACAAAATAATCACTGGTTCCAGACCAGTGATTATTAACCCTTTTTGAATTATGAACCCCTTTAAAACCTAATGAAATTTAAGGACCCTCTCCCCCAAAATATACATATAAAAAAACAAGGCAGTCTATGGACCTACTGAGTAACTCTCAAGATAGTAAGTAAGGAGAGAAAGATCTATGTTTCCCTCTTTGATAAGTATGAAATATTTGGAGGAGATGCTAATTTTTGCACGTTTATGATATTTGCAATCTTTCATTTTTGTAGCAGATTATACTCAAAAATTTGATCCAGAACTTGGCCCCTATTCTTTTATCAGCACTTTAACTTGTAAACTGAAAAGTTTACCATCATCTGTATGACATCCTAATGAGGTTAAAAAGATAAAATGCAGTTATGATTATGATAGGTATAACTGTATCCAGGTTTCCACAGCAAAAACAAAACAAAACATACACCATGTTCTGGGGTTATTGACAGCCTCCTAAAAAAAAAAAAAAAAAAAAAAAGGCATTGCAGAGAAATTACAAAATCATTGCCTGCTTTACCTACTAATTAGTATGTGACTTGCTAGATCACCCCCTAGAGGGTGAAGAAAAGGAAAGAAGAACATGGCAGTTAGTATAGATTTTAGTGAGATCCTTCTTCCCATTAGATTTTGTAGACTAGTGTGGCTTCCTGAATGAGAACCAGATGGAAGAAAGTTCTATGAAATCAATGTTGTAAATACACCAGATTGCTACTGGGATGTCCCTTGCTATTTGTGGGTAGAATTTATAGGATTTCAGTGTAACTTTGTAACTGCAATTCAATTCTGAGTATGTCTGTTTGAGCTGGTTTGTCTATTCTTTGTGTCTAAACTAATGTTACACAGAAATTAAAAAGCTAATTTGTCTTTCTTTTTGTTTAAAAAAAAACAACCAACAATGTCTTTCTCAGCTGACCTTCTGTTCCTCACTCTTTGGTCTCTGGTTGATTGGAAACCTGCTTCTCCTGCCTTCATTTCTCCCTCTTCTTCCGGAGTGGGTCTTTCTCTAAAATGTAGTCTGGTCAGGTAATTCCATTTATATTTCCCCTTTGATTTAAAATGCCAACTTATAACTCAGATGTTCATATTTTCTTAAAAGGACTCTTTAAACTCTTTAAGTGATCTTGAAAGATTCATCGGCAGGATTTATGGGAAGTGCAATCCATTTTCTTAGGTAGAAGAACGTGCATGAGAAGGAAAAATATTTGTCTCATATGAATCAAATAAACAAAGCGATAATAGCTGCTTTCCAGAGCTTCCCTCAGCATGTTCCTAATTATAGTTTCCAAAATTTTAAAACAGTCTTCCAGACAGTTTGGCAGCTTCCACCTACGCTGGCAAATGTAGTGGAATTCTACAAAAATAATCTGATTTGTTGCTTAATGGCTCCAAGTTAAATAGGTGTAACTCTCTAATAGAATATCAGGAATTCATGCCACAGAGGAAATCCAGAAACTCAGTAAAGTTTAGGCAAATCTGAAATGCTTCACAGGTATCATTTAACTGTGCATTTTCAGTGTTACAATCTCAATACTATCTATCAGAAATATGTCCATTTAGATCAGTGTCCACGGGTAAATGCAATTGCTGTTAGCTTTGCCTTCCTCCTGAGAAAAGGGTTTGCCAAGATAAGCATTACTATTTCAGTAAAACACATTTATTTTCTACAAACTACCTTTTGCCAAGTACTAATATAAGCAAATGCTGGAAGAAAAGTAAATTGAAACAGAAATTTGGATCCTTATCCAAATGAAATTAATTAGGAGGTAGTAAATAAAGACTCTAAGCTGTATAACTGTTATCGATCATATTTTAGTGTTTCCATCCCAAGATTTCCACATGTTCTTACACATGTCATCAACTGTCAACTTCTCGCATGGGTTCAATTTGTGATGAATGTTTATATTTGCTAGGTTCTACTGATCCACTTCTGAATTACCCACTTGCCCCTCGGGAGACACATAATGATTTTAGGGTGAGGAAAATGCTGCTAGAAAAGGGACTTTGTGGCTGGGCGCGGTGGCTCACGCCTGTAATCCCAGCACTTTGAGAGGCTGAGGCGGGCAGATTATGAGGTCAGGAGATCGAGACCATCCTGGCTAACATGGTGAAACCCCATCTCTACTAAAAATACAAAAATTAGCTGAGCGTGGTGGCTTGTGCCTGTAATCTCAGCTACTTGGGAGGCTGAGGCAGGAGAATCGCTTGAACCCGGGAGTCGGAGGTTGCAGTGAGCCGAGATTGCGCCACTGCACTCCAGCCTGGGCGACAGAGCAAGACTGTCTCACAACAGAAAAAGAAGAAAGAAAAGTGACTTTGTTTGGGCTGCCCGGCAACGGATCCCAAGATAGTGATTCCAGAGCAAGTTGTTTACGTGGAGGTGAAGAAAACCCTACAGGGGCTGAGGTTGGGAGAAGAAGGCAGTCCTCACAGAAGGTGTTATTAAGCAAGTCCCCACATGGACTGTTAAACTTTCATCCCATGGAGGAAATCCTGGAAGCCACCAAAGAACACATACTTCAGAGTTACCCAAGCTGAGGCGAGAGTGAGCCTGAAAATAATATTGCACCAACATTCACCAGTCAGCCATTGAGGACTGCTCCTGGGGATGTTATAATAACTCTCTCAACTTTCCAGCCTGCCCCTGGGCAGGCAAATCAGGCATCTGTACCCAGAGAAAGTCCCTAGGCAGAGAAGCGCTGTGTGGGCAGTTGGCAGTCAGGCTGGTGTGCACTAAAGTAGTAAGGGCTGGGGGGAAAGAGGTGAGTACAAATTGAGTTCATCTGTGAGGCAGGAAATGCTTATCAAACCCCAAATTAATCATTTTTAAATAACCCATGATCTATTGACTTGTAAGAGTGCAGAAATTTAAAATGAGGCTACATTATTTTAAACATGCTCCTGTTTCACTTTTACTGATCAATAAACAGTAAGTCCTTAGGAAAGGGCAAGGACCCCGAGGCTATAGTTCCAGCCCATTCTCATATCATAAGACATGTCACGGTCTATATAAAATCAAACAACAGCTAACCCCATCTCTACTACACATACAAAAAAATTAGCCAGGCATGGTGGCACACGCCTGTAATCCCAGCTACTCGAGAGGCTGAGACAGGAGAATCACTTGAAATCAGTAGATGGAGGTCGCAGTGAGCCAAGATCACGCCACTACACTCCAGCTTGGGCTACAGAGTGAGACTCTGTCTCAAAAAAAATAAAAAAATAAAAAAATCAAACAACAGCTGATGGTCCTTTCAATTCCATTTCAGATCACTGGGGTAAAGTGTATTAAACAACAAACTGATTCAAATAAACAATAGATGTGGCCATTTATTTAGAGCTGGCTAGAAAATATAAATGGCCACCTATCGATGTTTTTCTGCTTCCTTTTTATCAGGACTTGAGACCAGGAGACGTATCCAGCAAGCGGAACCTCTGGGAAAAGCAATCTGTGGATAAGGTCACTTCCCCCACTAAGGTAATCTATTGGGAAGACTAGTATTTCAGAGGTTTGTTTTCCTGATGTATGGTGTAGTATAATGTCCTGGAGTCAGATGAGAAATATCACTGACCTACAGATCTTTGCCTGCACACCCATCAGTGTCTAAAAGACCAGTACATAACACAGTGAAATGAAAAGCGCATTGCAAGTTTGTCAGTCATACAACATAAACGGCCCAAATCCATGGAATGGTTCTCAGTAGGACATTCTCAATACACCACAGTGGTAGGAACATTGGCAGCAGAAGGCCGTATGGGATACCATGGTCTACGTTTCCTTACAAGGTCCCAGCTTAGTGCCACAGTCATTTAAAAATCACTTGGGGAAAACATCTGTCTCCCTGAGTGTTTCCAAAACTGCTTTCTGGAACCATTTTAGATTACATTGCCACTGCCAGCAGCCTAAGACTCAGGGTTGCTATGGCCAAAAAAAAAAAAAAAAATATTCAAAAGTAAGGCAACCATTTACCACCCTGTGAAAATGAATGATTAAGAATGATTGGGTTCCTCTTACTTTTAGTCTTCTGGTCAAAGGATATGGTCATTCTTCAGAAAGGAGGCTCTGAAGAACATCTAAATGATGCTTACACTGCAAATGGGACCCTTTGTGGTACAATGAGCTCATTCAACTCCCAACTGTAGCCTTTCCCCATTTCAAGTAATAGACCTCGTGTTCTCCTTCAATAAAAAGAAAATTAAAAAGGGAGAAACTGGAGACCAACAATAAGCAAGGTTAGAACAGGCTGCTTATGGGTTGATTTAAACAGAAGCACTTCGTAAGCAAACTCAGGACTAAAGAGCACATCAACGGCAACTAGAGAATCACTACAATTCACTGCAGTGAGAGAATTACCTTCCCTTTCCCACTTTCTCATGCTCTTAGTTCTGGTGCAGCTACCTAAACATATTACCCCACCTTCACTATTAGCTACGTATTGCGCTTTTATTCCATTAAAATCCACTAGCCTTTCTAAGTCATTGCTAAACATATGAAAAGTACCTGCTGGTAATTATCACATTGCTAACTACTAGCGCTACAAGTGAGCACCCCACTATATGCCAGACACTATTCTACCTTCTTACCCTCCATTATTTCATTTGATCCTCCAGTCACCATGTGAGGTAAGTAGTTTATCATTCTCATTTTGCAGCTGAGAAAAATGAGGCATTGAGAGATGAAGTAACTTTCCCAAAGTCACACAGTGAATAAGTAGCATAGCCTGCATTGATACTCCAGCACCTGATCCGAGCCTGCATTTTTAACCATTATACATGGTACTTTCTTTTAGGATGCATATTCAGGAGAAAATGTATAGTTATTCAATTCCTTGTATAATTTTCTCTCGGTGGCAGGGGAGAAAAGAACTTTCTTTGTTATTTTTTAAACAAAGAATGAGCTTGTTGACCTAAGCTTTTATGACCTCTCTAGCCTATGCTATTAGCGCATTGCAGGTTTGTCAGCCATGCAATGTAAATAGCCCAAACCCATGGAATGGTTCCCAGGAAGACATTCTCCACACACCACTGTGGGAGGAACATTGACAGCAGAAGGCTCTCCTCTCAGACCTCTGAGAGGTATCTGACTTCTCAGAATGGCAGTCCCAGTGTTTATATAGGTTCCTGTCTGAAAAGCAGATGTCAGCTGGCCATAGACCATCATCACCAGTATAACGGAGTCTCTCTGGATAACATTCCTCCTAGCCAGAGCTCTGGAAAGTGGAACAAAGATGATGTGGAATGGTCAGACTCAGAGAACACCACTCACATACAAACATGAATGGTACTCCCTGGAGTTATGTAGCACCAGGGCAGTACAAGGTAGGAGGGTGACAGTGTGAGTTTTCATGTGCCACTAACTTCTTTCTACAGTAGTAATAATATAACCACCAGACCGAGAACTGAGTTTATGAGGTAGCAGATTAGGTACCTCTTTTGCTCCAAACTGTCAAACTCATTTCTTGTTACTCAGTCATTCCTTAGAAATGAATACAATGAACACCCTTGAAAATTGGAATTCACAACACTTTAAGATTTCTTAATAGCTTGGCAAAAATTTTTAGCAACTAGCTGAGGGGGAGAGAATGGTGTAAGAATAGGACTATAGGTCAGATAAGTCTCGTGGGGTAGGGGTGTAAGAATAGGAGGGAGAAAATAGAGATTGCTAGATTAAAAATGGGAGAAAACTAAAGATAAACATCCTCCTTCACCATCATACATTGATGTGGCCCTCACTGAGCTATTCAGTCGCATGTGCCTGTTCTGGAATACACACTGTAGATTTTTGGCTCTTACAGTGGGGCTTAAAAATGAAAAAAACAAAGCAACTTACTTGACTCTAAATGCTATAAGCAAGGCCAAAAGTTAAGACAGGAAAAGAGAACATCAAGGAGAAAGACAGGAAGAGGGAAGTGAAAAAAATCAGCAGAAGGAAGGCTAAAATAAAATAAGATCCAGCCAGGCGCAGTGGCTCACACCTGTAATTCCAACACTTTGGGAGGCCGAGGCAGGCAGATCACTGGAGGTCAGGAGTTTGAGATCAGCCTGGCCAACATATAGGGAAACCCCGTCTCTACCAAAAATACAAAAATTAGCCGGGCGTGGTGGTGTATGCCCGTAATCCCCAGCTACTCAGGAGGCTGAGATGGGAGAATCACTTGAATCTGGGAGGCAGAGGTTGCAGTGAGCTGAGATCACACCACTGCACTCCAGCCTGGGTGACAGAGCAAGATTCCATCTCAAAAAAATAAAAAGTAAAATAAAAGATCATATTTGAATGGAATGCCGATAATAATCCTCCCTTTCATAAATATTTATTCCTGCCATACTATTATTCATTTTTCTTCTGACTATAAAAACCATCTGCCTGAAACACTGCAGGCTGTCAGTTTCACACTACAGGCTGTCAATTTCAAGTTCTCTTCTCTTGGCAGGTTTGAGACAGTTCCAGAAAGAACCCAAGCTCAAGACGCAGGACGAGCTCAGTTGTAGAGGGCTAATTCGCTCTGTTTTGTATTTATGTTGATTTACTAAATTGGGTTCATTATCTTTTATTTTTCAATATCCCAGTAAACCCATGTATATTATCACTATATTTAATAATCACAGTCTAGAGATGTTCATGGTAAAAGTACTGCCTTTGCACAGGAGCCTGTTTCTAAAGAAACCCATGCTGTGAAATAGAGACTTTTCTACTGATCATCATAACTCTGTATCTGAGCAGTGATACCAACCACATCTGAAGTCAACAGAAGATCCAAGTTTAAAATTGCCTGCGGAATGTGTGCAGTATCTAGAAAAATGAACCGTAGTTTTTGTTTTTTTAAATACAGAAGTCATGTTGTTTCTGCACTTTATAATAAAGCATGGAAGAAATTATCTTAGTAGGCAATTGTAACACTTTTTGAAAGTAACCCATTTCAGATTTGAAATACTGCAATAATGGTTGTCTTTAAAAAAAAAAAAGAAATGTACTGTTAAGGTATTACTTTTTTTCATGCTGATGATTCATATCTAAATTACATTATTATGTTAGCTGACAGTGGTACTGATTTTTTAGGTTGGTTGTTTTGTGGATTTCTTTAGTAGTGATAGTAGCCTGAACCACATTTTAGATAACTCAATTATGTATGTATGTGCATACACATATACAAACACACTAATGGTAGAATGCTTTTTTATGTGCTAGACTATTATATTTAGTAGTATGTCATTGTAACTAGCCAATATCACAGCTTTTGAAAAATTAAAAAATCACACTATATTAATATTTTATATTTGCCAACAGAAACATGGCAGATAGGTATCAATATGTTTTCAATGCCTGATGACCTATAAGAAGAAAGTATTGAAAAGAAGAGAGATTAGAACTGTTAGAAGGAGTTGAAATTTTCTAAAAGACATAGTATTTAGTTTATAATTAAATGCATTCTTGAAGTCCAGTGTGAATTTTATTAATGCTATCATCTCGACCAAGCTCAAAGCCTACTTATTAGAAACAATGAAGTTCACAATAGGTCATAAGGTCTCTTCCTTTTCTAAAATTGAAAGACAAGAAATTTAGTGCCAATATTGTACAGACAGAAATTCCATGTATGAGTCTCAACAAAGACTACCTTTGGCTAAATGTCTAGAAGCAGAGAAGTAAAGTGAGCAAAATCCAGTGTTGAGGAGTCATGACAGTACTTTGATCTTTATATACTCTGAAGCATTTCTTCAAACTTTTCTACTTTTATTTGTCATTGATACCTGTAGTAAGTTGACAATGTGGTGAAATTTCAAAATTATATGTAACTTCTACTAGTTTTACTTTCTCCCCCAAGTCTTTTTTAACTCATGATTTTTACACACACAATCCAGAACTTATTATATAGCCTCTAAGTCTTTATTCTTCACAGTAGATAATGAAAGAGTCCTCCAGTGTCTTGGCAAAATGTTCTAGTATAGCTGGATACATACAGTGGAGTTCTATAAACTCATACCTCAGTGGACTTAACCAAAATTGTGTTAGTCTCAATTCCTACCACACTGAGGGAGCCTCCCAAATAACTATTTTCTTATCTGCAGTATTCCTCCAGAAGAGCTAACCAGGGCAGGGCTGGCATGAGAAGTGACATCTGCGTTACAAAGTCTATCTTCCTCATAAGTCTGTAAAGAGCAATTGAATCTTCTAGCTTTAGCAAACCTAAGCCAAAGGAAGGAAAGCCATGAAGAATGCAGAAGTCAAACCCTCATGACAAAGTAGGCACAAGTCTACAATAAGCTAAATCAGAATTTACAAATACAAGTGTCCCAGGTAGCATTGACTCCCGTCATTGGAGTGAAATGGATCAAAGTTTGAATTAAGGCCTATGGTAAGGTAACATTGCTTTGTTGTACTTTTGAACAAGAGCTCCTCCTGATCACTATTACATATTTTTCTAGAAAATCTAAAGTTCAGAAGAGAATGTATCACTGCTGACTTTTATTCCAATATTTGGATGGAGTAAGTTTTAGGGTAGAATTTTGTTCAGTTTGGATTTAATCTTTTGAAAAGTAAATTCCTTGTTTACTGGTTTGACTATAATTCTCTGTTATCTTTACGAGGTAAAACTGCAAGCTGACTAGCATGTTCTGTGAATCTGCCATTCCTAAAAATTTTATAAACACTTGATACTTTTCACTGATAATGGATCGCTCCAATAAACATATATTGTGAAAATGCATCCACAATAAATGGAATTCCTTCCTGCAAAATGTCTTTTTCTCACTTATTTTTATGTACAATATTGATAGTGAGAGGTATGTCTATTATAATAAAGATTATGGCACAGTAAAACCTGTATTTCAGGTTGAGTCTTGGTTTCACTCTTTAAAGAAGAAAAGCATTTTCATATTTTTAAATTACCTAATAAAATATAGAAAATTGGTCTTATGTTGACAACTGACCTAACACGTATGGAAAAGGTTGAAGAGGGATTTTGCAAATCCTTCCTAAAAGAAACTATCGTCCAGGCACAGTGGCTCACGCCTCTAATCCCAGCACTTTGGGAAGCAGGAGGATTGCTTGAGCCCAGGAGTTCAAGACCAGCCTGGGCAACATAGCAAGACCCCTTTCTGTACAAAAAAAATTAAAAAGCCAGGCATGGTGGCATATGCCTGTAGTCCCAGATACTTGGGAGCCTGAGGCAGGAGGATCGCTTGAGCCCAGGAGGTCGAGGCTACAGTGAGCCCTGATAGCACCACTGCACTCCAGCCTAGGTGACAAAGCAAGACCCTGTCTCAAAAAAAAAGTAACTATCGATTGTCCCTCCATCCTCCTTCTCATTGCCAGTGTTGTCACATACCAGCCCCTCTGGCTCCTAAGATGGGCAGTACTGTTTTCTCAAAGGTAGTGTCTCTTATATAGAAAGACCCATTTAATATATACCATTCATTTGTAGAATACTTACTACTTACAAGGCACTGGTGATTACATGTGAATCCAAAGTTATTTTTTCATGGTAATTTTGCATATTTATGTAGCACTAATTGGTCTGAAATCTGAAGTTCTCATAAAGGTTTTAAACTGTGGGTTCGAAGCTCCTGAACAGTTCCCTCAACCCTGCCTACAAAATTGACACAATGAACTAAGTTACTATAAAAAAATTAGTATTTTTATTTCTGTGTCCTAACAAGAAGGGTGATAAGTATAGACAATAATATAGTTATCAAAATCAATTTGCAAAATTAAGCAATGGAAATACAATTTGTAATACCAACACCAAACTGATAAGATTAGGGGTGAATGGAAATTAATTTTACAATATGTATATTCAGGATATGAGCTTGAAAACATACTAGTGTCTTCTGTGATGTCAAAACAGGTCTGTATTAAAGGTTTTTTCCTACCTTTGCTTGCATGTATGCTCCAAGTGGAAGAATGGATAAGAAAAAAAGATCTCAGTCCTAAATTTGTGTTCTTCCATTGGTGTTAGGAGATAACTAACAAGGTTTTGATTTTAGTACAGTGTCTATTTGTGTCAAGTCTATTAATCATGTTGTCCTAATATTCTATATCCTACTGACTTTTTCCTTATCTGTTACTGAGAAAGGAAAGTGAAAAATCTCCCACTATGATTATGGATTTGTCTATTTCTCCTTGTAATTCTGTTAATTTTGCCTTCCATATTTTAAGGTTATTTTTTAGGTGAAATATTCAATTCACTAGGAAGACATCATGATTCTAGATCTTTAGCTAAAGATCACTCTGAAGTGACCATCTATTTGTGCAAAGACTTTTGCCTTCAAGTTATTTTTTTCTATCCTAAAATTACCACAGTGGCTTCCTTTTGACTAGGGCTTGCATCATATTATTTTTTCCATCCCTTAAATTTCAACTTTTATATATCCTTTAGTCTTATATATGTGTCTTTAACCATAATCACATGGTTTGGGTTTTAATCCAATCTGATGACCTTTGAGTTTCAATGGGAATATTTAGTCCTTTCATACTTAATGTAATTACTGATATTTTTGTATTTAATAGTATCCTAGCTATGTGCCACCTGTACTATATTACTTTTTCTTTCTTGTTCATGTTGGACTGCTTCTGCTTCAGAGCATATGCTGATCTACAAGTGGCAGCTGAGAGGCTGAGCTAGACCTTTGCAAATACAATTGGGCTAGAGGAAAAAAAGTCAGAATCTGCTAACTGCCAAGAATGAGGGCTAGGTAAACTACTTCTAGCTTTGGTTGGGTCTTCAGAGAGCTGCCTCCTAAAAGTAAGGTGAATTTAAAGTTATCTGGTCTTCACACAGATTGCCACCTAGCTCCACTGTGTTGAACAATTCTAGTATTCTAGCAGAGAAATAAATGATCAATGGTAAAGATGAGAAAAGTTACGAAATACTGAGTAACAATTCAAGAATTTAAGAGATAAAGTATCAACAAGGCTCTAGCACATAATTGTCAAAGAATTATGTAGTATATAGTTGTCAACATTTAGAGGGAAGAGAGAATACATCAGCATGGGGTAATCAAAGAAGAAAAATATTTGCCTTAACGTTTTTTGTATACCCAGAAGTGTACCCAGTACCACTACACATACCCGTGCTTCGTAAGCAATAAGATGATTTCATGAGCAACTCAGTTTATAAACTTTGCTAGATGTGCTGCTGTGAATTTCCGTAAAGTTTCTAGAGTTATAAGAGGTGAGTTTTGTGACATTTTATATTACTAAATTTAGAGTTTGTGTATCAACTCAGCCCTGCATCTCAGCTCCATAAAGAACACTGGCTCCTTACGTCACTCTAATGCCGGTTGTTGTTGTTGTTGAGATGGAGCCTTGCTCTGTTGCCCAGGCTGGAGTGCAGTGGCGCCATCTCAGCTCCCTGCACTGCAACCTCTGCCTCCCAGGTTCAAGTGAGTCTCCTGCCTCAGGCTCCCGAGTAGCTTGGACTACAGGTGCGTGCCACCACACCCAGCTAAATTTTGTATTTTTAGTAGAGATGGGGTTTCACCATGTTGGCCAGGCTGGTCTTGAACTCCTGACCTCAAGTGATCTGCCTGCCTCGGCCTCCCAAAGTGTTGGGATTACAGGCATAAGCCATCATGCCTGGCCTCTAATGCAGATTTAATATATTTTGCCATGACACGCTCTTAGTGGTGATGGCTTTTACTATCTTGAAATAGGATTTCCAAAAAATATTTCATTAAAATAGATTTTAGAAGGCCCAATGGGTCATTTCTACCTGAATAAGGAACCATAATTCAATCTTCTCTTATCGAATATACTAAAAATTATGCAAAAATACCGCAATCCTACAGAACACAAGATTAGTTTCTTAACCAGTTTTCAACCTTACCTAGCACTCTTTCATTCTAACCTGCTTTTATTAGAATAATAAAATGCTATCTTGTATATGTCTAGTTCCTGTTGTATTAGTCAGGGTTATCTAGAGAAACAGACTAATGGAATAGTTTATATAAAATCTATAAAGGGGAGTTTATTAAGTATTCACTCACACGATCACAAGGTCCCACAATAGTCCATCTGCAGGCTGAGGAGCAAGGAGAGCCAGTCTGAGTTCCAAAACTGAAGAACTTGGAGTCCGATGCTTGAGGGCAGGAAGCATCCAGCACAGAAGAAAGATGTAGGCTGGGAGGCTAGACCAGTCTCTCTTTTCACATTTTTCTGCCTGCTTATATTTCCCCATGCTGGCTGCTGATTAGATTGACCCCACCCAGATTAAGGGTGGGTCAGCCTTTCCTAGACTAATCACTCAAATGCTAATCTCTTTTAGCAACACCCTCACAGATACACCCAAGATCAATAGTTTGTATCCTTCAATCCAATCAAGTTGACGTTCAGTATTAACCGTCACACCTGCCAACATTAGTAACATGGGTGCTTTGAGTTTTTTTCAAATTATGGAAATTAGTTGTCGAGTTCACGAGGGTTTCTCAACTAGGGTCTCACAGACCACATTTTAAAAACGACTTCCCCATGCCTTGAGGAGAATGATGGCTCCAACCTGCTCCCTGATGTAACGTGTAAGTGCTTAGAACTTACATGTTACTCACCCAATCCTCACAACCCTACAAGACAGGTACTACTGTATTGTCCCCCTTGACAGGTAAATAAATTGAATCAAAGAGAATTTAGAAACTTGCCCACAGTCATATGGCTAACTGGCAGAATATTTGACCATAGGCAGTTGGCTCCTGAGCCCATGTGCTTAACTCTGTCACAAGAGATTATTGCCTAGGAGTGCGCCTTGAAGAGAGCCCCTTGTTGACGGGGCAGGTGGGTGTCTCTACTCTCTTCTTGAAGTCCACAGACAGAGCAAGAACAGCACTTGAGACCAACCATGTAGACTATAACTTGGCCCAGTTAAGGAGACCCCTTTTGTTCCCCAGTCATCCCCAGCCTAACACAGCAAGGAACTAGAACCTAGAAAGAAGAGGAGATGAATGTAAACAGCAAAACACCAACCTCCTTAACATCTTCCAAGCCACCATAGCTATGGATAGCTCTCAGGTGCTCTGGGGGTGTTACCCACACAGGGGGTAGGTTCAATTGTTTGGTGGGTGACAGTCCAACGAACACAACCAAGGAGGACTGAAAAAGAGGATTTTATTACTTGGGGGGTGATAGGGTTTGGCTGTGTCCCCACCCAAATCTCACCTTGAATTGTAATAATTCCAATGTGTCAGAGGCGGGGCCAGGGGGAGATAATTGAATCTTGGGGGCAGTTCCCCCATACTGTTCTTGTGGTAGTAAGTCTCGTGAGATCTGATGGTTTTATAAATAGGAGATCCCCTGTACAAGCTCTCTTCCCTGCCACCACGTAAGATGTGACTTTGCTCCTCATTTGTCTTCTGCCATGACTGTGAGGCCTCCCCAGTCATGTGGAACTGTGAGTCAATTAAACCTCTTTCCTTTATAAATTACCCAGTCTCAGGTATGTCTTTATCAGCAGCATGAGAACAGACTAATACAGGGAGTGATAGTCCAGTGAACACAACCAAGGAGGATTGAACAGTGGGATTTTATTACTTGGGGAGGCAATGGTCCAATGACCACAGCCAAGGAGGACTGAGCAAGGAGATTACCTGCAACAAGCAAGGAGGACACTGGGGATAGTTCCCCAAAGTATCTCCCCAAACAAAGGTGAAAACGGGGCTTTTAACAGGCTGGTTAGCCGAGTCACTGTATGTAGAGATGGAGTCAAGGCAGCACAGGCACAGTTGTTGACCACACTTCTTCATATGCTGTGTGTATAGAAAATAGCAAATGAGCTCCTCCCTGGGCAGAGTTTTTAGTATGGTAATGAAGAGAGTTTGCCAAAGGTCATCTCCAACTTAGGTATCTCTGTATCCAACCTGTTTTTGTTTTGCCAGGGCTAGGCTTTCTCCTGGAACTTTTCTGTTAGGCGAACGTGATAACGACTACACTACAGAAACACCCGGAACTTTTCTGAAATAACAAGAACTCAAAGTGCAACAGTTATCAGTGGGTACTTTTTCACAGTGTACACCCCAAAACCCCAAATCCCTGGGACCCTCAGTTACAGGGGGTGAAGAGGGGAGGGCTTTAAATAGGCTTTAAAATTGAGGTTTAAAATGAACTTCTTGGATGGCCGAATAGGAACAGCTCCAGTCTATAGCTCCCGGCATGAGAGATGCAGAAAATGGGTGATTTCTGCATTTCCAACTGAGGTACCGGGTTCATCTCACTGGGACCTGTTGGACAGTGGGTGCAGCCCATGGAGTGTGAGCCAAAGCAGGGCGGGGCATTGTCTCACCCAGGAAGCACAAGGGTCGGGGAATTCCCTTTCCTAGCCAAGGGAAGCCATGACAGATGGTACCTGGAAAATCAGGACACTCCCACCCTAATACTGCACTTTTCCAATGGTCTTAGCAAACAGCACACCAGGAGATTATATCCCATGCCTGGCTTGGAGGGTCCCACGCCCACAAAGCCTTGCTCACTGCTAGCACAGCAGTCCGAGTTTGAACTGCAAGATGGCAGCGAGGCTGGGGAAGGGGCATCCGCCATTGCTGAGGCTTGAGTAGGTAAACAAAGCAGCCAGGAAGCTCGAACTGGGTGAAGCCCACTGCAGCTCAAGGAGGCCTGCCTGGCTCTGTAGACTCCACCTCTGCAGGCAGGGCAGAGCTGAACAAAAGGCAGCAGAAACTTCTGAAGATTTAAACGTCCCTGTCTGACAGCTTTGAAGAGAGTAGTGGTTCTCCCAGCAAGGAGTTTGAGATCTGAAAACGGACAGACTGCCTCCTCAAGTGGGTCCCTGACCCTCGAGTAGCCTAACTGGGAGACACTTCCCAGTAGGGGCTGACTGACACCTCATACAGTTGGGTGCCCCTCTGAGACAAAGCTTCCAGAGGAAGGATCAAGCAGCAACATTTGCTGTTCTGCAATATTTGCTATTCTGCAGCCTCTGCTGCTGATACCCAGGCAAACAGGGTCTGGAGTGGACCTCCAGCAAACTCCAACAGACCTGAAGCTGAAGGTCCTGACTGTTAGAAGGAAAACAAACAGAAATTAATAGCGTCAACATCAACAAAAAGGACATCCACACCAAAGCCCCATCTGTAGGTCACCATCATCAAAGACCAAAGGTAGATAAAACCACAAAGATGGGGAGAAACCAGAGCAGAAAAGCTGAAAATTGTAAAAATCAGAGTGGCTCTTCTCCTCCAAAGGAATGCAGCTCCTCTCCAGCAGCAGAACAAAGCTGGATGGAGAATGACTTTGACTAGTTGACAGAAGTAGTCTTGAGAAGATCGGTAATAACAAACTTCTCTGAGCTAAAGGAGGATGTTCAAACCCATCGCAAAGAAGCTGAAAACCTTGAAAAAAGATTAGACAAATGGCTAACTACAATAAACAGCATAGAGAAGACCTTAAATGACCTGATGAAGCCAAAAACCATGGCACGAGAACTACGTGACGCATGCACAAGCTTCAGTAGCCGATTCGATCAAGTGGAAGAAAAGGTATCAGTGAGTGAAGATCAAATGAATGAAATGAAGCGAGAAGAGAAGTTTAGAGAAAAAGGAGTAAAAAGAAACAAACAAAACCTCCAAGAAATATGGGACTATGTGAAAAGACCAAATCTACATCTGATTGGTGTACCTGAAAGTGACGGGAGAAAGGAACCAAGTTGGAAAACACTCTGCAGGATATTATCCAGGAGAACTTCCCCAACATAGCAAGGCAGGCCAATATTCAAATTCAGGAAATACAGAGAACGCCACAAAGATACTCCTCAAGAAGAGCAACTCCAAGACACATAATTGTCAGATTCACCAAGATAGAAATGAGGGAAAAAATGTTAAGGGCAGCCAGAGAGAAAGGTCGGGTTACCCACAAAGGGAAGCCCATCAGACTAACAGCGGATCTCTCAGCAGAAACTCTACAAACCAGAAGAGAGTGGGGGCCAATATTCAACATTCCTAAAAAAAGAATTTTCAACCCAGAATTTCATATCCAGCCAAACTAAGCTTCATAAGTGAAGGAGAAATAAAATCCTTTACAGACAAGCAAATGCTGAGAGATTTTTGTCACCACCAGGCCTGCCTTATAAGAGCTCCTGAAGGAAGCATTAAACATGGAAAGGAACAACCAGTACCAGCCACTGCAAAAACATGCCAAATTGTAATGGCCATCGATGCTAGGAAGAAACTGCATTAACTAATGAGCAAAATAACCAGCTAACATCATAATGACAGGATCAGATTCACACATAACAATATTAACCTTAAATGTAAATGGGCTAAATGCTCAAATTAAAAGACAGAGACTGGCAACTTGGATAAAGAGTCAAGACCCATCAGTGTGCTGTATTCAGGAGACCCATCTCACGTGCAGAGACACACATAGGCTCAAAATAAAGGGATGAAGGAAGATCTACCAAGCAAATGGAAAACAAAAAAAAAGCAGGGGTTGCAATCCTCGTCTCTGATAAAACAGACTTTAAACTAACAAAGATCAAAAGAGACAAAGAAGGCCATTACATAATTGTAAAGGATCAATTCAACAAGAAGAGCTAGCTATCCTAAATATATATGCACCCAATACAGGAGCACCCAGATTCATAAAGCAAGTCCTTAGAGACCTACAAAGAGACTTAGACTCCCACACAATAATAACGGGAGACTTTAACACCCCACTGTCAACATTAGGCAGATCAATGAGACAGAAAGTTAACAAGGATATCCAGGACTTGAACTCAGCTCTGAACCAAGCTGACCTAACAGATATCTACAGAACTCTCCACACCAAATCAACAGAATATATATTCTTCTTAGCACCACATCACACTTATTCCAAAATTGACCACATAGTTGGAAGTAAAGCACTCCTCAGCAAATGTAAAAGAACAGAAATTATAACAAACTGTCTCTCAGACCACAGTGCAATCAAATTAGAACTCAGGATTAAGAAACTCACTGAAAACCACACAACTACACGGAAACTGAACAACCTGCTCCTGAATGACTACTGGGTAAATAACAAAATGAAGGCAGAAATAAAGATGTTCTTTGAAACCAATGAGAACAAAGACACAACATACCAGAATCTCTGGGACACATTTAAAGCAGTGTGTAGAGGGAAATTTATAGCACTAAATGCCAACAAGAGAAAGCAGGAAAGATCTAAAATTGACACCCTAACATCACAATTAAAAGAACTAGAGAAGCAAGAGCAAACACATTCAAAAGCTAGCAGAAGGCAAGAAATAACTAAGATCAGAGCAGAACTGAAGGAGATGGAGACACAAAAAAACCCTTCAAAAAAATCAATGAATCCAGGAGCTGGTTTTTTGAAAACATCAACAAAATTGATAGACTGCTAGCAAGATTAATAAAGAAGAAAAGAGAGAAGAATCAAATAGACGCAATAAAAAATGATAAAGGGGATATCACCACTGATCCCACAGAAATACAAACTACCATCAGAGAATACAATAAACACCTCTATGCAAATAAACTAGAAAATCTAGAAAAAATGGATAAATTCCTGGACACATAAACTCTCCCAAGACTAAGCCAGGAAGAAGCTGAATCCCTGACTCGACCAATAACAGGCTCTGAAATTGGGGTAATAATTAATAGCCTACCAACCAAAAAAAGTCCAGGACCAGACGGATTCACAGCTGAATTCTACCAGAGGTACAAAGAGGAGCTGGTACCATTCCTTCTGAAACTATTCCAATCAATGGAAAAAGAGGGAATCTTCCCTAATTCATTTTATGAGGCCAAGATCATCCTGATACGAAAGCCTGGCAGAGACACAAGAAAAAAAGAGAATTTTAGACCAATATCCCTGATTAACATTGATGCAAAAATTCTCAATAAAATACTGGCAAACCGAATCCAGCAGTACACCAATAAGCTTATCCACCATGATCAAGCTGGCTTCATCCCTGGGATGCAAGGCTGGTTCAACATATGCAAATCAATAAACATAATCCATCATATAAATAGAACCAAAGAAAAAAAAACCACACGATTACCTCAATAGATGCAGAAAAGGCCTTTGACAAAATTCAACAGCATTTCATGCTAAAAACTCTCAATAAACTAGGTATTGATGGGATGTATCTCAAAATAATAAGAGCTATTCATGACAAACCCACAGCCAATATCATACTGAATGGGCAAAAACTGGAAGCATTCCCTTTTAAAACTGGCACAAGACAGGGATACCCTCTGCCACCACTGGTATTCAACATAGCGTTGGAAGTTCTGGCCAGGGCAATTAGGCAGGAGAAGGAAATAAAGGGTATTTGGTTTGGAAAGGAGGAAGTCAAATTGTCCCTGTTTGCAGATGATGTGATTCTATGGTTAGAAAACCCCATCATCTCAGCCCAAAATCTCCTTAAGCTGATAGGCAACTTCAGCAAAGTCTCAGGATACAAAATCAATGTGCAAAAATCAAAAGCATTCTTATACAGCAATAACAGACAAACAGAGAGCCAAATCGTGAGTGAACTCCCATTCACAATTGCTTCAAAGAGAATAAAATACCTAGGAATCCAACCTACTAGGGACGTGAACGACCTCTTCAAGGAAAACTACAAACCACTGCTCAACGAAACAAAAGAGGACACTAACAAATGGAAGAACATTCCATGCTCATGGACAGGAAGAATCAATATCATGAAAATGGCCATACTGCCCAAGGTAATTTATAGATTCAATACCATCCCCATCAAGCTGCCAATGACTTTCTTCACAGAATTGGAAAAAACTACTTTAAAGGTCATATGGAACTAAAAAAAAGCCTGCATTGCCAAGCCAATCCTAAGCAAAAAGAACAAACCTGGAAGCATCACACTACCTGACTTCAAACTATACTACAAGGCTACAGTAACCAAAATAGCATGGTACTGGTACCAAAACAGAGATATAGACCAACGGAACAGAACAGAGCCCTCAGAAATAATACCACACATCTACAACCATCTGATCTTTGACAAACCTGACAAAAACAAGAAATGAGGAAAGGATTCCCTATTTAATAAATGGTGCTGGGAAGACTGGCTAGCCATATGTAGAAATCTGAAACTGGATCCCTTCCTTACACCTTATACAAAAATTAATTCAAGATGGATTAAATACTTAAATGTCAGACCTAAAACCATAAAAACCCTAAAAGAAAACCTAGGCAATACCATTCAGGACATAGCCATGGGCAAGGACTTCATGACTAAAACACCAAAAGCAATGGCAACAAAAGCCAAAATAGACAAATGGGATCTAATTAAACTAAAGAGCTTCTGCAAAGTGAAAAAAACTACCATCAGAGTGAACAGGCAACCTACAGAATGGGAGAAAATTTTTGCAATCTAGTCATCTGACAAAGGGCTAATATCCAGAATCTACAAAGAACTTAAACAAATTTATAAGAAAAAAATCAAACAACCCCATCAAAAAGTGGGTGAAGGATATGAACAGACACTTCTCAAAAGAAGACATTTACGCAGCCAACAGACACATGAAAAAATGCTCATCATCACTGGTCATCAGAGAAATGCAAATCAAACCACAGTGAGATACCATCTCATACCAGTTAGAATGGCGATCATTAAAAAATCAGGAAACAACAGGGGCTGGAGAGGATGTGGAGAAATAGGAACACTTTTACACTGTTGGTGGGACTGTAAACTAGTTCAACCATTGTGGAAGTCAATGTGGCGATTCCTCAGGGATCTAGAATTAGAAATACCATTTGACCCAGAGATCCCATTATTGGGTATACACCCAAAGGATTATACATCATGCTACTATAAAAACACATGCACACATATGTTTATTGTGGCACTATCTACAAGAGCAAAGACTTGGAATCAACCCAGATGTCCATCAATGATAGACTGGATTAAGAAAATATGGCACATATACACCATGGAATACTATGCAGCCATAAAAAAGAATGAGTTCATGTCCTTTGTGGGTACATGGATGAAGCTGGAAACCATCATTCTGAGCAAATTATCGCAAGGACAGAAAACCGAACACCACATGTTCTCACTCATAGATGGGAATTGAACAATGAGAACACTTGGACACTGGGCGGGGAACATCACACACTGGGGCCTATCCTGGGGTGGGGGGAGGAGGGAGAGATGGCATTAACAGAAATACCTATTGTAAATGACCAGTTAATGGGTGCAGCACATCAACATGGCACAGGTATACATGTGTAACAAACCTGCACGTTGTGCACATGTACCCTTGAACTTGAAGTATAATTTAAAAAAATGAACTTCTTAATGCCAAATCGAATGCCAAATACCAGAAGCAAATCTCAAATATCAAAATGATACTGTTTTAGTAGCTGAAAAGTTACCAACTCTAGCCAACATGCCCTCAGCCGGAAAGGGAATTTCACCATTGCACAGTTAGGGCAGTTTTTTGGGGGAAAAAAGACAATTTCATGTTTGTTGTCATGGGATTTCACACTGAGTCTCGGAACCATTCGTTCTCTTTTGAGATGATTTATCCTATCTATTATCTGTTGAGCAGGCAGGAGGCATTCTTACTAACTCATTTCCAAATACTAAGGGCAACGATAGCTTCACTGTAGCCCCCAAATACAGACAATTAATTCTGCCAATGACAAAGTAATTAGAAAAGACATCATCAAGTGAATGATGCTTAAGCTGAGTGTTGGCTAGTTGACTGGCTGAGACAGATCTCAAGATTTGAGCTTGGGAACAGTTTAAGAGGTTTGGCCCTGTATTAGGTCATCCTAGACCCAGATAGTATGAAGAAGGCCAAGATAATTACTAGACTATCCCAGGCTTCCCAGGCCCTACTATGGCTTCCTCAGTCGAATTACAAGACCTCTAAGGTCACTTGACTACTGAGTTCTATGATGTCATAAGTAACTGATTGCGCTAGTCACTTCATATACTCATTTAAGCCCCTCTCAATTGTCAACCTAAATAACAGAGACAGGCTCTCTAAAAGATGTTTATTTGGGAATGGAACATTGCAATGGGAATATGCATGTCATAGTAAACTATGTGTGTAGTCAGGGAGGTAAAGGAAGATAAAGATTTTTAAAAGAAAAAAAGGAAGATTACATACTGGTTTTTTAAATGATTACCCTTAGCCACAAAGATCAATAACAAGAGTGATGCCAGTCTGAGGTTAGCCAGGCAGTTGCTTAGCCAATGTCCTTGTAGAAGTATCTTTTGTGTAAGGTTATGATGGCCCTTGTGTAACGTTATGGTTGTTATGGAGTCTTTTTCATTATCAAGCAAACAAATGTGAGGACTCTTCTTTCATGGCCTTCCCCAGCTCTGTTTGTCAGAGTTTTCTTAACTTTCATGACTCTATTTTCATTCTGATCAAAATGATATAATTCCACAAAATTATACTCCTAACACAACTTATCTTTGGCCATCCTGCTGAAACGAACTTTCTTCCTGATTCCCACACAAGTAATTGTGCTTTTTGGCACAGTTGGCACTTAGAGTTTTGGTTGTCTTTTCCTCTTTTCTTACTCTATTTTTTATTATATTGCCTTTTAGACTGCAGTCTTAGAGTAAACTCACACACACACACAAAAAAGGAGAAAAAGTTGCCACAAGGGTAAAGCTGTCTTCCCAAAAGGCAGAAGCTGTCTATAGAAGGAACATGTCCAGTAACTTTCTTTGGTGAGATTATAGGGAAGGGGAACAAAAATTCAGACAAAGTCCTTGGTAGAAGTTTATTCTAGGCCTTACTTCCAATATTAACTTAAAGACAAAGAATTTCATTTCCAGTACATAGTACTGTCTTTAATAGGAGAGTAAGTTAAAAAGAAAGAGTTAAAAAAAAAAAGCAGAAGCTTAATCAAACCATTTCAATTTTACTTGGGGAAGAAAAAAATCCCTGTGAAATCTCATACCTTAAAATGATACTGATTCCAGCTAAGCTTTGGCTAAACAGTACTGCTTA
Source organism: Homo sapiens (assembly GCF_000001405.40). Classification (NCBI taxonomy): domain Eukaryota; kingdom Metazoa; phylum Chordata; class Mammalia; order Primates; family Hominidae; genus Homo; species Homo sapiens. Next base: position 134,983,842 of record NC_000007.14, read on the forward strand.
GTATACAGCTGATCCCTGAAAAATACGAGTCTGAACTATGTAGGTCCAAGTATACAGGGATTTTCTTCCACCTCTGCCACCCCTGAGACAGCAACTCCACTACACTCCAACCTGGGTAACAGAGCTGTCTTTAAAAAGAAAAAAATTGTTAATAAAATAACCCTTCCTCTTCCTCTTCTTCCTCCTCTTCCTCAGCCTACTCAATGTGAAGACAAGGATGAAGACCATTATGATGAATGACTTACATTTAATGAATACACTTTCTCTTCCTTATAACTTTCTTAATAACATTTCATCTTACTTTGTTGTAAGAATACAGTATATAACACATATAACATACAAAATATGTGCTAATCAACTGTTTATGTCATCAGTAAGGGTTCCAGTCAACAGTAGGCTCTCAGTAGTTAAGTTTCTGGGGAGTCAAAAGTTATATGCAGATTTTCAACTATGTAGAGGACGATACCCCTAACCCCCGAGTTGTTCAAGGCTCAACTGTAGTTCATAACACAGACTTCTCAGTCTATGTACTTGCTGCTTACCCTGCCTGGCAGAGTCTCCCCCTAAGACATCCTACAGTTCATCCCTCTGCTCAAATGCCCCCTAGCCAGAGAGGCCTTCCCTGGCCATTCCATCTAAAAGAGTAACCTAGCAAGGCCCCCCACTCCCAGCATCCCCTATTCTTTTTTTTCCCCCCTACTTGATTTCTCTCCATAGCGGTTATTGTCTGAGTGATATCATTTTTATTATCATCATTGGTTTGTTTGATTACTCCCACCAGAACATAACCTCCACAATAAATGTCTGGTTTTTTTCCTTGCAATAGTGAACTGTCCCTAGTAGGCAGCAGCCATCCAGTGAATTTGTTATACCAAGGCATGAGGATCTCTTGGGACCAGTAGTTTGAGTCTGCAGTGAGCTATGATTGTGCCTCTACACCCCAACCTGGGTGACAGAGCTGTCTTTAAAAAGAAAAAAGTTGTTAATAAAATAATGAATGAATATCATTTTCAAAGTTTTGCCAAGTTCCTAAGTTTTTGGCCAGGCACGGTGACTCACACCTGTAATCCCAGTACTTTGGGAGGCTGAGGTAGACGGATCACTTGACACCAGGAGTTTGAGACCACACTGGCCAACATGGTGACACCACGTCTCTACTAAAAAATACAAAAATTAGTGGTGGCACGTGCCTGTAGTCCCAGCTAGTCAGGATGCATGAGAATCACCTGAACCCCAAAGGCAGAGGTTGCAGTGAGCTGAGATTGCACCACAGCACTCCAGCCTGGGCGACAGAGCAAGTGAGATTCTGTCTCAAAAAAAAAAAAAAAATCCTAAGTTTTTAAAATTATGCATTAAGATCATTTTTCTTCCCATGGACTACTTGGTATGTGATAATATAACTATTTGGACTAAAAATCACGAGACTTAAGTCTCTCAGCCCTGCCATTAATTTCTTATATAACCTGGTTAGACCATTTCTCAGTTTTACCTTGTACAGCTGACATCCTATGGCTTGCAGCCATGACTAAAATCCAACAGAAAAACAGATTACATAAATAAAGATTTCTCTGTGCATGTCACCTTTAGTGATTTATGTATGGCATAAAACAAGCTTCAACTATAAGAGCTACTTTTCAAGAGGTTGATCTAAGATATACTCTATTAATATTCTCTGGCCAAGGTCTAATCTGGAAGGTTCATACTTTTAAACTGCTGACCTCAAAAACACCTATTTTCAGATACTTACAAAATACAAAGAGATTATGTTAACCCATTTCCATGCTTAAGCCATAGTGCTTTGCCCTTTATTCTACTTTCAAACTTGCTACCATTTATTATCTCCATTTCTACAATATCACGAATCTCATGACATATAACGCTTTGTGAAAAGTGTTTATTTACATTCTTATATCATCAAAATCTAGACTTTTTTTCAGCTGTACTTGGAAAACTTTTCCAAATAGATTACCTTACCCTGTAGAGCTAAAGATGAGGGAAAAAATCAATATGGGATGTTCATGAATAACGTCTGTTAACTAAATGAGACTACATATAGTGATTTGCAGTCATCAGGAAAACAGTGTTAAATATGCTAGCTGACGATTGCTATAAAGAATCTCTGAGCTGATAATTTTGAGAATTCACCCTAGTTCATCTATGACTCTCCATTTAGTATTTAAGGAGAAAAGCCTCATTTTCCAGAATCGAATAAGCGAATTAATCGCACAATTGTGTAGAATGGAACTCAGTCTGTAAAAAATCAAGACCAACGTACTTTTTAATATTCTAACATCTCCAAGTAGTAGTTACAAGTATTGTACCCATGAAGTCCAGGTAATTAATTTGTTCAATGTCACACTGTTAAAAGTCAGGTGGGCTCCAAAGCACAGTCCTAACCAGCATGCTCTACTGCCTCCTCTGAGGCAACAGCCGAAGTGCAGACCACTGGGAATAAATAGCTGCCCGGTCTTCCCCACTCCTAAATTCTCCCGACAGACCCCAAAGCCTCTCTGAGAGCCTCTCTGACCGCCCTGCGGCCCACCCCGAGTTCCCGGCATCCTCTGGGATCCCTCTTCCTGGAGCCAAAACCTACGCAGGCTCCTTTCCTCCGAGCTGGTTGCTAGGTGATCTCCGAAGGCTGTCCGAAGTCTCGCGAGGGCGGACCCGTTGCCTGATGACGAGAGTTGGGAGTGTGGCTGGGGCTGCGGATCTCCAGCAGTGGCGTTACTTCTAGCGGCTGGATACCGGGTTCTCCGCGAGATCGCGAGATCCCGAGATATTCTCCCCGCACGGAAGCGACGACTGGCCTGGCCAGAGGACTCGCGTGGGAGCGAGGTGCCGGCCCCGACAGGACGGTGAGGTATGCAGAAGTAAGGCGGGGCGCCCCCTGCGGGAAGCGAGCGCGCCCCGGAAAATGAGCGCCTCCCCACACCAAGGTGTCCAGGAGTGAGTGCGGGAAGGAACTCGGCCGCCCGGAGTTGTGGCCTCATCGTGCTTCCCGCCAAAAACGCCTTGGTACTGTCGGGACGCGGCTAAGCGTGGACGCGCCCGCATCTGCCCCTCCTCCGCAGTGGTGGAAGACACCCGCGGAGCGCCGGTGGATAAGGGCCGTTTCCTGAGACCAGAGCTGTATCCGCAGCAGGTCAGCACTTCGTGCGCCCTGTGTGCACCTGTAAGGAATGGAATTTAGGCCAGTCGGATTTTCCAAATGTGGAGTTGTGATGCCCAGGCAGAAACTTCAGTTTCTTAGGACTGAAGGTGTCATCTATGAGACAGTCGGTTCCGTGGCATTGGCAGTGATTTGCCATAGAGCTTGGACTTAACTTATATGTAGTCCACGCTCCAAAACACGCTTCCTGTAGAGAGGGGCGTAAACTAATAGATTTGAAATTGTCGAGTCCTTTGGTCTCTCAAGAACGATGGGAACTTGACAAGAAATTTCGATTATTCCCTGGTCTTGATATTACCCACATGGGAAGATACTTGCATAGAATGGTAATGGTCATTACCAATACAACCTTCTGGTAGCTATTTAGATTTCTAAGAATAAGAATAATATAAATGAATATTAGAACAGACAGTATCTACAGAATAATAATCAAAATGTAAAGTCTTGTCACTTGAACTTTTGGTCAAGTGAAAATCAAGGAGAAAACTTAAAATTATATTGCTACATTTCAGTAAGTGACTATAATTTTTAAATTCATTATCTTTTAATGCCTCAGGATCATTCTGAACTTGCTGTGTAGTATTTAATTGTAAATATAAAATGTGAATGATTTGGCTGTATACTCTGGAAATTCCTTTTAATTAAATGATTTGCTTGATTTGTCTTATTGTGGTTGTTGTCTCGTATAGTCATGGAAAATTCCTTTAACTCTTTGAAATTGAAGGTTTTATTAGTTGTATTCTAATTAGTTTTTAGAGAAGACTGTTGTGACTGTTAAATACAATTGAATATATTTTTGAGTACTCATTTAATGTAGTAAACACCTACAGCTTGAAAAGAAAAGCTGTCATATAATTTCCTTAGAAATTGTTTTACAGCCTACCCGTATATTACAAGAAATCTCAAGTCAAACACTGGAAAAGATGTCAGAAGATTCAGAAAAGGAAGACTATTCAGACAGAACAATCAGTGATGAAGATGAATCGGTATGTTTTTCTCAACTTTATTTTACTTGGAGATAAAATTTGTATTATATAAATCCCCAATTAAAATATTATAAAATCAATTGGATATAAAAATCAATTGGATGTTTAAATTATTGTCATTGAAGTTGGGAAATAATTTGGCTGAAAAAGCTAAGCTATCACTGGGAACACTATGCCCTGTCTAGAAAGAGAAACTATATTTGTATTTTTTTTGAGAAAATATTTTAGCTAAGATTCTTCTAGGTTTTATTAAAATTTGTATATGAAATTATTAGTAGGGTTTTAGTTTTAGGATTGATGTCCACTTATTTTCTTCTATGTGCTGATTGGATTGTGTTACATCGTAGTATGAATCATAGTAGAACCACCGTGTTCTAACCTTATTGTGTATCACCATAACAGTTTATTGTGGCTCTGATGTCATAAAGGAAGAGACATGGAAGAAGAAAAAGGGGGAAAAACGTAGTATTTAAAATTCTTTAGTCTTTTTCTACTACATAGGCTGCGAGATTTCCTTCAAATTTTATTAAAGTATAAATTATGTATGTAAACTAATGTCCCGAAATAAGCTCTTAAAGCTTACTTTAGCTATTTAAAGGATTTATGGCTTTCTGTGTTTTTCTTTTTGTTAATTTAATTTTTTTTTTTTTCTTGAGCCAGAGTTTGAGATCGCTCTTGTTGCTCAAGCTGGAGTGCAATGGCGCGATCTCGGCTCACTGCAACCTCTGCCTCCTGGGTTCAAACGATTCTGCCTCAGCCACCCGAGTAGCTGGGATTACAGGCATGTGCCACCATGCCTGGCTAATTTTTTTTGTATTTTTAGTAGAAACGGGGTTTCACCATGTTAGCCAGGCTGGTCTCAAACTTCTGACCTCAGGTGATCCACCCGCCTTGGCCTCCCAAAGTGCTGGGATTACAGGCATGAGCCGCCACGCCCGGCCAATTTTATTCTTAATTTAAATAGTTTTCCCGGGTTTATCAAGAATCTTTAAACTTTATTCCTTCCATAAAGTCATTATTATGACCACACCCAGTGGAAGAGGAGGAATGAAAGATGCAAACTTTAAGGTTTCAGGATATTTGAAGTGTTGGGTGCATTGAGACCAGTAGCTGATAATAATCCTTTAATTTTCTCGTTTATTAAAGGTTAAAGACATATACTCAATCCCAAGTACTAAAATAGATGTAAAAAAATTCTGGATTTGAAAACTGTTGGTTTTTAAAAGAGAAATATTTTTAAATTCTTATTTTAGGATGAGGATATGTTCATGAAATTTGTAAGTGAAGATCTTCATCGGTGTGCACTTTTAACAGGTTTGAACCTATTCATATAGTTTTTGTTTAGCATAAAACTTTGAATGGATAAAAAAGAAGATGAGGAAACTAAAAAGTCAGATTGAATAATATAGGGAATGATTATTCTAGTAGATTGTGAAAGAGAACTGTATCTACTTGCAGAGTTCAAACTTTTCAGGTTTGTTTTAGGTAAGCCTATTTTATATTAGAAAATAATAAATGAAAGTGGTGATTATCTTATATTTAACATAAGGATTTACCTTGTCATTTGTTTAAATGTATTGACTGTATGACTCAAGTTATAACGGACAGATTATGTTAGAAGTACATCTTCATTTAAACGAAGTACATTGTCTAAAGAGTCTCATTAATAAAGTCATTCATTTGCAACTGAACATGTGTGTGGACATCTTGATGTATACTTAATTTTTAAAGATTTATACTTAGAATTGTACTTTCAAACTCTAAGATATCTCTACTAAATATTTACATATGTGTCACAAATACTCTGAAATTGGAGTTAAGGCCTTTATCTTTTTTTTTTTCTTTTGTCTTTTGCCACCATCCTAAAATAAATCTTCCTGTTTGAAATAACCACCATTCTTAGTTTGGTGTGTATCATTCTAGAACTTCTTTGCATATACACATATCTATACCCATAGGCATAGAAATTTTATAGTACTGTTTTGTGGACATTTCCCTGCTACCCTTTTCTGTTTTTTAAATTTTGCCAAGCTATTAGAAAACAGGAGATAACTCACTCCTTTAACTAGCATTTCTGGGATTGCTAGAAAAATTGAGAATTACTTCTATAGGCTTATTATCTACTCATATTCTTAGTTGGTCTGAATTGCCCATTTATACTAATCCCTTTATGTTGCTTCCTTTGTTTAGAACATTACCAAAAGCAAGATGTAAAACATTTAATCACCCCTAAGTGTTCCTGTGTCTCTGCAGTAGATCCTCTCCTTCCAGGCTTCACCCCTGGCTCCAGGCAACCAGTGATTTGCGTTCCCTCCCCTATATTTGGCTTTTCTAGAATTTCACAAAACAGAATCATACATTTTGTGTTTTCTGTCTTCTTTCATTTAGCATAATACTCTTGAGATTTATCCATGTTGTTGCATATATCAGTAGTTCCTTTTTATTGTTGAGAGGTATTCCATTATGTGAATAGATCAAAATTTCTCCATTTAGCCATCCATTCATGCTCATTTAAATTATTTTCAGTTTGGGGCTGTAACAAATAAAGCTCCTATGAATATTTTTGTACAAGTCCTTGTGTGAACATGTTTTTGTTTCTCATGGGTAAATCCCTAGGAATAGTATTATTGGGTTATATGCTAACTATATACTGTATGAGAAACTGTATCTGTTTTCTAAAGTGGCTATATCCTTTTGCATTCCCAGCAATGTGTTATTTCTTCGCCAATAATTCTTAGGTTTTAATTCAGTACAAGTGTGCTTTTCCCTTACCTCATGGAGCATAATTGTAATGACTCCTTTAAAGTTCTTGTCTGATAGTTTTAACATCTGGGTTATCTTGATGTTAACATTTGTTGATTGCCTTTTGCCCTGAGAACTGGTCCTACTCCTGGTTTTCCATTATTCATGCTATGCTGTGTAGATTCTGGGTCAGTGTATTTCTTCTAGCAGGCAATCAATCCAGTTAGGTTGAAGCAATAAGTTCTGGTGCCCCTTCTGTGGATAATTCAGATCTCAGTTCTGATCTGTAAGCCTTTGCTATGCTTATTTGGTTCTTTCCCATGCCAGTGTAGTTCAGGGGTTTTGAGACTTGTATAGATGGTTCAAAGTCCTGTTTAGTTCTCTTAAGTTTTCCTTGTATTGGTTTGGGACTATCTTGCACATGTGTAATTCAGGGATTGAGCTGAGACATTTGTGTGTGGGTGGGGGGGGGGTTGGTTAAAATTTCAGTTAAGTTTTCATAGTCTCTGAGAGTGTGTCTGCTTGCATAGCTCAGGGATTAGGATGAGACTTTTGTGCACTCATACACAGGATTAGGAGATACCTTTCTCTGGTTGCTTTCTTCCCTTCAGATTCCCTCCACACTGTAAGGACCCCTTTTCCTGGGTCTTCTGTTAAGAAAGACTGGGTTTCTGATTTGGAGAAGGAATTTTTTTTGTTTGTTTTCTTGTATGTGTACATATTGTCATTTCTTAGTCTAGGCCAGAATTTCTCAACCTCTACACTACTGACCACCCCACCATGTTCTCCCATGACATCCTGTATATGCCTGCATGGTTGCCCTTGCCATATCATATCACCTAACCCTTCCTTCTTTCTGTCTGTACTGAGAACGCCTTGATCTCAGAGGCTGTCTTATCAATGTTTGTATCTCTTCCAAGCACTGGGTCTGGCACATAGTAGGTAATCACTAAATAGGATATTATCATTGTTAGGGTGGTGTGACTAAATTATTCTGCTCAAGAGAAAAAGAAAAGGCTACTCTCAAGCATTTTGGAATCAAACATTTATAATAAAAAATAACTCCAAACTTTAGTAAACAGAAAAAAAAAAAGACTCAGTTTCTATCTGAGATTTAGCCATTTGCACCACCACACTTCTCTGTGCATGAGGCCTGCCATTCAGCAGGCCAGAGCAAACAAGGGGCTGGACTCACCTTCCTGTGGGGGTGCTTCTCTAAGTATTAACTCTACAGTCTGCTCTTGTTTACTTTTCAAATTCTTCAGATAGTTATGTTTTTGTATTTTATCTAGAGTTTAGTTGGAATTAGTGAGAGAGAAGGCCTTTATAAGACTTATGTTGCCACAGCAGGACTAGAACTCTTGTTCATTAACTTTTGGGTGAATGACAAACTTGCAAATTTTACATGTGGTTGCTGGATTTTGTTGTATTCAGTTAAAGAATGTTGGACTTTGTCCTGATAAGCAGTTGTTTTGCTTGTGGATCAGTTTCATTACTTTGAGGCTTGCCTTTCAGCTTTGTTAGAGTGTGTCCAGCCACAACAGTCTTTACTCCGGGGCTGAGTTCATTATTTAGGTGTCAGCTCACATGTTACCTCTTCAGAGAAATCTTGCCTGACCACCCTATCTAAAATAGCATTCTTACTCCCACTTTCCCATTTCTAATCTTCATTTATATTTCTGTTTTTTATTTTTGTAGCATTTATGATCACTGAAATTATCTTGTTTTCCTATTTATATATGCCCTACTACAGTGTAAGCTCATGATGGCAGGGACATTGTTTTTTTCACCCTGTATGGCAATTGTCTGTATATAGTTTTTAGCACATAGTAGATGCATGATAAGCATCTGTTGAATGAATGAGTCTATAGAACAATCCTGATAAGTAACTAGGGCAGGTGATATTATTAGTTATTGACCTGTAGTAAGATTTATGTTCAAAGAGGCTGCCTTGCCCAAACAAAGTCATACAAAAACAAAGTGGTAAAAGGGAAGGAATCCAGTTATCTGAGCTCTAGTCCAGTTGCTGTATCAGCTGTTGTACAAAAATAACCAAGAACTAAATCTCGGCAAAAAGCCACATTTCAGAGGTGAAAGAGCAAGAGGAGTCAGTGAGACAAATGGAAAACCAAATATGTGGAAGGGAGGGGGAAACCCAGGAAATGTATCATAAGAGAAGTGCGCTTAAGGAGGGTGACCATCAACGTCAAATTGATGCCGTACAGTATCACACCAAAACACCAGATCACTGCACAGCCTGCTTGGCGTGGCCCCATACTAGTCTATGTGAATTGTGTTCCTGGCATTGTATCACACAGTAGCTCTAGAAGGAGAACTGAGAAAAAGTTGTGACTGAGTTCACTAGCAAACCTTGAGAATACAGTTCCAGGAAGTGGTGAGGAATTATAGTTCATCACTGTATTTAACTCGTTAGACAAATAGTGTGACTACATTTAAGAAGAGTCAAAGTAGATGATTTGCTAGAAAAGCTACGAGAAACATGTTTTTAAACCAGTAGTGAGCTTTTAGAATAAATTAATAGTATAAAAGTCAACTATCTTTTGGCTACTGTGAAGATCAATCATCACAAAATTTCATTAGTACTTTTATAAACAGTGCCATGAATTATAAAACATTTATAATGATACCCACACATTGAATAGTGTTGAAAGGAAAAAAGGAACTATATAAAAATTACAGGAGTTGGTATTTTTCTTCTTCCCACTCATGATTGTGTTTGAATCTTTTTCTCAGCTGACTCTTTTGGTGATCCCTTCTTCCCCCGGACTACACAGATACTATTAGAATATCAGCTAGGGAGATGGGTGCCACGTCTTCGTGAACCAAGGGATTTATATGGTGTCTCTTCTTCTGGTCCATTGAGCCCAACACGGTGGCCATACCATTGTGAAGTCATCGATGAAAAAGTCCAGCATATTGGTATGTTTTTAGCAGTTTGGGGGATTCAGACATTAGCAAACTTACTTTGCCAACCTTAATTTTAATGAGGAGACTCACAATGTTAGAAAACAGCACATTCCAACAGAAATATAACATGAGCCACATAATGTAATTTTAAATTTGCTTGTAGCCACATTTAAAAAGGCAAAAAGAAGAAAATGAAATTAACTTTAAAAATGGATTTTATTTAACCCAAATATATCCAGAATATTTCACATTCTTTTTGTCCAAAGTCTTCAGAATCTGGTGTGCATTTATCTTTACAGACATTTGAATTGAGATCAGCCACATTTCAAGTGTTCAGTAGCCACATGGGCTTAAATGGAGGCACTTGCAGCATTTGCTTGGCTCCTGAAGCTTTAGCAATTCTAAACAATTCCAAAGGGCATGACGGTGTCCCAGGCACAAACTCATACACAGAGTGAAGTCACAGATGGAGGCTATGCCGGAATGGCTGTGAGCTGTAGTCCTGCTCTTTGTGGCTCTCTGTCTCTTTCTCCTTATTTCCTCCTTGTAGGTCTGTCTTCTTAGTGTATCTTTATCTTCTTTTACCACTTTCTGCCTTTCTCCTTTTTTCCTCTTTTCCTCTTTCATTTTCTCTTTCTGCTCCTTTGTCTTTTTCCCACTCTCTGCTTTTTCCTTTAATGGATGTTTATGAAACTGAAGAGTATATATTTTAGTATATATAGATTTTAATATTTCTGTATGTGTCCATTCCCAAATTCATTTTTGCTTTTCCAAGTAAAGCTTATAGCCTCATCTCTCCAATCCGTGCACAGGCATGACAGAAACATCCCATTGTTCATCATCTTTTCACTGCCATGACTTTCCACCTTTTGTTGATTGAGGCACGCAAACATATGTTATTGCCAGGTGGAGATCTTATGGACACTCATTGGTGAATAAAAAAAAATTACACATACATACTTTTTATAACTACACTTATTGCAGTGCCTACTAGGAGTTCTTAAAAACTAAATTTTCTTCATATATCATCTGGCATATAGATAGATAGACATGGGGAGAAAGGACGGGTGGAGAGAGAGAAAGAACACTGATTTTTGTTCATAGAGGACAAAGGTAATTTTTCTCAAGAATTCCAAAGTTATAGGGTTAAAAATATATTAAAGAATTCATGCTTAATAGTACTAAACAGAATCACTTCCTTACACATCTCTTCAAAGCTGGGTATATATTTATCTTCTGTAGTATAGGACATCTCTCTCTCTTTTTCTCCTTTCAGTCCTTCTACCATCATCCCCACCTCTCCTCTGCTACCACCCCCTCCAACCTCATTTTTCCTACAGCACCAGGTCAGGAAATAAAAAAGTCCAACAGAGAAAACACTGCCATGCTACTGAATTTAAACCTTCCCCCAAGCCTTTCTTTTTGTACTTTGGTTCTGTTTCCTAGCCTCCTCATGACATATCTGTGACAGAGGGAATGGATAAGGAGCAATAAAGGAAAATCCCTACTGCTCCTACTGTGACTTCTGCCTAATTTCTCTCCAGTAACAGTGACGAGAGAATGAGAGCAGAAGAGACCCAAAAGGAAGAGGAAAGCAAGACCCCGTCGGGCCACTGCTTCTCAGTGTCACTTCCAGCCGCATGTGCTCATTCCACTCAACTTGGTTCCACCTCACCTAACTAGAAAACCCTTCTGTCACATCTTTGCCACACCTTTCTCTTCCTTAAATTTCCTAGCCCTCACTTTCAGCCGTCATTTTGCCCTCAGTCACAGGAGTCACCATCAGCAGCTCAGAGTGGGGAGAGTTTCTATTTTCCTTGGTTGCTTGGTAATCCCCCACTGTTACTGCTGAGGTTCTTTCAGATGTGGGCAGCTGTGTTTCTGGCCTCTTCTATTGAAATTCTAAATATAGTTTCTAACCAAAATATTGTTGTAAGAGTGGCTAGAGTTTGTGGTGCCTCCTTTCAGATATCTTACATAATGAATAGACTTTGGGCCCTGTGAATCCAGCCTCCACCCTGGTGAAGGTGCAACCTCTCTCAGCATACGTTTCCCAAGATCCCCAGAGTCATGATGTCACACAGCTACTGGTCACACTATCTGTGCAAGGTATAGTCATGCTGGATAAAAGCTTTATTTTGGGCTATGCCACTGTTCTTTTATTTTCAGTCTGTGCCCCTGAAATTTTTGCAAGCTCTGCTGGTCCTCAAGCCAACTGGAACACCCAATACAATACATCCTTGTGTAGGAAGAATCAAAATCTTCTCCCACATGTGTCCTTGATGGCTTTTTCCACCTTTGCTTGCTAGCATTTCAGAAAGTTTACTTCCCACAGTCTTACGTATTGCTCTAGACCTTGCTTTTGTCACTTGACTATTGCAAAGATTTTACAAATTTGGATATTTGAAAGGACTTATAAGACTTCACAGAGCATTCTTCTGTGTGGCTTTTATTCAAAGGCACAGGATACGGTGCAGCAAGAGAAAGATACTGTGGCAAGCATTGGGGCCCAGGTGCAAGCTTTCCAGGGGCCTTATTCACACACATAGACTGCCTGTCTTCAGACTGAAACACCAAGATCTATGTGATGCATCTTAGCTTCAGAAAACCTCAAGGCAAAAGTTCCCATCTGGGTTTTTAGACCCCTGTAGTCATGACATCAAGCCAGGCTGTCTTCCTGATTCTGCCAAATGAAAACCATCAGTAAACAAACTGGCCATGCGGGGGACATGAAACTCTCAGGGGGAGTTTCAGACAGTAAACAGCACATCATTAATCTTACTGTTCTTATCTTGGCCAAGAGTCAAAGCTGGACAGCCAGAATTCCCCAGAGGTAAAAATAGAGCTTTTCCAGTCCAGCTATAAATTAACTCTGTCTTACACAGTCATCTATCTTGAAAGACTTTCCATATCAGTTTATATATATTAGTCTCCTTTTTTATAAACTGGTACATCAGATTTCATTAAATGGATGAATCAGAATTTCTTTAACTGGTACCTTATTAATGAATTTAAGGGGTTTCCAGTCATTGGCTCTGACAAACAGAACTGCATAAATATCCTTTTATGTGTGGCCTAATGCATATATACGTACATATTTTGGGGGTACATTCCCATAATTTCTGGTATAAGGATACTGTCAAATTTTCCTCCAAAAAGAGTTGCATCAATTTATTGTCATAAAAGCAAATAGTTTATGAGTGTGGTCAGGGGTCCTCAAGACAACTCATATTCAATAATTTGCTACAAAGACTTGCAGAATTCAGAGAAGCCATTATACTCATGGTTATGGTTTATTATGTCCCTGAAAGGACACAGATTAAAATCAGCAAAGGTAAATGGCGTATAGCAGTGGTCCCCAAACTTTTCGGCACCAGGGACCAGTTTCGGGGAAGATAATTTTTCTGTAGATGTTGGGGGATGGTTTTGGGATGAAACTGTTCCACCTCAGAGCATCAGGCATTAGTTAGATTCTCATGAGGAGCACACACAACCTAGATCCCTTGCATGCACAGTTCACAATAGGGCTTGTGCTCTTATGAGAATCTAATGTTGCTGCTGATCTGACAGGAGACAAAGCTCAGGTGGTAATGGTCGTTCGCCCACTGCTCACCTGCTGCTGTGTGGCCTGGTTCCTCACAGGCCATAGACCAGTACTGGTCCATGGCCTCAGGGTTGGGGACACTTGCTATGCGGCAGGGTCCAGATGAGACCTAGCACAAGCTTCCAGTTGTTCTCTCCCTGTGGAGTCTTAGAAACAGCACTTAATTCTCCCAGCCATAATGTGAGATAATATGAAGTGCTGCAAATCAGGGAAGCTCATCTAGCTTTGATGTCACTGGTTTCTATTGCAGGTTGGTTATATTTACATTCAGTGCCCACATGGCTGACCTTAGTTACTTAGTCTCTGGCCTTTCCAGGGGTCAAAATTGATACTGTGTGTCCAAGGCCTCTACCACCACCACCACCACAATAAATCAATTGTTAGCATAAACTACTATCTGACATAGCCCAAGGTCCCAGGTAGACAAAGATACTCTTAATGAGGCAAGGTATTCCAAGGCATCAGAGGCTATCTCCCAAGAGTTTAGCAAGGTCCAAACCTTTACAATGTGCAAGGTTTGGACAACCAAGGCCTGCTGAGTTAATCATTTACACACAGGCTACCCACTGTCCCTTGGCCTAGGCTCTCTTTAACAAAGAGCCTAGTTTGTAACTAGTATAATTATCTCCTATTTTAATATTCTGCTATTTATACATTTTAACAAACTTGTACATAAATATTCAGCATAGAAATTAACTCATAATTAAGTAGATCCAGTTCTTACTCAGCCCATTTTTCATTGATATTACATACCAAGGAGGCCGTGATTCAATTTTCCAATACATTTGATCATCATCATATGACTGACTTACCTAAGGGAGAGGAATCATACCAGCAATACCAATGTTATACTGTATCTGCAGTATTGTAGTAGATGTAACCTGAAAAATAAGAATCAAAAGATAATGGCTCATTACCTCTGTCATTAACAATTAATTGGTCCAGTTCATCATTATATCTTATGACCAGAATGTCTCCCAGAGCAATGCCACTCAAGTTTGCAGGCTTCCATTCAACCTTTTCAGCTTCTAAGAGTAAGGCTAGTCTTAGAAAACTGACTTTACCTTTTTGGGCATCTAGGATAATTAAGCTAAGAGACTACAGTCTCTTGCTCTGAGCCTCTCTCAAAACACCAGTGTAATACTAGATTTTCCTCATTACCTATTTCATTTATTTATTCCTGTGCCTTGGCTATTTCTCCTATTTTTCACTTGTCATAATTTTTTACCCAAACGTTTTCACCTTTGGAAGAGTTGTTAGGCTTAGCCACTGTCCTGGTCTAGATTGCCAGCAGTAATACCAGTCTAGCTCGTGCTTCCTTTCAGCTCATTCCCTTTTATTTAGAGTAAGGATATATAGGTACAGAACTAGTGGGCTATCTTGACCACCAGGAAATACAGCTGCATTCACTATCAATCTGAATTTTGCCAGGTGGGGTGAAGACACAGTCCACCCCGTTAGGCCCATAGCAATTCCGACATAAAGGTTGAAAGGTAAGTTTCTTGCTTAAGAATGATTCCTGTTTCTAGCACCTGCAGTCTCCAACCACTGCCCCAGGCTGGAAAAAAAAAGAAAAGTTGAGGTGACTGGAGAAATCATTTTGTAGTTTGTACCAGTGTCCTCCTCTATCCCTTCTCCAGATCCACCATAAAAGAATTTGTCAAGTGGGGACCCACTCTTGTCCCCCTCATGTTGAATGTGCATACACATGAAGGTATATATGTCAGCCCTTCCTGCCTTTATCACCCCCTATTTTAGACAAAAAAAAAAGTTTCAATTACCTTTTCCAATTCTCTAGTAAACCACTAGTCCATTTTGATGTGATATCTTTTTGCCCATCATTAGACACTATGGGCTGTAAAGTGTGTTTCTTGGTCTGAAGAAATATAACTTGATGGTCCAAATTGCCACAGTATCTTCTGTTTCAGTCCTTTTACAGTATTCTAAGCATTTTGTATCCATCTACCTCTGGGGGTGCAAAGCCTAGTCCAGAGTAAATGTCTAGTCCTGTCAGGACCCTTTTATAGTCTCTGGGGGCTACCACAGCATTCCGATGTAGTTACTTGTCAGTTGTGTGTGCCACCTGCTCCCCAGGAAATCTGCCCATAGCCACCTGCGGTCTCCGTCTCTCTTGAAGCATTTATTTGTATTTTGTGCCTCAGAGGGAGTAAGAGAAATATGCCAACAATCAGCCCATGCCTACATTCCTACACCTCTCCCATTTCCATTTATTTCATGGACCCACATGCCCACCTCAAGTAAACACACCAAGTTTTCCACTTACTGGGTCCAGTCATCATCTGATCCTGGAAGAGTGTTCTTCTGGTGGGCACTGACATGTCCTACTTTAATGTGCCCCTAAATTCCATGGTGATTTCCATAGGATGGTGCCCCACATGGGGCATCTAATAGACTAGTTTTTCATCACCCATCTATTTGACCATATGGCCAGCCATTGGCACACCCAAACTTTGATTATTTTTAAATGGAACTTTTATACTTGTTCAGTTTTTTCATCACTGCAAGGACAGCATATAGTTCAGCCTGAGCAGATTGTTCTTACCTTCCTCAATCAGAACTTTTCCATCATCTGATGTAGTACAGTAGTCTTCCAAACAGGATGTTGATTATCCACCTTGGAACTGCCATCAGTCAACCTAGTAGCTCTCTTTCAATAGAGAGCTGTTCATAGGGCACAGCCCAGGTGGCCATAGGATTTGGTGGCTCCTCAGCTGATTTCAAAGTAGGCTCCAGTGGAAAAGAGACCTCCTGCACATGAACAGAATGAGTATCTCCTTGCACTGTCCCAGTAACATTGTCCTGTATAAACCGTTTCCATTTATTATGGAGCCCTTCTGGGCACTGCCTTATTAGAGTGTTTCTTTCACATCACTTAAGGCATTGTGGGCATTTCAGCTTTCACGGTTATATGTCCTTCAGTATAATGGTTAATTTTATGTGTCAGCTTGACTGGGCCACGGGATGCCCAGATAGCTGGTAAAACATTATTTCTGGATGTGCCTCTGAGGGTGTTTCTGGAATAGATTAGCATTTGAATTGGTAGATTCAGTAAAGAAGATCCACCATCACCAATATAAGGAGGTGGGGCATCATCCAATCTATTGAGGGCCTGCTTGAATAGAACAAAAGGATGGAGGAAGGGTGAGAGCTCTCTTCTTGAACTGGGATATTCATCATCTGCCCCAGACATCAGAGCTTCTAGTTCTCAGGCTTTTGGACTTGGACTGGATTACACCACCAGCTTTCCGAGTACTACAGCTTGCACACAGCAGATTGTGAGACTTCTCAGTCTCCATAATTTGTGACAATGTATATACGCATATGTGTATATTCACTGATATAATAAATACACACACACTACTGGTTCTATTTTTTCTGAAGAACCCTGACTAATACATTCAGTCACAGGGGCATTTTCAACTAATGTCCAATAGCAAGTTAGTAATTGGTTCTCAAATGCTGTATATCTTACAGCTGCATCCGAACAATTTCTGGTCCAAATTCCGGCAGTCACTGCTGGATGGTGCTCACAGGCTTTTTCCATAAGCCCCAATCTCTGGCCCATACAGGGCTACTGTAGAGAAAATGTGTCGGTGCCAGCAGCCCAGTTTCTAACACGTCATTGATTAAAGGTGTACTCTATTTTTGTGCACCAGGTATTCTATACTATTTCCAACTAAAATCTGTCGGCTTGGACAATTCTATAGGTTCCCATTTAGCCAGTATACTGGATAAAGGGCAAATTTACATGCCTTCAGTTTTACAATATTAGGTAGGGAAGTGTTCCCCAATCAGATATAAAATCCATCCCAATACATTCAGGTAAAGGAGATACATCCAGTTCACATGAAGTCCATTTAAATATTTCCGTTTTAATCTCAACTTTCACCTTAATTTCATCAACCATTTCATGGCTAAGTCCTCCCAACCTAACTGTAGTCCACATTAGGATATCACCAACAGATTTTGGAACCTCAGTGCATTGGTCTGCCATGTCAAAGAGTCCCAGAAAAGCTTGTTCTCCACCCCCTTTCCATTTTAACCACACGTGCATATAGCCCATGTCCCCAAACAAGGATCAGACTAAAGGACCCTGACCCTTTTCATCAGTCTATCCATATTAGTTTGTGAGACAATTGCCACAGATGATTTGAGGTAACATTTTTTATTGTCCTTTTTGCCTTTCAGCTTTGTTAATTCCTCCAGACTAAGGTAAATAGAACAGATTTGTTTAAAGCTCTTCAAAGTCGGGGTATGCCAGGAGCTCCCATTGGTCTATGTAATCTCCAATAGTGTTTCATTAAGACCTTTGATCCCATCAGTGTCCAACCTGCTGGGATGAGTCCCTTGATTCTTCCTTTTGTCTTTCCCTATTCTTTCATGACTCATGTTATTTTAGCTCTCAGTTTTTTCAGCATGTTATTTGTCCCTTTGTTGGAAACCCTGAAGCTAGTGTCTGTAGCTTGGACCAGCTGAAATTCAAGCTTGGCCCAGTGTCAGGATTTGCCTCAACACTTTACTGTAATTTTAGCTATTACACATAATAACTGAGAGATTGTATGTTTAGCTTGTTTCTTGTCATTTTGCATTTCCTTATGCATCCAGTGAGCCAACTCTTTGGGAGTTAGATTTATCATTTCTAAATTCCAGTGGTGACTTTTACTTCTAGTAACTGATTGCAACACAGCTGCTACTTCACACCATGGGTGGCCCAGTGGCCAAACAGAATCAAAGGTTTGTCAACTCCTACCCTCTTACCCTTCCTTTTCCCAAACCACTCTTTCACCACATTTCAGTGAGTCAGGGTAATTCTAGTGAATCCCACTTCTGATGTCACCTGTGATCAGGAGTCCTGAAGACCACCCCAAGGTTCAATGATTCATTAAAAGGACTCGAGAAATTCAGAAAAACCATGACATTAATGGTTATGGCTTGTTACAGTGAAATGATACAGACTAAAATCAGCTGAATTAATTTAGGGCAGAGTCCAGGAGAGACTAGATGGGGGCTTCCAGTTGTCCTCTCCTGGTGGAGTTTTATAGACAGCACTTACTTCCTCCAGTCATGATGTGAGATAACACTCATGAAGTACTGCTAATCAGGGAAGCTCATCCAGCCTCGGTGTCCAGAGTTTCTATTAGGGACCAGTTATGTCTGTATGGAATGCCCACGTGGCTGGCTTTAGTTATTCAGTCCCCCGCCTCTCCATCCAAAATTAATATAATGTGGCCCAGAGCCCCCCACCACAACTCACATTATTAGCATAAACTATCTGATGTAGCCCAAGGCCCCAAGTAGACAAAGAAACTCTGAACAGGCAGAATATTTCAGGGTCTTAGAGGTTATCTCCCAGGAGTTGGACAAGGTCCAAATCTTTCTTTGGATATACAGGGTTTGGACAACCTAGGCCATCTGAGTGCTGCACAATGAGAGTACCTATTTTCCCATACTCTCATCAATACTGTTAATCACTCATTCTGGTTTTTGACAATCTGATATTGTTTACTTGATATGTGTTTTTTGTTCATGTATTCTTTATGGATGAGATTGGAACATTTTATCTACTGACTTTATATAAGCTACCTGATGAAATCCTTTGCCCATTTTGCTATTGATTAGACTTTTTTTCTTCTCGATCTCTAAGTGCTTTCTGCCTATGCAGGAGATTTGATTACTGTGTCTTATATGTTACATGCTATTTTTCTCAGTTTTTCATTTGCCTTTTTGTCTTTGTCATGCATAAATTTGTAATTTTTATGTAGTTACTTTGTCTATCATTTTTAAATGATTTCTGGGGTTTTGAAATTTTCATACTTCTTAGTAGTGTCCAAGTGTATTTTTTGTGATTAAATTTTTGATCCATCAGGAATCCATTTTGATATAAGAAGTAAACTTCCAATCCAGTCCTATTATTAAATGCCTGGTGAGTTGTTCCAACAAAATTTATTAAATGAATTATCTTTTTCTACCCACTTACAATGCCACATTTATGATATACTAAGCTTTTAGGTCCAATTTTGAATTCTGTTCCATTAATCTGTCTTTTGATATGCCAGCATGAAACTCTATTACTATAGCTTTTAAAGTATAATTCTGTTGTGTGATAAACTTAGTTCCTTACTGTTTTACTGTGTTCAAGATTTTTCTGGCTACGTTTGCCTTATTATGTCTCTATATGGAATCTAAAATAAGCTTTCCTAGTTGTCCTAAAATAAATAAACTGGTAACTTTATTGTGATCACATTAATTTATAGATTAACTTAAGGAAGAGTAACATACTTTTAAAATTGCACCTTCCTGTCCAATAATAAGATTTGTTTCACCATTTATCCTAGTTTTCCTTTATCTCCTTTATTATAGTTTTAATTTTTTTTTTTCTGCACCGTTTCTAAGTTTATTGTTAGGTATTTTATTTTGTTGCTAAAACTAAATATTTTTGTTGTGAGAATAGCAATTTCAAATAGAATATTTACTATTTTATATTTTCTAACTTGTTTACATACAGGAAAGTTATTTTTGTGTGTATTACTTTTGAAAATTGCCATACTTTGTTTCTAATATTTAAATTATTATATATGTTCCAATTATACAGTTATCCTGTATTAATGTAATTATATCTCCTAATTTTCAGTTTTTATACCTTATATTTCTTTTTTGTACTAAATGCATTTACTGGTACTGTCAAAAAATATTTAATAATGTTGCCTTTATCTTATTCTTCATTTTAATGGGACTAGTATTACTGTTTTCTCATTAAGCAAATTATTGGCTTCTGGTTTAAAATAAATTTTTTTGATTCTGCTAAGGAGTTACCAATTTGTTCTTATATTATTAAGAAAACTTTACCAGAAATTATTACTAAACTTTATTAAATGCCTTTTTAACATCTATGGGGTAGAGGGATTATGATATTCTTCTCATTTGACCTATTATGTTGGTGAGTTATATTAGTTTTTTAATATTGAACCAGTTGTATAGTATTGAAATAAAGTGCAGTTAGTCATTGTGGATAATTTTTAGTGGGTTGCTGAATCCTGTTTTCTCATTTTATGCAGGATTTTTGCTTTAATATTCATAAATAAGATAGATTTTTAAAAATTTTCTAGCTCATGTACATTTATCAGGTTTTGGTATAAACGTTATTTAGAATTCTTTGCTTTAGAGCAGTTTCAATAATGTTTTAATTAATGTTCTTTATAATTTCGAGAGAAATCTTCTAAAACTGTGCATATTTTGTTACTGTTTTAGAGAGACAGAGAATATTGTTATTATAAAACTTCTCAGTTTCTTCTTTGTTACATCTAAGTTTCCTATATATTCTGTTCCAGGGACAGTTTTGGTTATTTTCCTAGAAAAATGCTTTTCATGCAGGATTTTAAAATTCATTTAATAAATTTAAGCAAAGCATTCTCCTATAATTGCTAAAATTTCCTTTAAAGATAGGAGATTTTTTTCCTTTGTCCTAATACTTTACATTGTGTTTTTGCATTCTTATTTTTCTCCCCTGAGTATGTTGGTAGGCTTTATCTTGTTAATTTTTTCAAAGAATCAGTGCTTGAAATTATTTATTAGTTCTAGTTTTGTGCTGTATTCTAATAATATAAATTTTTTTTATAAATCGGATTTATTTAGATTTATTTTGTTCTTTATTTAACCTCTTGCTCTGTATTAACTTCTTACTTCCCAGTATTTTATTAAGAATGTTTTCAAATATGCAGAGAAATTGAAAGGATCGTACAGGAACCCATATGGCCATCAACTAGATTCTTACAATCAATAATTTACTATATTGCTTTATCACATATGTAGCCATCTATCCATCCCTCTCTTTATCCAATTAAGTCCTTTTAGTTTTTTATTCATTTAAAAGTAAGTTGCAGATATCCTTACATTTCACCTGTAAATACTTTAGCATTTATATTGTTACCTAGAATTCCTTTTTAGTTTTGAGGTACATTTTACAAAAGATGAAATTCACAACTCTAATTGTATCAATGAATTTTAACAAATTTAACAAATGCATACATTTGTGTAATCTAAACGCATACCACAATATAGAACATTACTGTTATAATTACTTTTTAAAAATTACTTAGGTGTAAATCTAACAAAACATGTATAAGACTTGCATTCTTAAAACTACACAATGTTGATGAAGTAAATAAAAGAAGATCTAAATAAATCAAGAAATATACCATGTTCATGATTAGGACTCAGCTCAATGTGGTAAGATGTCAACTCTCCCCAGTTGACATATAGGTTTCAAGAAATTCCTATCAGGATTTCTTTTTGTAGATGTAGACAAAATTATTCTAAAATTTATATGGAAAGGCTAAAGAACTAAAATAACGTTTTTAAAAAGCAGTTTTGAAAATGAAGCATAAAATGGGATAAAGTAGCCTCTTACCTCAAGCTTTTATATAGCTACAGTAGTCAAAGCTATGTGGTATTAGATTAGTAGAAGAGAATAGAGAACTCAGAAGTAGAACCACACAAATATTCCCAAGTGGTTTTTCATGAAAGTGAAAAAGCAATTTAATGGAAGAAAGTTTGCATTTTCAACAAATATTGCTGGAGAAATTGGATATCCATAGGAAGAAAAGAAAGAGACAAGGGAAAACTTCAACCTAAGTCTAACACCTTATACAAGAATGCATTCAAAATGAATCATAGATTTAAATGTAAAACATACAATTATAAATCTTTTTTAAAATAGAAAATCTTTATGATCTAGAGCTAAGCAAAGAGTTCTTAGAATTGACATCAAAAACATGATTAATAAAAACTTGATAAATTGGACTTCAGAATTAAAAGCTCTTGTTTTGCAAAAGACCCTGTTAAGCAGATGAAAATACAGTGAAGAGGAGGAAAAACAAAGAGCAACATGCTTATGCCAGTTGATTCTATCTCCTTTTATTTTTTTATTTTTATTTTTTTTAAAAAAGCTTTCCCAGAAATTCCACCAGAAGTCATCTTTTACCCCTCATTGACTAGAATTATATTGCATGGCTACTCCTGGCCACAGGCAAGCCTGAAAACTTAAGGTTTTTTAATGGAGGTACATTGCTGCCCTGATAAATTCAGGTTTTAGTAAGGAAGGAACAAAGTTAGAATGAAAATTTGGAGGACAACTAGCAATGTATAGAAAAACTAGCAGTGGAAATTTGGAGGACAACTAGCTGAGTGCAGGGCCTTATACTCCTAAATACTCTTTTGTTCATATAACAGTGGACTAACTTGAACAACTACTTGAATCTGCATATGGAAGTGGCTTATCCTGGCAATTACTTAACAAAGTCACCTATTCTGCCTTATGGAAAATAGTCATCTTTTATATCTGCCACATAAGACAAAATAAAGTGGCTCCTCAGCACAACTTTGGAAGTGTTGTGAAATCTTATGGAGGAATACTTAGATTTGGATACCCTTGCAAAGAAGTTATGTGAAATTTTGTGGCATGTGATTTAAATGCAGAACAAACTGTCTGC